>NC_000012.12:96210128-96835128 GCF_000001405.40 Homo sapiens | reverse complement strand
TATTCTCTGCTGAAAGCTGCAAACATCAGACCAACCTGCCTACAGAGAGGAGCAACCCACTCCACAGCCTCCTCTCTGCTGAGAGTTGCAGAGACGACAGGACAACCTGCCTGCAGAGAAGAGCTTCCCACTCCAGGGTCTCCTCTCTGCTAGGAGCTAAACACTCATTGGGACACCCTGGCTGCAGAAAGGAGCTACCTGCTGCAGGTCTCCTGTGAGCTGTTCTATTGCTCAATAAAGCTCCTCTTCATCTTGCTCACCCTCCACTTGTCTGTGTACCTCATTCTTCCTAGTCGTAGGATAAGAACTCAGGGCTGCCGAATGGCAGGGCTAAAAAAGCTGTAACACAAACAAGGCTGAAACATGACCTTTGCTCGCCATGTTGCAGGAGAAAAGAAGGAGAGAAGAGCTGTGGCCCTTCTGGGACCCCAGGCCTGGAAGATCCCCAAGCCAAGGCTGTTACTTCTTCTTTGAGATCCTGCAGTTCCTGGCATCTCCAGGCTTCTGGGCACCACTGTGTTCCCCACTGCCAACCAAGGAAGCTGCTTCTGGTTCGCCTGGTCCAGCTGCAGCCTTGCAGAGAGCTGGCGCCCATGCCAGCACCTAGAGCTGCCTGCCACACTGCAGCAGCCAGCATGTCTGACTGCCAGTGGCCAGACCCCATGCTTGCTCACACAATCCTTGCTGCTCCACACCTGACTTGCCCTTGGCAGGCATGGGATCCAGGTCAGTAGCGTGAGCCAAGCGCAGCCTGCCATTGGGCAGAACAAGCTCAGTGGGCCTGAGCAAAACTTGGGCAAAGGCACCACTAGCCTGAGGTTTCAGGCCAGAAAACCGATACCCCAAAGATCCCATAACACTAACAGCCTCCCTTGACCGCTAATATCCTAACACCCTCCCATGACTGTGTCTCTCTCTAGCTGTTTTCTTACCCTCTCGAATCTTCTTAAAGACTAATCTACACTTTCAACCTTCACTTTCTCACCCCTACTTTCTCACCCCTTATTTACTCCTCAACTCCCTGCAGTGTCTGCTCCCACTATTCTAGTAAAACACCTACTGAGTGTAGTCTAGTTAGAAGTGTAGAGTTAAGCAGACCCATATTTGACTCCTGCCTTCTACTTTTATCAAGCTGTGAGACCTTGCACATTCTGCTAAATTTTCCTATGTATCAGTGTCCTCATCTCTAAAACAAGGATAATAATGGTAACCAATGTCATAGGGCTCTTGTCATATTAAATATTTAAAATATTAAATTATTTAAAATAATGTCTGCACATGCCATGTGCTCAATAAGTATTTAATATTAACTATTAATATTACTACTAGCAGTAGAAATATTTGCATTTTCATGACTATTATCATTATTGTTTATCAGGCACTATGCTAGGTCTGGCTAAAAATCTTGAACTAAAAAAGAAAATCCTACCAAACCCAAGCAGCCAAGAAAAACTGCTTTGCAATCTCCTTATATAATACATCTGATATCTTGACCTAGGATAACATTTTCCACTTTCAAATCATGATCTGCTCCTAGGAACCTCCTCTCCATACTGATTCTGTATGACTCTAGTTCATTCAAATCACACACACACACACACACACACACACACACACACACGTACGCGTGTGTAATTGATTAGGCAAATTTATCTGTATCATGTGAACCAATATGAAACTATTTCATTTTGCTAACTACAGGAACTTTAATCTACACTGCCTTTGCAGCAACAAAAGTATCTATACCAATGTTCTATACGTAGCTGGTGGTCAATAATTACTGACAGATGTGAGATTCTATTAAAGAACTTAGCCCATTCCATGGTCAGTCACCGTGAGAACAAGAATATTTTTAGCATCATGTTTGAATCCTACCTGACAACTTAGAAACTGCAACAATTTGAACCTACACAGGCAATTAAAAATTCTTTTTATTGCTGCCTCACCAGAAATCATATGTAATGGTTATTGACATTCCATGATTAATCACTAAGAAGGAAAGCATGGGGCACTCGTTCCCTTCCTTCATCTTTCTGCTATTCTCAGTTTCTTTTTGTCACAAGCTGTGCATGTCAATATTTATTTTAATTAGGAAGAGTTAACATAGGCAAAGGTAATTTGTAATAGGTGTGTTCAGTAAGGAACCAAATTGCACAGCAAGATCTTCTGCTAGTGACAAAAACAGCTCCATGAAGGCATGTAATTTCATTTGCCTAACCATTTACTATCCCAGTACTGTTGGTGAGTCTTATTTTCAGTGGAAGTTAGCTGGAAGCCATCTTCCATCTTGGATGGGCAGTGCTTTCACCACTAGGATCTCATGTTGGGATCCTGCAATATAGACCTAATTCTTACAGGATTCAACAATAATCCAAATTACAGACAAAGAAAATACTACCTTTAACATTTGTCCTCTCCTTTTCTATAAATATTTCAAAACAAACTTGGATTCTAAAATTATTCTTAAAACTAGTTGACTAGGGGATGAATAATTCACACATGGAGGGTAAAACCATAGTGGGGATGATGATAATAATGATGATGATTATTATTATATAGCTAATATTTCCTAAACAATTATTTTTACTAGGCCTTATGACAAATACTGAAAATATATTATCTACTTTAATCTTCACAACAACTGTGAGAGGTTGGAATTTGTACTTTTTTACATATGAGAAAACTGAGGCTTAGAGAAGTTAAATAACTTGCCCAAGTTCACACAACTAACAAGACTCAAGGCCGAGATTCCAACCTAGACCTGTCAGAAACCAAGGCCTATTGACATTATAAATTGTATATTTTATTATAACAAATTCTTTTTTATAACCTATATATATATATATTTTTTTTTTTTACAAAAGAAAAAGCTTTAAAGCACTTATAGTTCCATGTGGCTGAGAGGCCTCACAATCATGGTGGAAGGCAAGGAGGAGCAAGTCATGTCTTACATGGATGACAGCAGGCAAAGAGAGAGAGCTCATGCAGGGAAACTCCCATTTTTAAAACCATCAGATCTCATGAGACTTATTCACTATCAGGAGAACAGCATGGGAAAGAACTGCCCCTATGATTCAATTACCTCCCACTGGGTTCCTCTCATGAAACACGGGAATTGTGGGAGTTACAATTCAAGATGAGACCTATTTTTAACCACAATTTATCCAAAATTAGACTTAAGCTTGATTTTATTATCAGTGGTTTACCACAGTAAGTCTATACATTTCCATAATAAACAATTAAGTTCCCTGTTTAAAAAGTGGGAAAAGGACATAAATGGCCAAATGAATAAGTGAAGCAAAGATTAAATTTCAGATGTTCAAAATGAAAGGAAATTCAATTCAACTCAAGAACCAGTGACCAAGAGATGTGGTGTACAAGGCACTGTAAGAACTCACAGATGAAGATAGCATCACCTCTGACCCCAGGAAGCTAATGAGCTAATGGGAAAAATACAGTATAATATTTCAGGTCTTACTTCAAATGTCACTTCCTCAGAGAAGTCTTCAGTCTTCCCTGACCACCCTATCTAAGCTGTGACCCCATTCCCTGTCACTCTCTGTCACAGGGACCAGCAAACCTTTTCTGTAAAGGGTGACGTAATAAATAAGTTAGGCTTTGTAGGCCATACAGTCTCTGCCAAAATTACCCAACTCTGCTTTTGTAGTGTGAAAGCAACTATAGATCATAAGTAAATGAATTAACAAGGCTGTGTCCAATAAAACTTTATTTATAAAACAGGCAGTCACCAGATATAGCTCATAGGCTGTAGTTTGCTGACCCCAACTCTAACATATGTTTTCTTCCTGCATAGCACTCAACAAAATCTAAAATTATCTCATTTATTGATTTGTTTACTGTCTATTTCCTGCCACAAAAATAGTAGCTCTAGGAGAGTGGAATCTTTGTTGCTGGTTCACAGCTAGCTCTTCAGTGCACAGAAAGGAGTTTCTGACACAGAGATAGTTCTTCTAAACATCTGTCAGCTGACTAAATGAATAAATACCATTTTGCTAAAGGAGAAACACGAATGCCAACCAACACAAGAACTATACTTAGCCTTACTAACAATAAAAATACAATAATGATATACTATTTTCCACTTGTCACGCTTTTAACCATTAGAAGAGGAGGAGGAAAACTAGTGTAGATGGGCTGGGCTCAGCGGTTCACACCTGTAATCCCAGCACATTGGGAAACCAAGGCAGGTGGATCACTTGAGGTCAGAAGTACAAGAACAGCCTGGTCAACATGGTGAAACCCTATCGCTACTAAAAAAAAAAATTAGCCAGGTATGGGGCGCTTGCCTGTAGTCCCAGCTGCTCGAGAGGCTGAGGCAGGAGAATCACTTGAACCCAGCAAGTGGAGGTTGCAGTGAGCCAAGATCACACCACTGCACTCCAGCCTGGGTGACAGAGCAAGATTCCATCTCAAGAAAAACAAAAAACAAACCCAGAAAACTAGGAGAGATGAATATGTGGGTAAATGGTCCTCTCATCTACTATTGATAGGAGAGAAATGTTGGTGCCACATTTCTGGAGGATTAATTTGCTGTAATATATCAAAATGTATATACCAATTTTAAAATGGGTGAATAATTGAAGAGATATTTATCTAAAGAAGATACGCAAATGGTCAATAAGCCCATGAAAAGATGCTCAACATCATTAGTCATTAAGGAAATGCAAATCAAAATCACAATAAGATACCACTTCACACCCACTAGGATGACTACTATTAAACACACACACACAAACAGAAAATAAAAAGTCTTGGAGAGAATGCAGAGAAATTGGAACCTCTATGCATTGTTGGTGGTAGTATAAAATTGTACAGCTGCTCAGGAAAACTATTTGGAAGTGCTTCGAAAGGTTAAACATAGAATTACCATATGATTCAGCAATTGTGCTAAAGATTTGAAATCAAGGCTTCAGATTTGTACACTAACGTTCATAGCAATATTACTTACAATAGCCAAAAGTGGAAACAACCCAAATGTCCAGTAACAAGTAAATCCATGAAGAAAAGTGGTATATACATACAATGGAATATTAGTCCATCTTAAGAAGGAATAAAATACTAGGACATGTTACAACACGGATAACTTTAAAAACATTATGCTAAGTGAAATAAGCCAGACACTAAAAGACAAATATTGGATGATTCTAATATGAGATACCTAGAATAGACAAATTCGTAGAGACAGAAAGTAGAATAGAGGTTACCAGGAGCTGGGGTGGTGGGGGAGGAGGAATTGAGGAGTTATTGTTTAATGGATATAAAGTTTCTATTTGGAATGATGAAAAGTTCTGGACAGTGATAGACAGCGGTGACGGTTGCACAACATTGTGAATATACTTAAGGCCACTGAACTGTACACTTAAAATGGTTAAAACTTTAAATTTTATATTATATATATTTTATAATAAAAATGTACGTATACTTTTTTACTCCAAATCCAATCCCTAAGAATTAATTCTGAAGAGGTAATACAGAAGAATGAAATATGTATGTACTAAGATCAATCAACTGCAGAACCCATCAATAAAGATCTAGCTATGTAAATGGCACCTGACACAACAAATACGTAAAAGAAACCATTATGCAGGCATTAAATATGACAAAGTAGACTTTTCACATAAAAATTATCCATAAAATTATTATTCGATGAAAAAAGCAAGTGACAGAATGCATGTAAAGTATGATACCATTGGTATAAAAATTCTAAAGTTTATCTGTACATAGGGAAAATTCTAGATATACTCTAAATATTAATAGGGGTTATTCTGTGAATTGTAGATTTGAGGTGACTTTAAAAATTACCCTCTTTATAGTTCTTTGTATTAGTTGAATGTTTTTTGAACACATAATTTTTTTAACCAAAATAATGTGTTATTGTAAACTCATGTTTATCACTTTTTCACATTAATAAGGAGGGTTAGGCCCTTGATACTTACAATTAGATGTTTTCTATATTTCCATTTCATAGCAATAATACTTGTGAGTGAATTAGATACAATTTTAAAGGAGAAATACATACCTCAGATAGTGGTGTTGGCTCTTTATCATTCAAAAACAGAGATGCTATTTCAGAGCAACATTGAATAATCATGTCCTAGAAATAAGAAGATAGTAATACAGTGAGGTTGATATTATTAGAAACCTAAATATTACCTATTTAATTATAAACTATTTCATTTGTCTTTTCTTGATCATTACCTAACCTTTGTTCCCAGGATAAGACAGAGGGCTCAGAAATCATAACCCCTTAAGTAATTAGGCTTTTTTGAATTGTATCTAATTGTACAAAATAAGATTTTGAAAATAATTATTTTTCTAAATAAGATTTTGAAAAATTACTTTTCTTCTGAGAAGAGAGCCCTGGAATGAAGAGTTTCAGATCCCTGAAAGGGCTTGCAGCAGAGAAGAATGACTGGAAATTATGGAAGACAGGGGAAGAGCGAATGAAAAGGAAGAGAGTCAATAGCATGATGACACTGCCCACAGCCCTGCTGCATGGATGCAGCCATGTTCATGTGTGGACACCCAATCCACAAGGGACCTACCCACAGACAGGTTGAATCTGTCAGATTCCCTATCATATGATTTTATGTAAGGAAGAACAACAGAAGAGACATACAATCAGTATTGACTGCATGAGCTGAAAGGTCCACATGCGGAGTTGGAGAAGGCAGCCATTAGGCCAATGTGGGAGAAGACAGAGGAGAAGATAGAGACGAGTGAGAACCCACGCCACCTGCAGGACTGAGCACAGTCTTGGCTCCTGATCCGCCAGTTCAAATTTCTGTGACTCCACTGTTTCAGGTTCCAGTCTTTGTCTATGCATGACCATACTCAACTCATACTGACAAACACTACCTCCCTACCAAACCTAAATGACTTGAGTTACTGTAAGTAGTTTTTTCCTCACTTACAACTGAAGAAGTCATAACTACATAATTGTCAGAGATTAACTATGCCTACTTCACAATGTTGCCAGTGTCTGGTAATGAAGAAAGCAAAAATTTGCTTTTCTGATAATATATATAATATATAATTATATATTAATAATATATTAATATATAATTATATATTATATATTAATACGTATTATATATAATTATATATTATATATAACTATATATAATATAATATATTACTATGTATTATATATAATTATATATTATATATAACTATATATAATATAATATATTACTATGTATTATATATAATTATATATTATATATAACTATATATAATATATTACTATGTATTATATATAATTATATATTATATATAACTATATATAATATATTACTATGTATTATATATAATTATATATTATATATAACTATATATAATATAATATGTTACTATGTATTATATATAATTATATTAAATATAATTATATATAATTATATATAATATAATATATTACTATGTATCATATATAATTATACATAATATAATATATTACTATGTATCATATTACACATTATATATAATCACATATAATTGCACACTATATATAATCACATATAACTGCACACTATATATAATCACATATAACTGCACACTATATATAATCACATATAACTGCACACTATATATAATCACATATAACTGCACACTATATATAATCACATATAACTGCACACTATATATAATCACATATAACTGCACACTATATATAATCACATATAACTGCACACTATATATAATCACATATAACTGCACACTATATATAATCACATATAACTGCACACTATATATAATCACATATAACTGCACACTATATATAATCACATATAACTGCACACTATATATAATCACATATAACTGCACACTATATATAATCACATATAACTGCACACTATATATAATCACATATAACTGCACATTATATATAATCACATATAACTGCACATTATATATAATCACATATAACTGCACATTATATATAATCACATATAATTGCACATTATATATAATCACATATAATTGCACATTATATATAATCACATATAATTGCACATTATATATAATCACATATAATTGCATATTATATATAATCACATATAATTGCATATTATATATAATCACATATAATTGCATATTATAATTAATCATATATAATTGCATATTATATATAATCATATATAATTGCATATTATATATAATCATACATAATTGCATATTATATATAATCATATATAATTGCATATATAATATATCATATAATATTATATAATATATCATAATATTATATAATATATTATATAATATTATATGATATATTATATAATATATTAATATGTATAATATATAATTATATATTATTTATAATTATATATTATATAATATATTAATATGTATTATATAAGAATTATATATTATATAATATATTCTGTTGTATATTAATTTATATATTATAATATGTAATATATTATATATTATATATTTATATATAATATATTTAATATATACTATATTTAATATATAACATATATCATGATATATTATCATATAATATATTTATATAATACATATAATCTATATTATATATTATATATTATATATAAATTATATATATAATATATAATATATTATATATTTATATATCATGATATATATTATATATTATTTACATATATTATATAATATATAGTAAATAACATATATGGTATATAATATATATTATATATTATATATGTTTGTTATATATATTGAATATATATATAACAATATATTGAATATATATAACTATATGTATATTCAAGTATATATATTGTAGACTATATATATTCAATATATATATTGTCTTCTATATATATATGTCTTGAATATATTTGTTAAATTGAATTGAATTATCTATGGTTTTAGAACCCTGAAATTTGGCCTTTTCCTTGTTTTTGCATTTGTTTAAACTTAGATATAATGGAGTTTTGGGGCTTTGAGTTCAGGTGTTGTTTGCTTTTTTATTTCAAGGTTTTAACCAGTATTGCTTAGTTATTTAAAAATTAGTGTAATTTTATCATTTTAGTATTCTAAATGCTGGTAAATGTGTGTGTATATATAAAATATATATAATATATTAATATCTATTATTAATTTCTATATTAATATATTGTTATTTATTAATTTATACATTAATATATTATGTTATATATTAATTTATATATTAATGTACTATGTTACATATTTATATATGAATATATTCTGTTATATAGTTATATATGAATATATATTGATATATTCTGTTATATATTAATTTATATATTATAAATTATATTATATACTAATTTATATATTTATATATTATAATATGTAATATATACTATGTTACATAATATGTAATATATATCATGATACATATTATTATGTAATGTGATATTTATATAATATATTATATAATCTAATTAATATATAATATATATCGTGATATGTTATATATAATATATTATAGCATGATATATATAATATACAATAGGGTGATATATATTATATATTATATCATATATAATATGTAAATAATATATGTATATATAATTATTATAGGTAAATATAGTATATATAATATATATAATATATAGTAAATAATATATAATATGTTATATAATATATAATTATGTATGTTATATATGTTATATAATATATATAATATATTATATTATATATAATATAACATATATTATATATAATATAACATGTTACATATTATATAATACAACATGTTACATAATATATAACACATGTTACATAATATATAATATAACATGTTACATAATATATAACATGTTATATAATATATATTATATTATATATATAATATATTATATTATATATAATATAACATGTTATATTATATATAATATATAATATCTAGGATCCTAGATGTGGGAGAGAATATATATATATATAATATGTATATAATATCTAGGATCCTAGATGTGGGAGAGAATAATTCTTAGTAGTAGAAACATGGAAGACTTCCTGGAGGAAGGGTCATAAGAATTGAGCCTTGAAAAAAATAGTGCAACTTCAACTGGTAGAGATTGGGGACCAGGGCATTGTGGGGCGCGTAGGGTGGGGGGAGTCACACATAAGCAATGAACAGGGGACATTCAAGGAACACAAGGAATTTGCTGATATGGTGATATGATC
This sequence comes from Homo sapiens, assembly GCF_000001405.40. Taxonomy (NCBI): domain Eukaryota; kingdom Metazoa; phylum Chordata; class Mammalia; order Primates; family Hominidae; genus Homo; species Homo sapiens. The sequence goes on along the minus strand of NC_000012.12, from coordinate 96,824,964 downwards.
CTCATTGCAGGTGTGTATAGGAACCATGGCAGTGAGAGTTCTCACCAGAGAGGTAAATTTTTAACAGGTCATGTAAAAGTAAGGAATTTGGATTTTATTGTATAGAGAATAGAGCAGGACTGGACTGAGGGAATAATGGTAGAGATTGCTTTGAAAAGATAATTTGACCACAGTTTAAAAGTGAACTGCACTGGAAAGAGACAGAGAAATCAGCTAGGACACCACTCAAACAGTTTGGGTAGGAAGTGATCACGGCTAGAAGTGGGCCAGCTTCTATGGGTCTAAAAATGATGGAGGACAGGCAGACTACCCAGCACTAGTCAGGGTACACCAGTGTCCTCTGCTGATCTTGCCAGGTCCCTGGTCCACTTTTCCAGATAGAGGGGAACATACATCCACTCCTATATACCCCTTATTTATCTGTATTTCCAATTGAGTGCTTAGGTAAGGTATGCTTTCTGTCTAAATAAAAGATTTCAACAACAGCATGATGGGTTATTGTAAGGATTTCATTAAGAGCCATGAAACAAAATGACACTGTCTATGTCACTAATCAATTCACATCACAGATGAAGAGAGCAATGCTACCTGAAAAACGCCTTGCCCTGCTTCAGCTCAACATTTTTCAAACAGAAATTTTGCTTGAATGACATCCTTTTAATCTGGCATTACTTGAGGTAAACCGCATACACATGTTCTGAAATTGGCTGACTGGAGGTTGGGGCTGTGAGTTCCTTGTGTGACCTTGCTGCCACAGAGATGAAGAAGGGGAAGGCAGGGAGCTCGCCTGTCCCAGCCAGAAAGCGGTTGGATGCACGCATGCTGCAGCTAGCGAGGGGCTGGGAGGGCACAGAATGACCCTTGCTCAGTCTTTGCCACTTCTCCCTTAAAAAGAACATCTGCTATTTCTATGAGCAGTGGCTCTCTGAGTGACTTCAAGATATTAAAGCCAATTCTTAGATTTGGTTGAAATCATCATTTTCCTTCATCTATAATGTGGGTGGGGGGAGAAAAAACTTCCTAAGTTGCTTTCCAGCCTCCAAACTCTTGCTTCCCTCGTCTCTCCTTCACATGCCACTATGATTATCTTGGCAAATCATAGGGTGGATCATGAGCTGCCCTTCCAGGCGAGGTGCTGCCCCTACCTTGTCCTAGGCCCCAAGATCCAGCCCTGCTTTCCCACAGCCCTCTCTTACAGAACAAAATCCTTTCACCATTTATCCATTCAACATCAATCAAATTCCTCCTATAGGCCACGAAGGAGGAATAGGAGATGAACAAAACACAGAGAGCCCATAAGGAGTTCATGGCCTAGTGAGGGCAATTGGAGAGACAGACTCCTACTGCACTTGGTGGTGAGATCAGAGCAGAGGAAGCACATAATTCCACCCAGCCTTCCTGAGCCATCTCCCACTACATTCACCCTGTACTTCTGCCACAACAGATCTTATTGTTTCCTGAATATGAGATTCAGTTCCATGACTTCATATCTCATCTCTTGCTGTATCCACAGTCTGGAATGAGTTTTCTCCACAGGTCTCCAACTAGAAGTTTCACAAACTATTAAGGAAGCACTAAGGTTCAGTTACTGGGCTAGATATTGGCGATATAATGATGAATAAGCCCTCTGAGCAAAGGAATTCACAGTCAAGAGAGAGGAAGAGACAAGTCATCAGCTAATTGCCTAACTAATACAGGATATTTGGGGATGCAAGGAAACATGGCCTTAATTTCAGTCTAGAAGGGCTAGAAAATGCTGTGTGAGCTATTTAAGCAAGCACAAAGTCTAGCTCAACTTTCTCTCTCAAAACACACACACACACACAGACACACACACACACAGACAAACACACACGATCTATGTAAATGAGACTTTAAATACAATCAGTTAGAAGAGTTTGCATCAGTAACCCCACTGCCAAGAAGGAAGGATTCTACAACTCTACCTGTCTATACAGTGCAGAATGTAGATAATGGGGAAATAGGAAAACTGGAAGAAGTCAGAGGTACTAAGTTGAACAACATAATAAATTGCTGAGCCAGACTGGGAAGGAGAAAAGAAACAAAAATCTCTACATAGACTGAGTTGGAGGAAAAGGTGTTGGAGTTTGAGCCAAATGAGACAGATGTTAGAGAGCTGCTATGGATGCCAGAGAGCTATGAGAGCAAGACAGCTGGGGAAAAGAGGATTTACAAGAAACTTTTCTGTGTATTCTAAAGGATTCCCCCTGGGATGTTCCTATAAGAGACAGGAAAGATTTAGATTATTTTCAATGGTTTGGGACATCAGACTGACTGCCACACTTTCTTACGACAGAGCTACTGGGTGGCTGGGCTCATTAGGAATGACATCTGGGTACCTATGGCCATACTCGTACATTGATTAAGCTCCTCTGTGACAGGGACCTGGTTATATTGATTTCTGTATATTCTCACCTCCTCAAGCCTGGAAATAGTTTGCACATAATAGTTCCTCAAAAAGAATTTGTGAATTGATGCTAATTTCCAATTGTATCTTGCTCTGTGTTCTCACAGTACTTTAATAGTTGGGATATACTCCCTATATATTAATTTTAATAGTCTTACAATCAGGCATTTCATAAATGTTTGCTGAACTAACCTTAGGTGACTTGGCAAACATATTCTAAACTTTTCATATCAGTATGCTATCATTCCAAATAAGGTGTATGCATCTTAAAATCAGGGTGTTTTGCATCTTCCATATGCTTTAGAACACCTGACAGGCTCTGAACACTCCCGTTAACTGTGAATGACAGATTAAAATAACTCAGCCATTCACAGCCAGTGTTGTTCACTTTAGAAAAAAGGATACACAAGGTTTTCAAGCCAACAGTGATTGGAACACCTGTTCTGTAGTCCTCCCAATACATCTTAAATTAATATATGTGTTCTGAAGTTCTTGGCTTATTCTGGACCCTAGGGTTTTGGGGGGATATACATAAAAGGGAGTGAAGAAGAAAACAAGATTCACTACCTTCCCCCCATGTCAACCAAAGACACATTTTCTGCACCCTTATATTCAATAACCCACCAACAATCTATACTGTTAATAGAAATAAATAGATTATGGAAGCTATGAAATCCTGTCCAATTCCAGACCAGAATTGATCTCTTTTAGAAGTGTCCTACTTAACTTCTAATTAGCTCCATGTGAAGGTTGTCATGACAACAAACTAGCAGATTTAGTCAATGGAATTTATCTGATACAACCCAGAATCGAGCTTTTTTTTTTTTTTTTTTTAATAAAGTGCTCATTAGTATTGTGGAAAATAGAAAAATTTATATGTAATTTCATTTCTCAACTTTCAAACGCTGTGAGCTAATTTGCTTGCCAATTCACCTAAACGAATATTAGTGTTCCTTCTGTCTGGTGATATTCTTCCATATATAGAACTAACGGAGCCAGAAAATATCTAAAATGCCCCACGTTAAAGCTGAAGAAACACTTTCTAGGTTGGAGAATAAAACAAATTCAAAAACACAAAGAAGAACATTAAGAGTGAAAAGAGTTTGTTCTACTTGAGGATTGATCCAGGCACACCCACCATTTCAGTTGGAACAGGAAAGCAAGCCATAAGCCTTTCTTAAGGCAAGGTAGGTCCTCCAAATTCCTCCCTCCACTTATCTTCAGACACCACCATACCCTCGACCTCATTTATTTCTTATTTGTTTATATTTATAGTCAACCTCTTGACTCAGATGCTGGGTTCATTTTGATGAATTTGATACCTACATCTGCCCACCAAGGATGTTTTGGTGACTCTCAGTCCACCCAAAGAGCCCATCTCTCCATCTCAGAGCAGGATTTGAATGAAAAGATCATTATGGAGTTCAGAGGAAAATGAGCTCCAGGAAAAGCTAAGAGACGGACCTTCAGTAGTAAAGCTGAGTGGCAGAGGGTACAATCTAGAATCCTTACTCTAACAGATGCTCATTCTCCTGCCTCAGACAATCTAAGCTGAAAATGGGTTCAGAGGAAAATAATCATTTTCCATATATGAACCAGATAGTAGTGAATTTAGGGACAATTTCAGCAAAGAATATTCTAGACCATGGCTCAAAAACAGCAATATGGTAAATTTGGTATGTGGCTTAAAAACTGTCATTGTAGGTATTCTACAAAAGAAGTATAAAAATAGAGAGCTGAATTATTTTTGAAAATAGACATGAAAGGGCAATCATGCACTTTATAAAATAAACCTATATCTATAGTTATAGCCATAAAACCTCCCAAGTTTGAGATAGTTTGAGTTATCTGATATATTGAGGGATTTATTATAAGCACTCAGTACATCATTAAGCATCATAATTCATGTTGCAACATTGGAGGACACTGAAAAGGATGTTCAACCAAAATTCTAAGACATCTGCCCCATGATATACCTAGGCACAGAGCACAGAAGTCATAAATGCTGAAAAGTGGCATTTTGCAAAGGCTAACTGTACTTGCACAGTAGATTCTCTTATGGTTAGGCTTGCTGCTTTTACAATAATGAAAAATGCATTCATTCACTCTACTGATGAATTCAAACTAAAAATGCCAACAAGTACCTTCTAAATATCAGGAAAGTTGCTGACTTTTACACTTTCACATAATGAAAGTGTATAGATGAGGTAAACAAGAAAACAAAGCCAAAACAATAATATTCTTTCAGAACTAAAAATATTTTGTTACTGACACCCAATTAAATATTCCTAGCAGAACATGATTTAAGTCAAAAAGATATACTAGACCAAAAATAAAGAGAAGATCCTAAAAGCAGGAGAGATGGGTAGAATTAAGTGCTTCCTCTGCTCTGATATCAGCAGAGTGAGGCAAGAGTCTGTGTCTCCCATTGCTCTCACGAGACCATAAGCTCCTAAGGGCTCTCTCTGTGTCTTGCTCATCCCCGATTCCCACACCATGGCAAGTAGGAGGCATGCAAAAGATGTTGAATGAAGAAATGATGAATAAAATTTGTTTTGTAGGCAAGAGTTCTGGAAAAGTGAGGCTGGGACCCAAGTAGCTGGGAACTCAACCCAAAAAGTGTCACAAGGAGGGCCCAGAAGCAGGGCTATGCAGCAGGCATGAGAGCATTCAGTCTTCAACTGCAACAGGAGGGTGGGAGGCTCCAGAGGAAAATGCGTTTGAGACATTATTTGATAAATATGAATACTTCAGTAAAAAATCTATGGATGAACATATGAAAGTTCTGATGTAATGACTGAGAAAATATAAAGAATAAAAGACAAGTCAAGAAAAATCCAAACACAAAAGAAAGGAAAATAACTATAGTACACTACTTGACTCAGCTGTGAACATCATTTACAGGGTCATAACACTGAATATTGATTTAATTAAATTTTGTGAGGTAACAATACATAGAAGAGAAGGGAAAAGAAGAAGTTGGGGAGAAGTATAAGTGAGCTAAATCCATATATATCAGACAGGGAATCAATATATTGTCTAAAATTGATACCTCCAGAAAAAACAATAATTTCTGGCTTTCAGCATGATTCATCATTTTGTCTGGCTTTCTGTCTTCCAAACTGGTGGCACAATTGTTGGTACAGCATATAAATTATTTGGCTAATGAACAAACTGTTAGTGGAAGTGCTATGATGGAAGTTTTATGAGCCAGTGTGTAATGTGCCCCTTCTTTCCCTCCCGCCACAGTGACTGGTGATGTTCCATGATGAATGTGCCACCCACCTGGATGCTGGCATGAGGAGACATGAAGCAGGTCCCCAGCTGACTCACTCAGATTTGGAGGCTTTTCATTACCCCATCTTTCATGACCGATACTGAATATTATTTGTAGGTGTGAAAGCAAATAACAAACGTAGCAGCTAAAAGTGGAAAGTGGTTGCCTCTGCAGAGCGGAATTGTGGAGTGAGCAGAGGTTGGGCAGCAGATTGCCTTTTTTCGTTTTAAGCCATGTACATCTATCTTTTAAACAGCTACAATAAGTACAGAATACATCTCTCAAGAAATTAAGGTACAAATGGTAATTTAAAGAACAGGTAATTAGGGGAGAACATATATTCCCTACCCTTCTCATTTCCATAAAGGGTAAGGAATTTCCATATCTCTCCCAAAGAAGGCAAGACACTTCCAGCTTCTTTTGGATTTACCCACAAAAGAGTGGAGTGACTTATCTCATCAGTGAGTTTGGGAAAAGCAACAGAGCATGCTAGGCTCAACCCCTTCTGGGCTATCTTTGTTTATACTTTTTGGAGGCACCCTGCCTGCAGAACTATAATTCTCTGCTCTCCATGCAGTAAGCTTGAGTGGGGCAGAAGGGAAATGGGGAAACCCTGTGGTTACACAGGTGTGCCAGATGACTGCATGACTAGGTGGGCAAGTCTGGCTAATTCAGGGGTAAAATATTAGTGTGCTCATTTGGCCACAGATCTAAAGCCAAGTTCACTAATCAGCTTTATCAGTAATGATGCTGACATTTTGGTCTCCATATAACTGTCTCCTGTGCCCCAGGAGAACTGAGAACTCAGGAAGGGACAGAAAACCCCCATCTCCTCCAAAATACAAACATCGGTCATCAGAAAAACAACTCAGCTGTGTGACCAGACTTAATAGCATACTATACGGATAACAGCCTTTTTTGTTAGAAAAAATATATGTAATATAAAAAGTCTGAAAAAATATGCTTATCTATATTTTCTAGTTTTTCTTCACATATTATTTGGGAAATAAAAGTGTTTAAATAATAGATTTAGAGTGAAAAAAGATAAAAGTAATATTGCAAAGTCACAAAGCATTATTTCTTAGGATTCACAGCTATAGCTGAACGATTTATCTGGATTCGTTTGTGTTCATTCACCATCAAATTCTTGTAATTCGTATGCTTAGAAGACCTTCAGACCTTCAGAAGACACACTACATATGTGTCAAAAAGTTGAGTCATGTCTCGTACTCTGAATAAACTAGAGGCAGAAGAATTACAGAGTTTAAGTCCAGTTACATAGTTCTGCTTTGAGGATATAAAAGATAATCTATAGCAATGTCATTTTCCATTATTTAACAACTTACTTCCATTTCATTATCAACTGATTCCTCTTCCACTTCTACTTCATATATGTTTTCATTTGAGGTAATTTCAGGAGCTGCTGGCAATGATAGTTCAGCTATTTGAGCAAGATTAGATAATTTCTCATGAATTGCAATAACCCTGAAAATAACAAATATATATGTATTTTATTTGAAGAGTTAAGAAAGGTATTTATGGCCGGGCGTGGTGGCTCACGCCTGTAATCCCAGCACTTTGGGAGGCCGAGGCGGGTGGATCACGAGGTCAGGAGATTGATACCATCCTGGCTAACATGGTGAAACCCCGTCTCTACTAAAAATATAAAAAATTAGCCAGGTGTGGTGGCAGGCGCCTGTAGTGCCAGCTACTCAGGAGGCTGAGGCAGGAGAATGGCGTGAACCTGGGAGGCAGAGCTTGCAGTGAGCGGAGATTGCGCCACTGCACTCCAGCCTGGGCGACAGAGCGAGACAGAAAAAAAAAAAAAAGAAAGAAAGGTATTTATTTGCAGCATCAATAACTTGTATAAAGTAAGCCCTCAGTTATTTAACGATTAGATTTCTGATATCGCCAAGCATCATTCATTCAGTAATTCCCTTTATTCAAGAAACATGAGCAAAGAGACACAGTCTTAACTTTCATTATGTTTATGGTCTTGTCATACATGCAGATAAAAATATAATTAGAAATTGCAAAAGCACAATAAAAAAGGCACACATCTAAAATATTGCTGAAGATGAAAATAAAGAAAATAATTATCTATGTGGTGAAACAAAATCTAGGCAAAAGCAAAAGATTTACTCCTATGGAAGTCTTAATGCCATGCTCTGACTATCCGCTGACCTGCAGGTAAGAATTATGACAAGTGAGCAATGACTCTAGAAGGTCAGTCAACGGACCCATAACAATTCAGTGTATTGCATGTGTGTCGGGAATGGGAGTGAAGAGGGTGGAGGAAGGGAGGTAGGGAGAAGAATCAAGAAAAATGGAAAAGTAAAAGCCAAAGGAGGGCACTAGCAATGATGCTGAAGACAAGGTTCACATGCCAGTTAACAGTGATGCCCTGAAGGCAGAGTGGACCAGGGGAGTGGAGGCAGAAGGTGAAAAGGCTTACAGTTGAAGAAGGCAAACAGCCACCTGCATGGCCCCAGTGACTCCACACTACAGGCACAACACACATGTGCATACATGTGTTTACATATGTGTGTGCACATGCATGTCTCCATTCAAGGAAGGAAGAAAATTTTTATGCAAAAGAAGCAAATGATCCCAAAAACAAACTGACATCAGGAACATAGGCAAAAATGTCAATTTTCCAATTGTCCACAGCATCCTCATCTGCACCACTGTGCAATACTTGATTATCCTAATGATAGCTCTCAGCAATAAAAAGTTAAAAATGTAATTACATATAAGAGGATTTGAATTTATATAGTATGCCTTAGAAACTTTTCTGTTAAAAAGGCAACAGTTAAATGCAAAGATTTGTTGTTAAAGTTTACTTGAAAAACTTACCCATTGAAAAATGGGTCATCCTATACACCAATAATAGACAAACAGAGAGCCAAATCATGAGTGAACTCCCATTCACAATTGCTTCAAAGAGAATAAAATGCCTAGGAACACAACTTTCAAGGGATGTGAAGGACCTCTTCAAGGAGAACTACAAACCACTGCTCAAGGAAATAAGAGAGGACACAAACAAATGGAAAAACATTCCATGATCATGGATAGGAAGAATCAATATCGTGAAAATGGCCATACTGCCCAAAGTAATTCATAGATTCAATGCTATTCCCATCAAGCTACCATTGACTTTCTTCACAGAATTAGAAAAAAACTACTTTAAATTTCATATGGAACCAAAAAAGAAGCTATACAGCCAAGACAGTACTAAGCAAAAAGAACAAAGCTGGAGGCATCATGCTACCTGACTTCAAACTGTACTACAAGGCTACAGTAACCCAAACAGCATGGTACTGGTACCAAAACAGGTACATAGACCAATGGAACAGAACAGAGAACCCAGAAATAACACCACACATCTACAACCATTTGATCTTCAACAAACCTGACAAAAACAATCAATGGGGAAAGGATTCCCTGTTTAATAAATGGTATTGGGAAAACTGGCTAGCTATATGCAGAAAACTGAAACTGGACCCCTTCCTTACACCTTATACAAAAATTAACTCAAGATGGATTAAAGACTTAAATGTAAAACCTAAAACCATAAAAACCCCAAAAGAAAACCTAGGCAATACCATTCAGGACACAGGCATGGGCAAAGACTTCATGACTAAAATACCAAAAGCAATTGCAACAAAAGCCAAAGTTGATAAATGGAATCTAATTAAACTAAAGAGTTTCTGCACAGCAAAAGAAACCACAGGCAACCTACAGAGTGAACAGGCAACCTACAGAGCGGGAGAAAATTTTTGCAATCTATCCATCTGACAAAGGTCTAATATCCAGAATCTACAAAGAACTTAAACAAATTTACAAGAAAAAAACAAACAACCCCATCAAAGAGTAGGCAAAGGATATAAAAGACACTTCTCAAAAAAAGACATTTAGGCAGCCAACAAACATATGAAAAAAAGCTCATCATCACTGGTCATTAGAGAAATGCAAATCAAAACCACAGTGAGATACCATCTCACACCAGTTAGAATGGCAATCATTAAATAGTCAAGAAACAACAGACGCTGGAGAGGATGCGGAAAAACAGGAACACTTTTATACTGTTGGTGGGAGTGTAAATTAGTTCAACCATTATGGAAGACAGTGTGGCAATTCCTCAAGGATGTAGAACCAGAAATACCATTTGACCCAGCAATCCCATTACTGGGTATATACCCAAAGGATCATAACTCATTCTACTATAAAGAAATATGCACATGTATGTTTACTGCAGCACTATTTACAATAGCAAAGACTTGGAATCAACCCAAATGCCCATCAATGATAGACTGGATAAAGAAAAAATGGCACATAACACCACGGAATACTAGCAGCCATAAAAAAAGAGTGAGTTCATGTCCTCTGCAAGGACATGCATGAAACTGGAAACCATCATCCTCAGCAAACTAACACAGGAACAGAAAACCAAACCCTGCATGTTCTCACTTATAAGTGGGAGCTGAACAATGAGAACACATGGACACAGGGAGGGGAACATCACACACTAGGGCCTGTTGGTGGGTTGGGGACAAGGGGAAGGAGAGCATTAGGACAAATACCTAATACATGTGGGGCTTAAAACCTAGGTGTCAGGTTGATAGGTGCGGCAAACTGCCATGGTACGTGTATACCTATGTAACAAATCTGCACGTTCTGTACATGTATCCCAGAACTTAAAGTAAAACTTAAAAAACAATAGGTCATCTCCAATAATGCTGGAAAAGGTGTCTGATGCATTGGAGAGAAAAGAAGATGAGGAGGTGAAAGACTTGATGAGTCATGCTTGGTTCCTTCAAACTCTAGCCATGAAACCTTAGACTACTCACTTAATCTCTCTGACCCTGAGGTTCCTTCTACTGTAAGACTGGAATAAGAAAATCTACTTCATCCAATTCATAAGGCTTTTGTAAGGATGAAATGACATAAGTATGTATGTTCTTAACCACAAGTAACCACATGAAGGAAAGATAGTATTCTAAAACGCCATTCTTTTATTCCAATACCTAGAGAAAGAAGTCTTATTTGTCTTCCACAAATAGCATAGCTTTCCTTTATAATACTTGGGATTCTAGGAAGGATAAACCGTTCTTTGACATTTGGGTTTCAGATTGTACATGAGTGTCCAGAACTTCACTGCCTGTGCTGGCAGAGTAAATGGCCCCATCTAGCTCCACAAAGAGCAGTCTGGGAACGGGCAAAGCAGGCTGAGTCCTCATGCAAAGAGCAACATCAGATGACTTGAATCTTGGTGTGAGGCCTGGACCCCATGACTGCACCTGCCTACATCTTGCTCCCTCCCTTTGTGCTCTGGCATGCATTTGCCCCTCACTTCCCTGTCCTCCCACGTACTTCTTCATTTCTGTCCTCCAGGTCAACGCCTGTTCCAGCTTTTTAAACCTTGGCACTACAAACAAGCATCTACCATCCCGTCTGGGCTCCCCACAGCCGCTGCTCTAATTTACTGACTCCTAGGCACTCTCTCCCAGGGTCTGCTGTGGCCTGGAGGGCAGGACCCAGTTGTAAGTAGAAACATGGATGACTGTAGGTTTAAAGGCAGAGACAGTAGGCAAGGAACTTGATTTTGGTCACAACAGCACAATTTAGATAGAACTACACAGAAGGTTTTATGTCTGTTCATTGAGAACACTATTGTTTCCTTTGTTGCTGTAAAAAAATGCAAAGAATTAAAATATACTTTTTCTTATGAGAACTTAACTAGGAGATGAGGAAGTGAATGATAAAAGGAGGATGTCCCAATTTGCAGGTTATCCAAGTTTCTTCTTCTCTGGCCTATTTTTTCTGACCTGTTTTACTCCTACTTTGCCTTCCAAAGGATGATCAGGACCAATTTCCCATGTACTAATCTTGAGCCTCATAAGAACACAAGGAATGCCACCCAGGATGAGAGAAATAGTTTATTTTCACAGTGCCACCAAAGGACAAGGAGATAAAAGATTGTTGGGCATGGTCCTCTGTGATGGCCTCAGTGGCTGGGGCTTGTCACTAATTTTAGTAACCCTACTATTGATCAGAAGTACACCAAAATTCAAAACTTTTTGGAATAAAAAAAAGAAGCTTATCAGTTTGATGACTTTCTACTTTATAGAAATTATAATCATTTTCATCATATGGGGCTGGAAAAATCTACATTTCTGGATTTACAAAGCAAGTGCAGAATTACCTGATTTGGTTGCTTAGCTATGCTGGTCTGTAGCCTGTACCTAAGTTTTTGACCATTTCACTTGGAAAAGAAGAAAGGAAAGGGAAAGGAAAAGAAGGAAGAAAATAAATTGACTGAATGAAAATAAAGAGGAGAGGAGTGGAGGGAAGGAAGGGAAGAACAGGAGAGAAGAGGAGAAAAGAAGAAAAGAAAGAAAAGAAGGAACAAATAAACTGACTGAACAATTGAAAATATGCCCAGCACTTGAAACAGCCTTTGTCTCTTTCATGGTGATGCCAAGAAGTCATTCAAAATGAAAATCATGGAACATAAACAAGACTCTCAAAGGAAGGACAGAGAAACACTAATTCTCTGTTTACCAAGCCATTGATGGAAAAGGCGTTAGTGATGGAACAGGCTTTAGTGATGGAACAGGCGTTAGTGGTTAAGCTTTTCAAAGCATGTTCACACACTGTCTATCTTAGTCCTGACAATAACCCTGAAAGGCAGGCAGAGCAGTTATGATCATTTCCATCCTACAATGGAGGAAATGGAGGCTAAGGTCAGAAGGGCAATGAACAATGGAGTCAAAAATAAACTAAGTAATAAATGAAAAAACAACAACAGGGAAATTGGTAAAGTGAAACAGGAAGAGAGAAACGAGGCATGAGCAAAAAGTTAAGAGAGATGACCTGTTTGATGGAGAGGGAGGAAAACAACCTAGATGAAGCAGAGACTTCTGACTGGGCACAGAGGGAAAGGTGGGCCAAGGGAGGTAGTGGAGTTTGGGCTTAATTTTGAAACTCCATACAAAGCCACATTAAATTATTTTTTAACCACGCTGAAACTACAGGCAAAATATAGTACAGACAACATCCTTGTGCTCTCTGTAATCTCTATGAAGCATGTATGAACTGTTCCTTCAGCAACCCTCAGTACTATTATTAGTATTATTCCCATTTTACTATAAGGAAACTGAAGTACAGAGGTTACATAAACTGCCCAAGGTTGTGAAGGTAATAAGGGGCACAACTGGTATTTGAATGAAGCAGGCAGGATTCAGAGTTCATGCCCTTAAGCACTGCAATATAATATTCCTCTAAACAAAAGGAAGATTCTTCGCGAAGTGCCTTTTAGCAGGTCTCCTATGCTACACCTTGCCAATTACTGAAAGAGTCTATTCTCGTGAGAGATAACAACAAAGACAATTCGAGTTGTGGAATTTTTACTTGCCTATTCAGTGGAATCCATAAAGAGCCAACACATGTACTGTTATAAGTGGAATGTCTAACATCTGAAATCTTCAGAGGCTTCAAATTATATGCATACAACAATAAAACCTATAAGAAAAATAAAAGGGGTATAAAATGTGACATCAAAATTAGAGTTTAGCTCAAAAACTACAGCATTAGTTCACAAAATAATATCACTGTACTTTGAAAAGTATTTGTTTAGAAGAGAAAAATTGGGTTTTCAATTCACCTGAAAGAGAAATGATGTGAACCAGAATTGTACAAAGGTTGTAGGATGAAAATAAATACTATTTGGTAACAATATGATATTATTTTTGAAGAGTGACATTTTGTATTGCAATTAAGTTTATATTTCAGCTTTTGAAGGCCCTCTACAGTAAGTATTAAGCATACACCTGGTAAATAGCCAACTTTGTTCCTTGTTACTTCTCAATGTGTACCGTTCCCATAAGTGGGCATAGTCATTTCTATGAGTTCACTTATGCTGTTGCCTTCCTCTTCTCTCCATTTATCCAATCCACACACAGCTTTCTAGCCACCACAGCTAAGATGAAACGTCCCTTGATGATTCATGCTCTAGTAATTTCCCTGTTGTTTGGATTCTGACAATTCTTAGAGTCAGTTGCATAAGTTATAGCACCTACTTAGTTATGGATTTGTAGCGTTTGAGAGTCACAGAAGCTTAGAGATAATCTGGTCTAATTCCTTCATTTCAGATATAAGAAAGCTATTGTCCAGAGCTGCCAATCAAAACCGAGTAATTAGGCATATTGAGGCTCAGAGAACAGAGCCCCAAAGTAACAAAGGACGTTAGAAGGCCTTAGAAACTACCTCAGAACCAAGACCTTTTAACCCAGCACAGGTAGGGGCTCTCTCAGGAGGTTCCCGTATCTGCCTGAGAAAACTTCTTCCAAAAGACGTACAATAGTCTTGAAGCTCCCTTTCTAGGAATCTCATTAAATAACCAAGAAAGATTAAGCACCAGAGAGGAGAAAAGACTAAAAGTCATCACCAGGCCCACACAGAGTTTTTGTCTATTCTTCTGAGGGCAGCTTGGAGAGATTGCCTGGGAGACTTTATCTGCATAATCGGACAACCTTTGTTTGCAGTGTTGTGCTACCGCTCTTCTTCCCATAACTTCCCACAAGCTATTGTCTGTTCTTGGTCCCATTCAAACAGATCATTCAAAAACTATGGTCTACCCTTTGGGTCCATTCAGTTCCGGTATGAGTAATTGGGTAATCATTCTCTTGTTATTTTCCTGTGCTTATACACATTACTAAATTTGTATGCTTTTTCTCCTGTTAAGCTATCTATTGTCAGTATTATTTTGGTAGACTTTATTAGACCCAAATCTTTAGAAGAGGAGGAAAAAACTCTCTTCACCCCTAAAAGCACATGCCTTTACCTCTGCTTCCTCACAAAGTAAACTAAGATAAGAGTAAAGGTATTTTTAAAAGGCGTAAGTACACAAGGACAGAAAGAACACAAGAGGAGATGAAGCAGACAAAAGATGTTAGCAACACTATGAAGGACAGAAAGCACCTGGAAGAACAAAGCTGACTCAGCAGAAAGGAAAGGCTGTGTCCTAAGTGTTTTCAGAGGGGTTGCCAACAACAAGCATGACTGAGAACACCGAGAAGCTCAGGAACTGGAGGCTCAGGTACCTTTAAAGGCAGGAGTAGGTGGCACTGCAAACAGGGAGTAACATTAGACAACCTCCCTTTCATCTGGGTGGGTACAACCTGGAGACTCCTCCTTTCCCTTGCCTCCTCTCTCCCGGCTGAACTTCTTCTATTTTGCTCTCTGCTTATGTTAAATCAGAGAGGATCTATGCTAAGGGACGTTAGGTACAACGCTCAGGTGCTTTACTAAAAACATTGGAATTAAGTGAAAGTCTGTATTCTGAATGAGAGACATCCTGCTACCCCACAACAGCCCCTTCTCAGAATGTAGTAAATTAGGCAGGAGTCTAACAGAATTGTCTTTGGGGAAACTGATATGTCAAAGAGAAAAGACCTACAGGTGCTGAAATTTCATCATCCTCCAGTGAAACTACTGCCTCCTTCTGCAGTTATCCTGTAATGAGGCCCACAAGTCAATATCTAACTAAATATGCTTTTTAGTGTTTCACTTCAAACATAAGTAGACAGTCAAGAGTCACTAGACAGGAAATGAAAGGCAAAAACTAAAACTAACAGAAGGGAAATTGCAGAATAAGATATAAGACAAAGATCAGGAGAAAACTCCAATGAAACCATAATTAATATCCTCAGATAGAAGAAAGACAACATTGTATCTGTGAAACAAGAACAGGATACTAACAAAATGGGACAATCAGAGAACAAGGAAGACTACTTAAAAATAAAAATATGATCAAAACAACTAAATAATCAAGAAAAGATTGAAAATATAAAGTTGAATCCATCTCCCCAAAAGTGAAACCTAAATTTAAAAACGTAGATAATAGGGAAAAAAATGAGAAAAGTAAACACTTAATCCAATTGGTTCAATAACTGAATAATAGAAATTCCAAAAGGTACTAAGATAATCAGAGGGAGGAAATTATTAAATAAAAAAAGGCCATGAACTGAAGAATATTACTTTCCATTTTGAAAGGGCCACCCTAAATATCCAGCACAACAGATGAAAGACTCACACCAATGCGCATCATGGAATTTCAGTACATACGGGACAGAGGGAAGACTGAGAGCTAGCAGAGTCACAAATAAAGAACTAGGAATCAGAATGGGATCAGACTTCTCAACAGCAATGCAAGATTGCAAGTGGAATAATGCCCCTCACATTTTCAGGGAAAATAACTGTCAGCCTAGAATTTTATGCCAAGAAAACAATGAATTAAGCATTAAAATAAAGATCTTTTGTTAGACATTCAAGGTCTTTTTACCTCCTGGGTAATCTCAGTTAGTTTGCTGCAACCCTGTTAGCATATAAGGGGAATGTAGTCATGGTATTGGCCCTTGGACAAACCTGAATAAAATGTGTTAACCAGTAATTGACGCAGTCCTGTTCTAGGGTCTGAAACACACCAGGGAGCAGCCTATAACATCTGGTCTGCATTTTTTATAGAAAATGTGCATACTAATGATTGGCAGCTGGATCTATTATCTTCACTTCTATTATTAAGTCTGGGCTCACACGTGTTTTTGACTACATAAACAGAGATATAAAAGGCTCCTCCTCAGATAAGAGAGCAGCTTGAGACCACGATATGCCATATTTTGGTGGTTTATAATCCATAAATGAACTGTGTCCTATGTGACTGAGACTCTGAAAGCTGCCCCTGGATATCTTGAGTGTCTCAAATGATCACCTGTGCTTTCTTTAGCCTTCCATGCCTTATCCTTTCTTTGTGAAGTCTCGTGAGTACTCTGAAAAATTAGAACCTCTAATACACCCTTTTTCAGGAAGCTGGAAGATGTGTTCATCTGACACAAGAGAGTAACTCAAGACAGAAACAGGAGACCCAGGGAACCCAACTTAGAGAGAGGGGAAGGAATTTGCAATAGAGTGACGAATGGGACTCTTAAGATGATAGTTGAGCCATAAGAGCAATCAGTGCAGAGCATGTCTCTGAAGAAGAAAAACAATGGAACTGAAAGATATGCTGATGAGTTTGACCAAATGGAGAAGACTGTATAGTTCTTTGAAAGTTTGGGAAGAATTAGAGATTATTCCCAAACTTTCAAAAAGGCAAAAGACTGACTCTAAGTTAAAGATAAGGCAACTTTTTTCTTCAGGAAAGAAGAAGGCAGAAATAAAGGAAGCAGTAACCTATTTGGCTTAGCCATGAATGATACTTACATAGTCATAATGCAAACACAGACTATGGGCAAGTCAACATTCATGCCTCTGGCTTCTTCACTTGTGAAATGGAGATGTGTAATCCCTATTCCATGAATCGGTGGTGTGAGGACTCAATGAGTCCATGTGAAGTGCTTAGAGCAATAATAATTCTCTAAGGCATTATTTTAGCTCATGATCACTCCTGGCTCCTTACCCTTCTTTGGTGCTTCATTCTTCATATTCTCTTAGACCTACTGCTAATCCCAAGATGACTTCCCATTCGATCTCCCAGCCAGTATTTGCCTAATCCACTAATACTTAGTTCTATTCCCAGCTTGTTTTCAGTCTTCAAGGGGCCAGTTTCACCCTATATCACCTTTATACTTCAGGGTGGATTCAGGAGGAGAAATACACTCATGATGGAACTTTCAATGCTCCCTTACTCACTTCTGCAAAGACTAGTTTTTCAATGGCAAAGAAGTGATATGGTTTTGAAAAACACTGAGGACTATTGAATTTAAAATGTATCTTATGTTTAGAATCCCTTATAGCCCAGGAATAAGTGAAAGACGAGCTCTCTTGTACTAGGTGGAGTTGATTGCCTGACTTCCTCATCTTTGTATCTTAATCACCTAAGAAAATACCTGGCATATGGTATGTACTCAATAAATGTTTTATTAATTAGTAAGCAGCTAAATTATATGTGTTTGTAAAGAAATCAATAGTAGGGATGAGAAAAGTTTGGTTCTCATTCCTGTTTATGTCACTAATGAGTTGCAGCATTGGTCAAGTCACTTTACCCACATGGGACCTTACTTCCTCATCTATAATATGTGAGCATTGAATAGATGTTCTCTTAGTTTCTTTTCAGTTCTGAACTTTGCCTTGGGTGGTACCAAGAGAAGTCAGAGAAGGTTTCCAATGGAACCTACTATATGATGCAGCAGTGGAGAATCATCATTAGAACTGTAAGCTGCATTAGTAGCAACGGCACAGACCAGTGCTTCACAAACTTGAATGTGCATAATACTTGGGAGTTACTATTAAAATGCATATTCTGACTCAGTGGGTCTGAATTGAGAGTCTACATTTCTAATGAACTTCCAGGGGATGCTAGTGCTGCTGGTTCTCAGCCACACTTTGAGTCGCAACAGCCATTTCAAATGTCAGTCCCTATCTCCCTTAAACAGCTTTTGCCTTCCCAAGCTCCCTGAAGCTGGATGTTATTTTGGGCCCCATCTGAAGGATCAGGCTCCAGCTAATTGCATGGTCAACCTGGCCCAAAATCCAGAGCACCTCAAAGGGAATCCCTGGGCCTCTGCATGGTCCCTGAGTTACAGCACTTCCAACATCTAAGTTGATCATTGGGCTTCTGCTTTTATTATGACTTAGTAGTTTTCCCAGGAACCCTAAGTCTTCCTTCAGTATCCTGCTAGGACTGAGCTTGTCTTAAAATGCACAGCTTGTTTGTTTGGGAACCTGAAACAGAGTATAGCTTTTATTAGGGGTATAAAGTCTTCCAGAAAAGAGTACTAGGTCCACATCTCTTATTTGTAGACTGGCCGGATTCCTGCACTAAATAAACATACCTCCAAATACCGTTTCAGTTCCATTCAAGTTTGTGTTTTCACTTGACGGAGTCTTGCTCTTCAATGCCGTGCTTGCTCAGACTTCCTGCACTTGATCATCCTTATCCATCTGAGTCTTCTATGGCCTTTGAATACTTTGCCTTGGACTGTCCAACTGCACTCAATAAAACAGCCTTTGTTTTATTTTTCCAACTTTCTTTTTATGTTGTTATTATATATATATATATATATATATATATATATATATATATATATATATATATATATTTGGCTAGTGACAAAGTCTTGGCTTTTAGAGTACTCATCACCTAAATAGTGAACATTGTACCCAATAGGTAATTTTTCAACCCTTACCCATCTCCCACCCTCCCACTCTTTGTAGTTTCCAATGTCTATTATTCCACTGTGCATGTCCATGTTTATTCATTGTTTAGCTTCCAATTCTAAGTGAGAACATGTGCTATTTGGCTGAGTTATTTTAGTTAGGATAATGGCCTCCAGTTACATCCATGTTACTACAAAAGACATGATTCATTATTTTTTATGGCTGAGTAGTTCTTTATCCAGTCCTCTACTGATGGACACGTAGGTTAATTCCATATATTTGCTATTGTAAATAGTGATGCAATAAACATACAAGTACAGGTATCTTTTTGACATAATAATTTATTTCCCTTTGGATATACACCCAGTTGTAGAACTGCTGAATCCAATGGTGGTTCAATTTTTAGTTACCTGAGAAATCTCTCTACTTTTTTCCATAAAGATTGTACTAATTTACATTCCCACCAACAGTGTTATAAAAGTATTCCATCTTCTCCACATTCTTGCCAATATCTGGTTTTTTTTTTTTTGACTTTTTAATAATAGTCATTCTGACTGGTGTTAAGATGACATCTTATTGTCATTTTAATATTCATTCCTCTGATGATTAGTGATGTTGAGCACTTTTTTACATGTTTGTTGAAAACTTGTATATTTTCTCTTGAAAAATATATGTTCATGCTTTTAGTCCACTTTTTAATGGTTTTTTTTTCTTGTTGAGCTGCTTGAGTTCCTTGTAGATTCTAGATATTAGATCTTTGTTAGATACATAGTTTGCAATTTTTTCCCATTCTGCAAGTTGTGTGTTTACTCTCGTGACTATTTCCTTTGCTGTGTAGCTTTTTAGTTTAATTAAGTCCCACTTGTCTATTTTTTGTTGTTGTTGCATTTGATTTTGAGGACTTGGTCATAAATGTTTTGCCTAGGCCAATGTCCAGGAGAATTTTTTAGGTTTTCTTGTTGGATTTTTTTAATAATTTCAGGTCTTATGTTTAGGTCATTAATCCATCTTCAGTTTTGTATCTGGTAAGATGTATGGGTCTAGTTTCATTCTTCTGCAAATGGCTATCCAATTTTCCCAGCACCATTTATTAAACAGGGTGTCCTTTCCTTAGTGTATATTTTTGTTAACTTTGTCAAAGACCAGTTGGTTAAAGGTATACGGTTTTACTTCTGGGCTCTCTAGTCTTTTCATTGATGTATGTGTCTATTTTTTATACCAGTACCATTTGTTGTTTTGGTTACTATAACCTTGTAGCATAATTTGAAGTGAGGTAATGTGATGCCTCCAGGTTTGTTCTTTTGGCTTAGAATTGCTTTGGCTATTCCAGCTGTTTTTTTGTTCCATATGAATTTTAGGATTGTTTTTTTCTAATTATCTGTGAAAAATATTGAACCTGTAGATTGCTTTGGGCAGTATGGTCATTTTAGTAATATTGATGCTCGCAAACCATGAAGATGGAATGTTTTTCCATGTTTGTGTCATCTACACTTTCTTTCATCAGTGTTTTGTAGCTCTCTTTTTAGAGACCTTTCATGTCCTTGGGTAAATATATTCCTAGATATTGTTTTATGTAGTTATTACAAATGTGATTGCCTTCTTGATTTGGTCCTCGGTTAGATCATTATTGGTATATAGAAATGCTACTGATTTCTTTTGTGTACTGAAGCTTTACAAAATTCATCTATCAAACTAAGAGGTTTTTTGTTGAAGACTTTAGGATTTTTTAGTTTTAAGATCAGCAAACAGAAGTGATTTGACTTCTTGTTTTCCAATTTGTATGTCTTTAATAGTTTTCTCTTGCCTGATAGCTGTGGTGAGAAATTCCAGTACTATCTTAAATAAGAATGGTGAAAATGGGCATCCTTTCCTTGTTCCAGCTTTCAGAGGCTTTGTTCATTCTTTTTTCTTATTTCTGTGTGACAGAAGTATTTCAAAAGACCCATATTCAAGTTCTGAGATTCTTTCTTCTGCTTGCTCTAGTGTGTCACTAAAGCTTTCAAGTGTATTCTGTATTTCCTTCAATGAATTTTTTAGTTCAGAAATTCTTTTTTTTAAAGATATTTATCTCCTTGGTAAATTTTTCATTCATATTCTGAATTGATTTTCTGATTTCTTTGTATTGGTTTTCAGATTTTTCCTGCATTTCATTGAGGTTCTTTCAAACCAATATTTTGAATGCTTTAGCTGGCATTTCAGGGAATTATTTTTATTAGGATTTATTGCTGGATGACTGTTGTGGTCCTTTGGTTGTATAGTATGTCCTGCTTTTTCATGTTAACTATGTCCTTCCATTGATATGTGCATCTGATGTAGCAGTTACTTGTTCCAATTTTATGAAATTGCTTTTGTAGGGGACAATTATTTTTTCCTGAGGGTGTATATATGTTGTTGGTTGAGTAGGCTATTTTGGCTTTGATTTTGGGTGACTGCGATAGTTCAAACTTTGTGTTACTTCTTTGACAATACACAAGGTCAGTGGTATTCCTGGTTTCCTTGGTGGCTTAGGGTAGAGTTATTAGTTGAGGTTATGGTGAAGTTTTGCTGCAGATCTGGACACAAACTAAGCCGCCTCCAGACCCCACTGGTGGCAGCAGTGGGGTAAATGTGCTTGTTTTTAAGCCTCAGAGCAGGTTTCACAGGCTCCAGTGTTAGTGAATCCTGGAGGGCTGATTCATGGGCTTCTAGGTGGCTTGCTTAGAAGTTAGTAGCAGGAATGAGATTCCATCCCATTCCAGCTAGAATGGTGATCATCAAAAAGTCAGGAAACAACAGAGGCTGTGGAGAAATAGAAACACTTTTACACTGTTCGTGCAGTGTAAATCAGTTCAACTATTGTGGAAGACAGTGTGGCAATTCCTCAAGGATCTGGAACCAGAAATACCATTTGACCCAGCAATCCCATTACTGGGTATATACCCAAAGGATTATAAATCATTCTACTGTAAAGACACATGCACACGTGTGTTTATTGCGGCACTATTTACAATAGCAAAAACTTGGAACCAACCCAAATGCCCATCAATGATAGACTGGATAAAGAAAATGTGGCACATATACACCATGGAATGCTATGCAGCCATTAAAAAGAATGAGTTCATGTCCTTTGCAGGGACATGGATGAAGTTGGAAACCATTTTCTCAGCAAACTAACACAGCAACAGAAAACCAAACACCACATGTTCTCACTCATAAGTGGGAGTTGAACAATGAGAACACATGGACACAGGGAGGGGAACAGCACACACTGGGGCCTGTCGGTGGGTAGGGAGCAGGGGGAGGGAGAGCATTAGGACAAATACCTAATGCATGTGGGTCTTAAAACCTAGATGACAGGTTGATAGGTGCAGCAAACCGGTTGATAGGTGCAGCAAACAGCCAGGGCACATGTATACCTATGTAACAAACCTGCATGTTCTGCAAATGTATACCAGAACTTAAAGTATAATAATAATAATAATAAAGAAGTTAGTAGTGGGAGTAGTCGGCCAGATGTGTGGGCAGGTTCTCAAGCCCCTAGGCAGCTGGTGTCATATGGGTGGTGGCTATAGCACTGATGGAGCAACCCACTAGGACCCAAGGAGTCTGTGTTGGTGTTCTTGGTAGCTGCAATGGATTGAGTGGACTAGTCCTCAGTCTCACAGTTGCCCATAGTAGGGCAGTGGGTGTTGTCCTAAGTGTGCTTAGGATAGTTTGGTCTCCCCTGTTCCTCCCTTAGCTGGGTGGGCCTTGAACTCGGCCCAAGAGTAAGGTATAGCCCAACATTAAACTCTCAAAATGGTGCCAGCTGTGGCTTTGTGACCAGAGTGGGTGGGGTGGTGTCCCCCTCAGGAAAGCAGCATGGGCAAGAATCTGTGAGGTATGCAGTCTGCTTGAGTCTCGATCTCACCGCAGGCTGTAGCAGGGTGGTGGGTATTGTTCTAGGTATGCATAGGAGAGACTGGTTTTCTTGTCCCTCCTTGGTCAGGCAGCAGCTGCTGCCACATCAACTCAAACTCGTTCTGAAGTTGGGGCACAGCCCAGCGTTAAACTCTCAAAACAGCACCTTAGGCCTGCAATCAGGGAGGGCAGGACCCTTCCCAGCCATGCAATATGAGCAAGAAGCTGTAGGAAGTGTGGTCCGCTCACTTCTCAGTTTCACAGCAGCCCATTGGAGGGCAGTGAGTATTATCCTAGATATGCATAGGAGAGCCTAGTTTCCTGTCCCTCCTTGGCCAGCTGGCAGCTACAGCCATGTCAGCCCAAACTCAGCCCACACAACAACGTTTGTAGCAGCAATGATTCCCTCCAAATTAGTTGTCAGGTGCCCAAAGGAAGGGCCAGCTACTGATTCCTTATTACCCCTCCTCCCTATTAGCTGTGACTTGTATTCCTTGAGCCTTCCCAAGTTATAAACATAATTCAAATTTATTCTGTTCCTCAAATGGGCTGGATCCTCCTAGGAATGCTGGATCCTAAAAAGAGCAGGAAGATGAGACAGGATAAAGCTAAAAGTCCTAAGGTACGATCTGGAGACAAATTTGGTCAATCAAACCTTTAGCCGTGGTTACATCTTCTTACAGTTAAACTGTAGTAGTATGTCTCTCTGAATTAAATAAACCACCCTTTGCAGCTATTTTTAAAGCCATTGTCTGGGAGGTTCATTAAAATGATAGTCCCTGGCAGCTTAGTTAGTATTTCTCCGTATAAGATTTTGAAATTGTTCAAAAGATGCTCAGTTTGTACAAAGTTCCAATGAATAGCTTGTAATGTGGTTCTATTATATTCTATTAAAGATAATTTTGTCAACCAGGATAGAATAATTTCTACCTCGTATACTCAAGAAGCTAAGATTTTCAAAGCTGTGAACTTAACTCCAAAGTATTGTGGCATGGAGTATTAGCCCTCTGAATTATTGAAAAATGTCATATCAAAATCCCCAATGCTGGGATTTCAACTCTGCTGCCACCAGCATCCCTAGTTCCTATTGGTATTTATGCTTCAATGTGGTGAATAAACTAAAGGGACCAAGTGGGTGGATCAAGGGATGTTAAATTGCATCGTCACACAATGATTCTTTTTGTCCCTGAAAACTCCAAAGCTTCAAGTCAGTTATTAATTTTCATTACCATCCTTTCAAGAAGCTAGAAGTGCCTATAGCCAGGACCATCATCTGGGGACTCAATATGGCACCATGCTCAGATGTGCAGACTCTGGAGTCAGATTGCTTCAGTCCTGACTCCTTGCCCACTAATATTCTTCCATCCTGTGTCTCACTTCCTTTTTTGTAAAAGGGGGCTAATGAAAGCGTTTATCTTATAGAGTTGCTGTGAAATGATGTAAGTAAAGTGCTTTGAACATAGTGAGTTCTACATTAGTTTTCTCTCTTATTATTATCTTGTGGGTTTCACGAGCTTCAGCCAGTTATTCAACATTAAACTCAATGCTAAAATCCTAAAACGATGAGTAGATGAATGCTTAAATACACCCATATTTAAATCAAACAAATTTCAGCTTTTTCTTCCAAAACGATAAAATCTGGAGTCTGAGATCTAGTGCATCTAGGTCAGTGTTTCTTGACTTTTTGACTGAACATTATGGCAGCAACTACATCTTTTATCATGACCCAATACATACATGCTTATTGTCAAAGGGGAAAAATATTCTCAAACTAAAAAATGGAAAAATGGTGTGTTCTGCATCTTTTCTTGTGACTAGAGAAAATCACTCAAGCAATTTGCTTAAATCTGAATTTTTTAGTTGGTGTTCTGCTTCTGATCTCTGCTTGACACTAGTTCATGCTTCTATGTTAATTGTCAGACACAACTGTTGATGGATAAAACCTTGTTACACTAATTGTCAGCCACAAAGATATTCTTAGCATTTGCTTCTTAGATGTTGTTTTGTTTTGTTTTTCCAATAGCAGCATACAGACATCTCAAATTATCCTGCCGCAAACTGCCCTTGTAATAACTGATATGGATATGGTGTTTCTGTGACCTTGTGAAATAAACTTTATGCTTTCTTCCTCTTTTTAAAACTAACTGCTTAGGTAAACATTCTGTTTCCCGACTATGTATTCCTTCCATTTCCAAACCCTCTCCGAATGGATATAATCTTTTATTAGCTCCTTGCCAGCAAGTAAATAAAATTTGACGTATGCTGAAGACCAACCTAAGAAATTTTGTTTTTAACAATATATATCATAAAATGGAAGTTTCAGGAAACATTTTTATATGCAGAGCATTCTAGTGTTTTTTGTGTTTCATTTCTTTTTAAAAAATGCTATTTATGATTCACTATACTCCTTGACCCATTACTATTTTTAATCATAATTTGAAAACTACTGCACTACATTCCCCTAAAAGAGACTACAAATTCATTATTTTTAAATGTATATGGAATATCTGGCAAGGATTTAACTGGAAGGGAGAGTACTTTTAAAATATGTGAAATAGCATGAAAGGTATCTGGAGAGTTATATGCTAAAGTTTCTCTTTTGTATCTGGATAGGAAGAGAATTATAATTGACCAAGAGTTAGTAGCAGATTTCCAGCCTAAGGTAGCAGAATGAAGGGGCCAAAGTGAGAAATGGTGCTGGAGAACAAAGAGAGGCAGGCCCAGGAGGTTTCATGATTTGACATGGGTCACATGAGTCAAGGAGTTGCAGAAGCTACCAGAGGCGCAGCTAGAGGGGACAGCACTCAAGAGCTGGGAAGTGCAAGAATAGACCAATGCAGAACACAAAAAGCAAATAAAAATGCTGAACACGGCAAAACTATAAGGCAAATGTTTTATGGGAAAAAGCCTGAGGCTCTTCTTACACAAAGCAGCAATCAAAGGAATTCTATGGTGGAATGTCCCTCTGTGAAAGGCTATATTGACCAACTGCTGCGTTTTTAAAAGCTTGACCCATTTTCAAGGCTATCCTAAAATCTGAATTACTGTTCAATCTCCAGTAATTCATGGATTGATACTGAACTGCTCCTAAATACTTGTCCCCTCCTTCCTTCTATCCTCCAATTAGCCCTATTGCAAATGTCCATCCATATGGATATAGATATGAATAAAGGTATAGATAATGGATATAAATATAAGGATAACATACATTAAAATAAATTATATCTACGATACAAATATGTAAACTGCATTTAGAGGCAAACTAAGGTTTTCTCTTATTTGCTATGTACTTAATTCGCTGGTTAGGCACAGTTTACTCTCTTTTCTGCAGAATGTTGAAAGCTAAAGTATCTATAAGGAGATATTGTTGATAAACATTAAAGGTGCCTTTAAATAATGATTACCAAGTATACTTCATGTATATTTGAAGCTATTAAACTTTAAAAACATAATAATTTAAAAATAATTTCACATAATAATGACAACTACTCTTTATTGAGGTTAGGAGTTTATAGTTATCTCTAATTACAGATGAGGGTAACCTTGATGCAGAAAAGTTAACTAATCTACTCAAGATCACAAAACTGTTAAGTGGCAGAGATGAGATTCAAACCTAGGCAGTTTAGTTCCAGAGTATGTGTTCTTACCCACTAAAATAAAAAGAAGACCATTCTCAGTACAACTATGCAAAAAACAAAGAGGAAAATCTCAAAAGAAACTGGTTAAAGAAGTCCTAAAACTTCCAAAGCAGCAACGGCTTAACTCTCAACAGCAAAAATGGAAATGAGTAGATGAGGTTTTGAATGTGTTGAAACAACATGATTTCTGACCTTAAATTATCTACCCCATGAAAATTTATTTTACAAATAAATGTAAAATAATGACATGTACAGGCAATCAAAAATTGGAAGTGTTTGCCTCCAGAAGATCCTCACCAAAGGAAATTCTAAAGCATGTACTTCAACAGAACGAAGTAATCCTAGAAGAAACGTCTAAAATGCAAGAGGGAGTAAAAAACAAACCAAATAGTAAATATGTAGGAGATTAATTTAAAAAACAAACATTTCTTGTATAAAACAAGAAAAACAAATAAAAATAATACTATTATTTTGGGTTAAAAAGGAAAATGTACAGTAATGCCATGTAAGTCATTAGGGGAGTAAATACACATCAATGTAGATTTTAATAAGTTAAGTACGTATGTTGTCCTGAAGGTAACCACTAAAAGCACAAAAAGAATGCATAATTTCAAAACTTATAGTGAAAAAATGAATGATAAAGAAATCAATCCAAAAGTAGATATTAAAGGAGAGGAAAAACAACAAAATCCAGGACAAGCAAAAGCAAGGTAGATTTAAACCAAATATATTAGTATTTACATTAATGGATTATTCAGTCAGAAGGTAATATTGTTAGACAATATTTTTAAATATCCAAGAACATACCTTTTATAAGAAGCAAAATTTAAACACAGGTACATGGAAGGGTTGAAAGCAAATGGCTGGAAAAATATTACCATGAAAATAATAAGCAAAATAAAGCCACTTTCCTATGTTAGCATCAGATAAAGCAGGCTTTATGGGAAAGTGAACATTATTACAAAAAGGTCATGTAATTTAAAAAGCATAATTAAGAAAAGTACTATTATCAAAATGATAAAATGTTCAATTCACCAAGATGATATAACAGCTATCAATCTGATTGCACCCAAGAACACAGCCTCAAATTAAGTAAAGCAAAATTTGAGAGAACTGTAAGAAAAAACTAAACAATGACAATCATAGTGAAAGATTTAAACATACTTCTCTTAGTAATTAATTTTTTAAAAAAGGCAGACGAAATGGAAAAATCAGCAAGCATATAGATGATTTGAACAAGACTGGCCAAACTCACCTACTACACATAAATACTTCCTCAACAACTGAAGAGTACATATTCTCTTAAAGAGCAATAGATTACTTACACAATTAACACTTTCCTGGTGAAAAAAAAAATCGAGTTTCAACAAATAGTAATCACACTAAAATTTTTTATTACCACAAAACAACACAATCTGGGAATAGATAACAAAAGATAACTAGAAAAGCTCCACATAGTTTGGAATTTTAGAAACACTTGTCAAAATAGTCCATGAGCCAAAGGAGAAATCGTAATGAAAATTTTACAAAACTATTTTTAACTGATTGATGATGATGTCAACACTATAATAAAAAAATTGTGGGATGCAGCCAAAACAATGTTTAGAGAGAAAGTCATAGCTTCAAAATGCATATATTAGGTAAGAAAAAGCTGAATACTGAGCTAAACATTTATTGCAATAAGTCAGCAGCTAGGAAAATAACACAAAAAAGTAGAAAAAGATATATTAACCAAAACTAACTAAAAACTTCAAGAAAAAGAGGAGAATACACAAATAACCAATATAAGAAATGAAAAAGCGTACATCATTACAAACACATTAAATAGATTTAAAATATGAGAGGAATTTTAAATAAAATGGTCAAATTCCTAGAACAGCAACTTAAAATTGACTCAGAAGAAACAGACAACCCAAAATGTCTTGTAAACAAAAATGATAGAACATTTAAAACTTGGTTTAACACAGGCACAAACTACCAGAGAAGATATTGGCCCAATCAGAACTGACACCACTTCCGAAAACCAGTACACTAGTACTATTGCTTAAAGACTGCATAAAACTATTAAGAATGATATCGCTATTTCTCAGAAAGAAAACAGTAGGTTCAGCTGGCTTTACTGATGAGTTCTAACAAACAATCAAATAAAAAAAGGTACTCCAAATTTACACAAACTTCTCCAGAAAATAGTAAAACACAATATATTTATCAATTCATTTTATGATTCTAGCAAAATCGTGATATGAAAAACATCTGACAAGAATAGTATAAAAGCATAATAAGAGCAAGAATGGCATATAGGAGATAGGCCGAACTTGCAGTTCCCACTCGAATGGACAGAGCAGCCTGTGGAGACTCACAAGAACTAACACAGGAACATACCAGGAAAGCTGAGAGAATCCACTGACCCTCTGAAGGAAGTGGCTTGCTGCTGCAGGCCCCATAAGATAGCCAAAACTGTGAGTGCCCAATGTGTGAGAGGGGGAATGTCCACCCTCAAACAAACATCCTCACTGGGGAATCTGAGGGTCCATATCACAGGAGAAGGATGTGACCTTACTTGGAGCTGAGACAAATTTAGAGAGCCAAGCAAAATACAGGGTGGAGGAAGCAGCAGGAAGAGCCCTGTGGGCACTCTCAGTCCCCAGGGAAGACATTTCTAACTTGATCTCGCAGGGATCCTTGGGGAGGGCTGCCAGTGGAATTGGGGAAAGATCACAGGGATAAGAACACTTCCAGCTGAACTTTGTAGCAATTTCAACCAAATATAAAGTTTCCTGGACAGAATCTGGAGGAGGGGGCAAATGGGGAGTGCAGACACAAGCACAGAAGTAGAGGGGCTCGAAACCTGAAAGTCCTGCTTTTTTTCTTAGCGGGGAGGCTTGTAGTCTGGGGCATGTTCTCAGCCCTGCTCACCAGCTGCCTAGAAATAAACTCACTGACATTGGGAGGGCACGGTGGGAGTGAGACTGGACTTTTGGGCCATGTGGGAGCTGGGTGAGGCCTGTCACTGCCAGCTTTCCTCCACTTCCCTGGCAACCTGTATGATGCAGCAGAGGCAGCCATAATCTCCCCGAGAACGTAACTCTATCCACCTGAGAACCACACCATCATCTCCCACAGCAGCCACAGCAAGCCCTGCCCAAGGACAGTCTAGGCTTAGACACGCCTAACCCTGCACCCACCTAATTGTTTTTCTATACCACTCTGGTAGCCAAAGACAAAGGACATAATCTCTTCAGAGCTCTATGTCCTCATCCACCACCTGAGAAACCCAAATATTTATCCAGGCAACCCTAGGGCAACCTTGTGTCTTACCTATACTATCAGCTGATGCTCTCTTGAAAGCACCACTTCCTGGCTGGAGGCCAACCAACACAAAACCAGTGCACTAAAAAAAATACAATCAAGGACCTTCACAGAATCCACTTCACTCCCCTACTACCTCCACCAGAGCAGGTGCTGGTATCCATGGCTGAGAGACCTGAAGGTGGATCATATTACAGGATTTTTTGCAGACACTCCTCTGTACCAGCCCAGAGCCCGGTAGCTTCGATGGGTGCCTAGACCCAGAAGAGAAATAACAATCACTGCAGTTCAGTTCTCAGGAAGCTCCATCCCTAGGGGAAGGGGGAGAACACCACATCAACGGAGCACCCCATGGGACAAAAGAATCTCAACAGAAGCCCCTGAGTCCCAGATCTTCCCTCTGACCTAGTCTACCCAAATGAGAAGAAACCAGAAAAACAATTCTGGTAATATGACAAAACAAGATTCTTTAACACCCCCAGAAGATCCCTCTGGCTCACCAGCAATGGATCCAAACCAAGAAGAAATTTCTGAATTGCCAGAAAAAGAACTCAGAAGGTTGATTATTAAGCTACTCAAGGAGGCACCAGAGAAAGGTAATACCAATTTAAAGAAATGTTTTAAATGTTACAAGATATGGATGGAAAAATCTTCAGAGAAATAGACAGCATAAATAAAAAACAATGACAAAGCCTGGAAATGAAGGACACACTTAAAGAAATGCAAAATACAATGGAAAGTCTCAACAATAGAATCGAACAAGTATAAGAAAGAATTTCAGAGCTCAAAGACAAGGCTTTCAAATTAACCCAATCCAACAAAGACAAAAAAAAAAAGAATAAAAAAAGAACAACATCTCCAAGAAGTTTGGGATTATGTTAAACAACTAAACCTAAGAATAATTAATACTGCTGAGAAAGAAGAGAAATCTAAAAGTTTGGAAAATGTATTTGAGGAAACAATCAAGGAAAATGTCGCTGGCCTTACTAGAGATCTAGACATCCAAATACAAGAAGCTCAAAGAACACCATGAAAATTCATTGCAAAAGTATCACCATCTAAGCACATAGTCATCAGGTTAGCTAAAGTTAAGATGAAGGAAAGAATCTTAAGAGCTGTGACACAAAAGTATCAGATAACATATAAAGGAAAATCTACAAGATTAATAGCAGATTTCTCAGCAGAAACCCTACCAAGCTAGAAAAGATCTGGGTCTTATCTTTAGCCTCCTTAAACAAAACAATTGTCAGCCAAGAATTTTGCACCCAGTGAAACTAAGCTTCATAAATGAAGGAAATATACACTCTTTTTCAGACAAACAAATGCTGAATCTACAAGGAACTCAAACAAACTAGCAAGAAAATAGAAAAAAATCCCATCAAAAAGTGGGCTAAGGACATGAATAGACAATTCTCAAAAGAAGATATACAAATGGCCAACAAACATGAAAAAATGCTCAACATCACTAATGATCAGGAAAATACAAATCAAAACAACAACAATGCAAATACCATCTTGTTCCTGCAAGAATGGCCATAATCAAAAAATCAAAAAATAATAGATGTTGGCATGGATGTGGTGAAAAGGGAACACTTTTACACTGCTGGTAGAAATGTAAACTAGTACAACCACTATGGAAAACAGTGTGGAAATTCCCTAAAGAATTAAAAGTAGATCTACCATTTGATCTAGCAATCCCACTACTGACTATCTACCCAGAGGAAAAAAGTCATTATACAAAGAAAAAAAAATACTTGCACACGAACGTTTATAGCAGCACAATTCACAATTGCAAAAATATGAAATCAGCCCAAATGCCCATCAATCAGTGAGTGGATAAAGAAAATGTGATATATACATATGCACACATACACACCATGGAATACTAATGAGCCATAAAAAGGAATGAAATAATGGCATTCACAGCAACCTGGATGGAATTGGAGACTATTATTCTAAGTGAAGTAACTCAGGAATGGAAAACCAAACATCATATGTTCTCACTCATGAGACAGGAGCTAAGCTATGAGGATGCAAATGTATAAGAATGATACAATAGATTTTGGGGGCTCGGGGGAGAGGGTGGAGCAGGGGTGAGGCAGGGTACAGTGTACATTGCTTGGGTGATGGGTGCACCAAAATCTCAGAAATCACTACTAAAGAACTTATCCATGTAACCAAAAACCACCTGTTCCTCAAAAACCTATTGAAATTAAAAAATAATAAAATTTAAAAAAGAATAGTATAAAAATAGCCCAATATTACTCAGGAAAACAGAGGTGAAAATTTAATACAAATAATAGCAAACTGAATCCAGCAAAATAAATATATCATGACCAATTTGAGTTTATCTCAGAAACACAACATTGATCTAACATTATAAAATCAATTAAATATTAAAAAGAAAAATTATAAAAATAATCTTAATAGATACAGTAAAATATTCATGGTAAATATTCTTAGCAAAATAGCAGTAAAAAAATTCTTTAACATGATAAAGAATAACTACCAAAAAAAAGTTAAGCATCATATATAATGGTGACACACTGAAAATTTTCCCTATGGGATCAGGAAAAAGAAAAATGATCAGCCTGAATCAGACTTTCCCCGATTTCTTGGTTATTTTCAAATTTATTCTACTAGACAATGTAGATTATATATTGATACCTGTTCTCATCTATATGATAAGAGAATGTCCTCTACTCTCCAAGTTATAATGGTTTAGTTAAGCTTTATATATAAATGAAATATTGAGTTCTATAAGTACATTACATACCATAGGTTCTGTCTCCTTGGGAGGTCTATCCAGGGGAGGAATGTACCATTGAAAGCAAAGTTCTTTGTTTGAAGCTTGCGTTACCATTTCTATTGGCGTTATGTCCACACAAGATGAGCCTGAAACAGGCTTAAAAGATAAAATGGATTGTACAGAACTATCGCGATACAACTAGGGAACAAACAAAAACATCAGTTTAATTACTGGTAATAAATTTGTTACATATATGAAACAAATTATTTGGCTATATTGAAAAATTCTGGGATTGTCTCAGCTTGTTTTATGGAGGTAAATCTTAAAACTAACCCTGGCTTACTACAGAGAAGATTCTCCTACAGTAAAAATATGCTGGCCAGGCGCGGTGGCTGACGCCTGTAATCCCAGCACTTTGGGAGGCAGAGGCAGGTGGATCACACGGTCAGGAGTTCGAGACCAGTCTGGCCAACATGGTGAAACCTCGCTTCTACTAAAGAAATACAAAAATTAGCCGGGCATGGTGGCGTGCGCCTGTAATCCCAGCTACTCAGGAGGCTGAGGCAGGAGAATTGCTTGAACCTGGGAGGCAGAGGTTGCAGTGAGCTGAGATCGTGCCACTGCACTCCAGATTGGGCGAGAGGGCAAGACTCCATCTCAAAAAAAAAAAAAAAAGAAAAAAAAATGCTTCAGAACCCAGTGAACTCAACAAATCTCTTCCACTCTGGTAAGTCTTACAGGGTGAAGATCTAGCAGGGAAAACGCCCATGCCAACATTTCAGTCTCAACATTACCACTGTTTCTAGGAACACCTATTTGGTTTCTGTTTTTTTCACTGGTGAATACACTAAGGGTGTGGTTATAAATTACTATTTATTTTTCCAATAGTATTTTTTTGCAATGCCATATGGAAAATAAGACATATTTTGCTCCAAAGTCTAAAATCCATTGCTGTAAAACCCACTTGCTCTGAAAAGTTAAAATCCTCCTCTCCTTAAATGAATGTGGCTGATTTGTAAGTTTTGTCCTTGATGAATGTGGGCCCAGCTTCTTTTATGCAACTTTGGTCACTGAATGAGGAATCTTCAGAAATATAAATGTATAGAATGCAATTGCCAATTTGGTAAATTACTTAATTAGTTGTTTAAGGTAGCTGAAAAAGCAAAGCATGGTTGCTAATGATCAACAAAACAATAGGCTAGCCATAGAGATAATAATGGTAAAAACAATATTTCAAGTCTAAAAAAAGGACCTTCTGAGGTTGCAGTGAGCCGATATCACGCCACTGCACTGCAGCCTGGGCAACAGAGTGAGACTCCGTCTCAAAAAAAAAAAAAAAAAAGCGTTCTTCAATGAAGTGCAAACTACTTTCCATATTAACTTCTTGTTATACCCAAGCTTGTAGCATGGCAGCTGGGAATTGGTCCCTCTACTTCAGTCTTTTTGATATCTAAGGCCTGTCAAGGTTTGAGGACCAAGCAGTATTTGTCAGTGGCCAGAAAGAAATGCCTGGTGTTTCTATAAGGCTTTGTCCCTCCCATTATTTCTGAGCCTATTCAAGATATAATATGACTGTGAATGTTAAGTCTTCAAAATAAAATAAAAACGGAAATAAAAACACTGACCTTTCAAGTTGTCTACTGATAAAAGAAAAAATGTTTTGACTGAAAGGTAATATTAAATGTGAAAAGTTTTCTAAATGTCTAGAGACAATCATAAAAGGCTATTATAAACCAGAATCCTTGCTTCTAAAAGCATGATCAAAATACACAATAAGCAAGATTAGCAGGGTTAAATCATCATTTGTAAGTGCTTAATTAAGAATAATTTTATGTCAGGCAGTTCATCAAAAAAAAATCAAGTAAATAATTAATTCAAAAAATAATTTCTTAAATTTCTTCATATCTGAGTGATTTTCAGAGGTTCTGACAACTATTTTAGCAAACAATTCATATTCAATAACTAGATAAGTATTGAAAAGTAAAAATACCTTTTATTTCAATATGTGCATTGTTTATTAGCACAGTAGTCTAATAATGATAAATTATAAACATAAGTCAATATCAAAATAGGTATTTAATATTCCATTACCTTTCAAATACTATATATGTAGTTGCTAAGAGGATTCATTACATATGCTAATTGATGAATTATACACTGAGTACTTTTATTCTATTTTTTTTTTTTGTTCTTTGAAAGAAATAAAACAACAGGCCTACCAGGAGAACCTTGGTTTGCCACAGTCCTATAAACAATAAAGCAGCTCACACTAGTCAGATATTTAACCTTACAACTGACTGTATTCAAGCATACAGTCCAAGCATGAATAACTCAGCATTATGCACAGTTTTAATCATATTCTTTTTGGGAAATTTTTAATGTAACTTGTTTGCCACCTTTGTTTTTCCATCACAAAGCTCCGAAAGACTTGACAACATGCAGAATCACACAACTGATGAGCACAACACGGAGCAATGATTGTTCTGGAAAGGCATCTACTTCTTTGTGGGGGAAAGTAGGTTTAAGTATCAAATTATGGAACGAGTTTGATTGAAATAGCCTCCTGAGTGATTAAAGGTTCAAAAATGTTATTACAAAAATCAGCCAAGCTTGGAGTTTATATATGTATATATAAATCCGAAAGGCTTTATGCTCATTAGCTGTCTACCCCAGTGAAACGAACACATGATGAGGTGGCTTCACCTGTCAGGCAAGAGACAATGATCTCCAGAGCTGATTTTCCTGGGGAGTGTTACACTAATTATATCAAAAAAGAGCAAACAGGGTGAAACAACTCTTTGATAACACTGTTGCCATTAGAAATGTCACTTGTATTTACAACGTATTCAAGCTTGAACATTTGGAGCATAATCTTTAGGAAATGGGTAATGATAGGCTGCCCTTAATACTAAAATACTCAAGCAGAGCTCCTTGTAGAACAGTATTTAAGAAATCACACCTATTAGTTTCCAAACTCTTACATAATATTCACAAGAATAGATCAGTTGAAACTATTGTTCTCAGTCTTCCCGTCCTCTGCCCCCTACTCCAAAATGCCTGAGGTATCTGTGACACCTGGCAGTAATCCTCAAAAATAGTCTCAGTTCCCAGGAGGGGTGAATCTGAATCTGGTGTTAGATGGCAATGATTTCATTCTACTCCCACTGTGCCCTTCTGTGTGCAGGGCCAGACATTAACATTACCTTCCTGGCCTGTTCACGTCCTCACTCACTCCTTCCCATGGGGGAGTGTTACTCGATTGCTGAATCTGGGAAAAAGAACTTTGGGCATGCCTATTTCTGCGCTTTCTTCCTGGGAGTAAAATGTTTGCAGGAAGTGAACACTCTCTGCTCCTCACGCAACAGATTTTAAGGAGCCTGTCCCCACATGAGGAGCCTGAAATGACCCAATAATATGAGGCCAGATTGGAAAATCTGTCTACTTTGGTACTCATTACTAGGAAGATCATTTCACCAATAAATATAAACCACATCCTATAATATCAACTTCATCACTCATAAAGATGAGCATTTTTAAATCCCAATCTGTTTTACTCTTTTCTCTTATTTCCTGAATGATTTAGAATCTGGGCACAGAATGGGGTTGCTGAGCATTGGGCATGCCACAATATCCCAGTATCTAGGAGAGAGGAAGTCGTTTGAAAAATCTTCCAGTGTGCTTTCAATACATTGCACTGAGGGCCACTGCATAACACCAACTGAGAATCATTTCTTTAACTGGATTCTTAAAAATATCTTAATAGGTTTTTCCACTACTTTTAAAAACTTACAATTTATTAACAGTCATCTGACTCTCTTGAGTAGGGAAGGAATGTTCAAAAGAGTGATTTTTAAAAAAAAAAATGTATAATTTAATCTACCCAAAACATAAGGTTGCTATATTCTAGTAGGATAAGATAAGCAAGGGTCACCATTCTGGAACAAGCCACATTTTCAGTTCTCTGGGAACTTCTCTGGGAGAGTTGGCAACAGTAACATGAACATATCTTATATGGGAAAATCTATAGCTATAAAAATTAAAGAGTTCAATGGTAAAGTCCAAAGTAGAGATAATTCAAAATAAATCAGTGATTTTTTTCTAGTTTTGAAAGAATTCTGTACAACTTATTCATTTCACAGATATGTATTGGAAGCTTACAATATGCTATGTCCACTTGAGTTTTCTACAAGAATCTCAAATTCTGTATCTACGAAGCAGAAAAATGTGCTCATGCTCCTGCCTCCCCTGTATGTGCTAATGATGTCACCATGCACTAATGATCACAGACAGAAGTTCCAAATGGTACAAGAGGCTCTAGTCATTTCCTCTTCACTTTCCAGCTCCAAAGAGTCACAAAACTGTTTCGGTTGTTGTTGTTTTCAGTGTTACTTAAGCAAATATGTTTTACAGCCATCTCTTCCTTTCCATTCTTGTGTCATAAGCTTCATGACTTCATCACCTCTTTCTTAAATAACTCACTTTTTCGGGAGGCTGAGACAGGACAATCGCTTGAACCCAGGAGGCAGAGGCGGCAGTGAGCCAAGAAAGATCACACCACTGCACTTCAGGCTGGGCGACAGAGAGAGACTCTGTCTCAAAAAAAAAACCAAAAAAAAAAAACCTCACTTTTTCATCTATCCTTTGCCAATCAGCCCTATTGAGAGTATTGAAAGTAAAACTAAGATATACTAATTTTCACATTATTTCTGCTAGTATTAATCCTGCGATTTTCTCTTAGAAAGTATCTCTGAAATAAAGTAACTTTCTTCTGTTTTAACCCTGTCACTGTTTCTCTACTACCACACTGAGACTATATGTACAGGGACTACGCTTTATCCATCCTTTCTCCACCAACTAACAGTGTCTCTGGCACACAGTAGGTATTCAACATAGGTTGGTTGAATACCAAATTTCAAATACATATTCTTATTTTTAAGTAAAATCCTTTACTTTTTCAGTGTCTTTTAACACATTCATTTTGGAAGTTTATCCAAACTACTGCTATTCAAGACTTTAGTAGCTTTAATTTTGAAAAATCTCCATTTATATTCCTCTTTTTATGTCTCTACAATCAATACCTTAAAAAGTTTCCATATTACATATCTTGGGAAAATGTATCCAATTTAATAACACTTTTCCAAATAAAAAGTCTTCACACTTTTAATTTATTTTAAAGTGTTACCTCTATTATTTATTTACACTCACAATTGCAAAAGGTACTCACAATGAATAATTTTTATCACACATTTAAAACCAAAGTACAGAAACTGGGCACAGATTTAGACACTATCAGTCTAGTTTTCTTATAGAGTGATGATACTGAAATCTGTGTAACTTTTTGGCAAAATGGTTGCTTGAGAGATGCTGTTTTGTGCAGGAATATAGAAACTTCTAAGGCATTTTAAAAGACTTATGAGAACAAGACTGAACAATTGAAATGTGAACTGTCCTAAAATCCCAGGATGTTTGGTTAGCCTATCCACATGGTAACACAGGAATGAGCCTTCCCTAGAACTCTGAGAGAAGTAGAAATCTGTGCCAGCATGGAAGCTAATGTGTTTCCTTCTGAAATATAATGATGATTCCAAGAAGTTTTATGTAAATATATCATGTTTCAAAAAACGTTACCTTGGCAGATGATTCACGTAAGTCTTTTTCTGAAAGAGGGGGATTTTCCAGTTGACAAAGAAGTTCTTTTGGAAATTCATCAATACAAGAAGAAGAATACAGCTGTAAGAATTTTTTAAGGAAAAAATGCACTTCTTTCTGGCGCAAAATCAACTCAGAGTTGTAAAGGGATGTGAGAAGTGTATCATCTGGCAAAGAAATTCCAGATACTGGTGTTGCAGATGCTTAAGAAAGAAAAATACCTTAGTTTAGGTTCATATTAGAAAACGGGATGATCTCAATATTGCTGGTATTTGCTCACTAACCACTATCGTTACATATTCCCACCTCCGCTAGAGGCTGCCAATGACGTCCCTCTGTTTTTAGAGCTTATACACTAATGGAATTGTTTCTTGCCACAGAAGGAAACAAAATTTCAGGCCAGGCGCGGTGGCTTATGCCTATAATCCCAGCACTTTGGGAGGCTGAGGTGGGAGGATCACCTGAGGTCAGGAGTTTGAGACCAGCCTAGCCAAAATAGCAAAACCCTATCTCTACTAAAAATATAAAAATTAGCTGGGCATGGTGGCACACGCCTGTAATCCCAGCTACTCAGAAGCCTGAGGCAGAAGAATCACTTGAACCCAGGAGGCGAAGGTTGCAGTGAGCCAAGATCGCAGCCTTGCACACCAGCGTGGGTGACAAAAAAAAAAAAAAAAGATTAAAAAAAAGAAAATTTCAAAGGCACATGAGGGTAATGCTTAGTTTTAGGTATTAACAATGGTGCCATACATTCCATGTACCTATTTTCTTTTGGGTTCCCCCTAAAACAGATCCTAAGGTAAGAATTTGTAGACAGTTTATTTGAAAAGTCATTTCAAGAAGCACAAGTGAGGGAATGGACAAAGTGTGACAGAGAAAACAAAAAGAGCCAATAAGGGTGAGTAAATGAGTGGGCTACAGCCTTGGGCAGTGAGGGCTCAGTCCCACTGGGAACCTTCTGACAAACCACGTAGAACTGTCCCGTCGAGAGACTGAGAAGCTGGTATGTTTATCTAGGAGCTCCCTACCTCAATAGCTGAAGGTTACTCCTGTGTCTGCGGAAACCCTGTCTGCAGGCTGGTCAAACCTCAGTAGTTTCAAAGAAAGCCCAGGGCAGAAAAGCAGTAAGACATGGCACTTGTGGGAAGTGCCAGCAGGTGAATTCAGAGGTGAGCAGACTGGCTGAGGGGCAAGGGATCACCAGGGCTGGCTGCACTGGCTCTTGTCCATGTCCTTTCCCTCTGAACTTCCCTTGCTCTAGCCCCCATCACCATGAACCTTTTCGTCCTGACACCTTTCAGAGGGCTTGTGAGCTCCTGGTAACTGTGCTTAGCAACTCTGTGACTCAGCCTATTTGCCCTTCTGGTTTCCCCATCACTGTGCCCTGGCATGGGTCAAATTGTCTTTTCTGACTGTTTGCACTGATGGGCAACACTGGATCACCAACATTATGAGCACAGATAAAACATAACAATGTCACACAATCACAAGAGGGACTAATGTGAAGCAGATTTTATCAGTTTTTCTGGATATTTTTTAGATAGCACCAATGATTAAAAAAAAAAAACTCCACGGAATTAATATGCCATCTGAAGTCATGCATTTCTTCCCTCTGACATACCGGCTACTGGACCACTCTTTCTCTAAAGCCAAAATGTCATCTTGTTCATTTCATAAACTGTCACATTGGAATCACTAGTTCTTAACTTTGGCAGTGGTCTTGGAAAGCCTCTGGATGCCTCCTTATCATGATGTTTTTAAACATATGAAATAATATATATAGAATTTCTAAAGAAACCAATTACATTGAAGTACTATTCTATCCAAAGATGCATGTATCCCAGGTTAAGAACCCATGAAATTTTCATCTTCTGATGACAGTCACTCAGAAAGATGTCAAAAGTATCTTATAATTCTCAACAAGAAACATGACTTAAATGGGAATTAGAAAGAAATATGTTCTCTCTTAACACATCAAAAAACCTACCTAGCAGTTTGCTCAGATTATTAATCCTCTGAAGGTGAATATAGTAGCGCAGTAGAAGGATCCATGTAATATCCACTTTGGTCTGAGTCTTTTTTCTACCATCTGCGCTGTCACACACATCATCATTTTGGTACAAAAATGTACAGGAAGTCTGGAAGAGGACTTGGTAGTTGTCTGAAAGTGAAAAACTTTTTTTTGTAATACAATATTATATTATGCTTTCCTTGAAAAACAATCATGAACAGAAAAAAAGCACAGCTCATAAAGGAAATGCTGACACATGATACTATGTTCAATTTAAAAGTCTTTTGTATCATGCAGACACCAAACACCAAGTTAAAAGACCAACCACAGACTGAGAAAAGATATTTAAAATATATATATATATGAACTCTCTTTAATGTGTAAACACTTTGCATCAATCAACAAACAAATGTCAAGCAACACAATTTCAACAGGCAATTCATAGAAAAAGTGGACAAAGAATATCAACAGGCAATTCATAGAAAAGTAAACCCAAGTGACCAAAATTTTTAGCATCACTAAAAATTAGAAAAATGCAAATTAAAATGAAATAGCATTTCATATCCCTTAGGAACTGATAGACACCAAAATCTGAAAATAATAAATATTGATAATAACGTGAATAAATTGGAATGTTCACACATTATTTGTGAGAGCAATTCACAATTATTTGGAAAACAATTTGGCAAGATCTAAGAAAACTGAAAATGCAGATACCCATATATGTGTACCAAGAGTTTTGCACAAAGTGTTGTTTGCAATATTAAAAAAGGAAACTTTAAAATATAAACAGGAGTCTAATCATTTGAAGCCATTTAAAGTGAATGAATTACATCTACAAGAGAGAAAATATAGTGTGGAGTCTCAGTTCAAATCCCAGCTATACACTCACTAGTGTGTGACCTTGAATCTCTCTGTGCCTTCGGCCTCTCTGGGCTTTTGATTTTCTGACTCTTACTTTTCTTTTCTTTTTTTCTTTTGAGATGGAGTTTCGCTTTTGTTGCCCAGGCTGGAGTGCAATGGCACAATCTTGGCTCACCGCAACCTTCTCCTCCCGGGTTCAAGCAATTCTCCTGCCTCAGCCTCGCGAGTAACTGGGATTACAGGCATGCGCCACCATGCCCGGCTAATTTTGTGTTTTTAGTAGAAACGGCGTTTCTCCATGTTGGTCAGGCTGGTCTTGAACTCCCGACCTCAGGTGATTCACCTGCCTCGGCCTTCCAAAATGCTGGGATTACAGGCATGGGCCACTGCGCCCGACCTCTTACTTTTCTTTAAAATGGGCATTATAAGAGTAATGATGGATATATCCTGAAAATGTACAATGAGTTAACAAACAGGTTCCAGGTGATATAGAGTATGATACCATTTATGTAAGTTTGAAAACAATATGATTATTTCTATCATTTACATATATACATGCACATAAATAACATTTGATTAGAACAGTGGTTGTCTCTGGGAAGCGAAAAAAGGAAGATAAATATTCTATGGTTAGTGGCCTATGCATGTTTTCTTGAATAAGATGAATCTCCATGTACTCACCACCCACCTTGGATTACAAATTCCCAGTACTTTGGGAGTATCTTATAAGCCGCTCTCTAATTCCATTTCACTCTCGCTGCCTGAGCTCATGTCCCAGAAATAATCACTATCCAAAATTTAGTGTTACTAATCCCATATCTGTCCTTCACTCTTTAAACATATATATTACATAACATGTAATAAATAAAACATTGTTAACTTTATCTTTTTAGAACTTTATGGGAAGAGAATCATACTGCATGCATTTACCTATGATTTTCTTTTTCCTTTAAACATTGTGCTTTGAAAATTCAGCCAGGCTAATGCAGGTGGCTGTTATTTACTGATATTTTTTGTTATTATGTAGTATTTCAGTATAGGAATATACCACAATTTATATATCTATTCTACCATTGATGGACATGTGATTTCTTTTTAATTTTGTTTTATTTTGGTCTTTACTGTTATGAACAAGGCTGCTATAAATATTTAAGTACATATTGTCTGGTGCACGCATGCACAAATTACCTGGATGTGGAATCACTAGGTTGTTCTTTTTTAGGTATCTTTTGACCAATCTTGCCTTTTGTTCTTTCATATAAATTTTGGCATCACTTTGTCAAATTCCACAAAATAAAACTACTGAACTACTGAACTACATTAAATCTATCAATCATTTTTAGAATACTTGGCATTTGTCAATACTGAGTCTTCTTAACTATAAACATGGTATGTTTTCTTATCTCTTTCAATGAAATTTTATAATTTGTTTCACAACTTTGGTTAGATTAATCCCTAGAGGTCTTATATATTTTTGTAGCTACTGTAATAACATCTTTTTAAAATACGTTTTCTGTTAAAAATGTATAGAAATAAAATCTTACATCCAGCAACCTTGCTAAATATTTTTATTGCCTGTACTTCTTGGGAAGTGTCTATGTGAATAATCTGCAGTGAATGATGGTTTTTTTCTACTTTCCCATTCTTTGTACTTCTTATTTCTTTTCCTTATATTATTGTGCAGGGTAGGACTTCCAGAACAATTGTGAATCAAAGTAATAATAGCATTTTCTTACTCTTGATTTTAAAGGGAATAGTTTTGGCATCTGAATATTTACTATAAATACAGTAGGCATGTTTTCCCACTTGTAATTTTTTCAGATTAATATTTTTTTAATTCCCAGTTTTAGAATCATAAATGGTTGTTGAATTTTATTGAATTTTTCTGCACCTATTTGAGATGATTATTATTTTTCTCTTTCAATCTATTAAAGTAGTGACTTAGTTCAACAGATTTTCTGATGTTGAATTACATTTGCATTCCTGGAAATAATCCAATTTGACATGATGTATCTTTTAATATGCTGCTTATTTTGATCAAAGTCAAACATTAACATAATCAAAAATAAAATTCCCTCTCCCAGAGACAAGCATTTTAACCATTTGTACTTTAGTTCTTCTAATAGTTAGTTCCAACTCTTAAAATAATTTCCTTATACCATTTTCTTAAACTATCAGTTTTAGAAAATATATCTAGTGACTTTTTCTGTGACATGAAATATTAGCCATAAAACCACTCTTCTTCACTTCAAAATGTCTATAGTTATATCACCATTTTTAGTTCCCCTATTTTTATATATCAACAATGTTCTAAAAGCTCTTTCTGGTTCCTCTAAATACAGGTCATATCTCTTGATGCCTTCCTTTGTGTTCTAATAGTACCTGCACACCTTTATGGCCTTCTCCTTGCTGGGTTTTCTATTTCCAAAGTTGGTAACATTTACATTCTGTTCTATACCCATAACAAACCCTTCATTGTTTTGTCAATAAGTTGAAAATCAATAAACAATACTTACATTATTATGATTGTATAGGAATTGTTTGCTTCAATATGATCAAATTACTTTCACTAAGGGTCACTGTCAAACCTTGTGACCCACAAAGGATAAAATTCTCAGCACAAAGGTCAAATGGATTGTTTTTACTCACGCCAGTCTCTAAATAAGGCCATATTCCAATTCGCTTCTTATTTGGACCATGAATTCGTAAAGAATATTTTTCCCTAGAATTTCTGAATGTCTTTTCTTCCTTGTTGAGAGAAGTAATATTTGCACTTTTTACCGTATTCCTAGTATCATCTAGCTTTTTAGTCATTCTAGACTCCATTCATGCTATTGAAGACATACTTGAGATCACAAACTTGCCACTCCAGTTTGTGCTGACATATTTCTAGACTACTGCATAGCTGGCAATACTGAGGGCCCTTTCCTCTCTTCCTCCTTTCCTTTCTTTTTTCTACATTACATCTACTTCTTTCTTCATTTGCAAGCCTGTGTGCTGGGGCGCATTCTCAAAAAACTTTGTTTTAAAAAAGTTCACCAAAAGTAAACCACTGGAGTCTTTACAAGCCCCTTGTACTTGATTGGTCATTTAGTGAAATACATAATTTTAGTGGACACTCATTTTTCCCTTAAATTCAAAGGCCTTGCTCTGTGGCTTTCTAGCATCTACTATTGCTGGTGAGAAGCCTGATGCTAGTCAAATTCTCATTCCTTTCTAGTTGGCCTGAACTTCCCCATCTGGGATATTTTTTATCAACTCCTCGTTATCTGTGATGATTTAAAATTTCATTTTGGACCTAGGTCTAGTCTTTTTCATTCATGCTGCTTGGAACACAATAGGCCTTTTCAACTTGAACTGATCGCTGTTCAATCCTGCAAACTATTCTTGTATTTGTTTCTGTGTACCTCCTATTTTTTCCTTTATCTCTATCTTGAATATCAGTTAGTTGAAAGTTGAAACTTCTTTGCTGAGTCAGTCCTTTTCTCTTTCTCTCTCCCTCTCCTCTCTCTCACCCCACATAGTGGACACTTGATTTATGAGAGATGTAACACTGCAGTGTTGTAAAGAAGGGGTCTTTTTCGATACACTGTT
Organism: Homo sapiens; assembly: GCF_000001405.40. NCBI lineage: Eukaryota > Metazoa > Chordata > Mammalia > Primates > Hominidae > Homo > Homo sapiens. The sequence continues at coordinate 96,780,408 of NC_000012.12, read as the reverse complement.
CTGGGTTAAATATATATCCATACAGAAAAAAAGTTAATCTTAATTTCAGCCTCACACTATACACAAAAATAGATTCTGGGTGAACTGTAGATCTAACTGTGAAAGATTAAAAATGATAAAAACATAGAAGGTACCTTTATGATTTTTGTTTAGGAAAAGATTTCTAAAACTGAACACAAAAAGCATACAAACCATTATAAGGACTAATTAATTGGGCATAAAAATTATAAACTTTGGATAATCAAAAGAAACTACTACTGAATAAAAAGGTAAAACAAAGAATGGGAAAAGATATTTGCAATACAAATAATCTACCAAAGGGTCATATCCAGAGTATATCAAGAATGCCTCCATATCTCTAAGCCAAAGACAGAAAACTCCCAGGAAAAATAGGCATCGTTTTAGAAAAAGTTCACCCCCAAAAACTATGCAAAAGCCAATATACCATATATAATAGTGTTCAATCTCTTTTGTCATCAAAATAAATTTTAAATTAAGACCACTTAATCTTAATTGCAATCTAGACTACTGCATAGCTGGCAACACTGAGGGCCCTTTCCTCTCTTCCTTTCTTTTTTCTATATTACATCTACTTCTTTCTTCATTTGCAACCCTTTGTGCTGGGGTGCATTCTCAAGTAACTTTCTTTTTAAAAAGTTCACCAAAAGTAAACCACTGTAGTCTTTATAAGGCCCTGTACTTGATTGGTCAGGTAGTGAAATATATAATTAATATATATATGTTAATATATAAATTAATATATAAATAATAAACATATAATTCATATAAGATTTCATGTAGTGAAATCTTAATTGCAATTAAGATTAAGTGGTCTTCTTGGCAATACCCACTAAGGCTAAAACCATGCATGTCTTATGACCAGCAATTCCATTCCTTGGCATATTATAAAAATGCATACATCTGTGCACAAAAATGTCACATACAAATATATTCATAGCAGCATTATTCATAACCCCAAATGTTTACCAACAGTAGAATGAACACTAAATTGTGCTATTATGCCCACCAAAAGGATGAATCACACAAACATAGGGGTGAACAGAAGTCAGACAAAAAGACTATATGATTTCATTTACACAAAATTCAAAAGCTGGCCAAACTATCTGTTACAAATCAGAAGGAAAAGAGGTTGCTAGGGGCCAGAAGGGAACATGATGTAGACTTCTGGGGCGCTGGTCTTATTCTATTTCTTGACCTAGTGGTGGTTACATGGGTGTTTCCTTTGTGTTAATTAATGAAGCTGTAAATTCATAATTTGTGGGTTTTTTTTTTTTTTTTTTGAGATGGAGATTCACTCGTGTTGCCCAGGCTGGAGTGCGATGGCACGATCTCAGCTCATTGCAACCTCTACCTTCTGGGTCCAAGAGATTCTCCTGCCTCAGCCTCCCAGTAACTGGGATTACAGGTGCCTGCCCCCACGCCTGGCTAATTTTTGTATTTTTAGTAGAGACAGGGTTTCACCATGTTGGCCAGGTTGGTCTTGAACTCCTGATCTCAGGTGATCCACCCACCTCAGACTCCCAATGTGCTGGGATTATAGGCATGAGCCATCACGCCCGGCCATGATTTGTGTTCTTTTCTGTATATATTTTATAATAGAGTAAAATGCTTATTTTTTAAAAAACAATTTTGTGGTGACTTCCAATTTGAAGACATTCATATAAGATTGGCACATCCCTTTTACCCCCTGAAAATTATCACAAGACAAGAAAGAAAACAAGTAACAAAAACACAAATTCCATTTTCAGTAAATCAGAGAAGAGCTAAAAATCCTAAGCCACAAAATGTGTGGAATAATGCCCAAAGCAATTGTCATCAAGTAGAATGTATAGAGAAGGAGACAGGTGATGCTACTAAGATGTAAATCTCAGGAAGAAATTGCAAAGCATACTTCTTGATGGTGAGCTGTGCACTTTTGAATAGTATTATAGTGCCAGTCAAGTTGAAGAATTATTTTGAGACCAATTGTTCATAGTTTAAAGAAAAAAGATTTTAAAATTATAAACCTATATGTGATGAGCCAAAAAAATTATTTGTTGCAGCCTTTCAAACTCAAAGCTAGATAAATGCATTAGTTAGAGAAATGTACACAAAAACCTAGAGACTAATAAAATTTTATACAGTTGACACTGATGAATGCACATCCTGAGGTCTAAGACCTAAATATTCCATTTGCAGTAATCACCCATGGAAAAAAATTTAGCCAATGAAATCATGGCACTTTCCAATAATAAAATAACTTGTTAGATTTTAAATGTAGCTGCAAACATAAAGACTCAGTTCATAACTCATCTGCAGAATTATACTTTTGCCTTGTAAATGGCTCAAAACTTTTCAAAGAAGCATGCCTAGATTACCTTTTGTTTTTATTTTTAAAATTTGTACGGGTACATAACAGTTGTACTACAAATGGCTCAAATTTACAGATGTGGCTAGACTTGCAGTTTTGCTTATATTTGTCTAACAGTATCAGCACCAACTATTCAAAGATCTCTTCCTATGTCAATGATTGGCAACTTTTTCTGAATCTAATGGTTTATCCTGGAACAAATGTGTTAGCATTTGGCATTGATGGCACAAAAGCAATGGTAAGTTTAATGGCCAGTGCCTTAGCAGAAATGTAGGAAGGTAGTGGCACCAAACCATCCTAGCAGTGCTTGCATTCTTCATTGCCATGCCCTCATAGTAGAATGAACACATTGATTCAAATGTCAGTTTCACTTAAGAATATCCTTGATGGGCCAGGCGCAGTGGCTCACACCTGTAATCCCAGCACTTTGGGAGGCCGAGGTGGGTGGATCTCCTGAGATCAGGAGTTTGAGACCAGCCTGACCAACATGGAGAAACCCCGTCTCTACTAAAAATACAAAATTAGCCGGGCATGGTGGTGCATGCCTGTAATCCCAGCTACTCAGGAGGCTGAGGCAGGAGAATCACTTGAACCCGGGAGGCGGAGGTTGCAGGGAGGCGAGATTGCGCCATTGCACTCCAGCAGCCTGGGCAACAAGAGCAAAACTCCATCTCAAAAAAAAAAAAAAGAATATCCTTGATGAAGCAGTAAAAGTTGTTAATGTTATTAACTACTGACCCTTGAGCACACACTTTTTTCATCTTTTCTGTGATAAAATGGGAAGCACACAAAAAACACTCCTGCTGCATACTGAAGTGCAATGGCTGTCTCCAGGAAAAGCACTTCAGGGATTCTTTGAGTTGCAAGCTGAATGAGCACTTTTACTTTTTTTTTCATGGACTGCCATTTTTACTGAAAGAACAGCTGACAAGACAAAATGTTTTCAGACTTAGGTAGGAGGCAAACATTTGTTCAAAAATGAAAGAAGTATACCTGACTTCCAGGGAAACAACTGACGGGTGTGCTGCCAAAGATAAAATTCAAGTTTTGAAGTAACGATTTAGAATTTTGGAAAACTTATATCTACCACTATGAACTTTTCAATACTTAGAATTTTCTGATAGGAATTGTGGTGATATTTTAACATTTTTTATATTGTCCAATAAAATGTATACATGTTTAGAAGACCTGCATATTTGAAGTCCATATTTTCCAAATGCCTAATATACAATGTTACAAAATCATGCATGGGTAAAAGATGTCATTCAACAGCAAGACAGACTAATGTATTTTGATATAACAGAGTTCAAAAAGTTTAATGATATAATTTCAGATTCTACTTTGGAATGAACTTTTAAGAAACTACCACTTACGCAGTTCTGGTTTAGTTTCAAAGAAGACTATCCACAATTATCTGAAAAGGCTGTTGAAATACTCCTCCATTTTCTAACTACATATCTGTGTGAGGCTGGATTTTTAAAAAAATTATTTCAACCAAAACATTATATTGCAGCAGATTGTCTGCAGAAGTAGGTGTGAGAATTCAACTATCTTTTATTGGGTCAGACATTAATGAGATCTGTAATATGCTATTTATGTTAACTTGTAATGAGTTTATTACTATTCTTTTTAAATTAATTAATAAACTTTAATTTTTCAGCTTTAATTTCTAATAGAACTGTATTGTTTTCTATACTAATAGATTTGTCTAATTTTTTTTTTACCTAAAGTAAATCTGGATAAATTATATTTTCCCAGGAAATTACAAGTTATATAGAAGTTTTCAAATTTGCTTAAAGTTGAACCAAAAAAATCTTTAAAAATTTAATTTCTTAACATCATTGATTACTTTCTTCTTATCATTTGTGAGAAGTTTTCTTTTTGCTATAACTAATTTTCCTGAAAAAGTTGGCTAATAGTTTTTCCCCTAAAATTACAACTTTCTAATTTTATTGGTTTTGTTTCCTAATTTATTGTATACATATTGTAAAGTGATCTGAAATAATAACATCAAACATACCCCACATATCAATACATTTACATTTAAATCACCTATTACAAGAAAAATACTATCAGGTCTTATAACAAAGAAAACCCAACTCTATGCCCTATGTAAAAGCATATTTAAAATAAAATTATTTCAAAAGTTTGAAAATAAAAACATGCAAAAATGTGTAGCAGGAAAATGTAAACCAAAAGAAAGCAATATTTGTGATCTCAGTATTAGACAAGGTAGAATTCTGGCCAAAAAGTGAAACAAAAGCGGGACCTTTATAATGTTAAAGGGTGTCATTCACAATAAAGATATAATACTTAAGAATATTCATAGTCCAAGTAACATCTTGTCAACAAAAACAAAAACTACAGATATAAGAGGAGGAACAATTATGTGAGCAGCAGAGGACCTCTGTTCGCCTTGTCCAGGTGTTGTCAAACTCTAGCCCATGGGCAAAATCTGGCCACACGTGTTTATGTGGGACTCATGAGCTAAAAATGGTTTTTACATTTTTAATGGTTGGAAAAAAATTAAAAGAATAATATTTTGTGTTACATGAAAATCATATGAAACTTAAATGTCAATGTCCACAGTAAAGTTTTTTTTTGGGTCGGGGATGGAATCTCACTCTGTTGCTTGGGCTGGAGTGCAGTAGCGCCATCTCAGCTCACTGCAACCTCTGCCTCCTAGGTTCAAGTGATTCTCCTGCCTCAGCCTCCCGAGTAGCTGGGATTACAGGTGCCCACCACTATGCCCAGCTAATTTTTTGTATTTTTAGTAGAAACGGGGTTTCGCCATGTTGGCCAGGCTGATCTCGAACTCCTGACCTCATGATTTGCCCACCTCGGCTTCCCAAAGCGTCAGGATTACAGGCGTGAGTCACCGCGCCCGGCCCACAGTAAAGTTTTAATGGAACACAGCCATGCTCATTCATTTACACTGTGACTATGGTTCCTTTTATGCTACAATAGCAAGTTGAGTAGGTTCAGCAGAGACCATAAAGACTTAAATAAGTAGACTTAAATATTTACTATCTGACTATTTACAGAAAATATTTGGTGACTTCAACCTTGTTCATGGATGACCAAGTGGAGAAAATATCTAAGGATAATAAAGTAAATATAGTGGCATCAGTAGCCTCTGTACATAAAAACAACTAATAGAAATAATTTTTTTAAATTATAATACAATAAGAAGATAACATCTCTAAAAATAAACCTAACCAGAAAAGTACAAGACTTATTTGAAGAAAATGTTAAAACACCCTAAGGGATGTGAACTAGAAAATATAAAGGGCATATAATATTCTTGGTTAAGATGATTCAGTAGAATAAAAATGTAAGTTATTTCTAAGTTAATGTCTAAATATAACGTAATCCCAATAAAAATACAGCAGGACTTTTTGGAACTAGACAAGCTGCTTCCAGACTTAACACATAAAAAAGCCACAAGAGAGAGTAATTAATGGGGACTTATCTTTATATTAAGTATATTTTTATAAGGTTACAAAAATTTAAAAAATGTATTGAAACCAGAATGGACAGATCAATTAGAACGGAAAGAAAAGTACAGAAATGGGGTAGCCATCTGGAAAAATTAAATTTATATCCGCTTGTCACACTTTACATATTCCGAATAGATTTCTATAAGTTATTTAAAGAATCTGAGTAGGGAGGACTTTTCTAACTATGACAGAAATCCAAAATCTATCAAAAAGATTAATAATTTCTACTATATAGAAATAAATAACTTCTTCATGGAACAGAACTATCATGTAAAATGTTAAGCAACAACTGAAAAATTAGAAAGCTATATTTACAAATATCACAACTAAAATGTTGATTTTCATAATAAAGGACTTCTACAAATACTTAAAGGCCAAATTTTTTTTTAATCGGGAAAGATTATGAGCAGAGAGTTCACAAAAAGATGTTCAAGCTTAGTCCTCACAAGATATGTGCAAATTAAATTTGAACCTTTTTTTCTCCCACCATGTCAACAAAAGTTTAAAAGATGTTTATAATGTACCTTTGTCAGCAAGGGTGTTGAAAAAAGACCATTTATTAACTGCTGACAGGAGTACAAAGTGGCATAACCTTTTTAGAATGATCTTGGCAAAAAATATCAAATTTTCAAATGAAATCACCCTTTGATCTAGACATTTGCTTTATGGGAATTGACCCAATAGATATACTAGCCTATGTACAAAATGATACAAATGTATAAGATGTACAGATGAATGTAATAGCAAAAGAGTAGAAACAACATAAATAGCTATCAAAGAGACTAATGAATTTAATTATGCTGGACCTATATAAAGGAATATTATACAGCCATAAAAAAGCTGCTTATGTGATGATTTGGAAAAATTGTCAAGATACATTTATATTAATTTAAAGAAAAAAGAGCAAGGAGCATTATTATGTGTACAGTTATACCACTATTTGTATTTTTAAGGGAAAAATATGTCAATGTATCAGTGCATATACCAGGTTGGTTCACTCAACATCCATCTTAAACTCCAAATATGCTTTTCTATATTGAAGAAATTATGAAGATAAAAATGACACTTCCCAAATGTCCTTGCAACTATTGTCCTGGATGGGATTTTAGGTATTATAAATTCAGTGCATTCATGCAAGACTTGGAGGTGGAACTGGGTTAAGCGGTGAGGGAGACAGGTGATTCAAGGCATCTCTTCGGCTGGTGTGATTCTGGCAGAAGAAGTGTGGTTTTTAAGCCTACAGCTGAGCAGAAGCTCTCTATTCTTCAGACAAATTCCTGATCTACAAGTTTCCTTTATAGGAAACAAACAAAAGCTGTGCCTTGGTGGTCCAGTTACATGTGGCTTAGTCATTTCTGGACACAGCCTAGAATTGGTTTCTTTAGCTCTCCCATTGAATTTGAAAGTCCTTTGATAAATCTCATTCTATTTGAATGAACTGGAGTGGATTCTGACCTCTACAATGGAACTCTGACAGTTGATATAAGCATGTAACATCTCTGGTGGGGAACACAAGAAAATGACTCTGGGAGGCAGAATGATGGTCCCCTAAAGATGTTCATGTCTAATCCCCAGAATCTGTGAATATGTTAGATTACAGGGCAAAGGAGAATTAAGATTGCAGACCAGTCCAGGCATGGTGGCTCACGCCTGTAATCCCAGCACTTTGGGAAGCTGAGGCATGTGGGTCAGGAGTTCAAGACCAGCCTGGCCAACATGGTGAAACCCTGTCTCTACTAAAAATACAAAAATTAGCCGGGCATGGTTGTGGGTGCCTGTAATCCCAGCTACTCAGAAGGCTGAGGCAGGAGAATCGCTTGAACTCAGGAAGCAGAGATTGCAGTGAGCCGAGATTATTCCATTGCACTCCAGCCTGGGCAGTATGCCATTGCACTCCAGCCTGGGCAACAAGAGCAAAACTCCATCTCAAAAAAAAAAAAAAAAAATTGCCCACCAATCACCTATCAACTGACTTTGAGATAAGGAGATTATCCTGGGTTATCCAGGTGGGCCTAATGTAATCACAGGGTCTGTATATGCAGAAACGAAGTCAGAGGAGTATGTTTCGGGTCAGAGAGATTTGGAGATGCTACGCTGCTGGCTTGGAAGATAAAGGGAGGGGCCATGAGCCAAGGAATTCAGGTGGCCTCTAGAAGCTGGGAAATGCAAGGAAACAGATTCTCCCTCAGAACTTTTAGAATAATGTATCCCTGGTGACACCTGAATTAGCCCAATAAGACCTATTTTGGACTTCTGACCTCCAGAACCAAAAGACAATAAATGTGTGGTAATTTGTTACAGCAGGAATAGGACACTAATAGACTGGTAATAATTGATTGTTTCTGGGGGGAACTGAGAACTGGACACTTGCAGAGAAGATGGAAAGATACCCTTTCGTATCTTTTGAGTTTTGATTCTTGAGAATAAATTACCTATTCAAAAAAATGAATTAAACTAAAAGAAAAAAACACTCCATACATATTAGACCAATGTAATCTGATCTTTAATGCTGCAGAGAAAAACTAAGAACAGTTCAGTGTTTGTTCCTTTTTAGAAAACTTTCTTTTTCTGACTGAATACTTACAATTATTTTCTCTTCCTAACCCAAAGATGTTACCAGAATTTGTCCAGATACAATTTGTACTATAACCATCTTCAGAAGAATTGGGGAAGATTGAGGAAGAGTCCCTTCTGTCCTGCATGGAGAAGGATCCCTTTGCAATCGCTTCCCATCAGCCCAGGCCAGAGCTCCCTGGGTTTCACTGGTTCTGGGCCAGTATTTAAAATGCCAATTTCCATGTATCATTCAGGTGGTGTGAATTACAACCTTACAACCTAAAGTGGGGTTTTTTTTTGTTGTTTTTTGTTTGTTTGTTTTTTGTTTTTGAGGCGGAGTCTCGCTCTTTTGCCCAGGCCGGAGTGCAGTGGCGCTATCTCGGCTCACTGCAAGCTCCGCCTCCCGGGTTCACGCCATTCTCCTGCCTCAGCCTCCCGAGTAGCTGGGACTACAGGGGCCCACCACCGCGCCTGGCTAATTTTTTGTATTTTTAGTAGAGACGGGGTTTCACCGTGTTAGCCAGGATGGTCTCCATCTCCTGACCTCGTGAACCGCCCGCCTTGGCCTCCCAAAGTGCTGGGATTACAGGCGTGAGCCACTGCTTCCGGGACTAAAGTGGGTTTTAATGTGGGCATTTGTGCTGTTTCCCTGAATCTACTCAAACCAGTGGACAGTGTATTTCTAGTCCCCAGTTTGTGGACAAGCCCACTCTGAATCCCCATTTATATAGTTAGCTGGTTTCTGACTTTCCCTACCTGCAGGGCCCTCTTTCCAGACTGTTCCTTGAGTCTGGTACTGAAGTCCCAGTTCCATCTGTTAAGGCCTAATTTGAATTCCTCTCCAGTGAAGTCCTCAGGTTCAGGCCCTGCTACAAATCTCCAATTTGCTTTGGCAATTTGGAATTTTCCTTTCCTGGTTTCAAGCTCAGCTACAAATTAAAACAATTTTTGTACTATTTACCCACCACTGTTAATGTGTTTGGATTGCGAAGGGCAGAGGCATCACTCATGTCAACTCCATCCAAGCAGTCCAGCAGGCTGACTAGAAGCATCAATTCTGCATTTTAAGTTCCTGGCAATACTTTCTTATCACACCCAACATAAAGCTTAACAGCAGAGCCTTTAGAATTGGATAGATCAGGATTTGAATTAGTAGTGGAATAGTACACAAGTTACATAACCTCTCTGAATGAGCACCTTGCCTCATTTATAAATGTGCATAATGACACTCCCACAGGATTTTCCTGAAACATAAATGAAATCAAGTAAGATAGCTGTGGCACACAGCATCAGGTGCCACTCATCCCCTTATTATCTGGCACTTCCTGAGTCATAGCTTTCTGCTGTCGTGTGAATCTTGATGGCCTGGGCCCTGCTAAGGGTAGCAAACAATCATGTTGAGTCTCCTCCAGTTCACTGAAGGGTAAATCTTCCTCTCAGTCTCCAGGACAGCATTCCACTGTGCTCTTCTAAGAATGTTTTCTCTCACATGAACCATCTGTTGTTTCTTATTTTACATTGTTGACTCTGTCTAAATAAACAGGGTCTCCTCCTACCTAGTACCTGACAATTGACAGGGTGTGTGCTCTCCTCTTAGCCATGGTACTGTCCCTTCTCAGATTTCAGTGATCAGTGTATGAATCTCTGAGTGGAGTTTCTGGACTCTGGCAGGCATTTGACCAAGACAAGTCTGCTTCACTGAGGCTGGTCCTTGTCATGACCCAATTGTCTCATCTCTAATACTCGGATGCAACACACACACACACAAATTCACACACACACACACACACACATCCCACCTTCACTACCACAGATGATTTTTCTCCATTCCCACCTATAAGTAGTATAATTATTTGGGATTTGAGTAGTAATATACCAATCCAGTTCCCCTACTATGGGGAATTGTGTGTTAGAGGAATAGGAAAACAGAAGATAATAGTAGAGGAATTGCATCCCACTTTTTAATTAGTTGTTATCGACCCTGTATCTCTGCACCAGGTGCAAGGTGGTATGGGAGGGAAAAATCAGATTTCTTTTCAGGCTGGAAGGTTTGCTCTGTTTCAAGAGGCAAAACATACATTAAAGCCCAGTTGTGATTCTTGGCTCTGCTCCATAGATCTCTTTTTGTATTCTGACAATAGGTTCACTGTAAGGTAATGGATGTGCTTTGGTCAAGGATAGGCCAAAGTAGGGTGTTTACGTTCTGCGGGACTCAGTGAGTTTAGAGCGCAGGTGTATAACTCTATTTGTTATCACAGCCATGTAGCCATGGGAAGGCTCATCATTTGGCTCTGAGCCACTACTGTCTATAAAAGGTATAATTGCCATGTTGACACTGTATAGCTGCACTCATGCCCAGAGAAAGAAAGAGTTAATCTGCTCACCCTGAAGGGAGAGCTGGCTGCGCAGCTGTGTGTGGCAGTGGTCACAGCAAGGAGCCAAGACAGAGCAGTCTGTCTAAGAGAGCTGCTGATGAGAGAGCTGCTGAATAAAGCTATATTTCACATACCTACAGCCCCCCGAACGTTCTTTCAGCTCCCTGCTCCCCATCCACCCACACCCCTCCGACCTCAGCATGGGCTGGAAACTGACCCTGGACCTAACATTCACTGACATCACTTTTTAGCAAGACAGGCATTTATAGTTTTCTGTATATATTGTTTATGTAGTAGTAAGAGGCTGCATCTGGGACCAGTAATCCTAAATGTTACTTTGAATTCAAAATTTAAATACAGAATTTAATAATTTTAATCCCAGCTGAAATTTTTATCAAGGCCACAAGAAAATCAAGACAAAATGATAAGAGTATATACTTGAATATAACTGGGCCCAAAGTAGGTAGCATGAAATAAAGGTTTCTTTGCATTGAATTTAAACATGGCCCCACATTGCCAGTGCCAACATCTCAAGGTGTCTGTTCCTACAGAGAATACCTCAGTAATTGTACTAGGTGCATCACTTTAACTCTCTTACTGTGCTATAGATGTCATACAATTGCTCTCTGGTCCTGGCAGGATGATCTATAGTCCACTCTCCACACATGACTAGTCCATTCTGTCATAATGCTCCTGTCATCAATTGCTCTGTTGATAAAATTTGCTTCCCCTGAGTCAATTTACACCTGCCCCATAATATACCTCTCCCAGAAAACAACGCTCTTAATTAACTCATATGCCATCCTGCCTGTGTCCAGCTCCCCTCAGAAGGCATAGATGGATTTAGCTTGTGGCACTTTAATCTGCCTTCATTATTATGCTCTGCTTCTTTTTTTGTTTGTTTTTGTTTTTGTTTTGTTTTGTTTTATTTTGCTTTGTTTTGTTTTTTGAGATAGAGTCTCACTCTGTCACCCAGGCTGGAGTGCAGTGAGTGGCGTGATCTCGGCTCACTGCAACCTCTGCCTCCCAGGTTCAATCCATTTATCCTGCCTCAGCCTCCCTAGTAGCTGGGATTATAGGCGCCCACCACCATACCCGGCTAATTTTTGTATTTTTAGTAGAGATCGGGTTTTGCCATGTTGGCCAGGCTGGTCTTGAACTCCTGGCCTCAAGTGATCCACCCTTCTTGGCCTTCCAAAGTGCCAGGATTATAGCCATAACCCACCGCACCCAGCCTATTATGCTCTTCTTAAAAGATGAATTTTGTTTTTTCTATTTTATTTTTTGAGACAGAGTCTCACTTTGTCACTGAGGCTGGAGTGCAATGGTGCGATCTCGGCTCACTGCAACCTCCACCTTCTGGGTTCAAGCGATTCTCCTGTCTCACCCTTCTGAGTAGTTGGGACTACAGGTGTGCAGCAGCACACCCGGCTAATTTTTGTATTTTTAGTAGAGACGGGGTTTCACCATGTTGCCCAGGGTGGTCTCAAACTCCTGATCTCAAATAATCCACCCACCTTAGCCTCCCAAAGTGCTGGGATTACAGGCATGAGCCACTGCACCTGGCCAAAAAATGAATGTCTATCATTTCAGGGTATATGCCTGTTCTGATTGCCCATGACTAGAAGCTCATGGAAGGTAAGACCTGCTTCCTTGAGGTGTTCTCTGACTCTTCCTTCTCTCTGAATGTAAATATCTCGTACAGTACTCTACATACAGTAACAGTAAATGTTGTTCATCACCTCATGTGTAGATCAATGCTAGTATTGTTTAAAGCTAAGATTACTGAGGAGGTTTTTTGCTGGATGCTAATTTATGCTAATGCAAGGAAAATCAAACAAGTTTTATTTGTTGTTGTTAAGGAATTTTGCCCTTTAGCAAGCCATTATAATATGAACCTCATTGCCATCTGGGTATTAGTGGCAACCAAGTGGGAATTCAGAACCTCCTTCTAACCCCAACACTGAAGTGAGGGAAGTCATCAACATGAATTAATTATCAGCCTGCCAGGAAAGGACTGGAAGGCAAAATTATTATTCTTAAGGCAAGGCAAAATGCAAAACAGATTGGATTTTAAAATTTGGTAATTTCGTAGTTAAAATAGTAAAGAAGGGCTAATGGTATAAAATGGAAACTGAAAAAATGTAATATGCTATGAAAGCCACTGACACGGAACAAGAAAGCTTAGGTTCTAGTATTAAACTGAGATGAAGACTACCTACTCAACTGGATCAACAAACATGGTTTTGTTTAGAGGATGCCATTTTCCACTGTGTGCCCCTGGCTGACATCATTAATTAATCACAGCACCTTTTTCGTGTCTTTTCTATGGTTCTTTCCTCTGAATCATACAGAGGTTCTTCTCAGGTAGCCATTGGCCATCGAATTTGTCATATGCGATAGTTTGGATTTTCATTTAGCAAACATCCATGCCTCTCTCCCTTCCTGTACAAGCAGTGTATATTTCCCTAGCTCACTGATATTGGACTTGGCCCTATGACTTGCTGTGGCCAATGGGATGGGATGTGAAGAAAGGCCTTAAATGCATTTGTGTGATTTGGTTTGTGGCTCTTTTGCTCTGGTATCTACCATGAGAAGATCATACCCCAGATAACCACTGTCTCTTTAGCTTGGGCCTCACTCACAACAAATGTACATAAGAATGCACCTGAACCCGACCTACAGCCTGAAGCAGAACACATGAGCTGAGTGGAAGAATGAGTTCCTGTTGTTGTAGGCCACTGAGTTTTAGGGTCCATCTTGGATGAAACTTATTGGTCATCCCTGCCCTAAAAACTGGGAAAACACAAGGAAATGACTAGGGTAAAGTAAACACATCATTCAGAAGTAATAAGGAGGCAGTATGAAGAAGAAATAGCCATATTGGAAGTTTCAGTCATCGTCTTAGATTTTGACTAATCTCTCAGTCTACGGACAAGAGACTGAGCGATTAGCCTCAGATTCTAGAGTAGATTAGTTTCTAATGAGGCTGAGAGAAATGAAATGGTCTGGGAGAGCTAGGATGTCAACTGAATCTCTTGATTATTAATACTGTACAATAATGTGTGCTTCTAAGAGAGATGCTTTCCTGGCATTCTGAACCAGGGAGAATTGAGCTGCCAAACAGTGTTAAGCAAAGAAGTGGTGACCAGCTCCTCCTGGCTGCTGGGCTGCCGAACTGCCCTGTGTAGGGTCAATGGCTTTGTCCCCAGAGAACCCACCTATGGGAACCTTAAAGAAGAGCAAGCACCCAGTCTGATGTTCAGGCTGTGGCTCAGAAAGCCAATAAAGCAAAATTCTCCCAGGCACGAAGGAAATAAAAGTAAGAAAACAAAACCTCAGCGTAAAAAAAAATCTATAAAATAGTTTGCAAAATAATTTGGGACACCTATGCTTCAGAAAAGAGCCAAAGAGGGGGACGTTAGACATTAACACTTTAACTAAGGCTGACCCAACAATGCAGCAGAGTAAGACGCTGTCTACAGATGTGATTCCAGAAGTATTAGGAAGATCACTCCCAAAGGAGAAGGTTAAAACTCTTCTCCTTTGGCTCAATGCTGGCCTAGCACCAAGCAAAATTAGAGGTGGATGTTAGTGAAATGTCAGTCTGGAAGTAAGACTAGTGTCTTGCTTCTTAGCACCTATCCAAGTGCTTAGCACACAAGAAGCACTCAATAAATATTTTTTGAGTGAAATAATGGAAAAACACATAAATGAATGTTAAATGCCTGTTACCAGTTATCTGATATAGAGGTTTATATTATAGTTTACTATCAAAGGAGTAACTAAGCAAAAACATAAACAGTATTGCAGTCCAGTTTAAATTTTGCTAATTTCTTTCATTAATTCATTTAACAAATGTTGATATTGAATGTCTGCTATGTGCAAGCACTGTGCAATTTGCTGTAGATGAAAATTGAATATATGAAGACCCTGCTCTCAGGTAGCTGATGATAATTTAATGAGAGAAAGAGCTTAAACACATAATCAAACATATATACAAATATAAAATCACTAAGGAAAAGAAGAGGGAGGCATATCAGAGTGGGAGAGTGCATGTAGATTTTGGATGAAAGGATCAGAGAGGCAAACAGTCCCAAAAGGTCCCATTTGATATGTGTGAACTGGAAAAGAAACAGATGTAAAATATCATTTTTTTAAAAGAACATGCATCTGAAATGCAGCAGCTGACTGAGTAACAGGTACACATGTGCAGTGAGCTAAGAGCCCTCTATTTTGGCCCTAGGACCCCTATGATCCCCTGGAAGTGCCCCCAAACATTATCCCATCTAAGCTAAAAGCCAACAAATTACAATTAAATCTTTGAAACTTGATTCTATATTACATATATCAGTTTTTTTGCATAATATGTAGACATCCAAACATACCAAGCAAATAATCTGTATACGAAGACAAAAGATCCAGAGCAGCAAATTCTGGGATATTTGGTAATGCCACTTGGTTAACTTTATGCATTCTAGTATTCTTCTTTCCAATAAGTAAGTTAATTGCCAGCACAGCTTCACTGACCTACAATTAATGCATAAATTAGAATTATAAATATAAGCTTTCTAATTCATAGATTATCTATTAGGTAAATAATGTGAAAAAAGTGAATTCATAAAATAATATTCCTTATACATTGGAGGAAAAAATAAAGACAACCTGAAAAAATAATATGTGATCCCTGATATGTAGAATATATCATAGTCAAACAAATAATTTAGGGTTGACAATTTAATTAATGCATAAATCACTTTAAATAAGCTACCTTACCTAGCTATGACAGATAGTTGCCAAAATGTCAAATATGTACACATGTATATCTGCCAATAGTTTCACTGAGAAAAGGTGAAACAAAGAGAACTAAGTCTGGCTAATAGAGAGATTGAAAACACTAAACATAACTAGTATTTCTAATCTTTCCAAAGAAACATAATTGGCACAAATCCCAAATAATGTAATTTTTTTTTCTTTTTTTCTTTTGAGACAGGATCTCACTCTGTTCCCCAGCCTGGAGTGCAGTGGTGGGATCTCAGCTCACTGCAGCCTCGACCTCCCAGAGTCAAGCAATCCTTTTGCCTCAGCCTTCTGTGTAGCTGAGACTATAGGCATGCCACCATGCCCAGCTAATTTTTAAATTTTTTGTAGAGATGGGCTCTTGCTATGTTGTCCAGGCTGGTCTCGACCTCCTGGATTCAAGTGATCCTCCTGCCTCAGCCTCCCAAAGTGCTGGGATAACAGGCATGAGGTATCACACCCAACTCCTTTCTCTTTTACAGGTATATTGTGTTCTTTAAAGGCAGAGAATACAGATATGACAGTAAGAAGAAAGATTAAACAAAAATCACACCAACCTGTGCAGCAGCTCTTATTGCAATCCAGGCTAATGAACTGTACATTTCAAATTTATTTGCTGATGTTTCTTTAACAGAACTACTTCTTCTGAGAGGAGGCTAAAAATATGGCAAATGTGTTATGATATAAAGTTTTGTGATAACTCTTCTCATCTTCTGAAGATGACATTTTAGTGAAATGCTATGTAGTCACTAAGGATAATAATGTATCTATTGACATGAGAAGATATTCGAAATACATTGAGGAAAGAAAAGTGTAGGTTACAAAATTGTATGAAAAGTACAATCCTTCTTTTTAAAAAATATGCACACATATACATTCCCTGTACATAAAAGCAGAGAAAATTATTAACAGCAGTTATCCCAAGTTTTAAGGTAGTTAAATTATTCTTATCATTTTTTTCTAATTTTCTATAATGAATTTGAATTATTTGTGTAATAAGTTAACAAAAATTATATATATACATTTTTGAGACATAGTCTTGCTCTGTCACACAGGCTGGAGTGCAATGACACAATCTCAGCTCACTGCAACCTCTGCCTCCCAGGTTCAAACAATTTTTCTACCTCAGACTCCCAAGTAGCTGGGACTACAGGCATGCACCACCACACCCAGCTAGTTTTTGTATTTTTTGTAGAAACAAGGTGTCACCATGTTGCCCAGGCTGGTCTTGATCTCCTGAGCTCAGGTGATCGGCCCACCTCAACCTTCCAAAGTGCTGGGATTACAGGCATGTGTCACTATGCCCATCCAAAAATGGCATCTTAAGTAAAATTAAGTGCCATTATAATAGAAAACCTATAAGTTGAATATATTGTGTAACAGCATCAGAAATTACAACATTGCTTAAAGATTTTTGGCAGTATTTGCTATCATATTTCCTGCTAAGAAAAATATTAAAGAGATAGTATTATCATAAAGTTCCATAGAATAGCAAAACAAACAAACAATGATTGAGGATTTTTTTTACCATGGGGGTTTCTTTAATAAAGAATGAATATATATTTTAAAAATATATATTCAGTTTTTAAACATAGAAAGTCAATGCTACAGAAGTGAACAGAACAAAACTCCACCAGTAGCTAGTATCTGCTGTACATTTTTAAAGACAACTAAAATAAGTAGTAGTAGTTTCTTAAGATTTAAATCATCTGGATGGAGCTAACAATTCAATTAGCCCCACGGGTGCTAATTCTTTGATGCCCATATTTTGACCAATTCTTTAATTTTCAATGAACCTGCAGAATAAAACAAACAATAACAAAAGTATCTTTATTTTACTTCTGGCTAGAAGACTCCCAGAGAAAAAGAAAGGCCGTGTACAATGCTGATGTCAAAGCAACAAGTATAAGGCGTAAATGTGGCCTAGCTTAGCTCTAGCATTAAGCCTGGGAGAAGATGACACCTGGAAAGATCTACCTATGGGGAAATCTAAGCAATATAACCCCATTCCAAGATAAAAAAAAGAAAAAAAAAACCCTAATCATTAGCTGTAATGGGACTAATCTGGAGTAACAATTGCTAACTTACTGACTACATAAGCATGGGCAATTTATCTACTTAAATTCTGGTAACAAGACTAACAGGCATGTAATGAAGAATAGAGAACAACATTAAATAACTATAATGTAAGACCAACTAGTGACCCAGCCATTCAAAGAAAAAAGAAGTCAACTCCAATGGAAAGGAAACCTTTATTGAGGAAGTTGGGCTTGAGCCCACCATAGAAAAATTTGGAGTGGACAAAGAATATGGTGGGCGTTTTCCAGATGGGGGAGATGTTCGACATTGCACAGGAGATTCTAGGTTATGTAAACAGGAAAGAAAACCCGGGCAAGGGGTGTGGAATGCATGTAGATTGGAAGTGAAGAAGTAAAGTGTCTTTCTTTGCAGAAGACATGATCCTATATGTAGAAAATCCTAAGGAATACACAAACAGACACACAAACACAATTAACATTATTAAACTTGTTTAGCAAGGTCACAGGACGCAAAACAATGAATACACACAAATGAACTGTATTTTTATATACTAGCGATAAGCAATCTAAAAATTAAAACAAAAATCCCTTTGACAATAGAAATAACAAAAATGTATAAGACTCATACACTAAAAAGACAAAACTTTGTTGAGAGAAATTAAGGTCAGAATAAATGAAGAGACAGTCCATATTCATTAATTAGGGGACTTAATATTGTTAAGATGGCAACAAAAATCTCCTTAGTTTTTTTTGCAGAAATTGACAAGCAGATCCTAAAATAGATAGTGAAATGCAAAGGAGTCAAAGTAGCCAAAACAGTTTTGAAAAGGAAGAATATAGTTGGAACATGCACTTTACAATTTCAAAACTTACTAAAAGCTACAGGAACCAAGACAGTGGAAACTCAAGTAAAGGTAGATTTAGAGGTCAATGAAACAGGATTGAAAATCCAGGAATAAACATTTGCATTTATAATTAATTTTCAACAAAAGTGCCAAAGCAATCCAACGAGAAAAGGATAAGTCTTTGCAACAAATGGTGCTGAGACAACTGCATATTCATGGACAAAAAGATGAATTTAGAATTTAGAATCTTACCTCACACTCTACCCAAGTATTAACTCAAAATGGATCACAGACTTAAATGTAAAAGTTAAAACTATACAACTTCTAGAAGAAAACATATAAGAAAATCTTCAACATCTGCAGTTAGACAAAGGGTGCTAGATATGCCGCAAAAAAAACCCCACAATCTATAAAAGAAAAAAATGACAATTTGGACTTCATTAAAATTTAAAAACTTTGTGCCTCCAAAGACACTACTAACAATATGAAAGGACAAGCGACTAACCAGGAGAAAATATTTGCAAATCATTTATTTGATAGGGGGCTTGTATCTAGAATACATATATTTTTAAAAAAGAAAACTCTCAAAGCTAATGATAAAAAAAGACAAATGACCCAATAAAAATGGGCAAAAGATCTGAATAGACATTTCCCCAAAGAAGATACACAAATGGCCAATAAGCACATGAAAATATCCAAGCATCATTAGCCACCAGAGGAATGCAAATCAAAACCACAGTGAGATACCACTTCATACCTACTAGCATGGGTACTACCAAAAAGGTAGATAATAACAAGTGTTAGCAAGGATGTGGAAAAATTGCAACCTTCATATACTGCTGGTAAGGATGTAAAATGGTAGAGCCACCTTTGAAAACAATCTGACAGATCATCAAAAGGCTAAACATAGAGTTGCCATATAACCCAGCAATTTCACTCTTAGGTATATACTCAAAAGAATTGAAAACATATGTCCACAAAAAAACTTGTATATGAATGTGCAAAACATCATTTATCAAAACAGCCAAAAAGTGAAAACAATTCAAATGTCCATCAACTACTGAATGGATAAAGAAAAAAAAAGTGGCATATCCATATAATGAGACACTATTAAGCAACAACAACAACAAAACTACCGTTACACACTACAACATGGGTCAACCTATGAAACATTATACTGGGTGAAAGAAGCAGGCATAAACAAGACAAAATCTATTATTCTATTAGCTGGGCATGGCGGTACATGCCTGTAGTCCGAGCTACTCGGGAAGCTGAGGCAGGAGAATTGCTTGAACCCAGGAGGCGGAGGTTGCAGTGAGCCTAGATCACGCCACTGCACTCCAGTCTAGGCATCAGAGCAAGACTCTGTCTCAGAAAAACTTAAATAAACTCTATCATTCTATTTACATGAAATGTCTGGAAAAGGCAAATCTATAGAGACAGAAAACAGTTTGGTGGTTTCATGGGACTAGGGGTGGGAACAGGATTGACTGCAAATAGGCATAAGGGATCTTTCTTGGGATGATGAAAATGTTCTAAAACTGGATAGTGGTGATTGTTGAACAACTCTGTAAATTTACTAAACATCTGTGGACTGCAGTCTTAAAATGCATTAATTTCATGGATGGAAATTATACCTCTAGTTTTTTTTTAAATGTATGCATGCTGATCTCTCTGTGGACTGTTTTCTCCCACATAACTACTTGGAGAACTCCACTTATCCTTCAAAATGTACTTCATCTGTGAAGCCTTCTCCAGCATTTCCCCAAAACAGCATTAGTCCCTACTTTGCCCCACTTCTCCACCTTGACAAATTGTGATTATAGTCCTTGTCACATTGCAATACAATTATTTATCTCTCTTGCTAGTCTCTGTGATCCTTAGGAAAAGAAAGTGGTTAATGTACATTAAGCCCTCAGTAAGTGTTCAGTTCATGAGTAAATAAATGAATGTTTAAGAAATAGTGATGTCAACAGGCATCAATTATTGAGTACCTACTAACAAAATAGGAAGAAGAATAAAGACGTTTAGCTGATGTTACATAACGAGAAATAATAGTTCCATTTATATAAGTACTTATTACATACAAGCCCATTATCTTGTTTAATTCTCAGAGCCACTCTAAGAGGTAAGGATCCTCATCTCCATTTCACAGGCGAGGAAACTAGGCTTAGAAAGACCTCAGTCACATAGCTAGTAAGTTGTGAAGCTAGGATTCAAACCCACACAGGTACTATGGTCACTCTGCTGTATGGACACTACATAAAAGTGAAACAATAGTGCTTCCTTTTAAGGGCTTATAATGTGTTGTCTTTATTAGGACATATTTCAAATGTTATATTTCCATGGTCTGAATATGTCTGCATGAATTTTTTAAATTGGTTTTGGCTGTTTTCTGTGCTTCCAATAATTCTATGACTTGCTAAAATATTTATACTATGTCAAAACATACAGAAAATAATGATCATATTGTAAGGAATTACACTACTGTTTTCATTCAGATTCTAACTTCTTTATGTTCTTAATTATAAGCACTTCTCTAGTAAGGGCCAGAAAGCTGATATATTATCATCCTAGCATCCTATTAATTTGTATTGCCACCTGCTATAAAAACAAGGGTTTTTTTTTTTTCTGTTACTGGAAATAAACATGTTTATCAAACAACACAAAGTAACTTTTTCTAGTTTGCAATTATTTTGATTAAAAAAAGAGGGGCCATTTACCTAAGGCAGCTGCCATATGAATGGCAGCTGCCATATGAATAATTGGTAAGAATTGACTGAGACTCTATTTGCCTAAAGGTTTTAAATCATGTTTATGTTGTCTCAAAAATTAAAGATTTGATGCCAACATTTTCTGAAAAGATCTCTTGGAGGGTCAAATGATTATTCAATAAGGATGAAACAGAAAAGCCCACTAAAATTTTAAAAACAAAAAATAAAATTACTGGGTTCATATACCTCAAACCCACCCAAATTATTCCTGCATCTGGGATCTCCCTGAGTCTAGAACCTTGGTCCTCACGTGTGGCCCACAGACCGGCGGCATCAGCATCACCTGGGAGGCTCGTTAGAAATGCCAAATCTCAGAGCCCATCCCTGATTTACTGAATCAGAGTCTGCCATTTCACAAGATTTTCAGAGGTGTTTCCACATCTTAGTTTGGAAGCACTGCTCTAGCTACAAGATGCGACCCCTCTGCAACTCTTTGCTGGGGTCCCTCCTCATTCATTAAACCCTACTTCAAACATCACCCCTTCTCAGGTCATTCATTGAAAATTCCACCAATACAAGTTATTCCTAGCTCCAAATTTCACTACCTAAGTCACCCCCTAATATGGTTTGGCTGTGTCCTCACCCAAATCTCATCTTGAATTGTAGCTCCCCAAATTCCCACACATTGTGGGAGGGACCTGGTGGGAGATAACTGAATCATGGGACAGTTTCTCCCATACTGTTCTCATGGTAGTGAATAAATCTCAGGAGATCTGATGGTTTTATAAGGGGAAACCCCTTTCACTTGGTTCTCATTCTTTGTCTGCTGCCATGTAAGATGTGACTTTCGCCTTCCACCATGATTGTGAGGCCTCCCCAGCCACATGGAACTATGAGTCCGTTAAATCTCTTTCCTTTATAATTACTCAGTCTCAGGTATGTCTTTATTAGCAGCGTGAAAATGAACTAATACATGCCCTTCCCCTCCTTCTCCCTCATTTCCTCCCACCTTTCCTCCTCTGATCTCCTTCCTTTACTGGTTTATTATCTGTTTTCCTCTACTGAAAGGCAAGCTCCATGAGAACAGGGACCAAGTTTGTTTTAGACACTGCTTTAACATCTTCCTCTATGAGAGTACCTGGATCATAGTAGATGCTCAATAGATACGTGATGAATGTATGAATGATTCTATCAAGAGGTAATCTGTTTATAGGCCATATCAGTATTGAAAACTTCACTTGTCCATCTGTTTAACCAATATGTCATTTCTTGAATTTTCCTGATCAATACTAATGACTCATTCATTGCCTTGCATTTATGTTATCCATGAAACATAACTGTATATTTATATATTAAGTATATATTTATGTACAGTTACATTTTATGGATAACATTTTCACAGGCAGAAATGTGTATATAAAAATAATTTCCAAAGCCCTATATAAAATGTCCAAAGAGATATCTCTTTGTAACATAGTTACAAGTGTAACTACAAAGAAATGAATTAATTTCTCCAAGCCACACAGGAAAATCAGCCTCATTATTTCAATAGCACAGTGTTACCAAAATAGCAAGCTCAAAGGCAATTAACTCATAATTTCTAATAAAATAGACTCTTACCTTAAGTGTTAATGGTGATCCTGAAATTTTTATCTTTGGCTTCTTCAGATGAAAATACAATAGAGCCATTTCTAGGTAGGAGTCTCTTATCAATCTAAAATGATATAGCACTGTACTTATTAAATAGCTTCACCATGCATAATCATTGGTATCATTTGCCAACAATTTCTGAGCTGATGAAAGGTAAAAACTGGCAAAACCAGCATCTGTCACAAACACACACCCTCTTTTCATAGCACTTTTGACCATAGATACTAGCATCTTCCTCCCTACTAAAATTGGAAGTTCTGGAAGAGAGCTTAGCACTCTGCCTTTTCCTGTGGTGGCAACACTCCATGCTATAACTGCCAGGAAGCCTGGCATCAAGACCATTCTGGAATATTCTAGCACACAAGACACTAAATCAGTGAAGGTCAGGGCTGGAGGAATTTGCCTTGAAAATGGAGGCCCCTCTCTATCCTCCTACACTAATTAAAATAGAAAGAAATACATAGAGTTATGCAATGCAGAAAGCAGTGATTTGGTATGGGTTAGGTCTATGTATTCACTATCAAATCTGTCAGCTGGGGATCAGTGCACCTGGATCAGTGCAGTTGTAATAAAGGTGGCTTACTCAATATTGAGGTGATATTCATACAGAATTAAGAATTAAGTTGGCCAGTCCTGGTCCTGATGACCAGAGTGAATTCACAGCCACACGAACTCCTTCTAGACACAACTGCACATTTAGGGAAGGATCTTCCAGTTTAGAAGCCAGTCATCCTGAGGAGGCCCCAGAAATCCTGGGACTGACACGAGATCTGGGTACAGGCCAATATCCCACTATGAGGACAGCCATCATTTACCATTACTTTAAAGGAGGCTTTGGGTCAGAACAAAGAGCAACAAGCTTGAGATGGACCCCATGAACTAGCCCTGCTTTCAGAAGGCATCCCAAGCAATCCAGCCTTGAGTGGTCAATGTACTACAAGAACACGGGGCTCAAGCCAAACACACACAGCTACAACAATGGAATATCTTTTTACCCTGAGTTTTGATCATTTTTCAGGCTTAGTTGTATAGCTTCATATAAACTCTCAAGTTGAAAACTTGGAGATTTCTCTTCCATTAGTATTTGACGTTCTATTTTGCCTGAAAGAAGAAAAAGATACAAAGATGGTTTTTCCTTTTTCTAGCACTTAGAACTTAAGAACAAATATTTCATGCTGGAAATTCAGAATATTTGATGTGCTGTCCTTTTGTATGTCTGTCTATTTCTTCCAGAAGGTAAGCCAATGAGGAAAGATCCATTGCCTCCTTCTTCAGAACCCTCAGGCTTCCCCTGCATTCAGGAAGCAACATGAGGCAAGCCTTCTTTGGCTTGCCCTACACAACTGGTCTTCCCATCTTCCCATCTAACTTCTCTCTCCATTCCCTTACTTTGTGCTTCTCCCTCCTCCTGTATCTTACATTCCCTTTTTTGACATGCATTCTCCTCCTTCCCCTGTCTCCTTCACAGATATCATAGAAAACATCTGCCCTCCCATGTTCATTGTAGCATTATTCACATTATTCACAATAGCCAAGATATGGAATCAATCTAAGTACCCTTCGACAGGTGCATGGATAAAGAAAACGTGATATGGCTGGCCGTGGTGGCTCACGCTTGTAATCCCAGCACTTTGGGAGGCTGAGGAGGGCGGATCACAAGGTCAGGAGTTCGAGACCAGCCTGCCCAACATGGTGAAACGCCATCTCTACTAAAAATACAAAAATTAGCCTGGCATGGTGGTGCGCGCCTGTAATCCCAGCCACTCAGGAGGCTGAGGCAGGAGAATCACTTGAACCTGGGAGGTGGAGGTTGCAGTGAGCCGAGATCACACCACTGCACTCCAGCCTGGGTGACAGAGTGAGACTTAGTCTCAAAAAAAAAAAAAAAAAAAGGAAAAAAGAAAAGAAAATGTGATATATATACACAACGGAATACTATTTAAAATAGAAAGAAATCCTGTTATTTGAAGACCTCATGGATGAACCTGGAGGACATTATTCTCAGTGAAATAAGCCAGGCACATAAAGACAAATATTGCGTGATCTCACTTAACTGAAGAATCTTAAAAAGTCAGGGAGGGTGGGGGAATAGGGAGATATTGGTCAAAGGGTACAAAGTTTCAGTTAAATGGGAGGAATAAGTTCTGGAGACCTATTGTACAACATGGTGACTATAATTAATAATAATTATAGATTTTAAATGCTTTCACCACAAAAAAATGATAAGTATGTGAAGTGATGGATATGCTAATTAGCTTGATTTAATCATGCCACAATATATACATGTATCAAAAACGTCACACTATACCCCATAAATATATACAATTGCTTTGTCAGTTAAAAATAAATTGAAAACACTTTTAAAATTTTAGAAAAATCACAAACCTAAGGAGAAAAAATAAATCCTAAAAAGTCAGCAAATGGCTGAAAACTCTCTATGATAATGCAAATGCGCTGGCCCTCACAGCTCCCAGCCCTCATGGTGAGCTGCAGCCTTCAAATATAGGCATTAGCAGGCTGGGCCTGGTGGCTCATGCTTGCAATCCCAGCACTTTGGGAGGCCAAGGCGGGTGGATAGCTTGAGGTCAGGAGTTCGAGATCAGCCTGGCCAACATAGTGAAACCCCATCTCTACTAAAAATACAAAAATTAGCCAAGTGTGGTGGTGCACGCCTATGGTCCCAGTTACTCAGTAGGCTGAGGAAGGAGAATTGCTTGAACCCAGGAGGCGAAGGTTGCAGTGAGCCAAGATCATGCCACTGCACTCCAGCCTGGGCAACAGAGCGAGACTACACCTCAAAAAAAAAAAAATGTAGGCACTAGCAGAGCACATGGGTAGCAACAAGGATGGGAAAGGAAACTTCTATAATCACTATAGAAAGGATTCACAGCTTTCATGCAGCCTGTGGAAAGGGCACAGAGCTGGCCAGTGTTGAGCTCACATCTGGGCACTATCATTTAGTGGCTGTTGACTTTTGGAAAGTCACTTAACCAGACCGCACCTAATTTTCCTCATCATCAAGCAGGATTTGTCATGCCTACCTTGCAGAGCTATTTTAAGAATTAGCACTATGAGATACATATTGAACATACTGAATACAGCACCTAGCATTTAATAGATACTCAGTAAATGATAGCACTCATCCTTATCTTTTTCTCAGAGGTAAAATGCCCACAATAAAATTATATAAATGTCTTGAGGAAATAGGTGTTATATATAAGTTTTAAGTATAGGTGTGCTATATCTATTTAATTTCAATGAGTATGTATCTCTTACTTATAAAAATTAACCAAAATGTTTAGCTAAGTAATGAAATGATGCAGAAAAAATGTCTTCCAAGCATTATTTAAGTAATATTATTTATAGCTAAGAGGCTATGCTGCCATTTTTCAGTCAAACCTGAAACTTTGTGTAAGAAGAATCAATTACAATTATAAAAGAAATGAAGCAGTAGTACTTTTTTCTTTCTAGACATAAAATAAACAGCATTCTTTTACCTAAGACTGGATTTGGTGGAGGTACCATTGTGTTAATCATCTCTAAGCCCTTTGTATGTTTGTAATTTTTATAGTCAGGGACCAGATTTTCAAGAATCCTGTTGTTGACAGAAAAAAGAATTCCATAAATTTTATCATAGTTCTGACCCCAGATGCATTTTACCTTTCTGAAAAAGGATTTCAGCTTCCACCTCATGTTCCTCCACTGCTGTTGTTCTACAGAGCTTCAGTGCCACATCAAACAGATGAAGAGCAGGTAACCACTTCGAGGGGTCCTTCCTTTTATTCTTGTAATATACTTGCTTGGCCACTGTATGTCCTAAAAGAAAAACAGTTCGGTGGGGAAGAACAAAAAAATACACGGTGTTTATAACAAGCCTCCAAGTTACCAGACTGCTCTCACAGTAATGAAATCTATCAAGAACTTTGGTAGTTTTTACAGTTTTTAGCATCCAAGAAATGTTTTAAAGACATATAATACCCAATATTTCAATGAACTACAGTAATAACCCTTTGAAATTTTTTCTTTGATACATTTCTAACATGTTTTCTTCTTTTTTAAATGAAGGATAATCTCTCAAAACCCTTTCCTTCTAAAATTCACAATGCTCTACAGAACAACTTTCATGCTGCTAAGATGAAGTTGTTAATAGGGAAACACCTGGAAATTTTATGTTGTTCCCAATAAAATTTGCAAATATTAATGGGCAGTAATTTTCTTTCTATTAAGCATTATAGTGGTTACTTGCTTTGTGTGTTTTGTTTTGTTTTGTTTTGTCATCTCCACTAGACAGCAAACCCATGATGGACAAGGACTACATGCTATGCTTTTTATTAGGCCCCATCATTATTTAACATGTTTTTACTTAAAAAACCATTGTATGGAAGAGACATTAGACTTTATCTGTGTGACCCCAGAGCCAGACAGGCAGACATTTATTCAACAAATATTTTCTAAGTGCTTAGGTACTTGACAAAAACGAAAAAAGAAAATAATAAGAGCTAAGATTTATTAAATGTGTCCTACATTCCAGCCACCCTCTGAAGGACTTAAATGCATTACTCATATGATCCCCGCAACTCTGAGTGGGCACCATTATCAAGCTTATTTGACAGAGGACAAAGCAGTAGCTCAGTGAGGTTTCAGCAACTCACCCAAGGTTAGATGGCTGGTAAACAGAAGAGCCGTAATTTGAACCTAGGCAGTCTGGCTCCAGGGCCCACACTCTAAACTACAACATTGCACTATCTCTTAAGAGGGAGGTCATGAAGCCTAGTGTTTTGTTTAATGGAGAATATGAATAGCCAGACAGGCAATCAAAATACTGCATGGCCAATTGTGTAGCAGAGAAAGCACGGGGCACTTTGCTAGCAGGCCCAGATTGGGGGAGTTAGGGAAACCATCCCAGAGAATGTGGCTGTCTAGGCTAAAAGCAGATGAACACCTTCTCTTTGGTAATTTTAAAGAACAAAAAAGTTGGCATAAAGAGGAGAATGGAAGTAGGAGAAATAATTAATTGATTGGATAATTGAACACACAATAAAGTAATATAAACAGAAAGGCAGTGTAGGACTCTGATACAGATACTGAATTCTAGCTGAAGTGCTGGATCCTGGCCAGTCATTGGTGCTACCATATCATTGAGGCTTTGAACAAGTCCCCACATGCCTCCAAGCCTTGAGCGTCCTCTGAAAAAATGATTGAAATATTGGGTATTACATGTCTTTAAAACATTTCTTGGCTACTAAATGCTAAAAAATAAAATGCAGCAGAACTACAAAATCGTGAGGTATCTTTAGGTTCTGAAATTTTCTAATTCCAAGTTGCTATGCCCTACAAAGGATATATTTTTTTAAATCTAGAACTTTTTGTAAACTTTTAATTCAGGCATGTGCTATGTGAATGGCAGGATGATGGACAGCCTCAATCTCTCTCTCTCTCTCTCTCTCTCTCTCTCTCTCTCTCTCTCTCTCTCATCCAGGAAGAAGTTACTGAGTCCTTACTCTGAACCAGGCGGGATGGCAGCACACTGATGAGAATACGGAGATGACAAAGTGAATACGGAGAAGAAGAATATGGAGAGGAAAAGCCGTTGCTTCTGGGAGGCTCCCAGAAGAGTAAGGAGGCCAGGCATGGAACAGGAAGAACAGCTGACACCTACAAAGCTCTTAAAACAAGTGAGGAGGTGCCCTTCTAAATATGTTATGCATGCCACTCACGTCATCTCAGAGGCTAATGACATTGGCACTCACCCACATTTTATAGGAGAGGAAATGAAAACAAGGGAAGTTAAATGACTTGTTCAAGGGGATTGAATTGAATAAGAATTCCTTCTTAGAGCCCACACTCTTAACCTCAACAATTATCAACTGTGATTAGATCCCAGGCTAGAAGGGAAATAAAAGATATGCTAATTTGTTCAGCACAACCATATTTCAACATCTCCCCTTTTTGTATATTTCACTTATTGTTTCATATTATACCAAATATCAATATAAGACAAAAATAACAAATACTTCATGTCATCATGCCACATATATGTATATATAATATGTATTAGTACTATACAGTTTATATTATATATTAGTGCCATATGATATGATACATGATATGGTATGATATACAATATGATAATGGCACTAATATATAAAAATAATACTTGAATTGTCTTCTAGATTTTTGTTAAAATTAGAATTGTTACAGGGATTATGAACTATTTTCTCTCCCTCCCTAACTAGATAATAAGCTTCTTGAGGGCAGAGATGAGGACTGGCTTCCTAGTATGTCCCCACTTCCCAGCACCATTCTTGCATATAAGTGGCCCTCAATGAATGTTTGCTGATTGAATAAACATAAGAAATGTAAGTAACTTTCATTCACTCCTATCATAGAATCAGTAATCTACTTTTTCATGTAATAAGGAAGCTCAAGGTTCAGTCATTAATTAAAAAAAGATTTTAAATAACCATGATGTTTATTTTTGTCTTATAAAAAAATCTCTAAATGCCTTTTTCTATCAGAGACTTTCACATGAAAAAAAATTTTAAGTAGTCCATTTGTGTGACACAATCTATACTATAAAGGAAAATTATCAAGAAAGCATCAAGTCACAGCTGATTTTATGCTTTATAATATTTAAGTGCTCCTTTTTCCAGTAAATATCAACTCTGTGAAAAAGACGTTGTAAAACTGATGTTGTTTTGACAGAAAAGCTGCTTTGGGTTTTGTTTTTTAAGTCTGTGTTTAATATAATACACCAGGAAGCAAGCTGTTCAGCCTTAAGTGACTCTAAAACACGGCAACAGTATTGTCATTGAGTGGTGACACATCCTCAAGATTAGTAAGTCAGAAAAGTACAGAATATATTTGATTTAACACAATCTGTACAATTTAACACAATCTGTATTTTAAGCTCCTGTAGAAATCAAATGTCCTGATAATTGAAGAAACTGTAGACTGAAAATAGAGAAAAATAGCTCTCATGAGATCAACAAGCTGGAAGGAATTCAAGAGGCCAATTAAGTCAGCCTAACTTTATAAAGGAGGAAACTTAATATAAAGGGGAAGTAATTTATGTCAAGTTATAAAATTCATATGTGATGATGATCATCAACATATAACAATGATCAATAATAATAACGAGAGGGAGGAACAGAAGGGAGATGGGAGATTCTGCACAGTTGATAGCTTGGGCATGCCTTTCTGCCCTCCCTTTCCCAATCTAATCCAATATCAGCTTCTCCAGAGCTGCTGCTGCTGCTGCTGCTGCTGCTGCAGGAGACAGGTGGGTCCTAGAAGGTGACGGGTAAGAACAGACAGAGCTGGTACAGGATCTTCTGCACTCTGGGATGGACAAGAGCCTGGGAACCAGGGCAGGCAGCCTTGGATCAAAAATCAGGGACAGCATCCAAAAAGAGCTTGGAACAAGGTCTCTAGCTCCAAAGAGTGACAGCTCTGGCTGGCTGCCTTCTTGGTTTTCCAGGACCTGTGAGGGGCTTGAAGGTGGCCTGAGTCCTCTTCACTCCTGAAACTAAAGAATATTGGCCTTTGCTGCTTCTCCTGGTGCTTCACAGGGAATTGAACTTTTGAAGTCTGGTATACAGCCAACCCATATAGGCAGAACTAGCTATTCTTAACCACCACTTGCAGCATGGCCACTACTGAAATTAATCCAACAGCTAGACATGACCCACAATAAACAGACAAAGTAAAATAGCCTGGCAAAAAAGATCCAGCAGCTGACAAGAGGAAGAATAAATATAACCCCCAGAAAAGGTGGCAGTAGTAAAATAAAACTGATTAAAATTCAGATGACAAATCAAAAAAGTAAGAGCATGTATAGAGATATAAAGTTTTCAGATAATTTTGAGAAGATAGTCAATGCTGAAACCTAAATTAATAATCAGAAAGATCAAGTGGAAGTAAAAGTAGTTCAAGTTATAGATGACAAAAATAAATGGAAATTATAAAGGAAAACATAATAGACTTAGAAGACAGATCAAGACTTGATATATAAATAATAATAGTCAACACTCAATAGTGCTTACAATGGCCCAGGCACTGGTCTAGGCATTTAACATCTTCTTAACAATCTTATCAAGTAAGTGCCATTATTATCCCCTGAATGTTTGTGTCCCTTTAAAATTCATATGTTGAAATGTAACCCCCACATGATGTTATTAGAGGCAGAGACTTTGGGAGGTGATTAGGTCGTGAGGGCTCTGCCCTCCTGCATGAGATTACTGTCCTTGTAAAAAACAAGAAGACAGACTTGTCCTCGTAAAAGACAAACTTGAGAAAGCCTGTCTGCCCCTTCCACCATGTAAGGACACATAGAAGGTGCCATCTACAAAGCAGAGCCATCCCTCACCAGACACCAAATCTACTACTCCATTATTCTCTTGGACTTCCCAAACTCCAGAGCTGTGAACAATAGGTTTCCGCTGTTTATAAATTACTCAGTCTAAGGTATTTTGTTACAGCAGTCAAACAGACTACTGTAAAAACTCCCATTTTTGAGATGAGGAAATTAAGGCACAAAGAAGTTAAATCACATGCTTAAGATTTGAACATAGGCCAGATGGCTCTCGATGTACTAGTAACTGAAGAAGAAGAAAGAACAGAGAGTGACTAGGCAATAATTAAGCAAGAAGAAATTTTCTGACAGCTGGAAAGAGACTTATCTGCAGATTGAAAGTGCTCACTGATTTCTAGGCAGAGAAAGAAAAGGCATATACCCAGACATATGCTGGTAAAATTCCTGAGCTACAGAGACAAAAGAGAAAATGCTGTAAGTTTTCAGAAAGAAAGAACAAATTTCTTACCAAAAGAAAATGAAAATTAGACTGACACTGCAGTTCTCATTTGAGACACTCAAAGCTAGACATGATGGAATAATCTCTAACAAACCCTGAGAAAAAACAGCCACACCCAAAGATTCTGCTACTGAGCTGGGAGCACATCATTCACCTGTCAGAGTGCAAGAAAGGTATTTGCAGAGAACATGGAATCAGAATATAATCTGAGGAAAACACTTAAAAAGAAAGAGAAAAGGATTCAATCAACAACCTATGAAGCAGAACAGAGACTGAAAGACTCTGAAGGCTTTGAAGATGAACGAAAAGAAGGAGGGAAGAAGAACAGCAGCACTTTCTCAGTGGTACAATGACTAGGATTAGATATTAGAAATTAGAAATAGAGTTTCTTTAAAAAGGAAAGAACTAGTTTAAAGGAAAAGCATCAGGATACTTTGCTTAAAAAGTACTAAATTATCTCAGTAAAATCTGGGAGCTAGAGACAGTAGGAGAGAAGGAGCGAAACTTCTAGATATCTCTAGATGGTGAGTTTATTCCTTAAACTTTTAAAGTAGGAAGGTAAAATTCATCTACAGTCTCATCTAATTGGGGATGGCCTATGAGGGAAACATAAATTCATCTAAAGTCCCATCTAACTGGGGATGGCCTATGAGGGAAACAGGTAAGAGCCTCTTGGTGAGAGGAAAGTTGGATCTGGGTATTACAGTAGGGAACCACATATCTGAGTCTGCAGACTGGGAAAGGAAAAGTACAATGAATGTCTAAAATAACAGAAAAAAAGGTCATAAAAACAAATTGATCAAACTGACAAAGATAAAGAAACTAAAGTAAAATAAGTAGTAAAGATAAAGTAAGATGTAAGAAATAACAGCAACTGTACTACCATTTAGTGCATGACTGTTGTGTGCCAGGCACTGTTTAATACTATATATATTTGATTTCATTTCATTATTTCAAATATATAGGGAAAATAGCCTACCTCCATTTTGCAGATAAGGCATGAAGTCTAAGAGCTTGGATAACTTCTAAGATCAGACAACTAAGAAATAGTAATGCCAAGATTCAGGCCTGGATCCTCTAGATCCCAAATCTTCATCTAACCAGCTTGCTCTGCAGTTTCCTATTTCTAATAACCTGTGTGTTAGTCTTTTTTTCCACAGCACTGTCCACTAGTTTTTCTTCAAATATTTGAAAAGGAGCTAACATTTACTGAGCACATACTATCTGCTGGAAATGGTACTTGGTGCTAAATGCTTAATTTTCATTAGGTTTGTACCTTGACCAAAACATATTTCTTGAACAATTTTTTTGTTACAAAAGTTATATGTGTTCATTGTAGTTCATTATAGCAGATTAAAGGAGAGAGAGAAGCAAAAAGAAGACAATAAACATCATCCATAATCACCTCTGCCAAGGGGAGTCCCTATTTTCCAATGATATTTTGATGTATACAATGAATATTTTGTAATGTTGTGTTATATATGTTCCAATGTAGTGCGAACACCTTTCCATTGTATAAAAATTATTCTGCAACATTATTATTAGTGGTTGCATAGTAGTCTAATGGATGAATGAAATCTGAAAGCACCATTATTGATTGATTGCTTGATTTCAGGCACTGTGCTAGGTGCCCGGGATATCAGATGAACAAAACAAAATTGTTGCCTTAAGAAGCTTATGTCGTAATGGAGGCTTCAAACAAGCAAGTAAATTGTCCTTAACAACCAACATGGTAAGCATTACAATAAGAATAATCAATTAGAAGGGGGTTGAAGCACATCACCCAGTCTTGGGGTTCAGGAAAAGTTTCCTGGAAGCAGTGATGCTTAACTGAGATCTGAAGAATGGACAGAGTTTAAGGAAATGTATTTGCATGTGTGGGAGCCAGTGAGTAGTGGGGAGGAGAGGGAAGAGAATGATATGGTAGGAATGGGATTTCAGGGGAAGATTATTCCTAATGGAGAAAATCGCATGTGCAAAGGTGTAAAGCATGCAGCACCGCATGCATCACGTGCAGTCACAGTGATGCAGTGTGACCAGAGGGTTGGGTGGGAAGGGGCACAGGTCAGCTTGGACCACATCATAAGAAGCCTTTTAAGCCAGAACAAATAGAGATCATTTACTTAAAGGATAGACTAGGGAAATAGAAAGGTAATTATGGATAGGAAACCAGAGAGGGAGATGGAAAATTGGGAGAATGCAGCACCTGAGAATCCAGAGAGCAGAGTTTCAGGAAGTTGTGATTAGTGTCAGCAATGTCAAATGCTTTGGAGGGTCTGAAAACTACATATTGGAATTATAGATTAAGTCCTTGGTGATGAACTCAAGAGTGATTTCTCTGGTCCAAATCCAGAATGAAGTGGGGTGAGGGGTGAATGAGAGGGGAGGAAAGAAGAGGAAGAGAGCAGACTCTACCCTTAAGGAGTCTGGCTGGAAGGATGTTTTGTGAGAATGACAGAGGCTTACAGTAGGTTTGTTATTGTTTTTTGTTTGTTTAGTTTATTTTTTTACTGGTGGATATTTGAAAATATTTACAAACTGAGGGAAGGAGAGAAAAGGATGTGTTGAGTAAGGAAGGTAGAAAACATGTGAGAGAGGGGTAAAAGTGCCAAAGCAAGGTCCCCAGGAAGGACAGAGCCAACTAGGAGCTACAGCAAGGCCAAAAGGCTCAGCAGCATTGATAAAGGGGCAGGCTCCTCCCCTGAGAAAAGAGAGAGGCAGAAGGAGGCTGGAGTCATTAACCATGCTCGCAAAGCAGAGTTAGGCTGATACACCGTTTTCCCACTGCAGAGAAACTATACCATCCACCTGGGATTGAAAATACTATTATCAGCCAGTCCACTAGTTAAGGCACTAACTAGAGTATTGTGAAGGAACATAAGATGCTGTCCCTTCAAGGGACCTTGACTCATAAAAATATGAAGACTTTTGACAATTCCTATATTTGTAAGACACAAGTTTATTTCTTAAACTTTTACAAACAAGTTATCAGAGCTTCCAAAAAAAATGAATATCACCTTCATTAACACTTTTATTTAAGCTATTTTTATTGACAAATGGGATCTAACTAAACTAAAGAGCTTCCGCACAGCAAAAGAAACTATCATCAGAATGAACAGACAACCTACAGAATGGGAGAAAATCTTTGCAATCTACCCATCTGACAAAGGTCTAATATTCAGAGTATACAAAGAACTCAAACAAATTTACAAGAAAAAAAAACATTAAAAAATGGGCAAAGGACATAAACAGACATTTCTCAAAAGACATGCATGCAGCCAGCAAACATGAAAAAAAGCTCAACATCACTGATCATTAGAGAAATCCAAATCAAAACCACAATGAGATACTATTTCACACCAGTCAGAATGGCTATTATTAAAAAGTCAAAAAACAACAGATGCTGGCAAGGTTGCAGAGAAAAAGGAATGCTTTTACACTGTTGGTGGGAGTGTAAATTAGTTCAACCACTGTGGAGACAGTGTGGTGATTCCTCAAAGACTAGGGGCAGAAATACCATTTGACCCAGCAATCTAATTACTAGGTAATACCCAAAGGAATATAAATCACTCTATTCTAAAAATATATGCAAGCATATGTGCACTGCAGCACTATTCACAATAGAGAAGACATGGAATCAACCTAAATGCCCATCAATGATAGACTGGATAAAGAAAATGTGGTACATATACACCATGGAATATTATGCAGCCATAAAAAGGAACGAGATCATGTCCTATGGATGGAGTTGGAAGCCATTATCCTCAGCAAACTAACACAAGAACAGAAAACCAAACACCACATGTTCTCACTTATAAGTGGGAGCTGAATGATGAGAACACATGGACACGTCGAGGGGGAATGACACACACTATGACCTACTGGGGGGTAGAGCAAGGGAGAGCATCAGGAAGAATGGCCAATGAATGCTGGGCTTAGATAGGATGATCTGTGCAGGAAACCATCATGGCACACATTTACCTATATAGCAAACCTGCACATCCTGCACATGTACCCCTAAACTTAAAATAAATGTTGAAGAAAGAAAATAAATAATAAAAAATAAACTATTTTTTTGTTCACAGGCATTAAATTAGCATTTTTAAAGATGTAAGTACTTCATAACATCAGTTATAAAATACATAATGCATTTAACACATTCCTTTCCAAAATCTTCTTTAACAGTTAGTTATAATTTAAATATGCTAGACAACAGATTATTTAAGAAATGTATTTTGTGTTTGTAGGATTTTTTTCAGTAAAGTTACTGAATTGCATGGTAATTTTGAAGTAAATTATGTGGGCATAATTTTAATCCAAAAGACTGATGACCTGGATAAAGTGCAATAGTCTAGACCAAGCAGTTATGCATGTTATATTATGGTAATCAACCACATACTTTATTCATATATAAAGACCATCTATACATCACACAGTCTGGCATATGATAAGTGATCAAAAACTATTGGTTAAATAAATGGAGCCTGAGTATTCATAAATATTGCCTCTTTTAAATGCACTCATATGATAGCCTGCCTAAAAATAACTTAAAAAGTTTTATCAGTTATTCTAGGGCAATATAAGTTTAAATGTTCTTACCAATTCTCATTTTTATTTTGGCCAATAACATGACATGGGGAAGATAGATATTTTTCAAAGGCTGTAATGGATTTGCATATTTAGTGTTTGATGAACGAAATTCAATTGTTTCTCCAAAAGCTAGCATCTATTAAAAAAACAAATATTGTAATGAGCAATTAGTTGACGTGGTTTGGAATAGGAGGAAAGAGAGAAAAGTAAGTTTCTATGTCTCGCAGACACAAAAGCATTCTCACCTGTTCAGTTAGAATGCTATGAGCCCGAGTTAACAAATTTAATTTTCCTGTTTTTGAAGAGGGAGATTCCTTGAATTTCTCAGCTTTGGTTAAGTCATCCAGCAAAACTAGGCTTCTTGCCAGGGTTAGCCGTGATTGAGGAGAAATAAATTCATTTCCTTCCAGCAAATGTATTATATCCTATTAAAATAAAATTATTCATTTTGATAGTACTGTTTCCAATTCACTGAAACAAGAGCTGGACATGTTAATTGTTATGCATTCAGTACCTAGTGGAATTTGAAATTCTCTCCTTTTGTTCTAACTGGAATCCCTCCCTGACTATAAATACGAACAAAGTTTCCTTTCTACCTGAAGGTTTGTCATGATGTCTGCCTTTAAATGCTTTTCTTGTAGGCCAAGAATTACAGCTTGCGTCAAGAATTCAGCCTGCAGTTCCGTGTCCCCTGCGCTTTTTGCCTCCATACACACTTCATTGATGAGGCTCAGGCAATCTGTCATATCATCCTCTAAAATAAACAAATGCGGTTATTTAAAATGCATTGAGAAAGTCAGAAGTTATACATGTGTAATAGCCCCAATTTTCATCACAGAAATATTGTGTAATATCAAAGAACAGGGGAGTATATTAAGATGGAAAACAGACTCTACATGAAACATGGAAAATAAATGTGTTGTAATTTGGGGGAAAGTACTTTAGGACTTTCCAGTGCTGCAAAAATGATGATATTGCATGAGATAATTTAATTTGGAAGATGGATAGAAATGAGTGAATAGATAGGTATACAAATAGATAATGATTAATCACTGCAAGAACTAACATTTACATGTGCCAAGCTGTGATCTAAGAACAGTATAAATTTAACCCATTTAATTCTGACAATAATCCTATAAAGTAGGTACAATTGTCTCCATTTTACAGGGTAGGAAACTGAGTAAGGGGGATTTAAGAGACTTGGCAAAGAAAGGCTTGGCAAGGAAGTAGTGGATCCAATATTTGAACCCAAGTGGGTTGGCTCCAGTAATCTGTGCTCTTCACTCCTACACTTAGTTGCCTTCCCAGATGACAAGAAGACCTGGTCATTCGTATTATGAAATTGCTTTATCTGTTTTGCATACATTAGTAAGATATAAGCCACTTTCAATGATACAAAGGGCTGTTAAAAATATTCCTATATATTAATAACCTGAATTTTTAATTCTATAAGCAGATCAAGCTAGAAAGTTATAAAACATTAACATAATAAAATATATCCCAATAAACCCCTCTTCACCTATGTAAAATTAATTTTTATGAAAACATTGATTAAGCAAATGTTTGTACCTTTCACAATTCCAATGCCATGAATCTGTGCAACAAATGCAGTCACCAATGCTAAGCGGCACCTCAACCACAGATGAATGTTGAAATATTCTCGGGCATTTAGGGAAATAGGATCTAAAAACTCACTGTCATCTTTATTTTCAGTGACCTAAACAATATTAAAATGATGGTTATCTTTCCATTTAATAATGTCAAGGTTCTAGCCTAAGACTAAATGTAATGTAAGTTTAAAAGGCATCTGGTATCATTCCACAGTATTACAATTTTAAATTTAGAAATGATTCTTGCACATTCTATAAAATATAAAAAATATTCAAAACAAAATCACCCACAATCCAGAAATCCTCTATTAACATTTTAGCATACTGCTTTTCAGCTTTCCTTTTCTCTCCGTACCCATTGTTGAAAAATAGTTTTGCAGTGTGAATTTCTCACTGCAAATTATATTATCAGCAGTTTCTGTG
Organism: Homo sapiens; assembly: GCF_000001405.40. NCBI lineage: Eukaryota > Metazoa > Chordata > Mammalia > Primates > Hominidae > Homo > Homo sapiens. The sequence goes on along the minus strand of NC_000012.12, from coordinate 96,742,122 downwards.
TCATTAAAAGTTTTTGTAAATGTCATTTCAAGGGCTAAAAAATAAATAATATTCACTAATATCCATTTAGTTATTATGTGTCAGGTACTGTGCTACACGCTTTGTATATATTATCTCATTTAATCCTCCTAACAGCCAAAGAGGTATTATAATCATTTCCATTTTACAGTTGGGAGAACTGAGACCTAGGAAGGTTAACTATCTTGCCTAAACACTGTCATATTTTGACGGAGGTGGGATTCCAACCTATGTCTTCCTGCCTTCAGAGTCCACAGTCTTAATCCACTGTGTCATGCTGCTGTATGCTGCTCATATTCCAAACACGTATTATAATTAATTTGCCACCCTCAATATTACACTTTACAAAGAGGTGACAAATGTCCAGAGCTACTGAGAGCTAGGAGAGATGTGCAAAGAAAGCTATTTCTGGGGGAGTGGAGTCCATCGTAGACACTAGGAACTTTAAAATCATTTAGAAAAACTGTCATTTGTTCTAAGTATTTCCTGCTATGCATCTCTGACAGCTCCTCATGTCCAACCAATCAGCAACATGTGCTAGCCAGGAGTAGCTAATGGGGCCTAAAGGGGCTCAAATGCAGGTGGGTAGTACAGGAAGAGTAGGGCAAGGTGTTCCCTGGAAACAAGGGTAAGCAGTCAACATGCGCGGCGCGGTGGCTCACACCTGTAATCTCAGCACTTTGGGAGGCCAAGGCAGGTGAATAACCTGAGGTCAGGAGTTCGAGACCAGCCTGACCAATATGGTGAAACTCTCTACTAAAAATACAAAAATTAGACAGGCATGGTGGCAGGCACCTCTAGTCCCAGCTACTCAGGAGGCTGAGTCAGGAGAATTGCTTGAACCCAGGAGGCAGAGGTTGCAGTAAGCCGACACTGTGCCACTGCATTCCAGGTTGGGCGATAGAGCGAGACTCCGTCTCAAAAAAAAACCAAAAAACCAAGAGTAAGCAGTCGACAGAGGCCCACAGGGAGGATAGTGATTCAAATGGGCACAAGAAGTACTCAAAGAGTCTAGTATGTAGATTAGCAATACAGAAAAAAATGTCCATCAATAGAACTTAATCACTCAATGCTCAGATTTCCTGTCACTAATGAAAAGATAGGTCACATTAATCTCAATCAGGGTTTCTCAACCTCAGCACTACTGACCTATTTAGGGCCAGATAACTGCTGTGGAGGGCTGTCCTGTAGATTAAAGGAAGTTTAGCAACTTCTCTGGCCTCTACCTAGTAGATGCCAGTAGCACCCGCCTCCACCCAGTTGTGACAACCTAAAATATCTCCAGACATTGCCAAATTTCCCCCGGGAGGCAAAATCACCCCCAATTGACAATCATTATTCTAAGTCAATTTTTAGAGTTAGATTGCTTTTTAGCATTTTTATTGCTTTCAATATAGTAAGAAATGAGTCTCTATTGAGGACAATTAGTTTTGCTAATTTGTAATGATGCTAGATATTAGCGATTTTATTAGTAATACTTGAAATAATGAGCAAGGGTTCTATATGATGAATCTTTATAATTCAGTCCTAAACAATCCTGTATTGTTAAATTACTTGGTCTTATCAAAGCCTAATCAGAGAATATGTGACATTAGTTGTCAGATTTGAGAGCTTGAATGCAAGATTCTAACTATGAGGAATCCAAAGCAGGAAACAGCCCAGGTATCTGACTGGCAATGCTAAGGCAATAGATTCAAAAGCGGAATGAGGAGCAAGTCTTGGGAAACAACTTTATTTGCTAGGTAGATAAAAGCTAGATTAATATAATGGTACATCTGGAACTTTGGATTGGACTTTAGTAATTATTATATCCCAATTCCATTAGTTCACAAATGAGATAACCAATTTTTTTTTAATTAAGAGATTTGTCCAAGGTATACCAATAAATAAATAGCATTAATAGGACCTAAATCTTTTTACTCCAAATTCAATGTTTTTTCTACTTTACTCCTTTGCTTCATCTAAATAATTAGACAATATCCTAGCATGCCAATAGTTCTTATATGATAAGTATTGTAAGAACAGACATTAAGTCATACTTACAGAAGTTCCTGGAGAGACAGGATTCTCTGTGTCATCCTGTACTACCTTCTTTTCAAAAAGTTTTGAATCCTGGAGAAGTGTAAGTGTAGAAAATACTATTGCAGCACTAAAATAGAAAATATATTTTAAATGTTATCAGTATTATATTTGTGGCATCTGTATGTTATTTCCTAAATCACTTTCTCCAAAAAACATTCTCACACCCCAGCCAACAACCCCCAAAACTGTTAGGTGCCATTTCTGCAGGCCCTAATAGTACCCTGGTCTTAACCACACACTAGTACTTGTCATATTTCATTGCCTGAGTATTGCTTCACAGCTAATTTGTCTTATTCCCTATTGAAATTGAGCATCTACCATAGTGACTGAGACATAATAGAAACTAAAAAATATTTTTAAATGAAAATGAGTGAATAGAAGAATAAAGGAGTGACGTTTCCAAGATCCAAAACAAAATGTATTGGCAATCTCATTTTAATAAAATGAGTATATATGTACTTTATGTACATCAGAATGTGATTCTCCAGCTTTCTGAGGTCATGGAACTATGTTACCTAATGCTATTACACTTAGAAATTCAAGCTAAATTATTGTTTAATCTCTGTCTAGCAGTGCCAGAAAGGAAATGTACTCTGTCAAGAAAATGGAGGCCAGGAGTTAGGAATTCTTCACTTCCTGTTGCTCCATACATAAATTTGTCTGTATTTTAAGCCGTTATATTCTCCTCCCCTGTCGAATAGTAAACTTATCATTGCATCACACTTCTTCAAAATATTTTAATGATATATATTAAGAGCTGTCTTCTTTTGAAAATGTATTCCAAAACAAAATTCAAAATACAGAACAACCTGTATGCCTGAAGATGTTCATCACACACACATTAAAAAAAAACTGGATGAAGGCCGAAATATATCCATCCAATTTCCCCACTTAACAGCTCCACTTGAATAGTTAATCGACAGTCACATTTAACAGGTGTTATGAGTTGAATTTTGTCTCCCCAAAAGGTATGTTGAGGTCTTAACCCCCTGTACCTCAAAATGTGACCTTACTTGGAAATAAGTTCGTTACAGAAGCAACCAAGTTAAAATGAGGACATTAGGCTGGGTCGTAATCCAATATGACTGTTGTTTCTGTAAAAAGGGAGATTTGGGCCGGGTGCAGTGGCTCACGCCTGTAATCCCAGCACTTTGGGAGGCTGAGGTAGGCAGATCACGAAGTCAGAAGATCAAGGCCATCCTGGCTAACACGGTGAAACCCAGTCTCTACTAAAAATACAAAAATTTAGCCAGGCGTGGTGGCACGCGTCTGTAGTCCTAGCTACTTGGGAGGCTGAGGCAGGAGAATCGCTTGAATCCAGGAGGCGGAGGTTGCAGTGAGCCGAGATCACTCCATTGAACTCCAGCCCGGCGACAGAGTGAGACCCCGTTTCAAAAAAAAAAAAAAAAAAAAAGGAGATTTAGACATAGACGTGCTTGGAGGGAAGGTTATGTGAGGACACACAGGGAGAAGAGGGCCATGCAACAGGACTGATGCACCTACAAGCCGAGGAACGCCAAGGACCGCCAGCAAATGCCAGAAGCCGGAAGAGGCAAGGAAGGATTCTCCCCTAGAGCCATTAGAACAAGTGTGGCCCCATCGACACCTCGATTTCAGAAGTCTTGCCTCTAGGACTGTGAGACAATAAAATTCCTTGCTTTCAGCCACCCAGTTTTTGGTACTTTGCTACAACAGTCTTAGGAAACCAGTAACAGCAAGTTAAAAGCAGACCCCTTCACTTCCATCTCCTCCACCCAAACCCACTCCTCATCCGTGTCCTCCATCCCACACGCAGAACCCAGAAGTTGCCATGGCTTCCCCTCTGTGAGTCGCACTTCATGTTCAATCCATCAACAGGCTTCACCTTCCAAATAGGGCTCCTCATCTCCTCCACTGCTAACGCGTTCGTTCAAGCCACGATCATCTCCAGGCTGGATGACCACAGTAGCTTCCTAACCAGTTTTCTGCCATGACTCTTGCCCTTGCAGTCCTGGTCTCCACACAGCAGCCACAGTGATCTCTTCAAGCTGTAAATCAGATTTACACGTTCCAGGGCCCTCCCCCATCCCCAGCCTGCCTTCCATGCTCGCTCCTCCTTTGGATCCGTTACTGAGATTCTGATGCAGTGTATGTTCAGCTTCATCAGTGTCCATGGATCCTATAAGAAGGCTCCCAGAAGGGGTACATATGCTCAGTGTTTAAATTACATTTCTATACAGGTCTATTGATCTATATTTTTGGTCAATATATCTCATGCCTGTAATCCCAGCACTTTGGGAGGCCGAGGCGGGCATATCACGAGGTCAGGAGTTCGAGATCAGCCTGGTCAACACGGTGAAACCCCGTCTCTACTAAAAATACAGAAATTAGCTGGGTAGAGTGGCAGGCACCTGTAATCCCAGCTACTCAGGAGGCTGAGGCAGGAGGATGGTTTGAACCCGGGAGGCAGAGGTTGCAGTGAGCCAAGATGGCGCCACTGTACTCCAGCCTGGGTGACAGGGCAAGACTCTGTCTCAAAAAAAAAAACAAAACATATATATATATAAAATATAATATATAATATATCTATTAAAAACTGAAAATATTGTGCTAACATTGGCCACAGAAATTCTCTCCTTTTTTTCCCCACAATCTTTTTTAAAAAAAGATAATAACTGGTATTTACCAAGTGTTTGCCACCTGACAGGTACTATATTAAGCACTTCCTGTGAATAAATTCATTCACTCCCCACCACAAGTCTACAAGGTTATAGATACAAGTTGAGTATCCCATATCCAAAAATCCAAAATTCTTCAAAATCTAAAGCTTTTTGAGTGCTGACATGACACTCAAGAAATGCTTGTCGGGGCATTTCAGATTTCAAATTTTCAGATTTGGGATGCTCAACTAGAATAATGCAAAAATTCCAAACTCCCCCCAAAAATCTGAAATCTGAAACACTTCTTGCCTCAGGCATTTTGAATGTGGGATACTCAACGTGTACTATTATCATCCCTATTTTCCAGATTAGAAAATGAAGACACAGAAATGTTAAATAACTTGATCCAAGTCACACAGCTAGAAAGAGGAGCCAGGTTCAAAACTCAGGCAATCAGCCCCAGAGCCTGTACTCTTATCTGTTACTCTATGACACCATCTCTGTCTTTTCACAGTTTCTACCAAGTTTGGTTTTGTTGAATTTTTGCTATCCATATAGTGTTAGTATCATATTTATGGCTGTTATATAGTCACTGTTGACTGTACCTTTCATCAATATCAATGGGCCTCTTGGTGCAGTTCAATGCCTTTTGCCTTGCATCCTACTTAGCATAATATTGATATTGCCATCTTTGTTTCTTTATCTTTTCTTAGTATCTTTGATAACTGAAAATCCTTTTAGTTTTAAAGATGTCTGGACCATTTTTGACAGTGATTTATAGTTCAATTTTATATCTACTACTTCAAGTAGCATTCTTCTTCTGTTCTAAGAAAAGCATCAAACATCCCATCCTTCTGGGACATTATTTTCCATCCTCTGCCTACCCCCTTTTCTTAGTTCTTAGTGAGGGCTTCCATATTCTTTCATGACCCTGCCTCCTTGGCCATGGTGCTTGGGACCAGGGATGGGCACATGAGCCAAGCCGGGCCAATCAGAGCACTTCCCTGGTATCTGAACCTGAAGCAAGAGACAGTCTTGTGCTCTCTCTCTCTCTGGTAAATTTGGGGCATTAGAAGTCTTGATCTAGTGGCAGACATGTATCCAGCACTGTAGAGGAAGCCAGCCTGATCAAATAAAGCTAACACATAATGCTGAAAGAGAGAAGATGGAACGAGGTGATTCCAGGAGCACTCAAGCCTTTGCTCTCAGTAAACCCTCAGGCCCATCCTTACCTCTGCCTTCCCCAGCTTTGTATTCACATGAATCAGAAAATTTCCCCTTTTGGCTGATTTGGCTTAAGTTGCGATTCTGTCACTTGCAACCAAAAAATCCTCACAAATCCAGTATGTTTCAACTATTTTACATTTATGGGCATAATTAACATGCCTTGTTTTCTTCTATTATTTTATGCTTTCTGAGTGTATTCTTCCTTTTTCCTTTGTTTTGTGTCTTCTGCCATAAGACTATTTCCCTTTTACTTTCCACACTGATTTGAAATATATATATTCTGGTTTAGATTCTAATAGCAGTTATGTTTAATATTTTCCAAAACACACTTCTCCATTAATCCATCTTAAAAACATAATTTCTCTACTCTGCTTCTCTATTTCTCAATGTATAAAATGAACCAACATATTTTTATTCCCTACATATAGGATGAAGAATTTCATAATTTTTAATTACCCTATCTCTCCCACATCCACTTGGTTATTAAAATCTGATATATTATCCCCAGGTCATTGTTAGTTATCTTTATACTCTATCACCTTTTTCAGGAATTAGTTTTGACATCTGTATTCAGTTATGCAAACTTATCATTATTTACACTGAGCCCAAACTAGCTCCAGTGCCCACCACCAGTCATTTTTACAGAATCACTGCCTCATTTCTCAGTCTTAACTATGAGATGGATCTCTTCTGTTGGCTGGAGTAGTTCCTTAAGCCTCTGCACAGTGTTAGGGTATCTGCCGAGGTTTTTGGATAGTGAACCCCTTCTGAGTTATGTGCTTAGAAGGTAGAGCGACCACTCTTCTTTCCTGGCCCCCGATGCTGTTCCTTTCAGGGGATAAAGTGGATGTAGATGATCCCTTGTGGTTCTGACTCCATCTTCATCTATGGGTTACATTTGAAAAAAAGTTTTCCCATTTCTTGCAAAAGTTGAATTATTATGCTTAGCTTTCAATTCTATTAAAGCTTTTCTATTTTTCTATCTCCGTGGGGAGCATGTCTTTCAATGGGAAGTTGGTGGAGAACCTATCAGGGAATATTACCCCAATGCTATTTTTCAGGTAGAAATCTGGACCTCATTCATTGCTTTAACTTCACTTTGTAAGCAGACAGATATTTTTCCAGGTGTATACATACTAGTTATAATTTCTTCTTTTTAATGAAAAGTTTATGGTATTTGACCATTTATCAACAGTCTCTTTTTATCAATTTTATCAGTAATTTTATGTAAAAATGAAAGGAACTATTTGTCATATTTACTTGAAGTAAAAATCTTGTTTTTCTATGTATGGTTGGTGTAATGGTTTTTGTTGTTATTGTACTTATAAAAATTAAAATATTTCACAGATTAAATCAGTTGACATTTTTCTTTGTAGTCAGTTGTAATTTTGGAAATACATATTTCTAGAGATTCTGTTATTTAATTGTATTTTTTTCTACTTAAAAAAACTTTTTAGTTCATGTGAAATAACCTAATTTTTAAGAATTCATACACTGGAGAGAGAGAGGTCAAATTCCACTTTTCCCATATATTAACTGTGTGATCTTGGGAACCCCAATTATCAATCTCATTATCTATAAAGCAGTAATGATGATAATAACAGTGCAAACTTCATGACATGAGATTATTATAAGGGTTAAATAAGATCCTTTCATAAAAATAAAGATCTTATTTAATCCTTATAATAATCCAAAAGTACATATGGAGCATCTGCTATGGGCCAGGGAGAAATCTAGGGGCTATGAATATAGCAGTAAAGAAGACAAACAAGAATCCCTGCCCTCGTGGAACTGACATTCTAGAAAGCATGGAGTGTGCTTAGCAAATAGGAGTGCTTGGCAAGCAGAGGCACATAATGCATGCTAGCTATTATCATTATTAATGTATTGAATTGGCCAGGAGAGGTGGGGAGAGACTAAATTGATTTTTTTTCTAATTTGTTAAATAACATCCCAATTTCTTAGCAGTTACTGAATTTTAAACTCTCAAGATTTTGCTGAGCCATTAAAATGGTTTAGATATTTGTAGAAAATTTTCTAAGGTGCTGTAATTAACTTGTTTTTTATTTAAAATAAAACTAACCAAGAAAATAACAACAACAACAAACATAGCATGGAGTCAGTGTGTGCACAGGAAACGTGCCCTCCCCACACTCTTCCTCCCTCAAAGCTACACACATTTCTGAGGCACCTCATTTACTCAGTAGTTTCCAAGGCTAACTCAGCATGGCTGATAGAAAACCCTGGAAAAAGAAAGTGGTACCCATTCCATTCTTCTCATCTTGAAACCCAAATTCTGATTTTAAGAGAAACAAGGTATGAGGTTTGGCATCTTACTAACCCAAAAACTTAATGAATAAAATATAAGACATACCAGTATGTCCTAATCCACTCGGTACTGCTTAGTTGCAGAATGGAAAATTTCTAGTTTCTCCACTACACTAGACAGATAGAAAGTATGTGAGGATTACCTACTGCCAACAGTCTAAAATCTCAAAAGAAGAAAGTTTCAGTCTGACACAAAATTAAAAGGCCCAAATATTTTTCCATTTAAACAATAGATCAAATGTAAAGGAGAATAGGAAGGAACACTTATTAAAAAAAAAAAAAAAAACCCACAGGATTTTGAAAGAAAGAGGCAGCCCTAGAAGTAGAAATACAATTTGAATAACTTTGATCCCATTTATTTCTTATTAGCATTCATGACAAAAATGGTCAGTTTGTTCTCATAAAATCCATGCAACTCACTCTACCTGTCACCCTAGGGAATGTGCCTTTCAATTTCCTTGACACATAATTTTATTAGAAGTATCATGAAATGTCAAGCTAACCATCATTTAAAAAAGGGACTGTCCAACACTCTCAGCAGTACCCAAACAGAAGCTCACAGGGGGTAAAGTTCACATGAGAAAAACTCATTCATCTTGACAGTAGGCTTCCCCTAAATGACAACTCTGCTCCAAAAAGGCAATAACATCAAAGTTTTTTGCAGGTTTTGTCCCAAGGGCCAGGTTCGTGTATTTAAAATAGGAGCAATTCTGATATACTTGCACACTATTTGCATATGTCTATCTGGTTTTCAAATTAAAGTTCTATTATGACAGTCCTTTCTATGGCCATTTTGTAATTTTTAGTTTCTCATTTCATTCTTCCTCCCCAAAAAGAATAAAAACCACTCATATCCTTCATACCAAAAGGGTATAGGATACACAGAGAGCTGGGGAAAGAATGAAGGTATTGATAAATATTTTCTAGGGCTGCTGTTGCTCTCTGACACATAGTTTGGAAAAAAAAAACAGTTCTATAGAGAATTATATAGTAAAAATGTCTTCTCCCTTCAAACTCCAATGGAGGAAATGGTATGTTATTATACTGAGCATATTCTACCATCAACTACCATGTGTCCTTAAAGATAGCTATACATATGACAATATTCTAAGCCAGTGGTTCTCAAGCTTTTTATTCTCAGCACCTCTTTATACCTCTAAAAATTATTGAGAACCCAAAAGAGCTCCGTCGACATTTGCCAACATTAGAAATTCAGCTAAAAATGTCTTAATTTCCTTAACATTTATTAATTCCTCTTAAAATAAAAATAGTAAACCTATTACATATTAAAATAAATAAAATATTTTATGCAAACAACTATATTTTCAAAAAAATTCATGAGAAGAATGCCATGAATCTCTTTAATGTCTTGTTTAATAAAAAACAAGCTACCAAGTGGCCAGGCATGGTGGCTCATGCTTGTAATCCCAGCACTTTGGGAGGCCAAGGCGGGTGGATCTCTTGAGGTCAGAAGTTTGAGACCAGCCTGGCCAACATGGTGAAACCCCAACTCTACTAAAAATACAAAAATTAGCCAGTAGCACACACTACAGTGTGCACCTGTAGTCCCAGCTACTCGGGAAGCTGAGACAGGAGAATCATTTGAACCCAGGAGGCAGAGGTTGCGGTGAGCTGAGATCCTGCTACTGCACTCCAGCCTGGGTGACACAGCAAGACTCTGTCTGAAAACACACCGCACACACACACACACACACACAAACACACACACCCCTACTTAACAGAAGATTGTTCATCTCTTTTTCTACACTCAGTCTTTCCTAAAATATTGTTTTGGTTGAAGTGTATGAAGATTAGGCGTCACACAGTCATTGGAAATGGGAGAAGTATTTGAATAGCTGCTTCAAATTACTGTTTTAAAGTTCTTCTTTGATACTACACCAATGTAGTATCAAAATGACAATTATCATGTGACAAGTGATCTTTTTTTTTAAAGTTTGTTGCAATGTAGAATTTAATACCACATATTGCTGAACTTTTCCTACTTTGTTCCATTAAAATCTACTGCTCTATCTTGTTCACTAGGATTTTGTAACATTATGCATAAGTCATTTAGGAAATATTGTCTCCCTGAGTTATAGAGCTCCCCCAAATATTGAAGCATTTTATTATACAATATTTTTAAAAGTCATGTTTTTAGTATTTCTACCAATCTGACAGGAAAAAAATCTAAATATTAGAAAATTGTCAAGCTCGTGGTGGCTCATACAAGTTTCCCAAACTTCTAGTTTTCCTGTGAAAGTTTAAATTCTATCATCGGCAACAAATACTATCAGTTCTTACCCTAGAGGTGGCATACTCACTTGGCTCATTTTCAATAAAATATTTGCCAAATACTCAAGTCTGAATAACCATAGTTTGTCCATTGTTTTTCAAATGAAAATGGTATTCCATGAAGAAAGCAGCCTGTCCAACTCTCAATTCAATCACACACATTCTTCTTCAAGTCAACCATAGCTTTCATAAGCAGCAGACATACCTAGGCATATTTCCCATATAATATTCCCATAAGATGTTAAAAATATATATCCAAGGATAGGGATTTATAAGTGCAAGATTTTACTGCCTCGCCAGGGGCATTCTTAAGTGAAACTGGCATTTTTTTAAATTACAAGTGTGCAGGAATGAAGACAGCAGTAACTACTAGTACAGTTTGGGGCTGCTGCTTTGATTCATGGTGAGGCGCCAGAAGTCTTATCATTGTTGCTTCTGCAGCATCAGTGTGAACGACACAGTGAATAATGCAAATGCTGTCTTAATTTTATTAATATGGTTCTGACCTCATGTACACCCCCATGCCCAGGGGGTCTGGGAGACACCCCCAGAGATGTGCAGACCACACTTTCAGAATCACTGCTCCAAACATACTTTACAGATTTTCATCACTGCTTAAAAACTACAAAAATTATAAATCTCCCAAATCCTCTGCTGTCATCTAGATTTAGATGTGGTTAGTCATGGAACAGCCTTCAGTCAAAGCTTGTAGGCTTATACTGATGAGATGATTATATGTTTCCAATCAAAGCAAATGAGGATTTCTGCTGAATTGATTTCCCCTTTGGGAAACATATAAGTGGGATTCTCCTGTTTAAAGAGAATGACAGTCTAAAAGTCTTAAATGCAACTCCTCTTCCAAATTTCAATTTGAATGGGGTTTAATGTATGGAATTTCATTATAAATGAAAAAAATAAGGAGAGAAAAAAATATTTTTCATCTAACTTGATCATTTCTTTTCTCTTTCAGTGACTATATTGTTTCATTTATAGAATTTCTATTTTGCTGTTTTCCAAATTCATCTGTTCCTTTTTTATGTTGTCTCACTGTTTCTTTGTAGATTCTCTTCTATCCTTCCTATCTTTGAACAGTTTGTTTCTTGGGCTGTGAAGTCTGACATTTATTGTGTCTGCTAACTCTCTGTTATGGCTGTTTCTTCATCTGATTTATAATATTTGACTCGGTGCTATCTTTGGTGGGAGTTATTTTCCATAGAAGTCTTGCATTTCCTGGGTTAACCTCTATGAGACTGTTCAGGGTATGCCTCTGCTCCAGCTCTATGATGTCAGGACCTTTTTAAATTAACTTCTCAGGGTTTCTGCATTTCATGGATGATGTCAATTTGGACCCCACAATTTCTAATGGCATCAGCCTGGGGAACTGATTTCTCTTGGGTGACTTTTTCCATCTGTGTCCCTGGCAGGCAGCTAGTCCCCTGGCTAGCCTCCAGAGACTATTCTGTATTCCCAAACTAGAGGATAACTTTATTCTGTATTAGAGAAAAAGAGAAGACTGGACCGGGCTCCTACTCGACTGTGTGCCAATCATATCAGAACATCACATTTGCTCTCTGTACTGGGTCTTTTTCATTATCATCTCTCATTTCAAGAGAATTTGTCTTGACCCTACTTCTACCAACTGCAGTCACCCTCTTTCTCTACTCCCCTTCATAGTAAAACTCTTCTAAAGAATCATCTTGGAGGAGCCAAGATGGCCAAATAGGAACAGCTCCGGTCTACAGCTCCCAGCGTGAGCGACGCAGAAGACGGGTGATTTCTGCATTTCCATCTGAGGTACCGGGTTCATCTCACTAGGGAGTGCCAGACAGTGGGCGCAGGACAGTGGGTGCAGCGCGCCGTGCGCGAGCTGAAGCAGGGTGAGGCATTGCCTCACTCGGGAAGCGCAAGGGGTCAGGGAGTTCCCTTTCCTGGTTAAGGAAAGGGGTGACAGACGGCACCTGGAAAATCGGGTCACTCCCACCCGAATACTGAGCTTTTCCGATGGGCTTAGGAAACAGCGCACCAGGAGAATTATATCCCGCACCTGGCTCGGAGGGTCCTACGCCCACGCCCATGGAATCTTGCTGATTGCTAGCACAGCAGTCTGAGATCAAACTGCAAGGCAGAAGCGAGGCTGGGGGAGGGGCGCCCGCCATTGCCCAGGCTTGCTTAGGTAAACAAAGCAGCCAGGAAGCTGGAACAGGGTGGAGCCCACCACAGCTCAAGGAGGCCTGCCGGCCTCTGTAGGCTGCACCTCTGGGGGCAGGGCACAGACAAACAAAAAGACAGCAGTAACCTCTGCAGACTTAAATGTCCCTGTCTGACAGCTTTGAAGGGAGCAGTGGTTCTCCCAGCACGCAGCTGGAGATCTGAGAACGGGCAGACTGCCTCCTCAAGTGGGTCCCCGACCCCTGACCCCCGAGCAGCCTAACTGGCAGGCACCCCCCAGTAGGGGCAGACTGACACCTCACATGGCCGGGTACTCCTCTGAGACAAAACTTCCAGAAGAACGATCAGACAGCAGCATTCGCGGTTCATGAAAATCCGCGGTTCTACAGACACCGCTGCTGATACCCAGGCAAACAGGGTCTGGAGTGGACCTCTAGCAAAGTCCAACAGACCTGCAGCTGAGGGTCCTGTCTGTTAGAAGGAAAACTAACAAACAGAAAGGACATCCACACCAAAAACCCATCTGTACATCACCATCATCAAAGACCCAAAGCAGATAAAACCATAAAGATGGGGAAAAAACAGAGCAGAAAAACTGGAAACTCTAAAAAGCAGAGCGCCTCTCCTCCTCCAAAGGAACACAGTTACTCACCAGCAACGGAACAAAGCTGGACGGAGAATGACTTTGACGAGTTGAGAGAAGAAGGCTTCAGATGATCAAACTACTCCGAGCTACAGGAGGAATTTCAAACCAAAGGCAAAGAAGTTGAAAACTTTGAAAAAAATTTAGACGAATGTATAACTAGAATAACCAATACAGAGAAGTGCTTAAAGGAGCTGATGGAGCTGAAAGCCAAGGGTCGAGAACTACGTGAAGAATGCAGAAGCCTCAGGAGCTGATGCGATCAACTGGAAGAAAGGGTATCAGTGATGGAAGATGAAATGAATGAAATGAAGCGAGAAGGGAAGTTTAGAGAAAAAAGAATAAAAAGAAACAAACAAAGCCTCCAAGAAATATGGGACTATGTGAAAACACCAAATCTGCATCTGATTGGTGTACCTGAAAGTGACAGGGAGAATGGAACCAAGTTGGAAAACACTCTGCAGGATATTATCCAGGAGAACTTCCCCAATCTAGCAAGGCAGGCCAACATTCAGATTCAGGAAATACAGAGAATGCCACAAAGATACTCCTCGAGAAGAGCAACTCCAAGACACATAATTGTCAGATTCACCAAAGTTGAAATGAAGGGAGAAATGTTAAGGGCAGCCAGAGAGAAAGGTTGGGTTACCCACAAAGGGAAGCCCATCAGACTAACAGTGGATCTCTCAGCAGAAACTCTACAAGCCAGAAGAGAGTGGGGGCCAATATTCAACATTCTTAAAGAAAAGAATTTTCAACCCAGAATTTCATATCCAGCCAAACTAAGCTTCATAAGTGAAGGAGAAATAAAATCCTTTACAGACAAGCAAATGCTGAGAGATTTTGTCACCACCAGGCCTGCCCTAAAAGAGCTCCTGAAGGAAGCACTAAACATGGAAAGGAACAACCGGTACCAGCCGCTGCAAAATAATGCCAAAATGTAAAGACCATCGAGACTAGGAAGAAACTGCATCAACTAACGAGCAAAATAACCAGCTAACATCATAATGACAGGACCAAATTCACACATAACAATATTAACTTTAAATGTAAATGGACTAAGTGCTCCAATTAAAAGACACAGACTGGCAAATTGGATAAAAAGTCAAGACCCATCAGTGTGCTGTATTCAGGAAACCCATCTCATGTGCAGAGACACACATAGGCTCAAAATAAAAGGATGGAGGAAGATCTACCAAGCAAATGGAAAACTAAAAAAGGCAGGGGTTGCAATCCTAGTCTCTGATAAAACAGACTTTAAACCAACAAAGATCAAAAGAGACAAAGAAGGCCATTACATAATGGTAAAGGGATCAATTCAACAAGAAGCGCTAACTATCCTAAATATATATGCACCCAATACAGGAGCACCCAGATTCATCAAGCAAGTCCTGAGTGACCTACAAAGAGACTTAGACTCCCACACAATAATAATGGGAGACTTTAACATCTCACTGTCAACATTAGACAGATCAACGAGACAGAAAGTTAACAAAGATACCCAGGAATTGAACTCAGCTCTGCACCAAGCGGACCTAATAGACATCTACAGAACTCTCCACCCCAAATCAACAGAATATACATTTTTTTCAGCACCACACCACACCTATTCCAAAATTGACCACATAGTTGGAAGTAAAGCTCTCCCCAGCAAATGTAAAAGAACAGAAATTATAACAAACTGTCTCTCAGACCACAGTGCAATCAAACTAGAACTCAGGATTAAGAAACTCACTCAAAATCGCTCAACTACATGGAAACTGAACAACGTGCTCCTGAATGACTACTGGGTACATAACGAAATGAAGGCAGAAATAAAGATGTTCTTTGAAACCAATGAGAACAAAGACACAACATACCAGAATCTCTGGGACACATTCAAAGCAGTGTGTAGAGGGAAATTTATAGCACTAAATGCCCACAAGAGAAAGCAGGAAAGATCCAAAATTGACACCCTAACATCACAATTAAAAGAACTAGAAAAGCAAGAGTGAACACATTCAAAAGCTAGCAGAAGGCAAGAAATAACTAAAATCAGAGCAGAACTGAAGGAAATAGAGACACAAAAAACCCTTCAAAAAATTAATGAATCCAGGAGCTGGTTTTTTGAAAGGATCAACAAAATTGATAGACTGCTAGCAAGACTAATAAAGAAAAAAAGAGAGAAGAATCAGATAGACACAATAAAAAATGATAAAGGGGTTATCACCACCGATCCCACATAAATGCAAACTACCATCAGAGAATACTATAAACACCTCTACGCAAATAAACTAGAAAATCTAGAAGAAATGGATAAATTCCTCCACACATACTCTCTCCCAAGACTAAACCAGGAAGCAGTTGAATCTCTGAATAGACCAATAACAGATCTGAAATTGTGGCAATAATCAATAGCTTACCAACCAAAAAGAGTCCAGGACCAGATGGATTCATAGCCGAATTCTACCAGAGGTACAAGGAGGAACTGGTACCATTCCTTCTGAAACTATTCCAATCAATAGAAAAAGAGGGAATCCTCCCTAACTCATTTTATGAGGCCAGCATCATCCTGATACCAAAGCCGGGCAGAGACACAACCAAAAAAGAGAATTTTAGACCAATATCCCTGATGAACATTGATGCAAAAATCCTCAATAAAATACTGGCAAACCAAATCCAGCAGCACATCAAAAAGCTTATCCACCATGATCAAGTGGGCTTCATCCCTGGGATGCAAGGCTGGTTCAATATACGCAAATCAATAAATGTAATCCAGCATATAAACAGAACCAAAGACAAAAACCACATGATTATCTCAATAGATGCAGAAAAGGCCTTTGACAAAATTCAACAACCCTTCATGCTAAAAACTCTCAATAAATTAGGTATTGATGGGACATATCTCAAAATAATAAGAGCTATCTATGACAAACCCACAGCCAATATCATACTGAATGGGCAAAAACTAGAAGCATTCCCTTTGAAAACTGGCAGAAGACAGGGATGCCCCCTCTCACCACTCCTATTCAACATAGTGTTGGAAGTTCTGGCCAGGGCAATCAGGCAGGAGAAGGAAATAAAGGGTATTCAATTAGGAAAATAAGAAGTCAAATTGTCCCTGTTTGCAGATGACATGATTGTATATCTAGAAAACCCATCGTCTCAGCCCAAAATCTCCTTAAGCTGATAAGCAACTTCAGCAAAGTCTCAGGATACAAAATCAATGTGCAAAAATCACAAGCATTCTTATACACCAATAACAGACAAACAGAGAGCCAAATCATGAGTGAACTCCCATTCACAATTGCTTCAAAGAGAATAAAATACTTAGGAATCCAAATTACAAGGGACGTGAAGGACCTCTTCAAGGAGAACTACAAACCACTGCTCAATGAAATAAAAGAGGATACAAACAAATGGAAGAACATTCCATGCTCATGGGTAGGAAGAATCAATATCGTGAAAATGGCCATACTGCCCAAGGTAATTTATAGATTCAATGCCATCCCCATCAAGCTACCAATGACTTTCTTCACAGAATTGGAAAAAATTACTTTAAAGTTCATATGGAACCAAAAAAGAGCCCGCATCGCCAAGTCAATCCTAAGTCAAAAGAACAAAGCTGGAGGCATCACGCTACCTGACTTCAAACTATACTACAAGGCTACAGTAACCAAAACAGCATGGTAGTGGTACCAAAACAGAGATATAGATCAATGGAACAGAACAGAGCCCTCAGAAATAACGCCACATATCTAAAACTATCTGATCTTTGACAAACCTGAGAAAAACAAGCAATGGGGAAAGGATTCCCTATTTAATAAATGGTGCTGGGAAAAATGGCTAGCTATATGGAGAAAGCTGAAACTGGATCCCTTCCTTACACCTTATACAAAAATTAATTCAAGATGGATTAAAGACTTAAACGTTAGACCTAAAACCATAAAAACCCTAGAAGAAAACCTAGGCATTACCATTCAGGAAATAGGCATGGGCAAGGACTTCATGTCTAAAATACCAATAGCAATGGCAACAAAAGCCAAAATTGACAAATGGGATCTAATTAAACTAAAGAGCTTCTGCACAGCAAAAGAAACTACCATCAGAGTGAACAGGCAACCTACAAAATGGAAGAAAATTTTCGCAACCTACTCATCTGACAAAGGGCTAATATCCAGAATCTACAATGAACTCAAACAAATTTACAAGAAAAAAACAAACAACCCCATCAAAAATGGGCAAAGGATATGAACAGACACTTCTCAAAAGAAGACATTTATGCAGCCAAAAGACACCTGAAAAAATGCTCATCATCACTGGCCATCAGAAAAATGCAAATCAAAACCACAATGAGATACCATCTCACACCAGTTAGAATGGCAATCATTAAAAAGTCAGGAAACAACAGGTGCTGGAGAGGATGTGGAGAAATAGGAACACTTTTACACTGTTGGTGGGACTGTAAACTAGTTCAACCATTGTGGAAGTCAGTGTGGCGATTCCTCAGGGATCTAGAACTAGAAATACCATTTGACCCAGCCATCCCATTACTGGGTATATACCCAAAGGACTATAAATCATGCTGCTATAAAGACACATGCACATGTATGTTTATTGCGGCACTATTCACAATAGCAAAGACTTGGAACCAACCCAAATGTCCATCAATGATAGACTGGATTAAGAAACTGGCACATATACACCATGGAATACTATGCAGCCATAAACATGATGAGATCATGTCCTTTGTAGGGACATGGATGAAATTGGAAGTCATCATTCTCAGTAAACTATTGCAAGGACAAAAAACCAAACACCGCATGTTCTCACTCATAGATGGGAACTGAACACTGAGAACACATGGACACAGGAAGGGGAACATCACACTCTGGGGACTGTTGTGGGGTGGGGGGAGGGGGGAGGGATAGCATTAGGAGATATACCTAATGCTAAATGACAAGTTAATGGGTGCAGCACACCAGCATGGCACATGTATACATATGTAACTAACCTGCACACTGTGCACATGTACCCTAAAACTTAAAGTATAATAATAATAATTTAAAAAAAGAAAAAAAAAAGAATCATCTTTATTTGTGGGCTCCAGTTTCTCTCTTCCCATTCTCTCATAAACAACTCTAAACATAATCTTTCCCAAGCATCTTCTAAAGTTACTCCTGTGAAGGTCACCATTGGCCTCCATGCTAAATCCAGGGGTCAACTCTCTATCCTTACCTTACTCAATCTATCAGAAGCTTGTGGCACAGTTGGTCACTCCATTCTCCTCAACCACTTTCTTCACTTGGCTTTCAGGGTTCCATAATCTCTTGGTTTTCTTCTATCTTACTGGTCACTTCTTCTCAGTCCCCTTTCTGGTTCCTCATTTTCTCCCCAGTCTCGTAAAGTTGGAGTACAAAACTCAGGGCTTGATCCTTGGTCCTTTTCTCTCTTCCATCTATTTATACCCCCTAACGGAGCTCATCCAGTATTAAAATTCTGTCTTTACTTTTTTTAGTTGTTATACTGTACTTTTAAATTTGTATTATTCTTATCATTGTATTTTTATTGATGCTTAATAGACATATATACTTCCAGGGTACATAAAATATTTTGATACATTACATAATGTGTAATAATTAAATAGCAGTGATTGGTATATCCATCACCTTACACATTTATCTTTTCTTTATGCTGGGAAGATTTGAATAACACTGTCTATATTCTAAAGACTCTCAGAATACTTGACATCTTCAATTGTACATCTAAGGGCATCTCAAACTACATACATCCAAATTTTAATTCCTGGTGTTTCCCCTAAATAAGCTGCACCCCTACAACCTCCCCATTTCAGTTAATGACCACTTCTTTTTTGACTCCTCTCTTTTTCTCACAACTTACATCCAATATCTGTAAAACAGAATGGCTCTACCTTCAAAATTTACTCAGAATCCAAATACTTCTCATTACCTCCAGTGCTATCACACTGGTAAGAAACACCACCATATTTCTGTTATTATAATAGCCTCCTTAATTCATCTCCTTGCTTTCACACCCTTTTCCTCTTATAATCAATTCTCACACTAGCAGCAAGAGCCAACCCTTTACAATGAAAATCAGATCATGTCACTCCTCTGCTCAAAACTCCACAATGACTCCCCACTTCACTCAAAGTCAGTCTTTACCCTGGCCAAAAGGTCTTATGTAATCTCCTTGTCCACCAGTTACCTCTTTGCCGATCTCCCTTGCAACTCTGCCCCTCACTCACTCCACCCCAGCCACAAGAGGCCTGGAGGTGTCCCTCAAACATGTATCAGGCATGTCTCCATGGCCTGTAACACTTTGTCTATAGATATTTGCATGGATAATTCTCTCATTTAAGTACTTTGTTCAGATGTCACCTCATCAATGAAGCCTGCCCTGACCACCCAAAATGTGGTTCAGATGTCACGACTGATCCCAGATACACACACGTCAAGAGGGTATGAAATGGGGTACTGCTCACATAAAGAGACCTTGCAAGAAGATCAGAGCAGGTTCCCAAACAGGTGGGAAAATGTATGGAGAAAGTAAGGAAAAGAGACTGGCTTGGAGTTTTATGGTGGTTGGTGGGTGGCACTGAGGTAAGAGTTCCTGCACATGGGCCAGGACTTACATGGTTTGAACTTTCCACTAACACCAAAGGAGGGAACAGATGGGCTTTCTTATCTGCTTGCTCAGGTCAGGGGCAGAAAGAGAAGGACAGTGGTCGGGCTTGAAAGCTGTCAGCCATTGAACATCAAAATGGAGTCACACTTATTACAACCACACGATTTTAAAATGGTAACTCGTCCCCCTCCAACCTCTACTCCTTATATTCTCCATAGCACTTATCATTTTTGCCCACACTCTGTAATTTACTTGTGTTTATAGTTTATTGCCAGCATGTTTATTATCTATTAGAATATAGGGCAAGATTTTGCACAATATTGTTATATATTTTGTTTAGACTGTATATATGAGTATTGGGCCACTGATACTTGCCAGGAGCTTAGAACAGTGCCTAGCATATTGAAAGTGCACAAACTTATTTTTTAAACGAATTAATGAATGATAAGAAATGTATGCATTATTAGATGAATCACTATTGAATGTGTCAGAGGACCTCATGATAGAAGTGTTTATCACAAATGGCATGGAGAAACTCTTGAATGTGGATGTCCATATTATTAAATATGAAAAAAGCGCTGTAATATTATTTTTACTACTCTACCTGACTGCTTATATATCTGTGAGCATATGGATACAGAAATTGTATTCTATGCATCTTTATATCTTCACTGCCTAGATCAGAGCCTGGCAGTGAGAGAGTTAACAGATACTGGTTGACTAAATAAATAAATCGATGAACAAACTAAATGAAAGAGCTGACACTAACAATTGCAGCACATTTAAATAATTAGCTACCTACAACAGTTTATTAAACAGTTCAGTGCAATATGATGCAGAAACTTACTTTTTCAAAATAGGTTTGTTTTTAATATTTTAAGTCAATGTTTTAGAAAAAAAGAAAACACTCCATAGCTTTTATTCGTAAAAAGGTTTAGTCTTTTTAAAAAGTAAATTAAATGTATAAAAAAATCAAAGCATTGTTAATTTGTTCATTCTATATATGAAATTAAACAACCCAGCTGTGTGCCTTCATAAAATAATTGCTTTATTGAGAACTGTAATTTTTTTTTTTTTTGAGACAGAGTCTTGCTCTGTCATCCAGGCTGGAGTACAGAGGGGCAATCTCAGCTCACTGCAACCTCTGCCTCCCGGGCTCAAGTGATTCTCCTGCCTTAGCCTCCCGAGTAGCTGGGATTACATGTGCCGCCACAAAGCCTGGTTAATTTTCATATTTTAGTAGAGACAGGGTTTCTTCGTGTTGGCCAGCCTGGTCTCCAACTCCTGGCCTCAAGTGATCTGCCCACCTCAGCCTCCCAAAGTGCTGGGATTACAGGCATGAGCCACCACACCCAGCCAGAGCTATAATTTTAAGTGAAATCATGTATGAAAACTTCCCTGAATAATAAAAAGCAAGCATACTATGGATATAGGAATTTCTAAAACTTACATAAAATTTAAGTCTATTTAATAAACTAGGGTGAAGGAACTCTCTTCAAAGGTATCCCTCCCCTGTGCATGGAGAGACGCACCTGTATGCCGCCCGGTGCCTCTGCAGAGCAACTGCAGCCAGCTGAAGCCGGGCCTCCACCACAATCTCCAGCTCGCCAGCGGAGCACTGAGACAGGGTCTTCTGTTCCACCTCGGACAGAAGGAAGTTTAGCCTGTCCTCAGCTTCCATCAGTAACATCGACTAAGGAAAGGATACCATACATCACGTGAGTTCAGAAATAATACAAATACTGTCTCTTTCTTCTTTAGCAAATATTTTTCATGTACTGAAAAGTAACAATGAATGGAAGACCAAAAAGGAACTTGGTATCTAATTACCAGAGAAGAGAGTTCAGCAAAAAGGAAAAAGGCAACAGAAAACGAAAAGGAAAGTGAAAGCAAGCGTCAGCATGCATGACAGTGACCTTTTCTTGTGTGCACAGCTGGTGCTTACTATTCACAGTAGTTATGTTCTATAAAGTTCTTGCAAACACTGATTACTGGATACTGAGCCATTGCTCCTAGGGGAGACATGGAGAAAAGTACCCGAGAGCCTCTGGTCACAACATTTTCATTAACTGCTCAATACACAGCCTCCTTGTTTAATGTGTGTTTATGGCTAAGGATATATAACAGTATATTTAATATATACTGTTAATTTGCTAACCTTGAACTCACAGCCAATAGCACTCACTTCTGAAGGAAGCTTATCTAACACACATAGCTTCTCCATAAGGGACACCACAGCCCTCTTAACTTAGAAATGCTCCACAGCACTTCAGCACTATGCTGGAGGGTCATTGTAAATATTGACAAAAATTCAAAAAGCATGGTACTAAATAGACCGTGAAAAGGACACTTGTTTACAGTATGAGAGTGGCAACAAAAAGTCAGAGCATCTCCTTGTTCAACTCAGCTGGGAATACGTGCATTGAGCAGCTCAAATTTTTCTGTGCTCTGCGTGTGTTCACGAATAGCCAACAGAGTGCCAAGAGTGTTGATTTTCAGGCTACAAATAAATTTCAGTAGATCTGCAAATTAGCAAACACAGAATCTGTGAATAATGTGGATCAACTGTATTTCAAGTTAAAGTATGGTCACCTAGTTGGTAATGTGAAGATAATGAGATTTTTACAGTAGACAATCAATAGTAAATAGCAGCCTAACATGGCAGAAGATAAAGGGACCAACCAATCTTTCAAGTGACAGGCCACTAAAAATGTATTTGTGCAGAGCAGTGAATATTATATAAATATTAGGGCAATTCAGTATAATGTTTAAGAACATGGATTTTGAATCAAAAAGATGTAGTCCTTCTCCTGGATCTATATTTTATTAGTTGTATGATATTAGTCAAATTCTTAGATGTCTAAGCCTCAGTTTTCTCATGGTTCAGCACAGCACAGTTCAAAATGATTACTACCTACATCATAAAGTTATAAAAATTAAATAATCATGCAAAAGCTGTTGATGCCATTGTCATCACTATTATTGGGAAATGATAAACGGGATGGAATACTCATATCCCACCAAATAATGAATCATGTTTCTTTGTTGTTTTTTTTTTTGAAATGGAGTTTCGCTCTTTTTGCCCAGAATAGAATGCAGTGGCGTGATATTGACTCACTGCAACCTCTGCCTCCTGGGTTCAAGCGATTCTCCTGCCTCAGCCTCCTGAGTAGCTAGAATTACAGGCATGCGCCATCACACCCAGCTAATTTTGTATTTTTAGTAGAGACAGGATTTCTCCATGTTGGTCAGGCTGGTCTTGAACTCCCGACCTCAGGTGATCCGCCCACCTCGGCCTCCCAAAGTGCTGGGATTACAGGTGTGAGCCACCGCGCCCAGCCGAATCATATTTTCTGAAGCACCTTAATCAGGTTGTGAAGTCAAAGCTGGACACCACTGGACATCTACTTTTCTCATGAGGAGTAAACTCCACCTCTGGCTCCAACCCATTCTTACACAAGAAAAGGTAACTGCTCTCACAAGAGCAAGCATAACTCTGAAAGCAGGCCCATCCAGGGCCTAATAGTGGATTTTTGGTAACTAACTTAATGGTTTGAAAACAGTTTCAAACTTACCTTTAGCATGCTAAGAGTGATCTCATCTTTAAGTTTTGTAAGATTATAAAATGAACTTCCATCATCCTTTGAATATATCTCTATAAAGACACAAAATTTTGGAAGGACCAAGGATATCTATGGTTAGTTTAAATATTAATTCTAGGTTTATTTTATTTTATTTTGAGACAGGGTCTGGCTCTGTCACCCAGGCTGGAGCACAGTGGCACAATCTCAGCTCACTGCAACCTTCACCTCCTGGGCTCAAGCCATCTTCTCACCTCAGCCTCCCGAGTAGCTGGGACTACGGGCGCACACCACCATGCCCGGCTAATTTTTGTATTTTCTGTAGAGATGGGGTTTCACTATGTTGCCCAGGCTAGTCTTGAACTCCTGAGCTCAAGTGATCTGCCCACCTCGGCCTCCCAAAGTGCTGGGATTATAGGCATGAGCCACTGCACCCACCCTAATTCTATTAATAGTTTTTAAAACTCATCATTCACAGGAAAACTATCCATAAGTTTAATAATTTTTTAAAAAACACAATGATAATATAGAAACACGGGAATATAGAAACATATTCCTGTATCAAATAGTCCCTAATGTCATATATTAGAAGGCTGAAGCTGATTCTTACAACAAATCAGACAATTCTGAAAGAATTTTTTAGGTATTTAGTGATGTTATTCAAGTTATTGGCTACTGATATAGTTTTTCCTCTTCTGGGATCCCAGGACTCCTGAAAGCCCTCTTCCAGATATTTCTAACATTTCAATAAGATCTCCATGGAAGCATCAGTTCTGCTGATGTGAACAAGCCCCTCAGTCTAAGAGCTGAGCGTGAGACCAGCTGGAAGAGCATAATCCACAATACTCAAATATCTCTTTCAAAATCTCCATCCACGATCCAAAGCCTGCTCTTATTCTGAACAGGGGAGAAGTGAGAGAATTCAGATCACAGTCTTTGCCTGCTTCATTCAACTGGGCTTCTAGACTGTGGGAGAGAAAGATAAACCACAAATCATTTGACTACAAATGACAGAAAAATATATCCACCTGAAGAAATTAAGTTTGTTAAGTACAAAGAAAAATTCTGAAATAACATGGAACTTAATACACCGAACTTCCTCTCCTCTTTCAACAGCAACACTTCCCTACCTGGCTAGTCTCCTAAATTATGAGGGTCTGAATCTAGGGGTCAGCTGAGGATGAGGGAGGGCTAGGGCTCTTGGAAGGCCCAGCAGGAGGATCTGGGACTGGGCTTTTTCACCTAAGGGAGAAAGTAAGAATGACAGAGACAATGATGGAGACAAACCAAATGCCTGAACGTGGTACAAAAGAAGCCTGGAATGCATGTTACCATACAAAAGACCCTAGGAAGAGTTTAACCTAGACATTTTCATGAACCCATGTGTGATAAAATTAACATGGGTCCCACATGAGTGTTCTCCTCTAGAATAAAAAGAAGAGCTAGACAGATAGGCCATCCATAGGCGAAGAGATATAGGAGTCCTGATGCCTTAGGAAGGCTAGTTACCTGCCTGCCACTCTACATCTCACTGACTTCACCTTCTCCATTGCATAGCTGATACCAACAAAACAGGAACCCCAATGGGATGACCAGCAAAAATAACACCATATCTAGGATCTGTGTTTCAGACTAATCATGTTCACTTATATGCATACTCCTCTCCTTTCTGAGCACCTGGCAAGCTATACTTCCTGGCCTCTTTGCAGTTAAATTCGGTCTTATCCAATTACATAAGAATTCCAGACTAAATTCCAGAGTTCCATTTAAGGGCTCATGTGCCACCCTATGGCTTTCTAGGCAAGGTCAGAGCAGAGTGTTTCAGATGGTGTGCCTCCAGGATAGCAGCACTTGGGTACCTGAGTGGCTCTGCAAAACACAGCCCCTTGTCAATCTGAGCAAGAACTAAACCCTTGCTGTGTTAAGCCATGATATTTAAAGACTGATTTGCTATGACAGACCAGCTTAGCCTGACTTCTACAGGGGCTCAGTAGGCAAGAAGAGGAAACTCAAATGGGAAACAGAACTGCTAGGAGCAAGCATGACAATTTGAACCCAAAATAATAAGAACACTTATGGAAGTGCAAGCAGAGTACCAAAAAATGCTTTCTGGAACTAAATGCTTTGTCAAAATGCAGATCCTTTCAATGTTCAGGCAGGTTTCAGGCAGATGTGCTTCCAGCAAAATCCCTGATCTAAAAGAATTAAGAGAAACATCTCCAAGCAAAAAATCAAATTTTCTAAAATAAAAGAAATAGATCTCTTATCCGCATTTATGGAAGCCAGAAGACTAGGATTAACATCTAGAAATACTGAGGAAACGATAGAAAATCTACATATTTAATTCTAAACCAGTAATTATATATGTAAAAAGTTAGTACTAAATAAAGTTATTGAAATTGAATGGACATGCTAAGGGAAAACTAATAAGAATCTAGAATTAAAATCAACTAAAATCAGGAGTTGGATGTGAAGTGAGGTGATGTCACCTGCTGAAGGGAAAAGCACGAGAGAAAAAGGGAAA
Source organism: Homo sapiens (assembly GCF_000001405.40). Lineage (NCBI taxonomy): Eukaryota > Metazoa > Chordata > Mammalia > Primates > Hominidae > Homo > Homo sapiens. Next base: position 96,715,992 of record NC_000012.12, on the reverse strand, counting down.
CTGAAAGTTTTTCAAAGTCTTTAATTTGAGTGGAGTAGCCTGGTAAGTGAACTAGCTGCTATGTTATCTACAAGTGATAGTAGAGAATATGGGCCTGTTTGTGAACTCCAGGAAGGGAACATAAAAAGGGCACAAAATATGAAAAAAATGAGAAAATATATTATGTTCTTGGGTGGGAAGACAATAAAAATATATAAATTACATTAAAATTAATACAAGCATCTCAACGAATTCCAATGAAAAAGCCAAAAGTGCCTTTTGTCTTTTGTTATCATAGTTTTCTTGTTTAGAATCAGATTGAATTACCTTGAAGTATGCAGGTAGAATATTCCTGAGAATATATGAGGAAAATAGGAAAAAGTGAAGGGTGAATAGTGATGACCTTAACAGACAAAAGTACTAATATTTTTCCAGATTGTTCTTTCAGGAATCATGAATCCAGCAATACTTCACCCCTTCTAGAACCCATAATCCATTGACAGTACCAGTGTTTCACTGTTCCCTTTCCCTCTCTTCCCCCTGCCATCTCATCCCTCCTTACCCAGTTTTAGTTCCTTAGTCCATCAAACATAATCACTCTTGCAAACACCTTAAATTTCCTTGCCTATCTCTCCTTTATGTCACCCACCTAGTCAATCCCCAAGCCCCTGCAAATCCAATTCTCTGTTGACATCGGCACCCCTGAATTTTAATGTGGCTGGGAAAAAACGATGCTAACTCTTCTCACTTTAAATTCATACCAGAAATACAAAAAGGCTCTGCAAGCTGCCCAGAAGTCCTGCTCCATTTCCCTAGTCCATCTGCCCTCCTATGCTCTAAGACAACTACTTCATCCCTTCTCTTCTCTCCTTAAATCTCCAACACTTTCTCCCTGCTTCTCACTCGGTTGATGTCTTTGTTTCCTATTCCAATGAAGAAACCACAGAAATTAGCAAATAACTTGCAAACATACCCACAATACATCTCTCCATCCATTAGCATGTGAACCTATACACTCTGCCCTTCAACTTGTCATTATAGGTGAATTTTATGTTGCCATGTAGGGCCAAACCCTCCATTTGAGTACTAGTTCCATTCCCATCTTGCCTACTTAAGGGTATCATGTTAGATATCTCCTCACTCCACACCTTGCACCATCATTATTTTCCCTCTTTCTATTTGATGATTCCCATCAAAACAAAAACAGACTGCTACTTTTTCAGTTTTTTTTTTAAACCCTCTTTTGTCCCTTTCAGCAGCCTACCCATTTATCTCCATTCACTCTGATTCCCCTGCACACATTCTGTTTGATTCCACTCCAATAAGGGTTAGTTCAACAAAGTTTATCTTCTAGATTCTTCAATGACATTCCTTTTGTTAAGTCCAACCTCCATCCTCCTTGGCCTTTTGATTCAATTGATCACTCCTTCCTCCTCAAAACACCTTGTTCACTCATCCTTTCTCAGTCTCCTTTGTGGATTCTTCCTCATTTATTTGACCTCTTGCTGATGAACCCAAGCATTTATTCCTTCACCTGTCTCTTCTCCATCTGAACTCATTGCCATGGAGATGACGTGTGGTCTTAGGCCTTTAAATACCATCTATAGACTAATGATTGCGAAACATTTCTTCAGTGTGGACTTCTCTCCTGAGCTCCAGAATCATATCTCAAACTATCTACTCGTTAGTTCCTCTCAGGTGCTTAATAGGCATCCCACACTTAACATGCCTCAAAGTGAACTTCTGATCTTCCTTTCAAATCTTTTTGACTCCACCTTCAAGGTATATCCAGAATCTGGCTACTTCTCACCAACTCCACTGCTACTACTCTTGTTGAAGCCAACGTAAGTTCTAACTTGAATTATTCAATAGCCTTGTAAAAAGAAATATGATTATGGTCTTATATATTCACCCTGTTCGTTCCCCTAACCCCATAGCCTAACCTAGTCTCAATACAGAAACCAGAGTTAGGCTTTAGAAACTTTTAATTCTTCCTCTTAAAATTTCTCCAGTGGTATTCCAACTCACTCAGAATAAAAGCCAAATATTTTATTATGACTTTCAAATCCTTTCATAATCACTCTGTTATCTCCCTGACAGCCTCTCCTGGAACTTTCACCTTTGTTCACTGGGCTCCAGCTGTTCCTCAAGCATGCCAGGCACACGCCCATCTCAGGGTCTCGGTATTTGTTCCCTTTATCTAGAATACTCTTCCTCAGAAACTCACGTCTCATTCCCTCTCCTCTTTTAGACCTGTGCTCAAGTATCATCTGTTTATTAAGACTCTTCCTGATAACCCTATTTTAAATCACACCCCACTCCTGCACTCCCTAACCCCCTTTCCTGCTTTCCAAAGCACTTGTTACCATGTAACCCACAATGCCTTTATTCATTTAATTTATGTATTTTTCTACCATAACAAGTTTTCAGAGAGTATTTTTTGTGTTTATTTTCACTGTTATATTCTCAATTCTCAAACAACATAGGAGGTAATAAATAGTTTTCAGTTATAAAATCAAATTAACTATTTTATTAACACAGGAAGCCAGGAAAATCAGTAGTCCAAAATAGAGAATCAAGAATCATACCCTATTTCACTTAACATAATGTCCTCCAGTTCTATCCATGTTGCTACAAATGACAGGAGTTCATTCTTTTTTATGGCTGAATAATATTTCATCGTGTATATATATCATATTTCCTTTATCCATTCATCCACTGCTGGACACTTAGGTTGATTCCATATCTTGGCTATTGTTAGCAGTGCTGCAATAAACATGGCAGTGCTGGTATCCCTTTGATAAACTGATTTTCTTTTCTTTTGGATATACAGAAAAGATTTCTGGATAATACAGTAGCTCTACTTTCAGTTTTTTGAGGAATGACCATACTGTTTTCAATAGTTGTTGTACTAATTTACATTCCCACCAACAGTATATGAGCATTTTCCTTTCTCCACATCCTCACCAGCATCTGCTGTTTTCTGTCTTTTTGGTAAAAGCCATTTTAACTGGGGTGTGATTATATCTCATTGTGGTTTTGATTTGCATTTTCCTGATTATTAGTGATGTTAAGTATTTTCTCATATGCTTTTTGGCCATTTATATGTCTTCTTTTGATAAATATCTATCCAGGTCTTTTGCCTACTTTTTATTTTAATTACTTGTGTTTCTTTTGCTATTGGGTTATTTGAGTTAATTATATATTAAGTGAAATAAGCCAGGCACAGAAAGAAAAACATTGCCTGTTCTCACTCATATGTGAGAGCTAAGAAAAGAATTGTTTTCATGGAGGTAGAGAGAACGGTGGTTACTAGAGGCTGGGAAGGGGAGATGGGAAGAAGGGATGAAGAGAAATTCATTAATGGGTACAAACATAAAATTAGATAGAAGAAATAAATTCTGGTGTTTGATAGCACAGTAGGGTGATTACTGTTAACAAGAATATATAGTATATTCCAAAACAGAAGAGAAGATTCAGAATGTTCCCAACACAAAGAAATGACAAGTGTTTGAGGTAATGGATATCCCAATTACCCTGATTTGATCATTACACATTTTATGTGTATATAAAAAAACATATACCCCACATACATGTACAACTATTACATATTAAATTTAAAGCTGTAAAATGAAAAAAGAATCATAACCTGGTACATATGAGAATTTATTATATAATGAATTTCTTATTTCAGTGAGGAAATGATAGATTTTTTAAATAAATGATAATGACACACTAGCTATTCATCTAAACTTACAAAGGATATAACATCTCAGGCAAAAGAGACATCCAAAGTCTGAAACGCAGTAAGTAATGGTGAGCAAAGGAAACAGCAAATAAGTAGGTAAAGCTAAACAACCATTGGATGGAAAAAAAATAGTATAATGTATAAATATCAAACTAACAAAAAAATAAAACTAAAACCTAAAGCTATCAAATCATAAAAGTAGGAAAGGGTGATCAGAACAAAATGATCTATGAAGAGGGTAGAGATACTAATTAACTTTAAATTTTAAGTTAAATATGACACATCAATTTCATTCCTAGATATATAGAAGCTCTTACTCATAAGCACTCAGAGACATGTATAATAATGTTTACAGAAAACAGTCTAAATGTCTATCACCAGTACATGAAGAAATAAAGTGAAAATAAAGGAACCACAGCTACAAACATAAATACAGATAAATCTCAAAAACACATTGTTCAGGAGATTAACTTCTGGCATCCCAATGTGAAGAGCTCTATGAACCCACTTTACCATTAAATTAGTAAAAATTATTGGTTTTTTAATGCTTAAAGTCTCTGGAAATGATTCTAAGGTCATACAGCAAATGATTAAACATCTAGTCAAGAACACTTACTAAAATGTGGTGAGAACAGTACTGCAAGTCTGTGGTATTTGGAGAAAGATGACTACTTCTCTTCCCTCTGCCTGTTCAGTGAGATGGAAACTTCACTTCAAACTGGCACAACTAAGCAGACAGGGTTCCCTTGTTCCACCCAGCCTCACCACCTTGTGGGACAGAGTCTCTAGCTTAAGCAAAGTAACACTGAGAACACAGGAGCCCCTCTAAGTCTTTTTCCCAACTCATAAGTGTAGTGAACAAAGAAAATAATAAAGATTGAAATAGATAATAATAAAACAGAGAACAGAAGAAAAAGTAGAAGAAATCAACAAAATTGAAAAACCTATAGGTAGACTGAGAAAGAAAAAGGGAGAAGACTCAAATTAATAGAACTGGAAATGAAAGAGGAAACATTACTACTAACCTTACAGAATTTAAAAAAAGAATTATAAAGGAATACTATGAAAAAATTGTATGCCAATAAATTAAATAACACAGATGAAATGGATGAATTCCTAGAAAGACACAAACTACCAAAACTGAGTCAAGAAATAGATAATTTTAAGAGAACTACAAGTAAAGAGATTGAATTGCTCATCAAAATGCTATCCACAAATATAAGTTCAAGCTCAGATGTCTTCACTGTTGAATTCTACCAAACATTTAAAGAAGAGTTAATATCAATTCTTCACAAACTCTTCTAAAATATAAAAGAGGAGGGAACACTTCCCAACTCATTCTATGAGGCTATATTAATTATGCCTTTACATTTTCTGTATGTCTCAAGACCAGCCTGGCCAACATGATAAAACCCCGTCTCTACTAAAAATACAAAAACTTAGCTGGGCATGGTGGCAGGAACCTGTAATCCCAGTTACCCAGGAGACTGAGGCAGGAGAATTGCTTGAACTTGGGAGGCGGAGGTTGCAGTAAGCCTAGATGACACCATTGCACTCCAGCCTGGGTGACAAGAGCAAAACTCCATCTCAAAAAAAAAAAAATTCTGTATGTCTGATGTAGAAATGATAACATTTGGGGCCTTGCTGACCTCCCAGTTCCTAGAGATGGTAAAAGACTCACCTGTGAGTACACCTTTCATGTGCAAACTAAAGAGCCCATGCCCCCACCACCTCCTTTATTAGGCTCTTACCCCAGGCCACCCTTCCCCTGCCCTAATCACCCCAAGACCAGTTATCAGATATCTAGAGACAGCCCCTATGCCCCCAGGGCTCACTGAAATTATTCAAACTAAAATTATTCAAATACTAAGCCTGTTCACTCTGCTTTACCCATCCATTTGCATAGCAAACACAGTAAAGGTTCTTGCTCATGTTTCCCCTGCACTGCCCTCTGCCTCCTGAGACGCAGCCAAGCTCTCCTGTGTTCCCTTCTCCCACAGTGGTGTGGCGCACCCTTCCTCTTGGAAACTGTAACTATTTTTTCAGTAGCAGTCATCTGATCTGTTGGTCTCACCATACCTGAATAATAAAACCTACATTTTAAAATAGAGGCCCCAGAATTACTCTGATATCAAAACTAGACAAAGACACTACAAGAAAACTGCAGACCAATATCTCTTATGAGTATGAATGCAATCATTTTCAACAAAATGCTAGCAAACAGAATCTAACAAGTAAAAAGAATTATTGGCCACATGCAGTGGCTCACATCTGTAATCCCAGCACTTTGGGAGGCAGAGGCAGGCAGATCACTTGAGATCAGGAGTTCAAGCCTGGCCAACATGGTGAAACCCTATCTCTACGAAAACCACAAAAAATTAGCTGGGCGTGGTGGCAGGCGCCTATTGTCCCAATTACTTGGGAGGCTGAGGCAGGAGAATCACTTGAACCCAGAAGCAGAGGTTGCAATGAGCTGAGCTTGCACCACTGTGCTCCAGCCTGGGCAACAGAGTAAGACTCCATCTCGAAAACAATAATAATAATAATAATAATAATAATAATAAACCATGATCAAGTGGGACTTATCCCAAGAATGTAAGGTTGGTTAAACGACCAAAAATCAGTTAATGTAACATACCATATCAATAGAATAAAAAGCAAGGACCACATAATCATCCCAATAGATGCAGATAGAGCATTGAATAGAATTCAACACCCTTTCAATGATAAAAATAACTTGACAAACTAAGAATAGAAGAGAAATTGCTCAACCTGATAAAGCATATCTATGAAAAACCCACAGTTAACATCATACTGAATGGTAAAAATCACCTATTTTTAAGGCAACATCTAATACAATTGAAAATTTCCCTGTGGCCCATAAATCCCATCCATGGGTTATATACCCCATAGAAAGATATACTATGTCATCTGGGTATGTTGCACTGTGGCAATGTTCCTTGGAAATGAAGTGCATGTGCACGAGTGGAGGTACACATTTCTTCTTATTCAATCATTCCTCTATTGGTGCACATGCACTTTGTTGCCAAGGAACATTCATGGGGGATGATCATGGCCTAGAATACTATACAGTCAATATAATGGACCAAAGCAAAGCAGTAGACTTGGAGTGATTTCAGTGAAGTTTTTCTGCATGGGAAATACCAGATGCAGAAAAGTGTGAATATACCATTTTGTAAATAAATGATAAATCCTATCCTATCATGTATGTGTATACATATGATAGTGTATTATATATAAAGCATATGAATATGGATATATATATAAACACGTATGTGTATGCATACACCTAGACATAAGTACATATGTGTGTCATTATATAAGCATAGAGAAAACTGTGGAAGAATATATACTGTATCATTTATATAGATTAGTGGGGGCTGGGAGAACAGTTAGGGAAAGGGAGGAGAAAGAGAAATAAGCAAAAAATAAAACAATTACCTTCCAAGTTTGGTAGGTTTGGTTTGCTCTTGTTGGTAATTACTGTCTTAAATTTATTTTCTGGGACACAATTTATTGTCGCAGCCACACTTAGGAAAAAGTATGCTTTAACAAAATTAAACTTATTTAAGAGATGTGGTTGGCCAATTGTAACCAGAACTGCAGGCAAGCCTTTATTTCTTAATTCATCAATTGCCTAAAAAATGGAAAAAAGGAAAAAGAGCAAATTAGAAAAATACTTTTTCAGATATTATTATATTCATTCTTTTGCAGTTCACATTTGGTGTTGGATGAAGGGATATAGGGCTGGGCATGGGGTATTGTAAATGGGAGGTCTACTGAGAGAGACATGTAACATCGGAACCATCTCAACAGTTCAACAATGCTTCTGCTGTTCCCCACCAATTTCTAACCTGTGCCTCATGAGGCCAGCTCTGCCATCGTGGCAGAGTAAACCTGGTGCTCAGAGTGAAGGATGGGATTCTTTATCAAAATAGACAAACTGAAAGCTCATTAGACACACACATCGGCTACTCTGCTTTAGTGTAAGTAAATCAGAGATACTATGACAGGAACAGGAAAAGATGGGCAGACAAGCAATCTCCCTACCCAGCTTAGAGTCCACCGTCAATCATTAGAACCCCTTCCCATATACACCCTCAACTCCCTGGGTCCTCACCTATCCAAACACACTTCCTTAGCAAAATCACAGCTCTAACTCTGAAATCCAACTCTGAGCCCTCTTATGGTCTGCATCCCTGGGGTGGAAAACGGCTGGAGAAAATCACACAATCACACAAATTGTCCCATTTTAAGTACCCAACCAAACCTCAATGCTGCCTGGTAATATTCCAATATTTTGCCAGTCCATTCACCCTCTCTCTCTTTCTTAGACAACCATTTTGCGCCCTTCTCTCCTCTAAATTCTAACCCTTCCTTCCCTGGTTTCCTCCCAGCCAATGACCTTGCTTCCTCCACTTCACTAGGAAAACTGAAGCAGTCAGAGTAGAGCAAACTCCTCCATCTGTTTCATCCACCTGAGCATCTGCCCCCAACAGCTCTACCTTCCTTTCTGCTACCTAAGGCTGGCATTACCACTTAGGCCTTCACTCCTTTCTCCAATGGGCTACTCAGCCATTCTCTCCTATATCATAAATATGCTAATCTCTGTAGAAACATTCCTATCGGCACACAGCCATGCTTCATCTCCTCCATTTTAATAACCCAAAAACTCTCTATATCCCAACTTCCTTCTCCAGCCACTACCCCATTCTTTCCTCCCCTTCACAGCAACACTCTGAAGAGTTCCAGTTTCTCTCCTTTCATTTGCTCCTAAACCCACTCCATCCCTACGTCTTAACCCTCTGGTCAAATCCACTGATGGCCTACACTTGGCTAAATCTAATGGTCAATTATCAGTCTTTGAATACCATGTAACTTCTGACCTGATGCCATTATTTTATATGCCAATTAAGCTGTCACATGCCATGAACTGTAAAATGCATTCTGATTTTAGAGACATTAAATGTGAAAAAAAAAATTCAAGTTAAAGACTCAGTGTATTATTGTATTTGATTCATCATCAAAATTTGATACTACTGATCACCCACTCTTTCCAAACACGCTTTCTCCTCTTGGCTTTCAGGCCACCACACTCCCTTAGTTTCCTTCCTATCCTACTGGCCTCTCCTTTTCTGTCTTCTTTGCTGGTTCTTCTTCTCCTATACCTCTTAATATTGGACTGTCCTGGAACTCAGTGCTCTTCCTTCTCCTCACTCCCTCCCCTTAGGTGATCTTAATCAGGCTCATGGTTTTAATTTCATCTGAATGCTGATGAAATCACAACTTTTTCGCTGTAGCTCCAACCTCTCTTCTGAACTCCAAATTCACAGAATCAACTTCTGACTCAATTCCTCCACTTGGATGTCTAACAGATATCTCAAACTCAACATCTCTAAACTCAGTATCTCCAGCACACACACACGTGCGCACACAAACACACACACACACACACATACACACACAATGTAAGTGCTTTGAGGTTTGGGAATTTGTATTATGGTTGACTGATGTATTTGATTGACAGCATCAGAACAGTACCTGGCACATGGTGGGCTCAACAGATTAGGAAAAGTAATCCCTTTATGGCATAAATCAGTCAGGACACACTTCTGCTCAAAACTCTCCAGTGGCTCTTCATTTTGCTCAGATAACAGCCTAGTTACAATGGCCCTACAACCCCTTCTCAATTTGACCTCTCTGACCTTATCTCCTACTGCTCCCATCATTCACAGAGCTCTAGCCACACTGGCTTGGATGTCCCTCGCCAAGCTAGGCAATCTTGTCTCAGGGCCTTTTCACTTACCTTTCCCTCTTTTTAGATTGTTCCTTCTCCAGATTTCATATGACTTGCACCTTTAGCTGTTTCAGGTCTATTTACAAAAGCCACTTCAGTGAAGACTAACCTGATTACCCCATTTAAAATTACCATCTCCAACCTAGCCCCATGCTCCCAATTCCCTTTATGCACAGCTGCATTTATTTTCTCCCACAGCATGGTTCTCCGTCTAATGCACTATATAATTTACATATTTATAATATATTTACTTATATATCATGCTTTATTACTAGTCTTGCCCATTAAAATACAAGCTCCATGAGAGCTTGGAGTTTTTCTGTATTGTTGATTGACTAATGTTGATTGACAGCATCAGAACTAATGCTGATTGGCAGCCTATTGCCTTGCACACAATAGGCTCTTGATTTTGTTGTTGAATTAATACATAAGGCAGATGTTGGGGCTATCTATTCTAGAAAAAAAAAAGAGAAACTATTTGCCTTACGTAAACAAAAAAAATTCCATTGTTTGGAAGAGCTTGAAGCATGAAACTTCAGATTGGTTGAGAGAAGCTTTCTCTTGTCTTTTCTCTCTACAGCAAACAGTGATTTAATGAGCCTTGACAATTACACACAAACACTTGAGGATCAAAAGAAGATTAATTAGTAATACTATTTAACACTCCCTTCTTTCCCTTTATGCAAAAAAACATAAAGTATAATCTGAAGAGTCTTAAGCAGACCAACGGTACTGTTTTAACTAACTAGCTAATAGAAACTGAGTTTCCATTATACTGTTAGTCTCTTTTTGAATAAAAAGAAATCATCAGACAGACATTCTTTTTATACCAAAAACCACTCCCTAAGGAAGTGTTTTAGGATGCTCTAGCATTTAAGATAGGAAAGACAGAAATATTCTTAGACACCCCAAGGTCTTGGAACACTAAAATGAAATAAGAATATGTATTTCTATCTTCCTAATACCAGTTATTTCATTTCAGGCAAATTGCTTATAAATTAAAACAAATTTTTAGGAAAAAAAAAACAATGAATCATCTGAAGGATAATTAAAAGTGAACTTTGTGGAATAAAATGCACAATAATAGAAAAGTAATAAGATTACATTTAATAAAAGTTAGATATAGTCCTATTAAAATTATGGAAGACAAAAATAAAGCAATTTTGAGAAAATATCTCTCAAAATTATTTAATTAAAAATAAATACCTTACTTAATGCTGTTTCCTAGCACTTAAAAAAATAAAAACCATGTGTATATATCTGCATTAACTGTCGTCTGGTTCTATGAACTCCTTCCCCATTCATAGCCCCCTTTAACAATGGTTGTGCCACAACTCTTCTGCTCTAACACTTTCTAGGAGAGATAGACTGCCAATACGCCTAAGTTTTTTAAAATTATTATTTCAAGATATTCAAATATTACTAGGTCATCAAGTGCTTAAGTCCCAATCATTCCATTAGTGACAGGAACAAATGTATTTAGATGGGCAGTAGAATCCTCTTTTTGTGAAAGATACTGGGAAAAAAAAAGAAAAGAATATTACACAGCAGATTTTCAGAATCAAAGACTGTATCAACCAAATAGATTAGAATGACTCAAAAATTATCCACACTTAGGAAAACCATGTTTATAAAATATTATTATCCTTACCTGTATATTTTCTTTACTGGTAAGAAGTTTTCCTGAGTCAAATGATTGAAAGATCTGTCAAAATACAAAATAGTAACAGCAAGAACAAGATTACTTGAGTATTCTTTTCAATAAAACATTTAATGTGTTCTAAAATTATTTTAATTATCATTTTTATTGGAAAAGTAATTTATGCTCTAGTCAGAAAAGATAAGTATTGTATAAAGTAAAAATCATACATAAGTCAACTTCTTTTAAGAATTACAATGTTAATATTTGATGTTTTTCCTACTAACTTCTTTTTGATGTATTTTAAATATATATATATATATATATATATATATATATATATATATATATATATACACACATACATTTTTTTTTTTTTTTTTAGACCGAGTCTCGCTCTGTCGCCCAGGCTGGAGTGCAGTGGCGCCATCTCAGCTCACTGCAAGCTCCACCTCCCGGGTTCACACCATTCTCCTGCCTCAGCCTCCCAAGTAGCTGGGACTACAGGTGCCCGCCACCACGTCCAGCTAAATTTTTGTATTTTTAGTAGACACGGGGTTTCACCGTGTTAGCCAGGATGGTCTTGATATCCTGACCTCGTGATCTGCCCGCCTCAGCCTCCCAAAGTGCTGGGATTATAGGCGTGAGCCACTGCACCTGGCCGATGTATTTTAAATTTTTAAAAATAGATTTCTATTCCATGTTCACTAAACATTACATCATAATTTTCTTCCCATATCATTATTTGTAAACTTCAGTCTAATGTGTAGGTGATACTTTATCCTATGAATGTAGCCTAATAACCTCTTTCCTATTGCTGGATATCTGAGGGAGCCACTTCCCCATCATTATCCCATCATTCAGCCCTAGTTTAAATAACACTGATGACTATTTTGTTTATATTTCTGATTATTACCTTAGGATAGATTCCTGGAAGCAGAATTTCTGGGTCAAAAGATATGAATATACTGAGAAAATTGAAAGAGTCTGGCTCAATTTACACTCCCACCCACATTGTATGAAAATGTCAGAATTATTGCACTTTTAACAACAGTCAGTATTATCACTTAAAAAAATCGTTACCAGTTTGAGATAAAATTGTATTGCTATCAGAATAAATATTTTTGGTTTTTTTTTCCTTTTTGGTGTATTACTTGTCATTATATTTGGCTCTAAATATAATGTTGCATTAGGAAACATTTAGTTTATTTGCCACAGGAGACTGATGTATCTAGTAGGATGCATCTCTCTTGGTATAGAAGGCCCTTTTTAAAAGATTCCCATTGGTAGAATCCAACAGCGATGTCCCTTTGCCCCTCCCTCATCCCCCTTGGTCACCAGGAAGTCACCAGCAGCTTCCATGGACAGGTTGCTCACATGTAGATGGTGTCCTACTCAAGTACCTGTAGCTCTTTGCCTGGCCATAAGAATGTTCAGGAGAGGCTAGAAGTGCAGAGAATAAACCTTACCAAAGAAGAACAGAAGTGTTCTACCCAGTCTCTCTGAGAGCCCCAGTTACCCATATCGGTGACCTTCTCGTTCACACTCTCTGGATTGGTTTTCCCCTATCTAGCTTTCCTGCTAGCTCATCTTACTTCCTAGAATCACTTCCCAAGGACACTATTGTTCCCAAATCCTAGTCTCAGGATCTGCTTTTAAGGGAACCTCCCAAAACGATATATCACAGATAGCTTTTATTGAAAAAGTATTGGTGTTTTAAAAATTTTTCCCTTCTTTGAAGATATTCTTTATTACCCATAATACATTGAAAAGTGAGTAACTGAATCCAAGGGGAAATTCTTGGTGGTATACATTAAAGAGAGTTTAATAATGGGACTTTAGATTTGATGATAAGAGCAGAATACCAATATGAGTATAATGTTAAAATACAGAATTTTTTTAAAGGCCTGTGAAAAGTTCAATAGTAATCTGTAGGACTTTTTCAGTTACTTCTTTTACAAGTGAAACTTAATTCATTAATCCCTTCTTTAAATAACTAGCCTGCAGCTTAATAACATTGGCACCTATTTTAATTATAAATCCTGAACACACTTCCTCTTTTAATTACACTTTTGAAATTCCCAACTGAAGCTCGAAAGCTGCAAATTAACTTTGAGAATACAAAATCTGAAATCAGAATCTACTGGGAGATAGATTCACCCATACATTTATCTTATGAAAACTAGTTGATAAAAATGAAGTTTGGAATCTACTTGTAAAAATTAGCTTCTGAACTTTTGTTTTTATTTATTTCAGTGAAGGCAGTGACCATTGAAAACTCTCTCTTGTTTCTCATCCTACCCAACTGGTTTCTCTTTCCTTCTCATCCTCCTGGACTCTAAATGTGAGTGACCCTAATGTCTAGTCCTCTGACTTCTGCTTTTCTCTATCTGCCTCATCCCCAGCTGAATTCATCTAGTTCCGTGATTTTAAATCTCTCTTCCAGCATTCCCAAATGTGTCCCTGCAACCCCAAACTCTCCCCTGAATTCCAGACCCTATATGATCTGCACCTAACTATGCTGCATTTCCACCTGGATGTCTACTGGGACTCTCATACTTAACATGTCTCATACTTAACATGCTCCTATCTGGAGCAGTATTCCCCATCTCAGTACACGAAAAAATCTTCCTACCAGTTGCTCAGGTTGAACACTCTGTAGTCATCCTTGCCTCCTTTCTCTTACATCCTGTATCCAAACGATTATCAGCAAATGCAGCTGGCTGTACCTTCACAACACACCCAGAACCGGACTGCTGTTCACTCCCTTCGGCACAATCATCTCAATCACTATTATGCCCCACCCAGATTATCTGCAACAGCCTCCTAACTGGTGTCCCAATGTACACCCCTGCCCACCCACAGCCTCTTCCCCAATAGTAAGCAGTGTCCTTTCATATTTAATTCCTATCACGTCACTTCTCTGCTCAAAACTGCGCAGTTTCCCATCTTATTTAGAGAAAATTCCAGTCCTTATCAAGCCCTATGAGGTCTTACATGATCTGACTCCTAGGTCCCTCCTCCTCCTCCTCCTCCTCATTGCAGCCTCACTTTGCCTACTTGGTTTTCCTCAACCACATCTTGCAAGCATCCCTTTTAGAACCTTTGCCCTTGCAGTTCCTCCTACTTGGAAGGTTGGTCCCTCAGATCTTTCCATGGCTCACTTCCCTCAAAACTTGCTTATTATAGAGATTCTCCAAACCACTTTGAATAAAACAGCACTCCACTGCCCTGGTCACTCTCCATCCCCTCAACTCTGCTTGACTGTCCTTGACAGCTGTGTATATACCTGACATATACTTATGTGCTTAATGTATTTGGTGTTTGTCTTCCTCACTGGACTGTAAGCTCCAGGAAAGCAGGAGCCCCCCTGCTGTCTTTCTACTGCTCTATCTCCATGCCTGGAATGGCATCTGTATTCAGTAAGCACTCAAAAAATATTTTTTTAACTAATTAAAGTGTAATTAACTGAGGAGCAAGCAAGAAAATATTGCTAATTTAATCCAGGTAAGATGATGCTTAAATTTATGCCACAGAAAATGAGCAAAACAGTCAATCAACTGACTCCAATTTCTCTCTCTTTCCCCTCTCTATGTGTATCTCTCTATCCATCTACCTATCAATCTCACACAGATATATGCATATATATGGATGTATATACATACATACTCATGCACATACATGTATCCAATTGCCTAACAAACATCCCTCTTGGGATGTTCTGTGGATAGCCTCATCCCCTATTACAATAAATTATAATGCTGTAGCAGTCATATGGAGTAATAAGCAGGTACATTTTAGGGGAATACTCTGAAGTAATGATCATATTATATGCAAATATAATGTCAGCTTATGCTAGTGGTTTTCAAGACTTATAGCTCATTCTCCAGGTTGCTTTAGGTCCTCCAAATTTGAATCCAACCAGCTGGTATTGTGCCTATCAGTCTCACTCCTCACACACACACTCTCTCCCAGGCAAACTGACTTGCTACCTTCTCCCATTTCCTTTATTGCTGGTCTAGGAGGGTCCAAGCATCTGCCTGAAGCATGATCACCCAGTGATTCCCAGACCACCATGAAGACTAAAAGAGAGGAAAATAATAGCTCCCTCTGATTTAATTTATGCTTTAAACGTCAACTCCAGTATTCATTTTCAAGGATGCTTCAATTATCCAGTTTATAAATACAAATTAAACAAGCCAGGTAAAAACTATCTCCTAAAATCAAAAAAGGTTAGACAATATGGAGGAATGTTCTCTCCTCACAGAAATCAGAAGAAATTTGAACACATTCTTAAAACTTTGGTATAAAGTATGAAAATCAAAGAGATGCAAATAAGACATAAGGAAAGACTATTTTGATTTAAAATCTTAACCAGAAATTATAATGTTAGACTCAAAAAACTAAGCAGTAGTGGCTGATAAATGTGCCTAGTGAGACTGCCCATGGTAACTAACAAAAAGCAACATGCAGCATCCCTGAGCCAGAATTCGATTGCAAAAACTACTCCAAAACCATGCTCCCTCCCCCATGACACTCTTCCAACCCAGACAAATGAAACCTCATAAAATCCTGATGTTAGTTGTAACCAGGCTTAACAAAGAGGGCTAAAATACCAGAGATTGTAAATACACTTTCGTGGGAATGTTCCTTACATTTTAGGAATGTATCCCTCATAGGTAAAGAAATTGCTTTGAATCAAATTGTCAGGTTACCTTCATTTTTCCAGTGGCTTTATAGCCTGCAGGTATTGGACAAGGCATGTTTTTTCCATAGAAAATTTGGGATATCTCATAAAAGGCTTCAGAAAAGAATCTCAAATCTATAAGGACTTCTATCTGTAAAGGAAAGGAAATAATGAGGTACTTAATTAAACAATTTGTTTTACTTAGAAAACAAAAGTATAGAGAAAATCGTCAACTTTCTGAGATCCAAAGTTTCTGCTTAATGTTGGTAATGCATTATGAATTAATGTTTACTAGACACAGTGGAGAGAGATGCGTGTGTCTATGTGTATGCCCATACACATGTGCAATGGACCAAGAAGCTAACAACAGCAGGCGGCTGTTCAAAACAATGGACATTTATCAGACGCTGCTTACTTCATCAGAGGCAAACACATTAATATTTTTATGATAGCTGTATAAAAGTTTTTTTAATGATTTTTTTTGTTCCCATTACTAACTATAGCTCAAAAGAAAAACAAAACAAAAACACTCCTAATGTTCTCCAGCCCAACGAGGCAAGTCAAACTGGGAGACTAACTCCACAATGTATCAACATAGAGACAACTACTAATTTTCTTTTATTTTTAACTTTTATTTTAAGTTCAGGGTACCTGTGCAGGTTTGTTACATAGGTAAATTGCATGTCATAGGGGTTTGGTATACAGATTATTTCATCACCCAGGTAATAAGTATGAGGCAGGAGAATAGGGACTGAAGGAAGGGAATCTAAGGCTGTCTCACGCGAACTTCCTTGAACTAAATCGAAAGGAAAACCCTAACTTTCCACGCCTGAGTAACAAAAGGACCAGAGGTTACTCCCTTTGGAAACCCCCACCTTTTCTGCGGGGCAGATAGGAAATTGGCTGTCCGCAACCAATCAGACTGATTGCAGGCGAGTCTTCGTTTGCATAGAAGTATAACTTTGTTACTTCACCCTAGCCTCTGATTGGTTGCCTTTTGCAACCAATCAGATGTTTGCATAGGAGAGTAACCTTTTTAACTTACTTCAGTCTCTGGTTGGCTGCTTTCTGCAACCAATCAGACTGATTGTGGGCTACCACTTCATTTACATGAGGTGAGCATGAAGTGGCCATGGGAATAGGGGACATTTGGACCCAAGAAGATTCCAGGGAATATTTGGACCCAAGAAGATTCTGTATCCAGACCCTTGAGCCGCTGCTCACACCCACTCCCGCACTGTGGAGTGTACTTTCATTTTCAATAAACCTCTGCTTTCATTCTTTTCTTGTTTCATTCTTTCTTGGCTTTGCTGGGCGTTTTGTCCAGTTCTTTGTTCAAAACGCCAAGAACCTGAACAACTTGCAGTCACAGCCCTCTACTGGTGACAAGTATAGTACCCAATTGTTATTTTTTTGATCCTCACCTCCTCTCACCCTGCACCCTCAAGCAGGCCCTGGCGTCTATTGTTCCCTTCTTTGTGTCCATGTGTCCTTAATATTTAGTTCCTGCTTATAAGTGAGAACATGTGGTATTTGGTTTTCTGTTCCTGGGTTAGTCTGCTTAGGATAATGGCCTCCAGCTCAGCTCCATGCAGGTTGCTGCAAAGGACATGATCTCATTCTTTTTTATGACTGCATATTATTCCATGGTGTATATAGACCACATTTTATCTAGTCTAACAATGATAGGCATTTAGGTTTATTTCATGTCTTTGCTATTGTGAATAGTGCTACAATGAACAATTTTCTTATCCATAATTAATGGCCACTGTTAATTTTAAATACATATATTTTAAAATATTAATCAATTTATAGCGATATATTTTATATGGCTTAATTTGAATATAATCCAGCAGGATCATCAATCAGAAAATTATAGAAAAAGGAGTTCTTACTTAAATTTGTTCAACATATTTATGGAGCACCACATATGTACCAAGCCCTCTTGGAGGTTATGTTCCATTGGGATGCATGTTTATCTAAGTTTCAGTGACACATGAAGATATACACAACATACAAAGGGATACAGGGTACTCACAAATGCTATTTTCAAGACTGTGGTCAGGAAGGAATTCTCTGTGAAGGAAACCTTCAAGAGAAGATTTGGGAATGGCATTAAAGGAGACAGACATGAAAATCTGCTAAGGGACCTTAGTGTAGAGGCCATACGGCAGAACTCAGGGAGCAAGGGGAGGAGGTCAGGAGGTGAATGTGAATGCTGGCCAAGAAAGGTCAAGTAGAACCTGAAGACCAGAGTAGGGATTTTGCATGTTATTCTCTGTGTGGTAAGGAGTTATTGGAGAGTTTTAAACAGGACAGGGCCCTAACCTGACTTAAATTGTGAAAGCTATCTAGTGACTTTGTAGAGAATAGAGAAGGGTAAATGTGGAAGCAGAGAATAAAGTATGAAATTAGATTAACATGTAAATACATAACATAGGAAAAGAAAACTCCATTTATCCTCAGCATGTCCACCCATCATACTCTCTGTTTCCCATTTATTATTATCTTAGGAATCTCAAGAGTGTGTGAATTTTAAAGAAATAAAAAGGTGGGCTAGTGGGAAATTGGATACATAAGTAACATGAAAATAAAATATAAAAATCAGGAAAATATTATTAATAAGAAAGAGAAAATAGCTTGTCTATTGAGTTGCATACTTTGGTCTTTGCCTAAGACACCTTGGGGTCTAATCTCCCCAGTGCCATATAATATCAAAGGAGGTTCAGGGGAGACACATAAACTCTTTCAGGTTTCTAGATGACCATTTTTCTCATTACCCCTAGGAGGAAACACTTCCCCATATCTGTATGTGGTTAGTTTCCTTGAGTCTTGACTATAAGATTTCTGAACATGGACTCTTTCTGGCTTCAGTTTATCATACCAATCTGACCATTTGAAAAATCAATTGGGTAAATAATGGACATATATTTTCAGAGGTGACCAACACTGCAAACACAAACAAGCCAGACAGCAAAAAGAACTACCCATAAATCAACCATTCACTCACACAAATATAGGATCATTGGTACCCTTTCTAGGTTTGATGTGTTGACAGTGACAAATCTTTCAAGATGTTGGCAGTTCTAAAGTGAAGCCAGGCCAGCTGATCATGAAGAGGTCTTAAAGCTTTCCCTGAAAGACACTAGGGCACTATAGAAACTTCAGAGTGTGATCTATTATTGCTCTTTGATTTGTCAGGAAGCATCATTGCATGTTATTTCCTGACTATGACTTTTCTCTCTTCCAACTCCCTGACCCCAGTTTACTTCAGAAAGGTCAGGCAAACTCTGCTCACACAGGCTGTCATTCCTTCCTCTGTATAATCCATCATTTGTCCTCTTTCACTGCTTCTGTCAAAACCCTAGTCTGGTTTTTCAATCCTACTATGCCAATAAGATCCCACTGCTTACTCTACTCCTGGCACTGCTACCAGATACCAGATATGATCATGTCATTCTCCTGATCCAATTTCTATAATTAATTAATTATAGAAAATAATAAGATTCTATATAAATTCTATAATTAATTCTCCAACCCAGTTCTCCAGAATTGAGTCCACAGTTCTTCTCTGGTTTTTATGCTACTCTAGGACAAAAACAGCTACCAAGTGCTAACAATATGATTAAAAAAAAAGTCATCTAGCCATTTTGTTCCAGATTATGTCCTTTGGTGCCCCTCTAGATCTCCTCTTGTTGAGTTATGATCATTGCAACCCTTTCATGCTTCTTGCCTCTTAAGGACAGACCAGACTGTACATGTTACACAATTCAGATATTGCAATCTCTTCATTTCTCTCATGGCTCCACCTCCAAATTACATCTCTTCAGAGTTGGGAATTCAAGACTAGGTCCCTGGTATTCTCAATGTCATCGACCTCTGGTATACTCATGTTATCTTCTACAACCTGCCTACCCAAAACCTCCACTCTAGTGTAACTGAACCACCCCACCCCCTAAACAAGTCAATATTTTCTCACCTATCTTTCACACTGACTGCCAAGAAATGTTCCCTTTTTCCTCTCTCCTGCTCCATGAATTCTACTCTTTTCAAGTCTAAATCTTACCTACTTATGAAACCTAAAGATTCAAAGCCATTTTTTCCTCTTTCGAACTCCTGGAGAGTGTTCATCACACTCATTTGGAAATGACCGAGTGGCAGGTACCAACATTATTGTCTTGGGTATACATTCTGTCTTTCTTCTCAGTTTTCACTTCCTTATAAGCAAGGACCATTGGTTACATTTCTTTGACTGGAGTTACTAACATGGTGCTTTTAAATAGAAAGTACTCAATAAATGTTGTTTTAGAGTTACATCAATAAATATCTACCAAGTATTTTCTAGGTGAGTTCCCACTAAACACTATAGAGAGTGGACAGTAGGCACTTGATAAATGCCTGCAGATTTTAAATTCAATAGTTAATTACTGAATTTCAACTATGTGAATGTGTTACTCAAGATACTGCAGGGAATTAAAAGATGAATAAGATACAGATCCTAGCCTCAAGAATTTTGCAATATTGAAGAGAACATTATCTTTTGTAAAAAAGAGAGAAAAGTTACATGGAGTTTCTTTTAAAAGTGTTGGAATTCAAAAGCAAGAGAACTCATAAGAGTTCAGTAACTCAGAGAGGGTGATTCAGAAATTTTCATGATCAGTAACAAATTATTTATTCCCAGGTTAAAATTATTAATAATCAGCACTAGAATTCTTAATTTCTTTACTTAGAAATAGCATGCAACAAACTATTTGGGTCTGAAAATATAGGCCCCAGGGCAGGGTTTAGACACGAAGCGAAATTCAAATGGAAGTTTAATTTTCCCTTATTAGAAAATGGGATAAATTTGGGGACAAAACGCAGAGAGTATTTCCACAAAAGCAGAAGTATGAATGAAGCCAGTGGTGTGTTGGAGCCCACTCACTCCAATTTGCAAGAGCTGATTGTGCACATCTTGTCCCCGATTCCATCGTTAGAGATGTCTTGTCGGTAGCTTGAAGTCAGACATAGTGGGAGTATTCACACCATGGATGGAGATTGAAAATGCCACAAATGAAACTTTTGAGGTGTTTTTTTGTTTTTTTTTGTTTTTGTTTTTTTTGACACGGAGTCTCGCCCTGTCGCCCAGGCTGGAGTGCAGTGGTGCAATCTCAGCTCACTGCAACCTCCTCCTTCCAGTTTCAAGTGATTCTCCTGCGTCAGCCTCCAGAGTAGCTGGGATTTCAGGCACCTGCCACCACATCTGGCCAATTTTTTATCTTTAGTAGAGATGGGGTTTCACCATGTTGGCCAGGCTGGTCTCGAACTCCTGACCTGGTGATCCGCCCACCCCGGCCTCCCAAAGTGCTGGGATTACAGGCGTGAGACATCATGCCTGGCCTTGAGGTTTTTTTTTTCAGAGCCAATTGTGACATTTACCAGCCCATAGCTGATTACTCCATTCAGTTGGAGGCAAAAGCATGAGATGATGGCCAAGAAAGATTTTAAGCTCAAGAAAGCCAAATGTTCTATCTTCAATTGTTTGTTTTGCCTCAACTTAAATTTCTCTGTCTTCCTAATTTTTAGTAAAGTCCACTATAGAAAAAAGGGTGAATATATGTTGTGTGTGTGTGTGTGCGCGTGTGTGTGTGTGCGTAAGATATAAAATAGAGTTGAATTCTATATTAGAGTTGAGGAAGTACAGAACTGGGAGCATATTTGTTGGATATTGAGATTATCCACGTACAAAACAAATTCAACAAAAGTGGGAGCTGGCAACATGGGTGATTAGGAAAGAGAGCAGAGAGAACAAGGTGCTTCCCACTCCATGTGGTGTTCAAGCCAATCAATCACACATGAATCTCAAAGGCAGAGAACCTTAACTGACTTCTGGATTATAAGATTTTTTGTAATTTAGCATCTATCTGATCTTGTTAATTCAATTACCTGTGCATTGAAAAATTCTTGTGTACCATGATATCCATAAAGGCTCTTAGGAATAAATTCACAGAAGCTCAGAAATCTGGTTCAGTTGGTCTTCACCAGGAAGCCAGTCTCTCAGAAGTGGTGATTTCCAGGCCAGTTGGTGTTGGGTGAGCCTTATTTCCATGTGCAGCTGTTCCTCACTTTACTGTGGCCCAAGCATAAAATAATCTACACCTTTCTGACTGGCTCTTTCTCATACTTTATTATAATAATGGGTAAGTTATTTCTTACATCAGTGTAATGCCATGTTATTATCAGCTTGTTATTATAAGTCCTAGAATCAAATTAATACATGACAATATCCTTAATAGTTCAAGAATATCAAATGTCTTAAAAGCTTGTAACATACCTTGAGGATTCTTGCTTCTAGATTTCTTGTTATGTCTTGACAAATTCCAGAAACAAAATATTGATACAATGCAAGGAGAGGCAGAACCTATCAGGAGAAAAACACTCTTTGTTTCAAAATATATTTTATCAAACTAATAACCTAATAATCAAATTTAGCCAAATATTAAATATAGGATATGTTATATACTGATTTGCTTTCCATGCTAGGAAACTATACTGTTGAAAATAAGTGAAATAATCTATCTAGCACATGCTTCATAAGTTTATCGGAACTTTAAGATGCTATCAGAGACTTACAGTTCCCAGTAGATGCCATTTGGTACCCCAAACCTAGGTTGCACATCTCTTTAAGCAGGAAGAGGTTAAAATCTAATCAATTATCTTCCTTGAAAATGATTAACTCAACATAAATATATGAATCACTGTGGCCTGTGGAAAAATTCTAGCAAATGAGCTACCAAATAAATGGAAAATTTAAAGCAAAGGAACTCAATCTCTGCTCCCTAACTGGATCCTACTTATTCATTTCAATGCCAGCTGCTTTTTGTCTTCAATTAGAATTTGTCTATCAACAAAAAATATTTATAACATGCCTATTATGTGTTAGGCACCGTTGAATGAGAACAAAATCTAACAAGTCCCTGCCTTCACATAGCGTATATTCTACTGGTTAAAACCCAAGCTTACTCTTCTCATAATATTTTTATTTTCCTAGAATTCACCCCAAGTTCAATTGCTCTTGAAGTCCCATGGATATATGTGAAGGCTTATAGACCATCAATATTTCAAATGGCCCAACCACGATCCATCCAGAGAAAGATGTGGAGAGGACAGTTTTGCCTAACACTGGAACAGCTCCTGACCTCAAATCAAACCTGAAGCTCAGCTCCTGCAACTGTAGCCTTCCCTGCCAAAGGAAGATGGAGTGGAAGGGAGATTGGGATCCCCATTAGTTAGCAAACTATTTCCCATAGCTCCACAGCTCTGGGTCACATAGCAAATTTTATATTCCACAGAAGTCCCCTTAGCCACTGGGCTTCTTCTGGAGAAGGTTAATGTAATACAAAATGGAAACTGTTTACTTCTTGCAATTTCACCTGGGGAACCTCTAATTGTCAGTCAACTGGCAGCTGCTAATAGCAACAGCTTTTTAAAAGGATTAGAACTGGTCTTAAATGATTTCAAACATAATACAATACATTTTTCTATAACTATGCCCTACAAACATAACACGATACCTTTTTCCACAATTAATGCAGCACAAAACATTAAAAGTTGGCGATTACCTTTGAGATTTAGTTTCTTTTCTTTAGTAAGAAATAAAAACACACCATTTTATTGCTGCCAATTGCTCAATTATTCAGAAAAACATTCTCAATTTCTTCAGCTTTAGAGAAAAAAAAAACCTCATTTCTTTTCCAGCACAGTGATATGTATTATATACGAATATGACTAGGCAGCTAAAGGTTACCCAGGGGATAGAACTATTTCTTCAACCCAGAAATGAATCCCTTTAACAGTGAGAGGGGCACCATTTTGTTATTTTTAAAAAATAAACAATATCTCACCAAGTCTGCCAAGTGTTAAATGCACTTATCAATCTCTTTAATACATGGTTTTATAAGTTAACAATTCATATCAGGGGGCAATAAATATTTTCAGTATAAAGAGAGAGTTGAATTCAGAAGAACAAATATACCGAGAGAATAGAAAAAAATATGTGGGGGAAAAAAGTAAGAAGGTATGAAAATCATGGAGGAAAGGGAAAAAAGCAGAAAAGGAGAAAGAATAGATGTAAAGAAGCAAACAAAGGAGAAAAAGAGATGCGAAAAAATAAGGAAAGAACATAAAGAAAGAAAAAAGATGAAATAATGGAGGAAAATATAAAATGGCCAACAATTCTAATAGAACATACTAATTTTTTTAATGCAACCAGCTTCAAATTTATGACATACACTGTGATTTCTTTCCCCAAAGGAGAGGAGAGCTGTACTTGGATTTTTTATTTCCTAGGACATTAAGAAATGTCTGTCTTTTACCTCATACTTAGAACCTATTTTTCTCTTAGATGCACCCTTGACAGAGAAAAGACAAGAGACATAAAGATAAACTTATCTCAATAAAGAAACACTCTCACAGTTTTGGGATTGATATAACCTGAACAACTTAATGCAGTGGCTTACAAGTACACTAGATTTCTGTGTTTGAGATCAGTGATGCATTCTGATCAATTTCACCAACTAACTTAAGAAAAAAATATAAAGTAACACAGTAAAAGGAGAAAAAGTCAAATAGACTGCTTTTGTATCCAAAATGCAAAGAAAGAATATTAATTAATACATTTTAGTTTGAAGTGTAAGTAAGAATCCCACATATATAGAGTTTAAAAGTTAAACAGTAACTGACCAAAAGAACATTAGCAAAATTTTAAAAGTATGAGGTAAGTGGAGCAAAATATCCCAGTGATATATAATTTTTATTTTACAAATTACTTACTATTAGGTTTTGCCTAACAAAGTGCAGTTCACGTATAATGTAATACAGACTTGCAATTACAGAGCAAATGTCAGCCCTGTATCTATCTGAGAAGAGTTCAATGCCTGGGAGAAGCTGAGTGATTTCATATTGAGCATAGCAACGTTCAGCTTTGGGATGTGGAAGTGTTGTTCTAAGCAAACCCTGAAAATGAAAAAAAGTGAAATATAAAGAGCTATAGATAGCATTTTCAATAATGAAACAAAAAAGATAAATACATGTATTGCTTTATAAAATGCTTAGTATATGCCTAGCACACTGTACTTTGTAATAAATGGTACTTATCATTTATATTATCATCATTACAGGTTCCAAATGCTTTTATCACTCCAGATGGGCTTTTTAAATTCCATGGTAGTTGGATACTTCTTATTTTCAAAGAAATTATCATTATATTAAATTATGTTTTGTTGAGGGTCAATCATATGTTAAGCACTGCTGGTAAATTCTTTATAAACATTATCTCATTTAATGTTATTTTAACCTGCTCTTAGAAGGATTATTATGTCACAAATGATATAATTGAGGCTTAAACAACTTATCTGAAGTCACACAGCTAACGATGGCAGAAAGGAGATTCAAAGTCATGTCTATTTAGCTAAAAAACAAACAAACAAACAAACAAATAAAAAAAAACTATGTTCTTTCCACTATACCAAGCTATAAGTAGAGGAAATGACTACTTGTTTCAGAAGTCTCAATCAGGCAGAGGTAATTCCAAACTTTTACCTGCTTAAATGAAAAGATTATTGTTTAATTTGACCACTAGTTTTTGGTAATTTATGTAACCAACATTACACTAGATGTTGGAGAAACAAGATGAACACACAAAACACATTTTTCATTTAAGGGTGCTTCTTTTGTTATTTTAACAATTAGAATTTCTTAATGACAAATGCATCATGAAATTATTTTAATGTATATATCAGAAAGAATTTCAATCCAATGGCTTATTAAGGTCATGAGATATCCTATTCTAAAATACTTTGTAGTTGTTGAAATTTTTACTATCACAAATTTGTTTTAAAACCATAAAAAGAATTAATAGGCTTTTAAAATAAATCCCACCAGCTAATTTTTATTTTAGGTATAGTATTACTAAGAAATAATACACATATTGTCCACATTAAGCAGAAAGTTAAATATTTGTTAAAACACATATTTTCTAAAACATAAACAGCATTATCTTCAAGAACAAGGAGTATCAGAAAGTAAAGAATGCGACGTAAGAAGTCAGAGTCGGGTCATTTCCTTTACACCCTTGCCTCCTGTACTTCTTCCCTTTGAAGCCCAGGCAAGAGGCGTAAGGAACATAAGAAAATTGAAAAGTCTGGCCTTCCATTCAGAGAAGGCCTTCCTGAAGAACTCACTTATTTAGATTTCATAAGCTGTGAGACTTCTCTGATACACAGAACAAGAGTGCCCATCCTTCAAAGTAAATAGAACCTTCAGTAGATTACAAAGGCCCCTGGTTACATTTTGGAATTTCAAAATGTCTTGTATTTCAAATAAAAGCTCCTTTCTTCTTCAGTGAAGGCAAACCAAAATTCTGAGAACTGTAAGCATACCTCTCCTGTAGTCTTCAAGTTATTTTTCACCTTTATCATAAGATAGATTTTATATCATATAACCAAGCAAAACTGAATTTAGAGATGAGGTAACCTAAGGCAACTATCTGAAGTCAGACTGGCTTCATACTGATTACTAGTAACATGATCTTCCTAATGACAGGAGACTCAGTTTCCCCATCTGTAAAACTCCTTCTTCTGCAGTGTAAAGGAGAAAACTGACTCTGTTAAATATTAAAGGTGGGCCAGGCATGGTAGCTCACGCCTATAATCCCAGCACTTTGGGAGGCCAAGACGGGTGGATCACCTGAGGTCAGGAGTTTGAGACCAGCCTGGCCAACATGGTAAACCCTAGCTCTACTAAAAATACAAGAAATTAGCTGGGTGTGGTGGTGCGCGCCTGTAGTCCCAGCCACTTATGAGGCTGAGGCACAAGAATTGCTTGAACCCGGGAGGCAGAGGTCACAGTGAGCTGAGATCACACCACTGCACTCCAGCCTGGCTGACAGAGTGAGACTCCGTCTCAAAAAAAGAAAAAAAAAAATTAAAGGTGAAAGTCTCACAGGGGTTCAGCCAGCAAGAGAAAGACGGGCTTGTCATATTTAATCAAGATTCATGTTATTTTGCTACCTGTGAGTTTTCTGAATATGATAAACTTTTTTTTACTGATCCAATGAATGGTTGTGCTACAATGGAAAAACATACATACATAGAGTGTTACCTGAAAGAGTAACGCAGACAAAATGCAACAGTCAGTTTTCTTTTCAACATTCAATGACTTAATAAATCTAAGTAAGTATAAGAAAAAAAAATTGATTAGTAGAAATTTTCCAAAAACATTTTGATATAAATGTCTTTACATATATATCTAGAACACAAAAAGTATAAGAAAAATGCATACATATAAATATATAAGAAAATAGAAGGAAAATATATTAAAGAAGATAAAAAATCCCCTATAATCCTACTGCCTAAATATGATTACTAGTAACATTTTAGTCAATTTCCTTATATGTACTTTTTCTGTATATAATTATACACACGGAGAAACATATACATACATATTAAGACTAGAATTATGCAATACATACTACTTTATAAACAAATTTTTCATTCACAGACATAACGAACTATATCATTATTCTAAAGAACTTTAATGTTTTATCATACAGATGTGCCATAACATAAAAATATGAATCTCCACTTTGGCATTTTCCAATGCTGAGGTAAACATTGTTATGCCTACACTTTTGAGCACTTATCCTATTGGTTCCACTGAATGAACCCCTGGACGTGGAAGTTTTTGGTAAAAGGGGGCGCACAGTAAAGGCTTTTGATGAGTGCGGTTAAATAATTCCCCCTAAAGACTGAAGCATTGTATTTTCTCTCTAGCTGTTTATTATGGAGCCATTCACAACATTAAGTATCTCCACCAAACATTAATGTCTCTCCATTTACAACTCTTTCATTTTATGTCCCTTAGAAGAAGAGTTTGAGTGTTCTATATATGAGTCTTAAAATTCACATTTGCAACTACAAACCACATTACCTTCTCCTAAGTCTTTCTTAGATAAAACCAGTCAGGTTCACTACATTAACAACAATGTTAATGTAGTCTACCTCAGTTCAGCTTCACTGTGTGGATCTTCAAGTGTGGTATTTTACAGGGCGGGGAGAAGAGTTTCCTCTACTCAGGGAGTCTAGGAAAACAGCCAAAGCCCCCGTAGAATGACATCTCCTATGGCAGTCAGACTTCTGGCTGGGAAACCAGGAAATGACTTTCTGTTTGTTGAAAATCACTTGGTAATAACTTCAGAAGCTCAGAGAAGCGGAGGTGCCCTCTGGCAGGAAGGCTGTAGCTGTTCCTTTCCAAGCTGTTCCTTTCCTTGGCTTTTCCATTCCCAATTGCCAAGCTCCAATAAGTCACAAGCTCAGATTTTGTTGAGAGAGAGAAAATTGTATGTGTGTGTGTGCGTGTGTGTGTTCTATCCCAGGAGCACAAAAAAATCAAACTTGACAGAGGTCTAAATCTTTGACGTTTAATACTTTTAAAGCAGTACTTTCTTACTTCCCTGACTGAAGATGCTAATCTGAAAGCAATGTGATCACTACCTAGGAACAGTTAAGTTTTAAGTGTGCTCTACAGCTTAAAACACTATGCAGGTTGTTGCTCACCACCTCCGACAGGTAAGCTAAAGAGGTAACTGTAACTGGAGAGATGAAGGAAACCTATACCTCTAATCCCTCCATACTTTTCAAATTTCTCATGTTAATCAGAAATTTGAAATACTTCAGATATTTGTGAGTGCTAGCTATGCGTAAGCCATTCTTGAAGACATTCACATGTGTTATGTGTGGTAGGCTAAATAATGGTCCCCCAAAGATATTCATGCCCTAATCTCCAGAACCTATGAATATGTGACCTTACAGGGCAACAAAGTCTTCGCAGATGTGATTAAATTAAGGCCACTGAGATAAGGAAGATTATCCTGGATCGTCACGATGGCCCTTATAAGAGAAAGGCAGGAGGGTCAGAGACAGAGAAGGAGATGTGAAGATGGAAGAAAATATGAGAGACAGACAGAGAGAGGCAGGTGTGGGGGAAAGATGCTCAGCTGTTGGTCTTGAAGACAGAAGGTGGGGCCATGCGCCAAGGAATGCAAGAGACCTCAAGAAGCTGGAAAAGATAAGGAAGCAGCTTCTCACCAGGAGCCTCCAGAGGAAGCACAGCCCTGATGACACACTTATTTTATGATTTCTGAACTCTATAACTGTAAAATAATAAACCTGTTTTGTTTTAAGCCGCTAGGTTTAGGGTAATTTGTTACAGCAGCAAAAAGGACACTAATACAGTATGTATTATGGGCTAAATTCTATCCCCTAGAAATTCATATGTTGAAGTCCTAACTCTTAGTGATATAGTTTGAATATACGTCCCCACCAAATCTCATGCTAAACTGTTATCCCCAGTATTGGAGGTGGGGCCTGACAGGAGGTGTTAGGATCATGGTGGTGGATCCCTCATGAATGGCTTAGTGCCATCCCCTTGGTGATGAGTGAGTTCACATCACATCTGGTTGTTTAAAAGAGTGTGGCACCTCCCACTCTTTCTCGCTCCCATTCTTGCCATGTGAGATGCG
Source organism: Homo sapiens (assembly GCF_000001405.40). NCBI lineage: Eukaryota > Metazoa > Chordata > Mammalia > Primates > Hominidae > Homo > Homo sapiens. Next base: position 96,686,563 of record NC_000012.12, on the reverse strand, counting down.
GGCTCCCATATTCAAATATGGCCTTCTGTCATAATTGAAAGCTTCCTGAGGCCTCCCCAGAAACCCAGCAGATGCTGGTACCATGCTCTCTGTAGAGCCTGCAGAACCACGAACCAATTAAACCTCTTTTCTTTACAAATTACTCAGTCTTGGGTATTTCTTTGTAGCAAAGCAAGAACAGCCTAACATACCCAGTAACCTCAGATTGTGAACATGCTTGGAGACAGGGCATTGAAAGAGGTAAGTAACTAAGTGAAAATGAGGCCACAGAGGTGGGCCCTAATCCAATATGACTGGTATCCATATAAGAAGAGGAGATTAGGATATTGACATGCTGAGGAAAGACCACTGTGGACACAGTGACCTTTCTACAAGCCAAGAAGAGAGGCTTCAGAAGAAACCAATTAACCAACACCTTGTTCTCCAACTTCTAGCCTTCAGAATCATGAGATAACAAAGTTGTTGTTTAAGCCACCCAGTCTGTGGTACTTTGTTATGATAGCCCTAGCAAACTGATGCAGTATAGCATGTAATTTTTACCACCTTGGCTTAGAGATGAGGACACTGAGGCTCAGAAGGAATGTGAAACTTGTTGAAAGTAACTGGTTTCTAGTACACTTTTGAATGAGGCCCATGCCTGACTGCCTCCACACTGTTTTCCTGCTTCCTCACCAACTGCTCATTCATTTGACCACGCAACAAGTCATTGTTGAGCCAGACGCCGTGGCTCATGCCTGTAATCCCAGCACTTTGGGAAGCTGAGGTGGGCAGATCACCAGAAGTCAGGAGTTCCAGACCAGCCTGGCCAACATGGTGAAATCCTGTCTCTACTAAAAATACAAAAGAATTATCTGGGCATGGTGGTGGCCACCTGTAATCCCAGCTACTCGGGAGGCTGAGGCAGGAGAATCTCGAACCCAGGAGACGGAGGTTGCAGTGAGCTGAGATCAAGCCACTGCACTCCAGCCAGGGCAACAGAGTGAGACTCCGTCTCAAAAAAAAAAACCCAAACAACAACAAAAAAAACAAGTAGTTATTGAATGCCAGCTGCATATCTGGCACTTGGGATCCATGAGTAAGCAAAGCAAACACCTGGGCCCGGGTGACACTGATATTTTGGGGCAAGAGTTGTGTTACAGGAAGAAGAGATAATCATAAGCAATAAACATCACAAATAAGTAAATAAACTGTAAGGCCCTGTATGATATGGACATAACCTCCCAGAAATCCAGTGTGCATGAGGCATAGCACTTTGTATGGCACAGGAGGGCACCCCACAAGGAAGCTGTTAGCTAGTACGGGGATCCTTCCATCCTCACACTCACTGTGCTATCTTTGCTGATATGACTGCTCCTTGCAAACACCCCCAGATGCCAACTCTTGACAGAAACTCCTCACTGTAGTCTTTGAAACCCGGAGGTGAATGACTGTTGGTGACATTGGTGAGTGAGGGGCCAAATTCTTTCCACGTGTGTAGCACGTCTGGTTTTCTGAATATGTCATCAAGAGCTTGACACCAACACTTAAAAGCAGCCCTAAAACAGAGACAAAGCATCAAGCAGTAAGTTTTCTGAGACCCATTATTAAATCTATCTTCCAGAAGGGAAAGCAAATACACCGAAGCAACGTCAATTAACATACGTATAACTATAATACATTCACTGTTCTTAATGGTTTCTCTCAGGTAGCATTTGATGAATAAAATGTAGCAATGTAGTATTGTTGAAGAACTAAAATTTATGAAAGACAATGTTTTTTCATTAAAAACTTCTTCAAACAAGCAAATAAAAAACCTTTGCCCTTGTTCTACAGACTTCTAAAAATCTACCTTTTCTTTTCTGCGAAGATGAGAAGACTTCCAAGTGAATGCAACGCCTGAACTTTAAGACTTCTTTGATTGCTGGCTTGGAGAACATCTATATTTTTAATCAAGTAAAAGAACAAATGTCAGTTCCTAGAAAAATATTTTTTTATATTTGCAAGAATTTTTTAAACTGCACTATTCCTTAACTGTGTAGATTGCAATAAGCAAACTGCAAGTTAACAGCGCCTTCAAATGTCACACGATATATATACAAAGAGAGCGAGCAAACGTTCTGTTTGATTACAGAGTGAAAGACTGGCTCTAACAGATAGTAATAATGGGGCATCATGGGAATAAAACTCAGACAGGTAGAGACAGGAGAAGAGAAACTTAGAAACGGCATGCAAGGGAGAATGGCTGGGTATGTATAGGAATGATGGGCATGACTGGAGTATAGTTTTCTGGAGAGGGTGAACTGAGTCTGAAGTGGGAGGCAGTGGTCAGATTCTGAGGGCCTCTGACTGCCACTTGGAGAAATGTGGATGTTATCCTATAGCAGATGGAAAGGCTCAAAGGGTTTGTTTTTTAGCAGACATGTGACAAGATCACCACATATCAGATTTCTCCTTTTACCTGAAGGCAGAAAATATCTTTAATATCACATAATTGGACAGGCAAGGTAGCTCATGCCTATAATCCTAGCACTTTGGGAGGCCAAACCGGGCAGATCACCTGAGGTCAGAAGTTCAAGACCAGCCTGGTCAACATGGTGAAACCCCGTCTCTACTAAAAATACAAAAATTACCCAAGTGTGATGGCACATGCCTGTAATCCCAGCTACTTGGTAGGCCAAGGCAAAAGAATTGCTTGAACCCGGGAGGTGGAGGTTGCAGTGAGCCAAGATCGTGCCACTGTACTCCAGCCTGGGCAACAGAGTGAGACTCCATCTCAAAAAAAAACAACAACAAAATCACACAATTTTTTTTTTCTAATGAATGCATGCATTCTGGGATGTGTAGCCAAAAACCCCAACCAACATGGCAGTGGTTTCTAATGAGGACAATGCTGTTCTCTAGAGGCTATTTTAGAAATGTGAGAAAGGGTTTTGCTAGATGTCACAATGGGGGCATCTCTTGGTAACTCATAGGTTAAGACCAAAGATGTCAGATGGCCTGCAAGGCACAGAAACTTCCCCTACAGTGAAGGAAAAGATGATAAGCCTGTTTATAACTATCTGAATTCACATCGAACTTCGTTTTCCACATAAAAAGGGTATTTCTGCATGATTTCTAAATGTACATGATTTCTGAATTTTCCAGACATTGCAACCACTGTAGTACTTTGTTTTGCTCAGGACTTTACCAAGATTAATTTGCCATTTTAGAAAATCATGTCACAAAACTTAACCATGTTGATAGTATTTGAGTCACCAATACAACATACCTGTCTCTGTCTGCATGTGTAACTGTCACATTCATGGTGATTCCATATCCAGGATATAAGCATCTGATTATTTCTTTACAGCTTCTAATGCCTAAGCATTTACATACCAACAAACTGATTCTTTTATTATAAAGTGATGCTATTTCTCCCCTATTTTTATATTTAGAGCTTCATAATAATTTGTTTCAAAATAATGTGTATAAGAAGAATATATTAAATACAAATTTTATTTCAGGAAATAAAAGGGGCATCATAAAATGTCTGTTAGGAAAAAAGAGAACATTGGGTCTATCGTATGGGTTAAGAATATACTACTGAAGCTGTAGAAAAGCAAATCAAGGGAAAGACAAGGAAAATGGAATTAGATGGGACCAGAAAAAAAGAACATCATCTCCATCCCCACAAAGAGTTCACAGCTCCAATGAAAGAGGGATAAAGAGAAGGGTGGCCTAGAATCTCACAATAGTGATGGACAAGCTAAGAAAATGGGTAAACAGAGGAGGCTGGAAGCTTCTTCTGTCTCCAGGCTGTTCTGTCACTGCTGCAGGGATATAGGTTCTTTTATCTTTCTTTTAAAAGTAAGATTTCAGGACCAGATGCAATCTCAGCATTAATGCAGAAGATCATATTGAAAATGGAGACATAGCCGGGTACAGTGGCTCACTCCTGTACCAGCGTTTTGGGAGGCTCAGGTGGGCTTATAGCTTGAGCCCAAGAGTTCAAGATCAGTCTGGGCAACATGGCAAAACTCTATCTCTACAAAAAATATAAAAATTAGTCAGGTGTGGTGGTGTGAGCCTGTGGTCCCAGCTGCTTGGGAGACTGAAGTGGGAGGATGGATTGAGCCCAGAAGGTTGAGGCTGTGATCACACAGTGAGCTGTGATGGCACCACTGCACTCCAGCCTGGATGACAAAATGAGACCTCGTCTCAAAAAAAAAAAAATTTAAAGAAAATGAGTACATAATGGCTAACTCTTACCAATAGTTTGGTGATAAGAAGAAATTACAAGTCCAAGTTGTGAATATGGAAGTTTGCTTTTCTCCACGGAACTAAAAACTCTGAAGTGCTCCTGAGAAAGGTCAGGGGGTATTGACATATGCATCTCCTCTGTCCCCAGGCAAAATTCCACCTTTCCAGAAGTACATTTTGAATCATTTATTTCTCCTTTCTCTCCTAAATTCATGAAAAATAATAATAATAAATCAATTTAAAATGTAGAAAGAAGGGAAGTTGGGAGGGAAGGTAGAGAAAATGGAAAGCAAAAAGAAAGGAAATATTTTGTATATAGCTGAGACATTTTTGCAGTTTGAGGGACACTATTTCCTTAAACTTAGTATCCAGGATCATAACTGAAGACCCTAGGTATGTGTGGATAGGCTCCATGTCTGCGTTATCTCATCACAAGCACTACAGAGGGGCCGGGCACAATGGCTCACACCTATAATCCCAGCACTTTGGGAGGCAGAGGCGGGTGGATCACCTGAGGTCAGGAGTTTGAGATCAGCCTGGCCAACATGGTGAAACCTCGTCTCTACTAAAAATAAATTAGCCGGGCGTGGTGGCGCATGTCTATAGTCCCAGCTACTCGGGAGGCTGAGGCAGGAGAATCGCTTGAACCAGGAGGCAGAGGCTGAGGCAGGAGAATCGCTTGAACCCAGAAGGCAGAGTTTGCAGTAAGCCAAGATCACGCCACTGCACTCCAGCCTGGGCAAGACAGCAAGACTCCATCCAAAAAAAAAAGCACTACAGAGGACTGTCAGCCAGAAAGCAAATATTGAGATAAAGCTTTGCTTCTTGTGGGGACTGGTGGAAGTTGCATAGTTTGAGTTTGCCTTTTTTAAATAGCTTCCAACAGTAAGGTGTTAGTGTGCCTCTGGGCCAGAAACCTCTGGGATAGAAGCAACACACAGGTAGTTCTGGCCTGAGACAAAAAAAAAAAAAAAAGGAAAAACCTTGTCTCTTTATAAGATCAGAGAAGACATAAGAGAAAAATCTATATTCTAGGGGAAGTAGTTAAAAGTAATAGAGAAAGAAGCTAGTATAGATTTTGAAGTCTACAGCCTGAGGACTAGAGATAAACTACTGAAAATATTTTGGTACCAGGTGAGATTCAGAGCGAGTTGGTATAAACCATTCCTAGGAATTGCATTTGCCTTTTTATTTATGCCCTTACCCACTTTTTGTGTGTGTGTGTGGGGGGGTGCTTTTCTGTTTTGTTTTGTTCTGTTTCATTTTGAGACAGTCTCGCTTTGTCACCAGGCTGGAGTGCAGTGGCACAATCTCGGCTCACTGCAACCTCTGCCCCGCCGGTTCAAGTGATTCTCATGCCTCAGCCTCCTGAGTAGCTGGAATTACAGGTGCACGCCACCACACCGGTTAATTTTTGTATTTTTAGTAGAGACAGGGTTTCACTATGTTGGCCAGGCTGGTCTCTAACTCCTAACCTCAAATGATCTGCCCTCCTTGGCCTCCCAAAGTGCTGGGATTACAGGCGTGAGCCACGGCGCCCAGTCAGCCTTACCCATTGTTAATGTATGGAGCAATTAAAAGAAGCCAAACAGGATATGGAGAACTAATTTAACATAATGTGAGTCTGCAGACAATATAACCAAAAACTATGGATACATATCATAGAAAGTGTGGGGGGTGGGCAACAACAACAAACAAATAAATATGTAAATAAATAAAACTCTGTCTGCATTTGTAAAAACAATTGGTCAAATTTCTAAAAGATCATTTCAGTGGAAATTAGCATTTTAATTAAGTATAAGTTTAAATCTGTTTTTAATAACTTTATATTATTTTACATGTATTTGTCTATTATTTAAATTTATTCTTATTATTCTGACCAATTTGAATAGCAAGAATCATAAATATAAAACAGGATTTTTAAAAATTTTAAATAAGTTAAGTATAGATAGTTCAGGATTTTTCCAGCCTAAATTTGAATGTACTCTTCTCTGAGGTTACCATTTAATCACTCAAAGCCCAGCTTTGCTTGAATTCACAAGCAGATAGATGTTACAAGAGAAAACAAATAAATGCAATGCAACCAACAATAGTGAATATCTTGCTTTAAGCTAAAATAAAAGCCCTAAGAGCAAAATCTATAGTATTAATAAGAAATCTTGTTGATGCTTGCTTTAAAAGGTACCCATTTCTTTGCCACTGATAAAGTAGTGTTTTGGCAAAAGGTTCTAGTTAACTCAGTGTGATTCAATCCGTCTACTTATGAAGTAAAACAAGACCATAGTGCCACACCTAAAGAAAACTGTAAGAAGAACATAAATGTACAGAATCAAAAATTAATGAATATTGTCACATCTAATACACTCAAGAGAGTTTGATAGTTTCACAGAAAGCATAAAAGCGAGTGAGTGAGAAAGTGCATTGGTTAAAGTGTAAGACACAGAATAGATCCACTGGACAAGAGGAAAGTGAAAGGCATCAGGGAGTGTTGCATGTACACGGGGAGGGAAGAATGAGAGGGCAGAAGAGGGACATCTGCAGGGTGGTCACCCCACATAAAGAAAGATTCAGAGATACAGAACATGCATTTTACCTTGTGTCTGTGCAAGAAATAATGAAAGCAACTTTCTGCTGTGTCGGATTGATCTGTTATGGTATTTGGATTTTTCCAGTGTCTCTCTAAAACACCTCAAGGTGTCTGTCACGTCCACGGGCACGCAGACAAGCGCTTTGGCTCGGCTGTATTCTGAAAGGAAAGAAAAGCGGAATATTGGGGATGAAATGCTGCACCAAGCCAAGGTAAGAGCCAGCAAGTTTATAATTCAGAGAATTTCTTGGTCCCAACCTAAAGCCGCTAAATTCAAAGCCCCCAGATCTGCAGCAGGTGTTTCAACATTCAGATCAATTTTTTTTTTCTTTTAGTATACCAGAAGGTCCTTTTAAAAAAAAAAAAAGCTTGGAAAACTTTTGATTCTTATGAAATGCAAATAACTTTAGATCTTGCCAATTTTCCCCATGAAGCCTCCTTTTTCTTTTGCTGATCATAAAAAATGAAATAATCTACTCCTTTTCAGCAGCCTCTTCAAAGCAAAGGTGCCTTGGGAAAGAGACAAAAAGAAGAAACAAAGGAAGAAATAAAGTTGCTTGGAGATGGGCATCTGCTCTCGGAAGGGAAGGAAAAGACAGATTCCTAATACTGAAAGGTGCAGAGGAAAGGAAGAGGGGGACCCAGGAGTGGGTATAGAACTAACTAACTGTCCTGAAAAGTGCCCAGAAAGGGGAGATAGTGGGAGAGAGTTGCTTCGAGGTCTCTGAAGAGTGAGTGAGGGCCTGGGACTTCAGCTGCAGCATTGCTGCATACATCATGAAGCAGGACCAAGAGAGAGGAATCACAGTTTGCAGGACTGAAAACAAAAGAATGTATTTCTTCAACAAGTTGAACAAGTGGAAGCCCCCCTGTAAAATCTAAGGTCTTAACAGTATAGCAACTTACATGGTAAGTTGGAAGAGGTTAAGAGGCATGGTCTTTGCCCTCAAGAAATTCACTATCTAGCTGAAGGGATGGGACACTCCAACACTGGAGTAATAAAGTCACATTTGCAGGGAATATTTGGTTACATGCCAAAATAAGGGAAAGATGGAAGACAGAGATCAGTGTAGGCAGGAAAAGGTGAGCAACAAAGACCTTGTGGAAGAGAAGATAGGCCAGCTGTGCCTTCGAGGATAGGGAAAACTTGATTAGGACAAAAGAGACAAGTGGCTCTAGATAGTTAGAATAAGAACAGGAATAGCTAGGCAGGGTGAGGCAGCTCACACCTGTAATCCCAGAACTTTGGGAGGCCGTGGCAGGTGGATCACTTGAGGTTAGGAGTTTGAGACCATCCTGGCCAACACGGTGAAACCCCGTCTCTACTAAAAATACAAAAATTAGCTAGGCATGATGATGCATGCCTGTAATCCCAGCAACTGAAGAGGCTGAGGCAGGGGAAATCACTTGAACCTGGGAGGTGGAGGTTGCAGTGAACCAAGATTGCGCCACTGCACTCCAGCCTGGGTGACTCCGTCTCAGAAAAAAATTAATTAAAAATACAAAAACGAAGGGGTATAGAAGTTAACCACTTCTAAAGGTTAATCTCAGTTGATCCTCACAGCACCTTAAAAATGGTCAGGAGTAGAAATCACTGACGCTTTACAAAGGAGGAAAAGTGAAGTTGAGGGGTATGAACTTGTTTGAAGCCCTTAAGAAGAGATGAATGGAAGAACCGGTGTTCAAGTCCAGTGCCTTCCCCAGATGATTCACCAAAGGACAACAAATCTTGGGTAACAGACAATGACCCAGATTTGTAACCCAGATTTGGGCACAGAGATGCCTCGAGAATAGGATGGGAATGAGCCTAAAGAAAGTTAATAAGGGAAGAAACCTGGAGTCATTATGAGCCCAGGGAGCAGGGAGGTCCTGATGGAATAAGTAACACAGGGTTACTTTCTGTGGCCACAGAGACAGCATCTTTCAACATACCCTAATGTCCAGAAATCCTGGAGGCTTCAGTCAAACCAGGGACATGGCCGCATTGACAGAAGTAATTGTTTCCCCTGCAAATTCAGTCTTGACACAATTCCCTATCACACATTTAAGAGAATCAAATACTTAGGCCAAAGTGGTTCTTGTGAACTCCCTGGAAGCTCTCATTCTTCTTCCTTACCAGTTTCAGTCTCCTGTCTGCTCTGCCCTGTCCCCACCATCTCCCTCCTTAGTGTCCCTCTCTGCTAAGCCATGCCCAGTCTTGCATGGTCCCAGGCAGGCAGACCTCCTACTCCTCATGCCCCCACCCTCATCCACAACACCCCGAAGATTGTAGGTTTCTGCTCTGTTTCTCTATTTTTCTTAGAAGAATTCATGAGCTTGGCTTTTATCTTTTTCTCCTTAGAGAATGAGATCAGGAAAAGAAGTTAAGCAAATATCTCAGTCAGTTGAAACTGCTATGAGAAATTACCATAGACTGGGTGGATTATAAACAACAGAAATTTATTTCTCATCAGGTGCTGTGGCTCATGCCTGTAATCCCAGCACTTTGGGAGGATGAGGCAGGGAGGATCCCTTGAAGCCAGGAGTTCAAGACAGGCCTGGACAATAAAGCAAGACCCTGTCTCTACAAAAAAAATAAAATAAAATAAGTTAGCTGGGTGCAGGGGCATGTGCCTGTAGTCCTAGCTACTTGGGAGGCTGAAGTGGGAGGATCACCTGAGCCCAGGAGTTCCAGGCTACAGTGAGCTATGATCATGCTATTGCACTCCAGCCTGGGTGACAGAGTGAGACCTTGTCTCAAAAAAAAGAAAAGAAAAGAAATTTATTTTGCACAGATATTTGGGGCTAGAAGTCTGAGATCAGGAGACCAGAATGGTAGATTCTGGTGAGGGCCCTCTCCCTGGCTCGCAGACGGTTACCTTCTCATTGGTCCTCCCTCCCATGATAGAAGCGGGCTACAGAGCAACCTGGGGTCTCTTTTGTAAAGACACCAAGCTGGGTGTGGTGGTTCATGCCTATAATCTCAGCTCTTTGGGAGGCCAAGGCAGATGGATCACCTCAGGTCAGGAGACAAGGTGAAACCCCATCTCTACTAAAAATACAAAAATTAGCCAGGTCTTGTGGCAGGCGCCTGTAGTCCCAGCTACTCAGGAGGCTGAGGCAGGAGAATCGCTTGAACCCCAGAGGTGGAGGTTGCAGTGAGCTGAGATTGTGCCGCTGCACTCCAGCCTGAGCGACGGAATGAAACTCCATCTCAAAAAAAATAACTAAATAAAAGTAAAGACACCAATGCCATTCATAAGGGCTCCACCCTCATGACCTAATTTATCCTCCAAAGGACCCACCTCCTAAGATCATCATATTAGGGGTGAGGATTTTAACATTTAGGTGGGGGGGACCACAAATATTCAGCCCATAACAGCAAGCAAATGAAAGGAGGAAAGCTGGAAGCCCCCACATATAATAATATGAGATAGTTACCTTCTCTAAGCCATAGTTTTAAATATCTGTTAAAACTGGGATGATAATTCTTCCTTCATTAACTTTTCTCAGGCTTGTCCCTGTCCTATTTATTTCCAGAGCATCCCTCTCACCAAAATCAGGATGGCTCAGAGGGTTACTATTTTAACCTGTGTGTGGAGGTGCAGAGTGTCTAGCACAGAGCCTGTCATGGAGTAAGCATTCAGCAGATGAAGACTCACATCATGACTACTGGTCATGTATCTTTTTTTATTATACTTTAAGTTTTAGGGTACACGTGTACAACATGCAGGTTTGTTACATATGTATACATGTGCCATGGTGGTGTGCTGCACCCACTAACTCGTCATTTAGCATTAGGTATATCTCCTAATGCTATCCCTCCCCTGCCCCCCACCCCAAAACAGGCCTCGGTGTGTGATGTTCCCCTTCCTGGGTCCATGTATTCTCATCCTTCAATTCCCACCTGTGAGTGAGAATATGCAGTGTTTGGTTTTTTGTCCTTGCGATAGTTTGCTGAGAATGATGGTTTCCAGCTTCATCCATGTCCCTACAAGGGACATGAACTCATCATTTTTTATGGCTGCATAGTATTCCATGGTGTATATGTGCCACATTTTCTTAATCCAGTCTATCATTGTTGGATATTTGGCTTGGTTCCAAGTCTTTGCTATTGTGAATAGTGCTGCGATAAACATACTTATGCATGTGTCTTTATAGCAGCATGATTTATAATCCTTTGGGTATATACCCAGTAATGGGATGGCTGGGTCAAATGGTATTTCTAGTTCTAGATCCCTAAGGAATCGCCACACTGACTTCCACAATGGTTGAACTAGTTTACTTTCCCACCAACAGTGTAAAAGTGTTCCTATTTCTCCACATCCTCTCCAGCACCTGTCGTTTCCTGACTTTTTAATGATCGCCATTCTAACTGGTGTGAGATGGTATCTCATTGTGGTTTTGATTTGCACTTCTCTGATGGCCAGTGATGATGAGCATTTTTTCATGTGTCTTTTGGCTGCATAAATATCTTTTTTTGAGAAGTGTCTGTTCATATCCTTTGCCAACTTGTTGATGGGGTTGTTTGTTTTTTTCTTGTAAATTTGTTTGAGTTCATTGTAGATTCTGGATATTGGCCCTTTGTCAGATGAGTAGATTGCAAAAATTTTCTCCCATTCTGTAGGTTGCCTGTTCACTCTGATGGTAGTTTCTTTTGCTGTGCAGAAGCTCTTTAGTTTAATTAGATCCCATTTGTCAATTTTGGCTTTTGTTGCCATTGCTTTTGGTGTTTTAGACATGAAGTCCTTGCCCATGCCTATGTCCTGAATGGTATTGCCTAGGTTTTCTTCTAGGGTTTTTATGGTTTTAGGTCTAAAATTTAAGTCTTTAATCCATCTCGAATTAATTTTTGTATAAGGTGTAAGGAAGGGATCCAGTTTCAGCTTTCTACATATGGCTAGCCAGTTTTCCCAGCACCATTTATTAAATAGGTATAAATTGAGTGCTCACAAGTACTAGGCACTGTGCCTGGCACCAAAGGGAGACACAAGTGAACAAAACAGACAGTCTCTATTCTCACCAAGCTTACATTCTAGAATAAAATCTGAAAATTTTTATTTATAACAAGAACAGTCTGAATAAAATCATCCCACTACTTTTTTATCTGGCTGATAAATAATTCCTCTTTGTGTTCTTCCTAAACTATATTTCACTTTCTTTTTCTCCCCTTTTTTCAAGCCCTGCAGATCTTTTTCCTGGTTGTCTAATTAGGGTTCTGTTGGTGGTGGTGTGGCTGTCTACATGAGATAAATGATGCAAAGCAATGAGGAGGCGGCATTAGCTTCAGGGCCCTTATCTTGACAGCTCTGCCTCAAGGGGTTTCCTCTCTGAAAACGTCCATGGATAATTTAAGAAGCTATTCCAAAGGCACTAGTAGCCTCAACAGTTTGAAATAGGTAAGAAAGAAGAAGGAGGAGAAGAAGCAAAAAAAAAAAAAAAAGAAAAACATTGTGTCTTTCATTGTACCACTCTAGAAATGAAAGCTGAAATGCCAATGACTCCTGAGAAAGGGGTCCACCACGGAAGGATCCCAGCAAGTGATCTGAAATTTGGGCTGCTTCCTACACTCGAGGCCACATCAATCCAAATGCCCAAAGGCACTAATCAAACACACCTGCCAAAGGGCTGAAAATTCCAACACACCTGAGGACTGAATAACTCTACCAGAGAACTTAAACACCAGTAAGGTCAAAACTCAAGAGAGTGATCCCAGGCAGAATGCAAAAACAGCTTCAATAAAAGGCATATCCATGGAGTTATCTCCCCTATGGAGCTTAACAAGCAGGCAAGTTACTCACCCATACAAGAATATCTATAAAGTGAGGTGTTCTCACTTCTCCAAATCCTACAGAGACTATACCAAATTACATATGCATTATTAAATAGTTGAAGGGAGAATAGGATGCTGTTAAATAATGAGTACACCAAATGTTCCTAGGCACTGGAGCATTGCAATATCTATTCTGAAGAATTAAATGTATCGCATCACCACTAAATGCCATTATGCCGAAAGAAAATCTATGATGGTCTAAAGCAGCGATCTGGTGTGGAAACCATCATGAGTACTCTGTCTTTTAAAAGAATTGCAAACATATCAGGGTGATGACATACATAAGACCCAACATGCTTATAAATATGTTGATGATCTGAGTTCAGTATACTGGAAAAATTCAGCATTCTAAAACTTTGCCAAATAAACCCAAGAGCATAGACCAAAAAACATTCCCAATAACAGAGGTCCTAAAATCTTAGAGAGAGCTACAAGTTGGATGCTAACCTTTTAATGATAACAATTCCATGTAAAACCTATAATTAATATACAGGATCATCTAAAAATTACCACACTATCACAGTAAGTCAGAATAAAGTGTCTGTCTTCAGTGACCACTGAAATACAGCAAACTTCTTCTTGAATGCTGTAAATTTAGAGGCAATTCCAATCTGAAAGGGAGCAACGGAGAAGAGGCCAGGTAGCACAGTGGAGCACTCAAGGATTGAGTAATTAAAGCAGGGTTTGAATCACAGGCCCACCACTTACTAGTAATGTTTAATTTTCTCATGTGCAATATAAGCATAATAATATCTACCTCCTTTGACTGTAAAAATTAAAGAAGCTAAATATAGTTCCAGCTCAATAAATTATTACTGTCATTACAGTATTTAGAAAATTTTATCTATTCAAATATTCCTGTTCTAATGACTGCTCAAACTGTCTGTGCCTCTACCGCCATTGAGAATCAACCCAAAGGATTACTGTAGCCTGACTGCACTTCCCTTCCCTTCTGTCCCACTGCCACCCTCTTGCCTTTCCAAATGTAACTTTAACAGGAGGCAAACAAAGTGCTTTTCTGATATATTGCACCTATCATCAGTAAACATCTACAGGTACACAGGTCTAGAATTTTACTAGATATGTTTTTCTTATCCCTTTGATGCTAGTCATCATTTTGATAACAACCATTTTTCACATATTTTCTCACATTTGTAGCAACTCTTTTTAAGATGGAAGGGATAACATAAATCACATTTTGAGTTATGGATCCCAAAGTAGGAGAATTCCCCAGGTTTCACAGACAAGCTCAATAAAAGAACACACCCAGGAAGAACTGTACTCTGAAAAAAACTCATCACACATGATTGACCATAAGAAGGTGGTCTTCCCATTGTTTCTGACTATGAGGGGTAATCTGATTATCATTGGCAGTAACACCTACAAATTCACGGTCACCAATCTCACTCATTGGACCCTCTAAATTACTCTACAACCCTTCTCCCTTCCTTTCTCCTATGACTTTATCAGTCAGCCCACTCTTTCATTCCTTCTGAAATCTCCAACCCAATCAATATTGGCTATACTCGCAGCCCCTTGCTTCATTGAGAAAACTTCCAGTACCCAATGAGAATGCTTTCCATCTCTACCTTTACCACCTACACACTTCCCTGCTTGGGTTTATTCTTTCCTTTCTTTCTGCCTTAGCAGAAAAGATGTCTCACCCTCCTGTCTAAGCATAATCCCCCTGTATCCCACTCTCTCTCTCTGCCTTTTGTCTCAAGGTCCTTGCTCTATCCAATACTTTTCTCTCCTATCTATAAGCTCTCCCTCTTTACTGGCTTTTTCTAGTTAATATGTAAATATCCTTTTTTTTCCTTGTATTAAAAAGACATACAAACAAAACAAAGCCCTCCTGAGCCACCACCCCCAGCTCTACATTTCCTGCCAGTTCCTGACGGTGCTAAGTTACTTGAAAAGCAATTCTCTATTCAATTTCTTTCTTTCTTTTTCTTTCTTTCTTTCTCTCTCTCTCTCTTTCTTTCTTTCTCTTTCCTTCTCTCTCTCTCTCTCTCTCTTTTTTGAGATAAGAGTTTCACTCTTGTCATGCAGGCTGGAGTGCAATGGCACGATCTTGGCTCACTGCAACCTCCACCTCCTGGGTTCAAGTGATTCTCCTTCCTCAGCCTCCCGAGTAGCTGGGATTACAGGCGCCTGCCACCACGCCCAGCTAAGTTTTATATTTTTAGTAGAGACGGGGTTTCACCGTGTTGGCCAGGCTGGTCTCAAACTTCTGACCTCAAGCAATCCACTCGCCTTGGCCTCCCAAAGTGCTGGGATTACAGGCGTAAGCCACCACGCCTGGCCTCTATTCAATGACTTTCTATAGGTACAGCTCACCACTGCTGCATGCACCACTCAAAATACTCCCTCCCCACCATTTCTAAGGTCACAAAGTCATTCATTCAGCAAAGAGATACTAAGTTCCTACTATATATCAGACACTGATGAAGACAACTGGGTTATATCTGTGAACAAAACAATAATCCCTGCCCTCATAAAGCTTACGTTTTATCAGGAGGAACAGATTAGTTATCAATAAACACACAAAAAAAACCCCTAAATTATACCATATAATAGATGGTGAGAAGTGCTTCAGAAAAAAAGAAAACATATGGCAGAGTAAAGGGAATTGGGAGGAAGCAGGCAGGGTTCAGTTTTAAACTGAATGCTCAGGCTGGGAGCAGTGGCTCATGCCTGTAATCCCAGCACTTTGGGAGGCCAAGGCGAGTGGATCACTTGAGGTCAGGTGTTCGAGACCAGCCTGGCCAACATGGTGAAACCCCATCTCTACTAAAATATAAAAATTAGCCAGGCGTGGTGGCAGGTGCCTGTAATCCCAGCTACTCAGGAGGATGAGGCAGGAGAATCGCTTGAACCCAGGAGATGGAGGTTACAGTGAGCTGGGATAGCACTACTACACTCCAGCCTGGAGCAAGACTTCATCTAAATAAATAAATAAAAAAATAAATACTGAATGCTCAGGGTAAGCCTCATTGAAAAGATGAGAGGTACATAACAACATAAAGAAGATGATGAGCTCATTAGTCAGACATCTGAATTGAGAAAGAGCATTTCAGGAAGAGAAAACAGCTAGAACAAGGCCCTATGCTGGCGGTGTCACAGCAAAAAGGCCGGTGACAATGACCACCTAAACTGCCAAACACAACAGTCCGTCCTCATCTTATGTGACTTCTCTCTCTCTATGATAGTTGACTGCTTCCTTTTCCTTAGCACTGTCTCTTGCCTTGGCCTTGTTTATACTACTCTCCTGTTACATTTCCCAGCTCTTAGGCCTCATCCCAATCTCTTTCAAGTCCTGCTCTTCCTCTGTTTGTTCCCATGACAGTCATTAGGGCCTTCACACACTCTGTACCTCTTTATCTTGAGTACAGCATAGGAACATACTTGTCTACCCCTTTTGAAGTTAGGTGTGGCCATGTGACTGTGGTCAATGAAATGTCAACAGACATGACCTGTGTCACTTTCAAGTCACAGCTTTAAGAGCTAGAGCAAGATTTACAACATCTTTTTCCTGCCTGAAAAATAGAGACAATAACAAACCTACCTCATTAGGTGACTGTAAGCTAATATTCACAAAGCATTCATAAGAGTCCCTGATGTGCAATGCATAATTATAATTCTTTTATTGGGGTTGTTATAGTAATTAAACATGATAATCCATGAAAAGCCCTTAACATAAAGCATACGGTATATGTACATATGGTCTAGCAAAGGCTGTGCCCATAGCCCATGACTCTACAGGGGTTCACCACATGCCTCTCTGTATACACTCCTAGAAGATAACATTAAAATTATGTTTTCTGACTTGGAAACAACCCACGGAAGCTTGCACCAAGCTGGAGATTCCACCATGATGAGCAGCCCAGGATTCAACCTCACTGAACACAGTAGCATGCACAGGAAACAGACTTTCCATTGTGTTAAAGCAATGACACTTGTTTGTTACTGCTGTATAGCTGAAGCCTATTTTGACTGACGCAGCTTCCTAAATGTTGGTGCTATCCAGGACGCCATCCTCAAGTTTATGCTCCATGTAACTCTCCCTGGGTGACCTCATCCAAACCCTTGACTTCAACCACCACCAATACATTGATGACTAAAATACAAATCTCCAATCTGCTCTCTCCTGAGTGCCGCATTAGTATATCCAACCATACACTGGATAGCTCTACTCATTGTCATCCAAGTTTGGATGAACTAAATCCAAGCAAGTAATTCCAAAGCGACCTTTTCCTCTAACCTGCCCCTCTCCAGTTTTCCTGTCTGGGTGAAGGCATCATCATCCATCTGGCTACCCAAGCCAGAAACCAAGGCGACTTGAACTCCTCCCTTCCTCACCCATCCGCCACCTCCAGCCAGTGTGGATCACAGTCCTGTGGACATCCTCTGTCTCTCCTTCACATCTGTCCCCTCCTCTATGCTGACCACCCAAGTCCAGGCTTTCATCATCTCTACTTTAAGACACAAGAAAGCAGTGGCCACTCTCCTACTTCCATTTGGTCTCCTTTCAATCTGTTTCCCACGCAGCTGACAAAGGTTTTCAAAAACACGCAAATATAACACTTCTCGGCCTTTGGGCTAAGATCAAGTGAAAAGAATGCCAATGTGATCATTTCACTTTCTTTCTTTAAATCCTTTTAACTAGCTCCCCTCAGTTCTCCAGATAAAACTAGATCTCTATCCTTCCCTCTAAGAGAGTTTATTATCTAATTTCTGCCAACCTTTCTAACCTCAGCTTTTGCCTTTTCCTTTGCTGTTAGCCCCACTGGATTTCTTGCAGTCTCACAAAAGCAGGTGCTAGCTGTTAACTATTATTGTTTATGGCAGCAGCAGTAGTAATAACATTACATATCTTATCACTCTATACTATAATCTCTGGGTTTTTTATTCATCTCCTTTAATGGACCCTAAACTCCTGGGCAACAAATCTTTAGTCTTATTCATCTTTATATCCTCAGTACCTAGTACAGGCACTTCACACATAGCAGATACTCAGTAAATGTTTGCTGAATGACTAGCTGACTGGCTCCATAAATAAATGAATGAATGCTTACATTTATACGCATATACAAACATAAAATGAATAGATGAATAAGTGAAAGAAT
Source organism: Homo sapiens (assembly GCF_000001405.40). Taxonomy (NCBI): domain Eukaryota; kingdom Metazoa; phylum Chordata; class Mammalia; order Primates; family Hominidae; genus Homo; species Homo sapiens. The sequence goes on along the minus strand of NC_000012.12, from coordinate 96,668,817 downwards.
CCTAACACTTCAAAGGGAAGACTTACATGGCTTTTTGATACCAGAAACAGAGACACATGAAAAATGCAATTTAGAGAAAGTATTATTTCCATTTTCATCTCATTCTATTGCATCATTCCTACAAGCTGCATGGCCAAAAACATTCCAAAAGGGCTTAATACAATTTGGCTATGTCCCCACCCAAATCTCATCTTGAATTGTAGCTCCCATAATCCCCATGTGTCATGGGAAGAACCCAGTGGAAGGTAATTGAATCATGGGGGTTGGTTTTTCCCCTGCTGTTCTCATGATAATGAATAAGTCTCATGAGATCTGATGGTTTTATAAATGGGAGTTCCCCTGCACACACTCTCTTGCCTGCCACCATATAAGATGTGCCTTTGCTCCTCCTTCTCCTTCCACCATGATTGTGAGGCCTCGTGGAACTGAGTCTGCTAAACTTCTTTTTCTTTATAAATTATCCAGTCTTGGGTAAGTCTTTATTAGCAGCATGAGAATGGCCTAATACAGTAAACTGGTACCAGGTAGTGGGGTGCTGCTATAAAGATACCTGAAAATGTGAAATCAACTATGGAACTGGGTAACAGGCAGAGGTTGGAACAGTTTGGAGGGCTCGGAAGAAGACAGGAAATTGTGGGAAACTTTGGAACTTCCTAGAGATTTACAGGGCTCAGAAGAAATGAAGATGTGGGAAAGTCTGGAACTTCCTAGAGACTTGTTGAATGGCTTTGACCAAAATGTTGATAGTGATATGGACAACAAAGTCCAGGCTGAGGTGGTCTCAGATGGAGATGAGGAACTTGTTGGAAACTGGAGTAAAGGTCACTCTTGCTATGCAAAGAGACTGGCAGCATTTTGCCCCTGCCCTAGAGATCTGTGGAACTTTGAACTTGAGAGATGATTTAGTGTATCTGGCAGAAGAAATTTCTAAGGAGTAAAGTGTTCAAGAGGTGACAGAGCATAAACATTGGGAAAATCTACAGCCTGACAATGCAGTACAAAAGAAAAACCCATTTTCTGAGGAGAAATTCAAGCAGGCTACAGAAATTTGCATAAGTAACAAGGATCCAAATGTTACTCACCAAGGCAATGGGGAAAATGTCTCCACATCATGTTAGAGACCTTCGCAGCAGCCCCTCCCATCACAGACCCAAAGGCCTACCAGAGAAAAAGGATTTCCTGGGTCAGGTCAAGGGCCCCACTGCTGTGTGCAGCCTAGGGATTTGGTGCCCTTCATCCCAGCTGCTCCAGCCATAGCTAGAAGGGGTTAAGGTACAGCTCGGGCCATGGCTTCAGAGGGTGCAAGCCCCAAGCTTTGGAAGTTTCCACATGGTGTTGAGTCTGCAGGTGCACAGAAGTCAAGAACTGAGATTTGGGACATCCACCTAGATTTCAGAGGATATATGGAAACACCTGAATGTCCAGGCAGAAGTTTCCTGCAGGGGTGGGTCCCTCATGGAGAACCTCTGTCAGGGTAGTCAGAAGGGAAATGTGGGGTTGGAGCCCCCACACAGAGTCTCCACTGGGGTACTGCCTAGTGGAGCTGTGAGAAGACGGCCACCATCCTCCAGACCTCAAAATGATAGATCCGGTGACAGCTTGCACTGTGTGCACAGAAAAGCCACAGACACTCAACACCAGCCTGTGAAAGCAGCCGGGAGGGAGGCCATACCCTGCAAACCCACAAGGCTGTAGGAGCCCACCTCTTGCATCAGCATGGCCTGGATGTAAGACATGGAGTCAAGGGTAATCATTTTGGAACTTTAAGGTTTAATGACTGCCTTATTGGATTTTGGATTTACTTGTTTTGGCCAATTTCTCCATTTGGAATGGGTGTATTTGTCCAATGCCTGTACCCCCACTGTATCTAGGAAGTAACTAACTTGCTTTTGATTTTACAGGCTCATAGGCTGAAGGACTTGCCTTGCCTCAGATGAGACTTTGGACTGTGGACTTTTGAGTTAATTCTGAAATAAGTTAAAACTTTGGGGGACTGTTGGGAAGGCATGATTGGTTTTGAAATGTGAGGACATGAGATTTGGGAGGGGTCAGGGGCAGAATGATATGGTTTGGCTGTATCCCCACCCAAATCTCATCTTGAATTGTAGCTTCCATAATCCCCACATGTGGTGGGAGGGACCCAGTGGGAGGTAACTGAATCATCGGGGTGGATTTTCCCATGTTGTTCTCATGATAGTGAATAAGTCTCACGATATCTGATGGTTTATAAAGGGCAGTTCCCCTGCACATGCTCTCCAGCTTGCCGCCATGTAAGATGTGCCTTTGCTCCTCCTTTGCCTTCTTCCGTGATTGTGTGGCCTCTCCAGCCATCTGGAACTGTGAATTCATTAAACCTCTTTTTGTTTATAAATTATCCAGTCCCAGGTATGTCTTTATGAGCAGCATGAGAACTGACTAATCCAGGGCTTATCAGTTAAAAGCAAAGAAGTCATGACATTCCCAAATCTTCTCCTGTGCTCTAGTTAAAAGGTCTACAACTTAACCATAGTAAAACTAATAGAATAATCTATATTGATTATGGAAATGGAAGCTATTATGGGACTTGAAACAGAATAAGGAAAATAGCAAAAGGCCAAATACCAAAAGCATTCATAAATAAGATAAAAAGAAGAAAAAAATGTGCAAAACAACCTTTTTCCATCTTTGTTTTTGCCTATCAATATCTCTTTTCCTTTTATTTCTCTTATCTAACTTACAGATTGAACTTTTTAAAAATGCATTTTACAAAAAGAATAAAATATTTAGGAATACAGCTAAATATGGAAGTGAAAGGTCTCTAAAAGAACCACAAACCACTGCTCAAAGAAATCAGAGATGACACAAACAAATGGAAAAACATTCCATGTTCATGGATAGGAAGAATCAATATCATTAAAACAGTCATATTGCCCAAAGCAATTTAGAGATTCACTGCTATTCCTATTGAACTACCATTGAGATTCTTCACAGAATAAGAAAAACCTATTTGAAAACTCATGTGGAACCAAAAAAGAGCCTGAATAGCCAAGATAATACTAAGCAAAAAGGACAAAGCTGGAGGCATCACACTACCTGACTTCAAAACTATGCTACAGGGCTACAGTAACCAAAACAGCATGGTGCTGGTACAAAAGAGACACGTACACCAGTGGAACAGAATAGAGAGCTGAGAAATAAGACTGCACATCTAAAACTATCTAATCTTCAACAAACTTGACAAAACAAGCAATAGGAAAAAAATTCCCTATTCAATAAATGGTGCTGGGATAACTGGCTGGACATATATAGAAGATTGAAACTAAACCCCTTCCTTACACTATATACATAAACTAACTCAAGATGGATTAAAGACTTAATTGCAAAACCCAAAACTATAGAAGCCCTGGAAGACAACCTAGGCAATACCATTCAGGACATAGGCACAGGCAAAGATTTCACGATGAAGATGTCAAAAGCAATTGCAACAAAAGCAAAAATTGACAAATGGGATCTAATTAAACTAAACAGCTTTTGCACAGCAAAAGAAACTATCAACATTGTAAACAGACATATCTCCCTATGGTGGGAGACAATTTTTCCAAACTATGCATCCAACAAAGGTCTAATATCCAGCATCTATAAGGAACTTAAGCAAATTTACAAGAAAAAAACAACCCCATTAAACAGTGGGCAAAAGACATGAACAGAGAGTTCTCAAAAAAAAAAACATACATGTGGCCAACAATCATATGAAAAAAAGCTCAGTATCACTGATCATTGGAGAAATGCAAATCAAAACAACAATGAGATACCATCTCACACCAGTCAGAATGTCTGCTAGTAAAAAGTAAAAAAACAACAGATGCTGGCAAGGTTGTGGAGAAAAACGAACGCTTATACATTGTTAGTGGGAGTGTAAATTAGTTCAACCATTGTGGAAAACAGTGATGCAATTCCTGAAAGACCTAAAGACAGAAATACCATTTGACCTAGCAATCCCATTATGGGATATACATATATATATCTATATATATATATATATATATATATATATATATATAGATATAGATATAGATATATATAGATATATATATATATAGATATATATATATAGATATATATAGATATATATATATATATAGATATATACCCAAAGGAATATAAATTGTTCTATTATAAAGACACACACACACACACACACACACACACACACACATACGTTCTTGGTAAGGCACAGCTGGAAGAACATTAGACAAATTATGTAGAGCAATTAGCAAAGAAGTGGAATGAACCTAAATGCCCATCGATGATAGACTGGATAAAGAAAATGTGAGACATATACACCATGGAATACTATGCAGTCATAAAAAAGAATTAGATCATGTCCTTGGCAGGAACATGGATGGAGCTGCAGGTCATTATCCTTAGGAAATGAATGCAGGAATAGAAAACCAAATACCACATGTCCTCACTTATAAGTAGGAGCTAAATAATAAGAACACATGGACACATAGAAGAGAATAACACACACTCTGGCCTATCAGAGGGTGAAGAGGATGGAGAGGATCAGGAAAAATCACTAATGGGTCCTAGGCTTAACAGCTGGGTGATAAAATAATCTGTAAAACAAGCCCCCATGACACAAGTTTACCTATGTAACAAACCTGCACATGGACCCCTGCACTTAAAAGTTTAAAATAAAAATAAATAAAATGTGTTTTAATCCCCCTTAAGTAACATTTATAGCAACGTAAGATGGCGAAAATCAAATGCATTATTTTTAGTCAACTAAACCTGCAAAATACATTTTTACAAACATACTAATTATGGAAGGTTTGACATGCAGAACACAATGGCAAACCTCGATTTAGAGAAAACAAACATTCAAGCTAAGATTGGTTCTGACCTGAAGAGATAAGCATTTTTAGCAAATCTGTGCAGTTGCTTGTTGCTTCAATGGTTGAAGAATTAATCTTAAGCTGCTTCCCAATGAAATTTCGGCAAGTTATCTTTAAAAAGAAAGGTGAAAACAAATATTAGTCGGGTATTTATAGTTAAAAATTTCGCTTACTTGAAATGTTTCTCTCATTTTTTATTTATCAGAATAAAGAGATACATAACAATGCTACAAAAAAAGCTGGCAGAATAGTGTCTAATCATGAGAACTTTCATGAAAAAAAGCAGCTCCATAATTTTTCATATTTCTTTTGTACAGCACAGCTGGAAGAACGTTAGGCAAATTATGTAGAGCAATTAGAATATGATTTCCTAATATTCTATAAATTCACTGGTCTAAATATATCTTCCATTATATAAGTTAAAAAATAATCTGCTTTCCCAATGCAGATTTTTCCACCCTACTTATAATTAATGCAATTTTATTTTCCCTGGTGAAGTTTTTCAGAACTAACTTCCTCTGTAGTATTTTGATAATTTATTTTCTAACAGATATGAGTCCTAAGATAATAAAATATCTGAAAACAGAAAAGTTTTAAAAAGACAAAAATTATTTTAAAGGGCCCAAGACCCTCTTCTCTTCATTTCTTCACTCCCATCCCTTGAACTAACCTATCACTCAAAATACAGTCCTCCTGGAACCCCAGTCTGATATAGATGCTTCTTCTTTATTGTCCCTTGTGAGTAGTACTTTTATAATGAGAAGTAAATGCAGCCTAATAAAATACAAATTTCTTCCCACAACCTCATAAGGCCCTACTTGATCTAGTCTTTTCTATTTCTCCAGCTTCCTTAAACGGATCTTTACTGAACACCTATTACGTGCCAAACACTGTTACAAGAAGAAGGGATGATGTAGCAGAGAACAAAATAAAAACTCTCACTCTTGTGAAACATCTTAGTGGGAGAAGACAGATAATAAACAAATAGTATGGTACATTATATAATATATTAAAGAATTGCAAATGCTCTAGAGAGACATAGAGCAAAAAGGCACATAGTTGTAAATATGATAGTGTGGAATAGCCTCACAGAGAATGTAAAATTTAGCAAAGATTGGGAAAAGGTGAGGGATCCAATGTGGATGTTTGGGGAGCAGCACTCCAAGCAGGGGCAACAGCAAATACAAAGACCCTGAGGCAGGAACAGCTCACACAACAGTGCGGTGAAAACCTGCCTGGGAGTAATAGGACAGGAGTTACTGGAGAGATCAGGGGGATATGTTATATAGGATAAGTTATATTAAGGTCATGATAAAGATGTTCACTTTACTCTGAATAGGGTGGGAAGCCACCATAGGGTTTTAAACAGAGGTGTGACAGAACCTGACTTGGGGTTTAAAAGGTGATTGTATCTGCTGCATTAAGAATAGATTACAGGCTGGGTGTGGTGGTTCACACCTGTAATCCCAGCACTCTGGGAGGCCAAGGCAGGTGGATCACCTGAGGTCAGGAGTTCAAGACCAACCTGGTCAACATGGTGAAACCCCATCTCTACTAAAAATACAAAAATCAGCCAGGTGTGGTGGCTCACACCTGTAATCCCAGGTACTCAGGAAGCTGAGGCATGAAAATCGCTTCAACCTAGGAGGCAGAGGTTGCAGCGAGGCAAGATTGCTCCACTGCACTCCAGCCTGGGTGACAGACTAAGACTCCATCTCAAAACAACAACAACAAAAAGAATATATTATAGGCTGAAAGTGGGGTTCAGGGTGATTAGGAAGTCACTGCATTAACCCAAGCAAATACAACAAGGGTTTGGATAATAAACAAATAGTGAGGTGCATTCTATAGTAATTAAAGAGGGAGTGTTGGAGGTAGCGAGCAGTGCTCCAATTTGGATTGTATTTTGAGGGTAGAGCTCTTGGTAACCAGTTGGAAGTGGGGTGTGAGAGCAAGAGAGGAGGCAGGGATGTCTCCAAGGTGTCTGGCAGCCAGGACAGGAGGCTTGTCATTGACTGAAGAAGACTTAGCAGAACAGGCTTGTTTGAGATGTGCTAAATTTAGAAATTGTATTCTTCATCTAAGAAATGATGATGATTGGGCAGTGTGATGATTTTTTAATGGATCAACTTGGTTAGGGCTAAACTATGAGGAGGAAAGAGAGGGAAGCATCTACTTTCTGGCATACACACAATTCACCCCCGTTAGTCAATCAAACTAGGTGCTACTGTGAAGGGATTTTGCAGATACTAATTAAATTGACTTTAAACAAGGGAGATTACTCTCAGTGGACCTGACCTAAGCAGATGAGTCTAACATGCCCGCAGTCTCCAGGACTTCAAACACCAGCAGCAGCTGCTTCTACAACTGTCCTCTACTGGCTGGATCTTCCCTCACTGACTGCCTATGAGTAACAACCTCTGTCCATCTGGGGTTCCTTCCTGCTCATGATCCTGACTGCCTGCCCTATGGATTTGAAGCTTGCTTAGCTGGCCTCCACAATCATATAAGCCAAATTCTTGTAGTAAATCCTCTGATGGATAGCCAGCTAGCTAGCTAGCTAGACAGATGTGATACTGTAAAATATATATTTGGTCTTGTCCCTGTTTCTTGACATACAACTCCTAAAATCCTTGGAATCTCCAAAGTGGTATCTTTTTGTATGCTAATAAGTTGATTGACGGCTGGCAACCCCTAGGTAGCTTCAGGATAGGGGCTGCTCACCAGAAAGACCACGGCAGGATAAGAACTTTCAGCCCTATTCCCCAACCTCTGCAAAGAAGAGAGGGGTGAAAGGTTAAGCTGATTGTCAATGGCCAATGATTTAATCAATTATGCTTCCATAATGAAACCTCCATTAAACAAAAAAACCCCAAAGGACTGGGTTTAGGGAGCTTCTGAACATGTGGAGGTTCCCGGAGGCTGGTGGATCCATGAAAGCTCTGTGCCCCTTCCCCTCTGCCTCACCCTATGTATCTCTTCATCTGTATCTTTTGTGATTTTCCTTATAATAAACTGGCGAATGTAAGCAAGTGTTTCTCTGAGTTCTGTGAGCCACTCTAGCAAATTAATCGAACCCAAGGAGTGGGTCATAAGAACCCTAATTTGTCACCTGTCAGTCAGAAGCACAGGTCACAACCTGGGGCTTGAGATCAACACTGGAAGTCAGAACAGAGCCCCCAACCTCTGGGGTCTGATGCTATCTCCACGTAGATTGTATAGAAATTGCATTGAAAGACACCTAGCTGGTGTCCACTGCAGAACTGATTTCTTGCTTAGTGGTGGGGAGAAATCCCCAAACATCTGGTGTCAGAATCATGTAAGAGCATAGTGGGAGACATTGAGTTTATTTTTTCCCCTCCAGAGATAAGATAGACTTGTCTTACTAGTTTTGCTCTTCTGGTTGAACTTTGGCTGATATAGGCAGTTAGATATATCAACACAAAATTCAGGAGAAAGATCTAGAATGCAGATGTAATTACAAAATTCATCATGATAGAGATGGTACTTAGAGACATAGATTGAATTAACTCACTATGGAAGAGTATGTGGATGGAGAAGAAAAGGGGTCCAAGAACATAGTCTTGGGGTACACTCACATTGGGACACTGGGGAGAAGAAGAAGCAACAAAAAATCCTCGGAAGGAGCAGCCTCCTCTTTCTCCCATGCCCCTTGTTTGCTACACTTCAGCCATACAGGCCTTCTTTCTGTCCCACTGCAGGGCATGGGCCATTCTTTTTCTCTTGGGCTACAATGTTCTTTCCCTAGATCACTGTATGGCTGGCCCCTCTCATCAAATGCCATCATCTCCAAGAAGTCTTCTAGATCACCCTTACTAAAGTTACCACCTCTCACCCAGTTCATCTCTAGTCCGTTGACTTATTTTCTTCAGAGACCTTATAATGATTATAAGTCTTTCTACTCATCTGTTTACATGTTTATTTTCTGGCCCTATTTCCAACCCTCTGAAATTAAACTTTATGAAACAGGAACTCAGAACTGTATTCTCACCATACAGAATATGCAGGAGGCAAGGTTACCACTGGGCCATAAGGAAACTTTGTGAGAAGAAGAAAATTGAGTCCTTGCTGGCTGGATGCAACACCTCAAGCACATAGGCTGGTGTGGCAAGGAGGGGCTGGATTTCAGGCCCCACGTATGCCAGGGGCCCTTGGGCAGGTCACCCACAGTACAACTGTATGCAATGGGTCTGATTGGGTAGTCAATGCACTTTGTTAAATTAGTCAATGGAAAAATGTACTTATCTCTTTTCTCTGCCTGATTCAAGATATACCATGACTTTCAAGGGCCCCTGGGTACTTTTGCCTTCATGAGTCTATTTCTCCATTGAAAAATACTAAAAATGATATTTTATAATTGCGTTGGTATAAATACAAGAATATGAAAGTAGAAATTCAAACATTTTATTTGCCCTGAAAGTTATTTTTTTCTTCTTATTTTAAAAGAAATTAAAACATTTAGTGGGCCCCTGAAAGTATTGTCAGCTCTAGATTACAGTGGTTCACACCTGTAATCCCAGCACTTTGGGAGGCTGAGGTGGGAGGATCACTTGAGGTCAGCAGTTTGAGACCAGCCTGGCCAACATGGTGAAACCCTGTCTCTACTAAAAATACAAAAATTAGCCGGGCGTGTTGGCAGTCACCTGTAATCCCAGCTACTCGGAAGGCTGAGGCAGGAGAATCACTTGAACCCAGGAGGTGTTGAGATCAACATTGGAAATTGGGGCAGAACCCCCCCACCTCTGGGATCTGATGCTATCTCCAGGTACATTGTGTAGAAACTGAATTGAAAGACACGCAGGAACCTGGGAGGCGGAGGCTGCAGTGAGCCGAGACCGTGCCATTGCACTCCAGCCTGGGCAACAAGAGTGAAACTCTGTTTCAAAAAAAGAAAGACACTCAGCTGGTGTCCACTGCAGAACTGATTTCCTGCTTAGTGGTGGGGAGAAATTCCCACACATCTGGTGTCAGAATCATGTTGTGAGGGCACAGTGGGAGACACTGAATTTATTTCTTCCCCTCCAAAGATAAAATAGCCCTGTCTTTACGAGTTTTGCTCCCCTGATTGAATCCTGGCTGATACAGGCAGTTAGATATATCAACACAAAATTTAGGAAAAAGATCTACAGTGGAGATGTAATTTTAAAAGTCATCATCATAGAGATGTACTTAGAGCCACAGACTGAATTAACACACTAAGGAAGAGGCGGAGGTTGCAGTGAGCTGAGATTATACCACTGCACTCCAGCCTGGGTGACAGAGTGAGACTTCATCTAAAACAAAAACAAAAACAAAAAAAAAAAGTACTCTGGGCTCTAGACACCATCCCCATTGTGCTTTATGGCTAAGTTAGTCTTGGCCTGATATGAACTTCTTGTGGACAGGGACTTAGTTCCTGTTTGCCTTGACTGCAGGCTCTCAATAATGTTTGTTGATTTGAATGATAAATGCCAGTAAGTGGAAATACTAAAGCAGAAATAATAAGATTTATCTGACTTCTAAATCTTTGTATTTTATATGTGGACTAATTAGAAATCACAACAGCATGAATAATAGAACTAACTTAAACTTACCTTCTCTCCATATTCAGCCTCATACCTTGCACAAGGTTGTTGGGTAATATCTGGGCCCTTGAACTTCTGTATTCTCAGCAGAAGCTGGCGCTGTGCATACACCAGAAGTGGTGTCACTTGTTCTGTATACCTCTCACTAGACAGGGGTAAAGAATACATTAAAAAGAAAACATTAGTTAAAAGACTTTTTTTTTTTTCAATGAAGTCTTCTACTTTTAATTGCCCTTACAGCAGTACTTACTGTGAAACTGTATTGAACTGAATGGCAAGAGATACTAGTGTTTCCCATTTTTCCACTTGATATAAAACTTCCAGAGATTTTAATACAAAGTCGTGGATCCATTTCAAATCAACCACATTTACATCATCCAAAGGATGCTCAAAGGTAAGACTAGAACCACCGTTGTCATTTTTAATATTCCCATAACAGCTTGGAACACTGAATTCTCCTTTGTCTTCAATAGGCTGCAAGTAGCACAGTGAAAAAAAAAATGTGTAATTTCAGATTTTACTGCATATTTTTTCTGAAAACTGAATGTAATAAAAATGTAACATGGAAAAGAACTCAACTGAAAAGAAAAAATATTTTTCTTATGCAAGTCAAAGCTTGATAATTTGATGCAGTATTATCCAGTAAAGCTTGCTGTGATGATGGAAACGTGCTATATATTTGTGCTGTTCATTATCGTTCCCTATAGCCACTAGAAACCTGCAGCTACCAAGCTTTTGAAATGTGATTAGTGCAACTGAATTTTTAATTTCGTTTAATTTTAATTCATTCAAGTTTAAATTTAAATAGCCACATATGGCTAATGTTTACCATATTGGACAACACAGATTACTGTCTATCGTTCTTGGTATACAGTCACTATCCATTTAAGTAAGGATATGAAATAAATTATGGTAAGATTTTTAGGAAGAAACTGGACTTTAGTATAAACACATAATGAAGTTCCCTAATACGTTGGTTACATTCGTTAATTTATACAATAATATGTCCATTCCTAGATGCAAATGTCACACCTATGGAGAAGGAAAGCATCAAGGAGACCCTCTTTTTGCCTAAAGAGTTACTATGTACCAATAGTGTGCATGTCCTATGAGTTCCTGACACATTTGTGTATACCTCTGGAAATTCTTAAGGCAAAACAAAGCCTCTTAGATCCATATAAGGGCCAGATTATAGCCCAAAACAGTTGGGTAACTCAAGTCCAGCCTTCCCATCCCAATAATACCACTAAAAGTAACCTATATACATGGGTGTGAAGTATCAACAAAAGTAGAGGATAAACATCCCCTCTAACAAGAGCTGTAGTCCTTGAAGTTAGAAGAGACTTTGGAAGTCATCGGACTGTGAAATGCAGTATGCACACCTGAAGTCAGGCTGTGTAGGTAAGAATAGCAGGTGTAGCACCAGTGACTTACATGAATTTGCATCCTCAGCACAGTGCCCAGCACATGGGACATACTTTTAAAAAGTAGTTGACATTTTATTTATGTTATGAGCTCAATCACTGTAATTCACTGATTCTACAGTAAGTCTTCTAGAAGCACAGATGTGCTATCAGTTAGTCATGCCTATGCCTTATTTCTGGGATGAAGGACAGGGAAGTCCTCTGTAGTTATTACATTATCTAATATAGTGTTTATCAACAATGAAGCTGAGGGCCAGGCATGGTGGCTCATGCCTGTAATCCCAGCATTTCGGGAGGCCGAGGAGGGCAGATCAACTGAGGTCGGGAGTTTGAGACCAGCCTGACCAACATGGAGAAACCCTGTCTCTACTAAAAATACAAAATTAGCTGGGTGTGGTGGCGCATGCCTGTAATCTCAGCTACTCAGGAGGCTGAGGCAGGAGAATGAATCGCTTGAACCCAGGAGGTGGAGGTTGTGGTGAGTCGAGATTGTGCCATTGTACTCCAGCCTGGGCAACAAGAGCAAAACTCCATCTCAAAAAAAAAACCAACAAAGCTGATATTTTATCTCAATTGCCTTGTTCAGCACCCATCTCTCAGTTGATCCCAATCCAAAAGGGGAGGGGGGGGGAGAGAATTGTCTATTGATCTCCTAAATTTGGCAACATTGAGAAATAAACAACACTGAGAAATGAACAAGACTGACATTTGGAGATCAAAATAGCATATGGAGATTGAGGTTTCTGGCACAGCCAAGGCCAGACTCTTTTAAGTTTTGAAGATTTTGTATGGGCCATGTGTGATTTTTTAAAAACTTTTTATTAAAGAAAAGTTCTAACACTTACAAAAGTAGGGAAAATAATATAATGAAGCCCATGTACCCACCACCAGCTGCAATAATTATCAACTCTTAGGACATACTCACTTCCCCCATTATTTTGAATTATATCCCCAAAATTATATTAATTAATCTATGAATATTTTAGTATTTATCTCTAAAAAGTAAAAATTAGTTATACAAAAACATAACTACAATACTATAATCCTACCTAAAAAAAAGAAATTAGCAGAAATTCCTTTAAATCATTATTGAATAATTATACTGAAGAGTGTTTACATTTCCCTTATTGCCTTACAGATTTTTTTAACTGTATGTGTTAGTTAGATTAAAATAAGGTCCAAACATTGTAATTGGTTATGTCTCTTGTCTTTTTTAATTTATAGATTTCATCTCCTCCTTTATTAAATTTTTTGTTAAAAAAAATCAGATTGTTTTCCTGTAGAGTTCCCATAATCTGAATTATACTGAGGATATTCCTGTAATTTCATTTAAAATGTTCTTCTGTCCACTGTATTTTCTACAAATTGTGGGATAAATGTAAGTATTCTAACTGATTCCAGTTAGATTTCTGTTTTTTGGCAAGTGTACTCCATAAGGTGCTCTTGATCCTCCAATTCATTCATTAAGAATTACAGAAACCTAGTAATTCTAATTCCAACATCCTTTCTTCATTTATTACCTGGATACTTTTGTAAAGAAAAATTCCTCTTCATCAACTATTTGGTCATCCTCAAATATAGTTCACATAGGAGGTAAGGTAGTCAAGCTTTTTTTTTTTTCCAAAGAAGCCCTGTTTCCTTTAGTGATAAATGTATTTAAATGCAACAATCTAGGTCCTAGAGTTGACATTTCTTTTTGAAACCTCTGAACTGCTTTGAATCCTTTGGTGGAAAAAAAAAACCATATATATGGGTCTATTTTCAGATTCTATTTGTTCCATTGATATATTTCTCTCTTTAGGTCAGTATCATACTCTCCTAATTACCATAGCTTTAGTAAGCCTTGATATCACATATATAGTGAATCCTCCAATTTGTTCTTTTAAAAAAAAATTTTTTTGGCCATTCACATTTTTTTGCATTTGCTTATAAATTTTAAAATGAATTTCAATTCATACCCCAAAGAATGCCTATTGGTATTTTCACTGAGATTTCACTGAATTGACAAATCTATGTTCACGAGGGATATTAGTTCATACTTTTCCAGTTGGTATTTGTTAGGGTTAAGCTGGTCTCATTTCTTAAAAAAAAAAAAAAAATTAAGTGAAATGAGCCAGACACAAAAAGACAAATATTGTATGCTCTCACTTACATGTGGCAGCTAAAAAATGTGAACATATGGAGGTTAACAGTGGAAAGGTAGATAGCAAAGACTGGGAAGGGTAGCGGTTACAGGTGAGAGGTGAGAGGAGAGGATGAAGACAAGTGAGTGAGTTAAAGGAGCAGTAAGATAAAAGGAGTAAATGCAATACTTCACGAAAATGTACTGTACTTGGGTGATGGGCACCCTGAATACCCTGGCTTGATCACAACCCATTGTATGCATATAACAAATTTTCTCATGTACCCCATAAATTTTTTTTTTTTTTTTGAGACGGAGTCTCGCTCTGTCGCCCAGGCTGGAGTGCAGCGGCGGGATCTCGGCTCACTGCAAGCTCCGCCTCCCGGGTTCACGCCATTCTCCTGCCTCAGCCTCCCAAGTAGCTGGGACTACAGGCGCCCGCCACTACGCCCGGCTAATTTTTTGTATTTTTAGTAGAGACGGGGTTTCACCGAGTTAGCCAGGATGGTCTCGATCTCCTGACATCGTGATCCGCCCGCCTCGGCCTCCCAAAGTGCTGGGATTACAGGCATGAGCCACCGCGCCCGGCCTAAATTTTCCAAATAAAAATCATTGGTATAAAATGTATTATTTCTTCCATGTGTGTTTGCTCAAATTTTCCAAAGAAATATTGTGGGTCTGGAATTTTCTTTATGTGAAGGTTTCTGATTATGAAGTCAAGTTTGTTAGTACATTTAGGGCAATTCATATTTTCTGTTTCTTCTTGTGTCAGATTGTTAAGTTGTGCTTTCCAATAAATATGTCCATTTCACCTAAGTGATCAAACTTATTAACAAAAATTGATCATATTTCCTTTTTTAATATCTATAGGATTTGTAGTTATAGCCCTTCTCCACTACTAATATGAGTAATTTGTGCTTTTCTCACTTTTGTTCTTCATCAGTATTTCTATGAGTATACTAGATTTAATTTTTAATTTAGAAGATCAAATTTTGACTTTATTGTTTTTGCTTTATATTTATCTAATTGATTTCTGCTCTTATCATTTCTTTTATTTCTTTTTATTATTTCCTTTCTTCTCTTTAGTTTAGATTTAATTTGCTCTTTTTTTCTATATATAAACATTTAGATAATTGATATTATATGTTTTTTCTTTCCTATTAAGCATTGAAAGCTATAAATTTCCGTCTATGCCCTGCTTCATTTGAATGCCATACATTTTGATGTGTTATTATTAGTTTCAAATATTCTCTAATTTCTCTTGTGTTTTCTTCTTTGACTCATGGGGTATTTGGAATTGTATTATTTAATTTCCAGATATTTGGAGATTTTTCTTCCTATATTATGGCAAACCGTTTATAATTTAATTCTGTAATGGTCAAAGAACATACTCTTCAAGAGTTCAGTCTTACATTTTTGAAGACTTATTTTTGACTCTGCATATGACCCATCTCAGTGAACACATCATGTGCACTTACGCTCTGTTTCCATTCCACCTGGGTTTACGGTACCACAGTTGTGACAGGCCACCTAATCTTCTGACTGACCAGCTATAAATTCAGGGGTTTCCATAGCCCCTTCAATTTGATAATTCACTAGAATGACTCATAGAACTCACTGAAAGCACTGTACTTACAATTACAGTTTTATTGTAAAGAAAACTCAGGAACAGCCTAGTGAAGAGGTACATGGAGTGAAGTCTGAGAGGGTCCCTGGCACAGAGCTGCCATGCCCTCTCCCTGTGGAATCAGGGCATGTCACCCTCCTGACACATCAACGTGTTTATCAACCAGGAAGTTCTTCAAGCTTTGGATGTCCAGAATGTATTTTGAATTTTTCTTATTAGGTACATACATATTTATGATTGACATGTCTTCCTGATTAATTGAGGTTCTTCTTAACACGAAATGTCCCTCTTTATCTCTCATAATGCTCCTTGATTTATATTATCTTGTCTAACAATATAGACTCATCGGCTTTTTTATCGTTATTGTTCTCATGTTATATCTCTTTCCATATTTTTATTTTCAATCTACCTGTTTCTTTATATTCAGAGTGCTTCTCCTGGTAGACGGGTACATGTGTCTTGCTTTTTTATCCAGTCAGACAATGTCTACCCTTTATTTGGCATCTTTAACCCACTAATAGTAAATACAGTTATTGACATCATTGAGTTAGAGTGAATGTTTTCTACTTGTTTTCTCTTTGTCCCATGTTTTTTGTTCCTTTGTTCCTTCTTCCCTGCCTTCTTTTGAGTTAACTGAGCATTACTTAATCTTCCCTTTTACTTCGTTGACTTTTCAGCTATGTCTCTTTTTCACTAGTTACTCAAGGGATCATTAAATACATTCTTATCACTTAGAGTTAATATTGTACCACTTTATATAAAGTGTAAAAACCTTAATAATTTACCCTCTTTGTCTTTTCTGCCATTGCCAAATATTTTCCTCTAGAAATGTTATAAGCCTCATGGCACAACATGTGTATGTGTTTACTAATTTTCAATGCGTTTAGGTTATATTCTATTTATATTACTTCAATTTTATTTCCATGCTTTAAACCACAGTGTGATAAATTTTAAATGGCTGTAAATTCTAGCAGACCAGAATAATAGAACAGGACAGAGAAGCAGTGGAATAAAGACCAGCTGATCACATCTTTATTCAAGCTATGTGATCTTCCTTGGAATCTATTTCTTTATCTGGCAAAAAATTGTTATAAGGATTAAGTGTATTAAGGCAAATTTATGTAGGGGCTGGAGTTCAGTTCATGTTACTTTCCCTTCCCTATAACAAGCTAAATTTTCAGGCTAAGCTATTGTTAGTTAACATCAATGCAAGTTATATATTGTAAACAAAATTATAATGAGAAGCAAATGAAATGTAGACAAACCAAATGAGAAATAAAAAAAAAAACAGTTTCTACTTATACCAAGATGCACAGTACGATATTTTTAACTGAATATAATAAAAATAATTACCAAAGTGTCTTTACCTTAATAGAACTGGTATTTTGTAGTTGTATTAACATGTCAATAAGTAATTCTGCTCCCAAATAGAATGGTAAAACAGAGGTGCAGAGGAAACCATCTTGGCTAATAGGAAATGTTTTATCAAGATCCACTGCCTGTTTAAGAAGTATTTGTAGTTCCTGAGTAAAGTTCCATAAGGCCCGACAGCAGTTCTGAAGCAGAGTCCAATAGCCACCACGATGAGCAAGAACCTATGACAAACACAAAATTTAAAAGATCCCAAAGTTCCAAAAGTTACAGATCTCTGAACAACTTCATCTTTTTCCAAATATTATGTGTCAATAGTAAAAATAACTAACATCATTTGTTAGGGTCACTTACATGAGTTAGACACTGTTATATGCATTATCTCATTTACTTCGAACAAAGATTTCCATGAAGTAAGTGTGCACTAGGTACTAGTATTTTACCCAATTTACAGATGAGGAAATGGAGTCATGGGTTCAGCGTGGCTAACCCATTGTTCTAGGTGCTGGGAATTCAGCAGCGAGCAAGGGAAACTGGGTCTGCCCTCATGCTGCTTACGTTCATTTCGGGAGACGGACACTAGAAAAGTAGACATATAAAAACATAATTTCAAGCAATAAGAAGTTTTATAAAGAAAAATAAAGCAGAAATGAGTTGGAACCTGACAGAGCATTACAGGACAGGTTGCTTTAGACAGGGTGGTCAGGAAAGAAGTCCTCTCTGATGAGGTAGCATTTGAGCAAACATCTGAATATTGAACAAGTCATGTGAAAGTGGCAGTGAGGGTGTTGGGTGGAGAAGAGCATTTGAGGCTCAGGGAACAGCAAGGTGAAACTGAGGGCTGAGGATGGAACAAACTAAGTGCTTTCAAGACTGCTGACCCATGGGAGTGAGCCAAACAACAGCAAGAGTAAGAGGAGCTGAGTTCTGCAAGGTGCTCAGGACCAGCTCTTCCAGGGCCCTGAAGCTGGAGGCCAGGATAGGATTCGATGCTTATGGTCAAAGCAGGTGATCCAGGTTTACATTACATTATGTAAAAATCACTCTGTCCACTCCATGGGGCATATGAGAACCTGTCTTCCTTTCTTATCTAGAAAGGATAGATTTCTCTTTACCTCTTGAGGAGTTTAAAGTATATGCCCTATGCCCTTCCTGCTGTGAAAAAAAGAAACTGATTTCTTTGTAGCTAACAATTCCAATTCTGGGTTTAATCATGTCTCATATAATATTTAAGAAGAAAAAGAAAGAAAAGCATTTGAGAGAACATGGAAGTGATGGGAAGAAGGAGACCGGGGGCAAGGGCAGGGTTCTCTTAGAGCCTAGAAAGATCTTTCCCTGTCCTAGAAAGAAAAGAGAGATCTATGGTACCCCCAAGAGAGATCAAGTCCCCATAGAGGAACCCCTTGCATTATGAGAGAACCCCATGTCTCGGCAGAGAGGTGCATGCATATTCATAGGAACTGCATGAACAGGGACAAAGAACACCTGGGCTCTGGGTGGATGGCTGGCAATGACTAAAGAAGCTTCCCCCCTCTGCCTGACAACTGGACAACACATGCCCTCAGTATCACTGCAGGTACACCTCAAAAGTGACTTAGGATACACCCAGCAAGATGAGATCTCAAAGTCACAACTAAAATTATGTATAATAAGAAAATAAACACAATGTATCTTAAACGCCCAAGTTGGTGGGCTGAAATTTATGTCTACTACACTGCAAACAAGAAAGATTGCATTACCATTGCTCTCCTGCAGTATAAAAAGATTTTCATAAAATGATCCATTACACACAAATTTGCTCCTCGGTCCTTTTCTTTAGCACTAGAACCTGATTGAGAGTCTGAGTCATAAACTGTTTGTGTCTTGGACATATTTTCATCACTCATTATGGAATTAATAAATGTAGAAAATTCTTCAGCATCTACAGTACAAAAATAAGATATGACATGATTAAAAACATAGAATTAAGTTCCAGAAAACACAGTAGGTGATAAGGATCAAGTGAGTAATTCAGATAACAAATGCTACATAAACTTGGAGAAAGGACAAGACTATCAGAGATACAATGAACCAGGGAAAGTTTCTAGAGAAGGAGGTATTTGGGTCTTAAAGAATGGGCATCATTTAGCTATATGGGGAAATACAGAGAACGTCATTTCAGACAAAGTCGATGGCAAAAGGAACAATGCAGAAGTAGGAATGTACATGTTTTTTGAAAGGAAAAATAGAAAATACTACTGTCCTTTCATTTCCTCCCAAACAGGCCATTCCTAAGACAATATATCAGAAAGTGAGCTGCACCTCTGGAGTTAGGCAATGCAGCAACCTCGGCCACGCATTCCCCTCCTGGTGTGGCATAAAAAAGAAGGCTTTCTCCTGCCACCAACTTTCTCTTAGAACCCTGCATTAGATAGTAAGTCTCGGTAGCAAAATATTCTATTGCCAATTTCATGGTAGGTCTTAGGTAGAGAGCCAGTTTTAAAAAAAGAAAAACTCAGGAAGCTGTATACTAAAATCTATATTCAAAAACCAGACTCTATGGCTATGGAATTCACTTTCAAATACTTCACTATACACAGTATGATATGCACATACCTGTGAAATCTAATCTATATCCTAGAAGAAGTCAGAAAGCATGCCAAGTCCCTCAAACATAAATCAACACTCCTGGGGCATTAACTGGCATACCAAGAACTCTGGTTGGCAATAAATCCCATAGCACTTAAAATGTCATTACTAAAAGTCTATATGAGTATGTAAGAGCCTAAAGGCATTAGAAATAAATTTTTATTTGTGAAATGAACCATATCATTGGTTAGAAAGTGTCCAGGTTCCATCATCTTTGCAGGAAAGGGGTGTGGAAATTAGTCAGGTTCGTCAGACTACAGTTTCCAGAGCACACCCTGATCAAGAACCCTGTTTTCGGCCGGGCGCAGTGGCTCACGCCTGTAATTCCAACACTTTGGGAGGCAGAGGCAGGTGGATCACAAGGTCAGGAGTTGGAGACCAGCCTGGCCAACATAGTGAAACCCCGTCTTTACTAAAAATACAAAAAATTAGCCAGGCGCGGTGGCACGTGCCTGTAATCCCAGCTACTGGGGAGGCTGAGGCAGGAGAATCGCTTGAATTCAGGAGGCGGAGGTTGCAGCCAGCCGAGATCGCCACTGCACTCCAGCCCAGGTGATAGGGTGAGACTCCGTCTCCAAAAAAAAAAAAAAAAAAAAAAAAAAAGAACCCTGTTTACCTGCATGTCTCTACCTTTTGGAGCCCCCTGTCACCTGACTAGATAACAAGGCTTCATTCATCTTAGAGTGAGCTTTCTTGGAAGATGCTGGTTGGAAATCCTAGGGCAATGGTGGATTCCCCTGAATACAAAATCAGCTATCATGATAGTTTGGGTGACTGCTTGTATTAGTATGTTTGATGGATTTTGCTTGGGAACTTATTTGCACTAAAACATAATACCCAATAGCAAGTCTTCACCTATCTTGAACCACCAAAGGCTATGAATATTAAATTTAAAACATTATATTTGCTGAACAATCTAATTGGCTAAGGTTAAAATACAAAATAGATATTTCCAAATATATGCAATAATATCATAAGAATATAGAAATTTTTTAAAATAGAGCAAACAAGAATCTCCTACAAAATATCAAAACTCAACTAAATTGCTGGTCCTTTGGAAAACTGGGTGTATACATTTGTGTGTCCACAATGTGTATGTGTGCTGTGTTGTTTAGTGAATAAAAATCTAGAGGTAATTTAATAATAAACTAACATGTTTATTTTACCTGATGGTAAGTTGGCCTTTCTTTTTTTGGCTGTAAGAAGGAAATCAAGCATTGCTTTATAATTTTCTACAGTCAATTTTCTTGTTGGTAATACTGTTCCTGAATTATACAGTGAAAACATGTTAGGATCACATGATCGGAAACTGCAAGGGGGGAAAAATCATATTAAAAAACAATATAAGCAAAATTGAATTAAATCTGTCAAATGCAATCTATTTTTATTTTTAAAACATTTGTGAGTACTCCCAAATTTTAAATCATGAAGGGTTTTGTCACTTAATCAAAGCCCAACATTTTTTCACTAACTTTTAAAATTATGCAATGTAATTTTGCTCTTAGGAATTTTAACATCAATATATATTTCTCTGAAAGGGCTCTTGAAAATGGGAATAAAAATATCTGTGCCGGCTCTGTGAGCTCTGAAACGATAATTTATTTCAACTTAAAACCACCTGATTTGAACAGAACTCAATGACAATGCTTACTATATATAGTAATGTGTCCATAATCAATGGCATTTCTTTTTTTTTTTTTTTTTTTTTTTTGGGACAGAGTCTCGCTCTGTCGCCCAGACTGGAGTGCAGTGGCGCGATATCGGCTCACTGCAAGCTCTGCCTCCTGGGTTCACGCCATTCTCCTGCCTCAGACTCCAGAGTAGCTGGGACTACAGGCGCCCACCACCACGCCTGGCTAAGTTTTTGTATTTTTAGTAGAGGCAGTGTTTCAGCGTGTTAGCCAGGATGGTCTCGATCTCCTGACCTCATGATCCGCCCACCTCGGCCTCCCAAAGTACTGGGATTACAGGTGTGAGCCACTGCACGCAGCCCTCATTTCTTTTTTAAAATAAGGTCTAGGCATTGAACAGTCTTGCATCAAAAAAAATAAATAGTTTATATTCATTATTCTTTTTTTATTATTATACTTTAAGTTTTAGGGTACATGTGCACAATGTGCAGGTTTGTTACATACGTATACATGTGCCATGTTGGTGTGCTGCACCCATTAACTCGTCATTTAACATTAGGTATATCTCCTAATGCTATACCTCCCCACTCCCACCACCCCATAACAGGCCCCGGTGTGTGATGTTCCCCTTCCTGTGTCCATGTGTTCTCATTGTTCAATTCCCACCTATGAGTGAGAACATGCGGTGTTTGATTTTTCGTCCTTGCGATAGTTTGCTGAGAATGATAGTTTCCAGCTTCATCCATGTCCCTACAAAGGACATGAACTCATCATTTTTTATGGCTGCATAGTATTCCATGGTGTATACGTGCCACATTTTCTTAATCCAGTCTATCATTGTTGGACACTTGGCTTGGTTCCAAGTCTTTGCTATTGTGAATAGTGCTGTGATAAACATATTTGTGCATGTGTCTTTATAGCAGCATGATTTATAATCCTTTGGGTATATACCCAGTAATGGGATGGCTGGGTCAAATGGTATTTCTAGTTCTAGATCCCTGAGGAATCGCCACACTGACTTCCACAAAGGTTGAACTAGTTTACATACAGTCCCACCAACCGTGTAAAAGTGTTCCTATTTCTCCACATCCTCTCCAGCACCTCTTGTTTCCTGACTTTTTAATGATCGCCATTCTAACTGGTGTGAGATGGTATCTCATTGTGGTTTTGATTTGCATTTTTCTGATGGCCAGTGATGATGAGCATTTTTTCATGTGTCTTTTGGCTGCATAAATGTATTCTTTTGTGAAATGTCTGTTCATATCCTTCACCCACTTGTTGATGGGGTTGTTTTTTTCTTGTAAATTTGTTTGAGTTCATTGTAGATTCTGGATATTAGCCCTTTGTCAGATGAGTAGATTGCAAAAATTTTCTCCCATTCTGTAGGTTGCCTGTTCACTCTGATGGTAGTTTCTTTTTGCTGTGCAGAAGCTCTTTAGTTTAATTAGATCCCATTTGTCAATTTTGGCTTTTCTTGCCATTGCTTTTGGTGTTTTAGACATGAAGTCCTTGCCCATGCCTATGTCCTGAATGGTATTGCCTAGGTTTTCTTCTAGGGTTTTTATGGTTTTAGGTCTAAAATTTAAGTCTTTAATCCATCTTGAATTAATTTTTGTATAAGGTGTAAGGAAGGGATCCAGTTTCAACTTTCTAAATATGGCTAGCAAGTTTTCCCAGCACCATTTATTAAATAGGGAATCCTTTCCCCATTTTTTGTTTTTGTCAGGTTTGTCAAAGATCAGATAGTTGTAGATATGTGACATTATTTCTGAGGGCTCTGTTCTGTTCCATTTGTCTATATCTCTGTTTTGGTACCAGTACCATGCTGTTTCGGTTACTGTAGCCTTGTAGTATAGTTTGAAGTCAGGTAGCGTGATGCCTCCAGCTTTGTTCTTTTGGCTTAGGATTGACTTGGCGATGCAGGCTCTTTTTTGGTTCCATATGAACTTTAAAGTAGTTTTTTTCCAATTCTGTGAAGAAAGTCATTGGTAGCTTGATGGGGATGGCATTGAATCTATAAATTACCTAGGCAGTATGGCCATTTTCACGATATTGATTCTTCCTATCCCTAAGCATGGAATGTTCTTCCACTGGTTTGTATCCTCTTTTATTTCATTGAGCAGTGGTTTGTAGTTCTCCTTGAAGAGGTCCTTCACATCCCTTGTAAGTTGGATTCCTGGGTATTTTATTCTCTTTGAAGCAATTGTGAATGGGAGTTCACTCATGATTTGGCTCTTTGTTTGTCTGTTATTGGTGTATAAGAATGCTTGTGCTTTTTGCTCATTGATTTTGTATCTTTTTAATAGCTACACAGTATTCCATATTATGTATGTATCTTCTATTTTTATCTCTCACAGCACTTAGCCAAAGACACTCAGTAAGTGCTTAAAAATGTCTGTTGAGTTAATGATAGAAAATTGACATTGGGTGAGTAAATATGATCTTAAAGTACGCCTCTATGAAATAGACATTTGCCTAATGCCTACTAATATCTACATTTATTCTATAATTCATATTAAACTTCTCTTGGAATTACATTTTACCCTTGCACTGAAAGCTAGATCAACAAACATATTCAAGCTACAATCAAATTATCACTTATATCCAGCACATAATTGTGAAAGATTCTGAGATTAAAACTTAAGAAATAAACCAATGGTTAGTGATATGGTTTGGCTCTCTGTCCCCACCCAAAGCTCACTTTGAATTGTAATAATCCCCACGTGTCAAGGGCAGGACCAGGTGGAGGTAACTGAATCATGGGGGCAGTTTTCCCCATGCTGTTCTCATGATAATGAGTCTCACAAGATCTGATCGTTTTATGAGCATATGGTATTTCCCTTGCACTTCTCTCTCCTGCCACCATGTGTAGAAGGACATGTTTGCTTCCCCTTCTACCATGATTACGTTTCTTGAGCCCTCCCCAATGGAACTGTGAGTTAAATTAAACCTTCTTCCTTTATAAATTACCAGTCTCGGGAAGTTCTTTATAGCAGTGTGAGAACAGACTAATAGAGCCAGTATAAAGATAGAAGCACTCTGTAAACCTCCTTAAGTTGTTAGCACCATTGGAGCTCTGAACATACAAATACAATCCATGTTCATGAAACTAAAAAAGTATTTTTCATCAGTAATATACTATACCTGACCATCATATGTGATGTGCCAAATTTCATCTTCGTACACTCCCATAGCTTTTGTAAAACCAGGTTAAAGTGTGCACCTGCTAGATACAGGTTCATCTGAGCTCTCCAGGGCATCTCTTCAAGTGATAGACGATGGAACCTCTTTCTTTTAACATAACTTAATATTAGAGGATTCAAGTAATCCATCAGGTATCGTTGTGCTGCTTTCCTAACACTGGTTCTCCTATTTCTGCCAAGGGAGAAAGAAGTTTTGAAATTACACAAGAACTTTCAGATATTTAATAAAGAAGAATCATTCCAATTTGGAAATAATACATCAATAAGTCACTTGACTGCCCTTATGCTAATGTTTCTGGCTTATTTATCATTTCTGCAGTGCTAGAAATATGAACCAGGGTGGTTTAAAAAAAGGCACAGGGATAAGCACCAGGGACAAAGACACCATGTATTGTCTTCAACTCTCTCTGAAGTCTGTGTCCTTAGCTAAAACCAACCAGAGCTTTTATTTTTCATAACCAAAAGGCTACTGAGATTAGACAACAAAATTAGGATATGATGTCCACATTCATCAACTAAATTCAATATTAAACAAGAAAATCATTTCTCTATATTGGTCCTTAAGGAAAAAACAACGCAGCAAAATTTTGTCTAACATTAGTTAGACTCTAGAGGAAATAAAACATCAGTTGAATATAGCTGAGATTACTTCATAACTGCATATTCAATATGCTCCAGAAAAAAATATACTCAAATTTTAGCTAATAGTTTAGATTTCAAGTATTATATATATTCAATTTTTTAAAATCATCCCTATCAAAACTTAAAGTAGTCCAATTACTTGCACAGTTATATAGTTGTTTATAGAGCATATTGTTCCAAGCATATTTTCAGTTTTTTTTGTTCTGTTAGCAGTGTTGCTACCCTATTGGTCAGCACCAATCTACCTGATTTATGTTGGTCACTTATATATTGTTCAGAATCTAAACCAACACACACACACACACACACATACACACATACAATAAAAAAAGAATGATGGATAGGAAGAAGGCAGGCAGATGTTGAAACAGAGGAGGAAACATTTGAAGAAAGGAAGGAGGGCAGCTTCCTTTTGATGTGTAGTGTTTACATTATCACTCAGTTCTAAATATGTTTTAGTTTATTGATGATTTGCTTTTAATCCAAGAGTTTTAGGGTTTTTTTGTCATTGTTTAGTTGGTTTTAGTGATGTTATTTGGTTTCCCAATAAATGTGAATCTTTTTAATAGCTGTATCCTGAAAGTTAAAAATATAATTTCCAAAATGAAAATCAATCTTGTCCCCATGTGAGTAGATCAATTCTCCTCAAAAGGCCAAGATGAGTCAACAATCGGTTGCATCTTCCTTGCCATGGAGAGTGCGATAGTTCAGGGAGATCAGCGACAGGACAGGCTTCCTCCAGGTATCTTGGCAAGGTAATGACAGACTCCAGGTGGCTCAGAAGGGAATTCACATCCAGCCCACAGAGGGTACAGAATGCTTTTCCTCCTATCATCTGAACAGTTCTTAACATTCAGGGTGCTCCAATAACCTGATTTGTGTCTTCATGAGCAACAAGTCTCAGGACACCCAAGAGACAGAGACAGAGCTCCACAAGGACAATCAGCAGAAATCCTCAGTGATGTGAAGCCATAAGAGGAAGCAGATAAACACCCGAATTAAAAAATATTTAGAAATCCTGAAACTACCTTCTATATATTCTGGCTTAAGGAAATAAGCTAGCGTATTGACATTAGCAGAACCAGGATTCTCACCATTAGGGAAAAGAGTTACAATTAGAAAAAGAGAAAACTCCGGAAAGTATCCTGTGGTTTTGAACTGGAATTCCAGTTATTAGAATGAATTTATGGTTTTAGATACAGAGAGATAGAGAGATACAGAGATTTATATAGCTATATTTAGATAGATATGTTTAGATAGACAATAAGATAGATTTAGATAGATAAATTTATCTGAACAAATACATTTCCCAGCTCAGCCTTTTGAGAGGACCTGGAAGCAAAGCCACATCAGTAGCCCTCACAACTTAGATTCTAAATAAATACCACTTCTCACTAAAAGAAATCAATTGACTCGAGGGCTGTACAAGGTGTGTACAAGATGAACATCTTGTGGTAAGAAGTAGCTCAAAAAAATGATGGAAGCATGTCAAAAACTGAAGAGCTAGCCTGGAAGAGCTCCTGCTAGCCAAATCTAGAGCAATTTGAGAATTAAAATAAACAATAATGTTAATTTGATAAAGAATATCCACAGAACAAAACCTACCACAAATACCATTCTTTTCTTTTTTTTATACTTTAAGTTTTAGGGTAAATGTGCACAACGTGCAAGTTTGTTACATATGTATACATGTGCCATGTTGGTGGGCTGCACCCATTAACTCGTCATTTAACATCAGGTATATCTCCTAATGCTATCCCTCCCCCCCCGCACCACCCCACAACAGGCCCCGGTGTGTGATGTTCCCCTTCCTGTGTCCATGTGTTCTCATTGTTCAATTCCCACCTATGCGTGAGAACATGCGATGTTTGGTTTTTTGTCCTTGTGACAATTTGCTGAGAATGATAGTTTCCAGCTTCATCCATGTCCCTACGAAGGACATGAACTCATCATTTTTTATAGCTGCATAGTATTCCATGGTGTATATGTGCCACATTTTCTTAATCCAGTCTATCATTGTTGGACATTTGGCTTGGTTCCAAGTCTTTGCTATTGTGAATAGTGCCGCAATAAACATACGTGTGCATGTGTCTTTACAGCAGCATGATTTATAATCCTTTGGGTATATACCCAGTAATGGGATGGCTGGGTCAAATGGTATTTCTAGTTCTAGATCCCTGAGGAATCGCCACACTGACTTCCACAAAGGTTGAACTAGTTTACAGTCCCACCAACAGCATAAAAGTGTTCCTATTTCTCCACATCCTCTCCAGCACCTCTTGTTTCCTGACTTTTTAATGATCGCCATTCTAACTGGTGTGAGATGGTATCTCATTGTGGTTTTGATTTGCATTTCTCTGATGGCTAGTGATGATGAGCATTTTTTCATGTGTCTTTTGGCTGCATAGATGTCTTCTTTTGAGAAGTGTCTGTTCATATCCTTTGCCCACTTGTTGATGGTGTTGTTTGTTTTTTTCTTGTAAATTTGTTTGAGTTCATTGTAGATTCTGGATATTAGCCCTTTGTCAGATGGATAGATTGCAAAAATTTTCTCCCATTCTGTAGGTTGCCTGTTCACTCTGATGGTAGTTTCTTTTTGCTGTGCAGAAGCTCTTTAGTTTAATTAGATCCCATTTGTCAATTTTGGCTTTTCTTGCCATTGCTTTTGGTGTTTTAGACATGAAGTCCTTGCCCATGCCTATGTCCTGAATGGTATTGCCTAGGTTTTCTTCTAGGGTTTTTATGGTTTTAGGTCTAACATTTAAGTCTTTAATCCATCTTGAATTAATTTTTGTATAAGGTGTAAGGAAGGGATCCAGTTTCAGCTTTCTACATATGGCTAGCCAGTTTTCCCAGCACCATTTATTAAATAGGGAATCCTTTCCCCATTGCTTGTTTTTCTCAGGTTTGTCAAAGATCAGATAGCTGTAGATATGTGGCATTATTTCTGGGGGATCTGTTCTGTTCCATTAGTCTATATCTCTGTTTTGGTACCAGTACCATGCTGTTTTGGTTACTGTAGCCTTGTAGTATAGTTTGAAGTCAGGTAGAGTGATGCCTCCAGCTTTGTTCTTTTGGCTTAGGATTGACTTGGCAATGCAGGCTCTTTTTTGGTTCTATATGAACTTTAAAGTAGGTTTTTCCAATTCTGTGAAGAAAGTCATTGGTAGGTTGATGGGGATGGCATTGAATCTATAAATTACCTTGGGCAGTATGGCCATTTTCACAATACTGATTCTTTGTACCCATAAGCATGGAATGTTCTCCCACTGGTTTTTATCCTCTTTTATTTCATTGAGCAGTGGTTTGTAGTTCTCCTTGAAGAGGTCCTTCACATCACTTGTAAGTTGGATTCCTAGTTATTTTATTCTCTTTGAAGCAATTGTGAATGGGAGTTCACTCATGATTTGGCTGTTTGTCTGTTATTGTTGTATAAAAATACTTGTGATTTTTGCACATTGATTTCGTATCCTGAGACTTTGCTGAAGTTGCCTATCAGCTTAAGGAGATTTTGGGCTGAGACAATGGGGTTTTCTAGATATATAATCATGTCGTCTGCAAACAGGGACAATTTGACTTCCTCTTTTCCTAATTGAATACCCTTTATTTCCTTCTCTTGCCTGATTGCCCTGGCCAGAACTTCCAACACTATGTTGAATAGGAGTGGTGAGAGAGGGCATCCTTGTCTTGTGCCAGTTTTCAAAGGGAATGCTTCCAGTTTTTGCCCATTCAGTATGATATTGGCTGTGGGTTTGTCATAGATAGCTCTTATTATTTTGAGATACGTCCCATCAATACCTAATTTATTGAGAGTTTTTAGCAAGAATGTTGTTCAATTTTGTCAAAGGCCTTTTCTGCATCTATTGAGATAATCATGTGGTTTTTGTCGTTGGTTCTGTTTATATGCTGGATTACATTTATTGATTTGCATATGTTGAACCAGCCTTGCATCCCAGGGATGAAGCCCACTTGATCATGGTGGATAAGCTTTTTGATGTGCTGCTGGATTCCGTTTGCCAGTATTTTATTGAGGATTTTTGCATCGATGTTCATCAGGGATACTGCTCTAAAATTCTCCTTTTTTGTTGTCTCTCTGCTAAGCTTTGGTATCAGGATGATGCTGGCCTCATAAAATGAGTTAGGGAGGATTCCCTCTTTTTCTATTGATTGGAATAGTTTCAGAAGGAATGGTACCAGCTCCTCCTTGTACCTCTGGTAGAATTCGGCTGTGAATCCATCTGGTCCTGGACTTTTTTTGGTTGGTAAGCTATTAATGATTGCCTCAATTTCAGAGCCTGTTATTCGTCTATTCAGAGATTCAACTTCTTCCTGGTTTAGTCTTGGGAGAGTGTATGTGTCAAGGAATTTATCCATTTATTCTAGATTTTCTAGTTCATTTGCATAGAGGTGTTTATAGTATTCTCCGATGGTAGTTTGTATTTCTGTGGGATCGGTGGTGATATCCCCTTTATCATTTTTTATTGCGTCCATTTGATTCTTCTCTCTTTTCTTCTTTACTAGTCTTGCTATCGGTCTATCAGTTTTGTTGATCTTTTCAAAAAACCAGCTCCTGGATTCACTGATACCAGAATCTCTGGGACACATTCAAAGCAGTGTGTAGAGGGAAATTTATAGCACTAAATGCCCACAAGAGAAAGCAACAAAGATCTAAAATTGACACCCTAACATCACAATTAAAACAACTAGAGAAGCAAGAGCAAACACATTCAAAAGCTAGCAGACGGCAAGAAATAACCAAGATCACAGCAGAACTGAAGGAAATAGAGACACAAATACCATTCTTAATGCTAAAATGTTGAAAACGTGAAAGCGTTCCCTATGAAGTGGGAATCAGACAAATATGCCCACTAACATCATTTTTGTTTTAGCACTGTATTGATGGGCCTAGCCAGAACAATAAGGAAGAAAAAGGAAAAGGGGAAAAGGATTGGAAAGTCAATATACAAAAATAACTCTATTTCTACATACCATCAATAAACAAAGAGTTCTAAAAGAATCATTTCCGGTAGCTTCAAAAACATACCTAGAAATTAATCAAAGCAATGATATATAAGATCTATTCACAAGAAGCAGAAATTACAAAGATAATTTAAAAACATATAGAACTAAATGAGAATGAAAACAATTTTAGTAAAAATTGTAGGATGCAGGCCAGGTGCAGTGGCTCATGCCTGTAATCCCAGCACTTTGAGAGGCTGAGGCAGGAGGATCACTTGGGCCCAGGAGTTCAAGACCAGCCTGGGCAACATAGCGAGGCCATCTCTACAATTAAAAAAAAAAAAAATTAGCCAGGTGTGGTGGTACATGCCTGCAGTCCTAGCTACTCAGGAGACTGAAGTAGGAGGATCGCGCTTAAGCCCAGGATTTTGAGGCTGCAGTGAGCTATGATGGTACCACTGCACTCCAGCCTGGATAACCAAAAAAAAATAAATATATATATATATACACACACACACACACACACACACACACACACACACATGCATATATATATATATATATGATGCAGCTAAAATATTTAGAAGAAAACTTAAATGTTTATGTTTTCTGGATTCAAAGCAATCCCAACTGTACTTCCAGCAAGTTCTTTGTTTTTAAATTACCATTGTACAGTGTGTGTCACTTCATGACAGGGATACATTCTGAGAAATGTTTCGTTAAGCTATTTTATTGTTGTTTGAACATCATAGGGTGTTCTTACACAAACCTAAATGGTATAGCCTACTACACACCTAGGCTACAAACCTCTACAGCAGATTAGGGTAATAAATACTGTAGGCAATTATGACAAGATGGTATTTGTACATCTAAACATGGAAAAGGTATGGTGATAATATGATTTTATAATTGTATAGGACCACCGTTGTACATGCAGTCCATCATTGATCAAAATGTTATGCAACACGTGAATGTAATTTCAATCTTTCCTCATTAATTATTTTTCAGTTTCTCCTTCAGATTTTTAAATGTATAGAATCTTTTTGGTTAACTTTTCAAAAATTGGTTTCTACCTTAATTGCATTGTAATAAAATATGGTTCATATGATTCCAATTACTTGAAATTTCTTGAGACTTGCTTTAGAGCCAATAGTATAAATACTCTATGCATGATTAAAAACAACAGTCATTCTCCAGTTGTTAGCTAACTGTAGCACTTCTCAAAAATTTATAATCAGTTTGTCAATTTCCACCAAAAGAAAATCCCAAGATTATATGAGGTAAGCATTCTACTTTGAAAGTTAGAAAAGGAACAACTAAATTCGCCAAAAGAAAGAAGGTAGGTACCCAAGAGAAATGAAAATATGTCTAAACCAAAGCTTTACATGAATGTTCACAGCAGTATTATTTATAATAGCCAAAAAGTGGATCAACTGATCCAAAAGTCTATCAACCGATGAATGGATAGACAAAATGTGATGTATCCATACCATGAAATATTATGCAGCAATAAAGAAATGTAATACTGAGACATGCCACATGGATAATCCTGGAAAACACGATGCTAAGTGAAAGAAGCCAGTGGCAAAGGACCACATATTATATGATTACACATACGTGAAACAGCCGGAATAGGCAAATCTGTAGAAACAGGAAGTGGATTCATGGTTGCCTCAAGCTGAGGGAAAGGAGTTGGATGTGAGGGAGTGATAGTTAAGGGGTGCCGGGTTTCTTTCTGGGTAAATGAAAATGTACTAAAATTGAGTGGGGTGATGATTAAACTCTGTGACTGTAACAAAAGCCACTGAAGTATGTCACTGGGGTAAATTGTTGGCATGTGACTTATTATCTCAATAAAGCTGTTTTTTGTTTGTTTGTTTGTTTGTTTTTCCTCGGACTCCTGAGTAGCTGGGATTACAGGCGTGTGCCGCCACACCCAGCTAATTTTTGTATTTTTAGTAGAGACGGGGTTTCACCACGTTGGTCAGGCTGGTCTCAAACTCCTGACCTTGTTATCCGCCTACCTCACCTTCCCAAAGTTCTGGGATTACAAGCATGAGCCACCACGCCTGCCAATAAAGCTGTTTTTTAAAAGGAAGATAGAAAGTAATAAACATAAAAGCAAAGGTAATGAAAAAGAAAATCAAGACAATAGAAAGGATCAACAAAGACAAAATTTGGTTCTTTGCAAAGACTAAAAAATAGACAAACCTCTGGCAAAACAAATGACAAAAATACGAGAGAAGACAAAGATTAATGAATTTAGGAATGAAACACAGGATGTAACTATAGATATAGCAGAGAGTCAAAAGTTAATGTGAGAGTATAACTTTTTATGAATAAATATGAAAACTTAGATAAAATGGATAATTTTTTAGATAAAATGGACAATTTTTTAGAAAAATATAATTCATCAAAAGGAACTCAAAAAAGATTACAGACTCAAAGAGACATAGTAATCTCAAAGAAATTGAATCTGTTAGTAAAAATGTGCAGGGATGGTGTGGTATAATAAAAATACATATTTGGTACCTGTCCCCTGGTTTCTGGCACAGAGAGGTCTTCAAACCCTTGGAATTTCCAGAGTGAAAGAAATGTGTTACTCACAGAAAGTCCCTGTGGAACCTATGTAAGTCTATGCTAAGGAGGCGACTCAGGGTAGAGCCTCTAGATAGCCTCAGGATATAGGTTATCTTAATCATCACTGAACACATGATTAGAGGGTGAGACCTTTCAGCCCCACCCCTCCCACCTCCTGGAGGGGAGGGTGGCTGCAAGCCAGGTTATGAAAAGTCTTGAACTCGGAGGTTCAGGGTGCTTCCAGGTAGGTACAACCACAAGCTAGGAGGGTGGTGCTCCCAACTCCACAGGGACAGTAGCTCCTGTGCTCAGAAGCCGTCTGGACTTTGCCCTTGGTATGTACCTTCTGATGCGGCTATTCATTTGTATCTTTTATATTAAGCTAGTAAACATTTAAAGTGTTTTTCTGAGTTTTGTGAGCTATTGTAGCAAATTTTCGAACCTGAGGAGGGAATCTCTGAATTTATAGTCAGCTAGGCAGAAGTGTGGGTATCCTGGTATCACATTTGTGAGTGGCCTCTGAAGTGGTGGCAGTGTTGTGGAACCAAGCCCTTTAACTTGTGGGATGTGCTGCTAACTGTATGTCGACAGTGTCAGCATTTAATTGTCTTTTTGTACTATAGTTATACAGGATGTTATCCTAAGGAGAAATTCCATGAAGTGCATATGGGGCTGCCCCGCTGGTGCTGGAGAATTGGTTGGTGCTGGAAAACACCACATGGTTTGTGTCAGAAGTGAGTGGTATGAGCAAAAAGATACTACACATCATTTAACATTTATGTAATAATGTAGTTTATCGCACGATCATATTAAAGAAGAAAAAAATCAATGAAAAAGAAATATTCAACAAAATTAAACTTAATTTATAACAAAACTCTTAGAAAATAAAAAATGGAAGACAATTTCCTAAATGTGATAAAGGGCTTCATCCCAAATCCCAAAGCAAATATGGTACTTAGAAGGGAAACAATAAATATATTTTTAAAATTCATATTATAGACAAGTTTATTCTAAAATGTATATGAAATGGTACAAGAAATAGATCTTTAAAATTCGTGTTACAGACAAGCTTATTCTAAAATGTATATGAAATGGTACAGATCCTAGAGTAGCTAAAACAACTTTGTAAAAAAAATAAAGTGGAAAGAATCACTCTACTTGATTTTAAGGTTTACTCTATAACAACAGTAATCAAGAAAGGGAATGTGGTATTGGCAGAGGGAGGCACATAGATCAATGGAACAGAATACAGAACTCAGAAATAGATCTGCACAAATATGTCCAGCTGATTTTTTACAAAGGTACAAAAGTGATTCAATGGAAGAAGGATAGTCTTTTCAAGAAATGACATTGGAGCAATTAGATATCCGCAGGTAAAAACATGAAGTTCAATCTAAACCTCACATCTTATGCAAAAAATTAACTCAAAATGAATCACAACTTAAATGGAAAACATGAAACCATAAAACTTAGCAGGGGAAAAAAAGGACCTACGATTAGGCAAAAAGTTTTTAGATTTGCCACCAAAAGCACAACCCATTAAAGGAAAAATTGATAAGCTGGACCTCATCAAGATTTAAAAATTGTGCTCTGCAAAAGAATCTGTGAAGAGGATGAGAAGACAAGCCACATACTGGGAAAAAGTATTTGCCAATAACATATGCAACAAAGGCCTCGTATCTAGAATATATAAAGAATTCTCAAAATTCAACAGAAAAATAAAAACAATCCAATGAGAAAATGAGCAAAAGACATAAACAGATATTTCACTAAAGAGGATATACAGATGGCAAGTAAGCATATAAAAAGATGTTTGGCCGGGCACGGTGGCTCACGCTTGTAATCCCAGCACTTTGGGAGGCTGAAGCAAGTAGATCGTGAGGTCAGGAGTTCAAGACCAGCCTGACCAACATAGTGAAACCCCGTCTCTACTAAAAATACAAAAATTAGTCAAGCGTGGTGGTGCATGCCTGTAATCCCATCTACTCAGGAGGCTGAGACAGGAGAATCACTTGAACCGGGGAGGCGGAGGTTGCAGTGAGCCAAGATCACGCCACTGCACTCCAGCCTGGGCAACAGAGTGAGACTCCATCTCAAAAAAAAAAAAAAAAAAAAAAAAAAAGATGTTCGCTATCATTAGCCATTAGAGAAATGCAAATTAAGGCCATGAGATATCACTACACACCTATTTTAATAGCTAAAATTTAAAAACCAGTAATAATACTCAATGCTGGAAAGCATGAGTAGAAACTAGATCACTCATATACTGTTGATGGGAATGTAAAAATGTGCAGCCAGTCTGCAAAAGAGTGGAGGATGCCTTACAAAATTAAACATGCTTACTATTCGACCAAGCAATTGCACTCTTGGGTATTTATCACAGAGAAATGAAGATTTATGTTTATATAAAAACTGCACATGAATGTTCATCACAGCATTATTCCTAATAGTCAAATGCTATTGGATTAGAAACAATCTAAATGCTCTTCAATAGGTAAATGGTAATAAACTATGGAAGATTTATGCCATGGAATACTACTAAGCAATAATAAGTGAACTCGTGGATACACACAACTTGGGTGACTCTCAAGGGAATTATGCTAAGTGAAACAAAAAGCCTCAAAAGGTTACATACTGTGGTGGTCATACAAATTCTACAGATTGCATAGAATATACACACAGACACACAAACACACACACATGTGCATGCAAACTTGCTGTAATCCAAATAAGGTCAGTGGATTATATCAATGTCAATTTCCTGGTTGTGATATTGTACTATAGTTGTACAGCTATCATTAGAAACTGGATGAAGGGTATATGGGATCTCTCTGTATTATTTCTTATAACTGCACATGCATCTATAATTATCTGGAAATAAGAAAGTTTTAAATATGCATGTTACAACAAGGATGTCCACAATCACAAACTCTTTTCCTGATTAAACTCGAAGTCCTAGCCTGTAGGCTAAACACGAAAAGGAAAGAAGAGGCTGGAGCATTAGAAAGGAATAAGCAAAACATTATCTCTTCAGATTATGACTGTCCACACACACACAAAAAAACTGTATCTACAAATAAATTATCAAGTTGTTTAGAAGATCAGTACGCAAAAAAATCAACTATACACCTATACAAAGAATAGAAAAATTCAAAAATGTAATTTTAAAATATAATTTACACTAATATCAAAAAACAGTTCCTTGATGTATCTAACAAAAGATATATAACGCGGTTATGGAGAAAATCATAGAAATTTATTGAAAGGCATTAAAGACCTAAGAAAGTGATCTGTCTACTAACAGAAAAACACAACAGTGTAAAAATAAATAAATAAATAATTTTTAAAAACCTTCCTATACCAATACATACATTCAATTCTATCTTTATCAAAATCATAATAGAGTTTTTTGTATTAATCAAAAAACCATTCCATTTTGTGGAAGAATACCCAAGACTCCCAAGACTTGCACGAAGGAAAAGAATATTCTGGAGAAACTTGTTCTTCAGACAGCAAAACTCAA
The DNA here is from genome assembly GCF_000001405.40 of Homo sapiens. Classification (NCBI taxonomy): domain Eukaryota; kingdom Metazoa; phylum Chordata; class Mammalia; order Primates; family Hominidae; genus Homo; species Homo sapiens. The sequence continues at coordinate 96,632,645 of NC_000012.12, read as the reverse complement.
TTTAAAACTAGAGTAATTATGATGGTTTGATATTGACTCAGGAATAAGTTAATAGACTAATCAAACAGAGAAGAGATCCCAAAGCTACATATATGAAAACTTGTTAAGTGATAAAGTTAACAGTGACAATAGAATAGATTACTCAATAAATTGTGCCGGCCAACTGAATACCTGCAACAAAACTAAAAAAAGAGTGAAAGGGACTCATCTTCTCACCATACGCAAAAACAAATTAATGAAATTCCTAAATGTGAAAATCAAAAATTTAAATTTACAAAGAGAATATCTTTACTATCCCAGATTAGGAATTTCCAAAACAATAAAGGGAAACATTGATATATTTGACTCCATTAAGAATTAAAACTTTTGAATTAATTATTAAAAAACTTTAAAATGTGAACTGATGAGCCACAAACTGGGAGAAGCATTAGCATCCAAACTTATAAAATTAAATAAGAAAACAAAAGTTTTTAAATGTGCAACGGATACAAACAAGCAGTCCTGAGACTGGAAAAACCCTTGGGCCAAATAAAAATATGAAAAGATGCCTAACCTTAGGAATCAAAGAAATGAAAATTGAAACAATGAGATAAAATTTCATACCACATAGTTCCACAAAAATGTGATAATAATGTCAAGTGTTGGTGAAGACCTTGAATAACAGAAATTTTTCACAACATTGATACAAATTTAAGAGCAACTTAGCAATATCTAGTAATGCTAAAATGTTCGTATCTTGAAAACCGCAACGCTGTGTATTTACCCTACAGAAACTCTCACACATACATAAGGAGACATATACAAGAATGTCCTTTGTAACATTGTTTAAAACAGTGAAAAGTTAGAAAGAATTTAAATGTTTATTTATGAGAGACTGAATAAATCATTTAAAAAATTTATTATACAATATATAATATATATTATATGATATATGCATAATATATATTGTTTATGCATGTTAAATTATGTTATTTATATTTATGTGTAGTATTATGCACACAGAAATATGTATACAATAATGTAACGCATTACACTATTATATAATTTATTATATGATATTTAGTATATAATGAAATACCATTCAGCAGTGAAATTAATAAAGTAGACTTACGTATAAGTGACATTTCAAAAAATCACAAACATAATATTGAGAGAAAAAAGGCAAATTTCCAAAGCAAATTGGAAAAAAATTACAGCATGCATTATTTGGGGCTACATACATATGTGGTTGACATATGAATTCACTCATCAGCATAATAAACACGAAATTTTGGCATAGTATTATTTCCAGGATAGAGGAAAACAGAAATGCATACCAACACGGGTACACAGGGATTTCAACTGTGTTTGAAAGGTTTTACATGTTAAGTTGCATAGTTGTTATATTATTTTTATACCTATCTAAAAATATGTCATAATTTAAATAAAGAAAATGAAGGAATAATCAAAGAGATAGTAGGCAAATGCAAATAAAAACAAAGTGGAATTGGTTCTATTAATATCTATGCGGTGTAAATTAAAATCAAAATCACTAAACAGGTATAGAAAAACATTAGATAATGAAGGTAAGATATATAAAGAATGTATAAGAATAAAAAATTCTTACACATGTGTACTTATAATGTGTACTTAAAAAAACAGAAACTAAACATTTTGCCATAATATATTTTATAATCAAGAACTTTAGGTTCACTGATAATTTACCAATTTGTTCTCCTAACCACCCTATCTAAACTATTGCCACCACCACCTTCATGCCAAGCCAAATATTCTATATTAGTTCATTTACTTTATAACATTTATCACCATTTTTAACTGTCTTGTTTATTTAGGTGTTTACTTGTTTACTATGCTTTTTTCATTAGTATGTAAGTTCCTTGAAGGCAGTGATTTCACCTGTCTGGTCCACCAGTGTATCCCTAGTACCCAAAATAATGCCCAACACATAGTTACCCTCAAGTAAACTTTTATTGAATTAATTAATTAGTGAATACCTTTCATGTGCCACCATTTCAGAAATAGCCGGATTTTTAAAAATGAAATCTCTTAGAGTTTCCTTTTTTTTACTTCTTATTCTTTGTTGCATTTCTGCACTCTTAATAGAGGAGATAAAATGTTACAAGTTAAATTTAAACTTTGAACACAGTAGTATAATTTATTCATACTCTAATGCTTATCTCTTGACATTGAAATACAGTAGTTTATATCCTCAATTAAAATTACTATCAAAGGCAGCAGAAGTACCCCTGTAGACAAAAAAAATCTGATTATAACAATATCTACATGTTAATCTAAAAGTTGTATTGTGTAATTATAAAATTATGCTTGTTAGTATATCCTTCTGTTTCATATTATAATGAGTTTAAATGTAGCCAATCATCTCTAGATACATGAATCTCTTAATTTCATTACCTAAAATTCAAAACTCATAGGAAACTTACTCTTCCAATTTCCATTACTGCAGCTTTGAACTTTAAAGATTTGTTTGCTTTTTTATTCAAAGCACTATCCTTATATTTCACTTTTATTAGTCCAAGTAGAGACTCATTTCTCCTAATAAAAAAGATAAAGTCAGTCAAAAAGACCTGCAAAAATTTGCAGAACTACCCCAAAGTAATATGTCTTTAAAGTTTTCACTGAAAGTATACAAGAATATCTAAAACTGCTTGTGTCCTATGCATCAATTTGACTGTGATATCTCTGTTCAGCATGAAATAGCTGGTCTCTCAAAAGAGCAAAGTGTAAATCATATCATAAAATGTGAGTATCAATGAAGATGTTGAATAATAGAAACTTTTCACAACATTGATAAAAGTTTAAGAGCAACTGAGCAATATCCACTAATGTTAAAATGTTCATATCTTGGAAACTACAGCCCTGTATATTTACAGAAACTCTCACACATGCATAAGGACACATGTATAAGAATGTTCTTTGCAGCACTGTTTATAATAATAAAAAATTAGGAAGATTTAAATGCCTATTTACAGGAGACTGAATAAATAAGTTTTAAAATATATTATACAATGTATAGGCCAGGCGTGGTGGCTCACGTCTGTAATCCCAGCACTTTGGGAGGCTGAGGCGGGTGGATCACGAGGTCAGGAGATAGAGACCATCCTGGCTAACAGGGTGAAACCCTGTCTCTACTAAAAATACAAAAAAAAAAAAAATTAGTTGGGCGTGGTGGCAGGCGCCTACTGTAGTCCAGCTACTTGGGAGGCTGAGGCAGGAAAATGGTGTGAACTCGGGAGGTGGAGCTTGCAGTGAGCCAAGATCGCGCCACTGCACTCCAGCCTGGGCGACAGACCGAGACTCTGTCTCAAAAAAAATAATAATAAAATGTATTATACAGTGTATAATAGAGAATATGTTGTATATTATAATCGTATAATAAAAGCTCCCATAGGGCTTTCTATAGGGAAAAAGAGGAGTTGAAGGCATGATGTACATGGAACAGAACTGGATTGAAAATAAAGTAACGATGGACACTTCTTCCCTTATAACTCAGAGAATACTGTAAAAGTAACCCTAGACAAGCTTCCTTGCTTCCAACAGATTTCAATCTCTTTGGTTCCATCTTTTGCAAGCTCCCAGCCACTGCTGCCCTCTGAATACCAACAGGAACTGAGCGGACCTTTTACCAATACTATCATCTCTCACTGTCCCTTTATTGACACTTGCCTATTTTTCCTGAAATTTCTATTTTTTTTTTTTGAATTTATATTTCTTCGTAAGTACTAGCCAGGTACAGCAAAACTGCTTAATATGATAAATGGGATCCCAAAACTTGAATAAAATGTAGGGTCTTATTAATGCAAGGCTAATGACAAGACGGGGTAAGCCTGGATAGCTAGTTCCAGGGGTTGGAACTTGACCCAAATCCATCTTGGTCCCTTCGCTCCAGTTTTGATGAAGATAATCCTAATCCCATGGTTGTCTGGAACCCCGGTTCAGCTGTAACAATCCTAAGAATCACCCAGTTAGTTGACATTCGTTTGGGCAAATGTTTTGCTGCCTAAATTAGAAGCCTTTGATCAATGACCATAAGGGACTTGGGGAGCCATCCTCCACAACTTGCAGCCTAAGACTGCCTTCCATTTCCAACCAGCTACGTCTCTTCTCTACAGCCTCTCCTCTCTCTCTCCCTCACTACCAGGGTGCTTGACCTGGTGGTTATGTTCTTCCAGAAAGAGATGGGAAGGAGAGGAGGTCACATTTAGACTACAGTCTTTGCCACCATCTCAGCATTCTCCTCCACGCACAGCAGAACCTTCATCCATTGAATAAATTAAACTCCTCCACTCCTTGATCTGTTCACTGCTCTGTGGAGCTCTGACTGACTGCTTTTCATTTTGATAAATAGTATTTTAAAATTTTTATTCAAGTCAGCGTTACTGAGGAGTTGTTCATTGTTTTAACTATTTATACAGCCATGTGTCACTTAGCGGTAGGGATACATTCTGAGAAATACTTTGTTAGGGAATTTTGTCATTGTGTGAACATCATAGAGTGTACTTATGCAAACCTAGCTGGTACCACCTGCTACACATCTTCGTGATATAGTACAGCCTATTGCTCCTAGACTACAAACCCATACAGCATGTTACTATACTGAACGCTGTAGGCGATGTTGTAACATAATAGTCAGTATTTATGTATCTAAACATATCCAAACATGGAAAAAGTACAGTATAAATACAGTATTATAATCTTATACTCCTCTTCCAGAATATCTCTTATTCTTAAGTTAGACTTCCACAGCCAGCCCTCCACATTTGCCTGTACACTGAAAGTATCTTCTGTTTTTCTTTGGAATCAAGAACATTATTTAACCCCCCTAAATATCTAATTTTAGCTATTTTTTAAAAAATTTAATAGAACTCTAATTCTGAACAATTCTGTTATTATCACGGCCTGTTTCATTTAATATAAGCAATTTCTTCTTTTATCTTTTGAAAATATGAAGCATATATATACTCTAAGCTTCTGTTCTAATAAATGAAGTACCTATTTTAGGAAGAAATCTTTCTATATGTTTTTAAGGGAATGCTTCTCTTTTGCTGCCATTTCAAAAACAGGTTTCATGTTACTGTTTACTTTTATTAAAATGGGATGGACAGATCAATGCCCAGTGAAGAAAAGCCCACTCTCAGTTGATAAAAGAAAAGTTGGATTCATTTGGCATGTCTCATAATTGGTGTGAAGCACTATCATTTTATTTGGGAGCAAAGAGAATCATTCAGGCTTAGAGAATAAGAGGGGCAGCTTTAAGGTTTACTGCTTTTATTTGAGGAACTCCCTCTTCACATATACAAATGGAAACTTCAAGAAATGGCTCTATTTGTTACCATAGAAGAATTACAAACACGTGGTAAATGACCAAAACTGGAGCCAAAACCTTGTGTGAGAAAGAACTGATGGCCTAGAGATACTATTATCCATCCTGACTCAATAGCAAAAGACTTAATCTGTTTCCAGCTAGAGACCTGAACATGCTCTATTCTCATTTGTGAGTACATTGTATATATATTTTTATTTTTAGTTATTTATTTACACAGACATGAATTTTCACTATCTCTTAGGCAGTGGTTTTAACTGTATATACTCCACTCTCTTTTTCGTCTACCTTATATTTCTTAAAACTGACAATGATATTCATTTTTTAAAGTTGTTAACATGTATAACACTGATAATTGCAAGTACCTTTTCAAGAAGTCATGGACAGGAGTTGTTACCTCTACCATAAGATGAAATTTTTCCTCATTCATGCATTTTAGCATAACTTGTGTAAAGAATTCCAGAAATCTTGGTTTTTGCTTAAATTTCATAACTGTAATAACAAGGAAGTTCATATATAGTTAACAATATACTCAATTATTAGTACCAAAGGGTTGCCAGTGCTAGCAGTCATTTTGTTCCAACAGGCAAGTTTATTAATCTGCTTTTTAGATTTCTCCATTTTAAAAAGTATATAGGAATAAATGTGGTGTGAACTATTGTTTTTCTAATATCAATGAATCCTTTACAGTCTATATTAAATTTATTTTCTAAATATCTCAGCATTGAGAAAGATTTCATTAAGGTCACTTCTAATGTATGACTAACTGGGGGAAAAATTGTTGATAATTATCATAACTAGTAATCCTAATTTTTATTATATTTCACTCTGAATTAATCAATTATGTTGCCATTTCTCATTAGCTAAACTTGAAATTCACTAATACATTTTTCTTTTTTCTTTTTTTTTTTTGTTTTTTGAGACAGAGTCTCACTCTGTCGCCCAGGCTGGAGTGTAGTGGCACGATCTCAGCTCACTACAACCTCTGCCTCCCAGATTCAAGTGATTCTCCTGCCTCAGCCTCCTGAGAAGCTGGGATTACGGGCACCCACCACCCAACACGTGGATAATTTTTGTATTTTTAGTAGAGACGGGGCTTCACCATGTTGCCCAGGCTGGTCTCAAACTCCTGACCTCAGGTGATCTGCCTGCCTTGGCCTCCCAAAGTGCTGAGATTACAGGCGTGAGCTTCTGCGCCCAGCCACTAATATGTTTTTCAATGCCTTAGTTTTTGTAAGCTTCATAATAACACCATTCACTACCAAAATAAGCCACCATCAAGATTCTGTCTTTCCAGACTTTAAATCAGGTACCTCTTTAGGTCTCTTTCATTACTTGGCAATCAGGATTCTGCATTATTCTGAGTGGGTAAGAATTCAAAATATTCTGCCTGAAACAGGTGAAATCTTCAAGCAGACAACAGAAACAAAATCCACAGAATTAATTCTCTTCAGTGATAAATCGAGTGAACAGCATATACACATCCAGTTCACCTACCTTCTTTCACGGCACCTTTGACCGACCAATTCAAAACTACAGGATAAAGAAATATAGGGTCCTCTCCTCCTGAGAGTTCAGATGTAACATCTAAGGTTAAAAAATTCAAAAGTTGTATGTTCTGTTTAGTAACGCAAAATACAAATTTTTTGAGTAATTCACAATAACAATTCTTTAAAAGAGATGACAAAACAGGAAAATACTATTTATTCTAAATTATGTGCCTTAAAATAGCAATTATAGCATTACATTTTGGAAATAAAAATAATCTGATGAAATTATTTGCTTCACTTTTCCCCCTAAAAGCTAAGGGGTCCACCACCAAATAGGTAAAGAGTTTCCAAGGCATGATTCTCTTTTTTTCAACAGCTGTCATATATCAGCAAACCCAAGACTCAGAAATCTACCAATTACATTTACCCCATTTTAGCAAAATTATCTTTAAAAGGCAGTAAAGTATAACACAGTCACTGCTGGAGCCAGACTGGCTGGGTTCAAATTCTAACTATGACATTTTTTAGTTATGAAACCTTGGAAAGTTATTTAGATTCTCTGTGCCTCAGTTTCCATATCTTTATAATGGAGATAATAATAGTATCTTCTTCTGGCTCTTATATACAGGTTGCATGAGTTTTAATGTGTATATTTTATAAAAATAGTATATTTTGTAAAATAGTGACTGGCACACAGAAAACACTGTACAAAACTATCATTTTATTATTGTTTTTGAATTTACTATTCCTTTTCTAACCATTAGACCACCAGGGAGAATTTACTATTTAGCTAGTTATAGCTCATTGTGCTTCTTGGTAAAATATTTTTACTGATATTATGAAAATAAATAATTCACATTTCTAGAACACTGTATGTTTTAAGGAATTATACTTTATATATATAATAAGATGATTACAGCTTTCCCAAAGCTAGGTAAACTAATTATGGGAATAATCAAATTCTTAGTTCAATTCATAAATCCATGCTTGAAACAGGCATGGAACATATTAAAAGAGAGAGATCCAAGTCAGTGAAGCCCACAAGATAGAACAGAGGCACACAGTAGGAAAGGTGAGGTAGGGACATGGAATTCTACAAGTGTAGCCTCATCCCCAAAGGCCATGGGGCAAAAGTAGAGCCTCGTACTTGGTTTAAGGCTCAAATTTGGATACTCTCTTGTTCTAGAAGATTTGAAGTACCTGCTTTTTAAAAATGTGACAATACTAATCATCACCAGAAACTAACTCAATTTCCCAAGTAACCTTCCAGGCTGCAAACTCCAAAATACCAATCATTGCATTAACACATTGGTTTATTATGAAATTACTACAGTACAACGACCTAAAATTAAACTAATCTTTCACTCTGCTTTCTACTCTGAAAGGCATTGGTTCAAACCACTTACACATTAACAACACTCACACTATTCCTTTATTTCTCAGTTGCATTTCTGACTTCAAAGCAGTGATTTTTGTGCCACCCATAACCCCCTCCCACTCTCCCACCAAGGATACCCAGATGGTTGTCACAACTAGGGGGTGGTGTGCTGTGCTTCTGTGAGTAGAGGCCAGGGATGCTACTCAATATCATACAGTGCCAAGGACAGTCCCCCACAACAAAGAACTACCTGGCCCAAAATGCTGATAGTGTCGAGGTTGAGAAAACTTGCTTTAGAGTCAGAAGACACAGGCTCAAGTCCAAGCCAGCTATGTAATCCTAAGTAAATCACTTAATCTTTATGAGCCACATCTGTAAAAAGTGGTTAGCAATCCCTTATTAACAGGGTATTGTTAGGATTAATGATATAAAAGCACTGTGTAAACCTTAAAGGGTTTACCAAATGCTAATCTCATCTTAATCCTTTGAACAAAATAGTTTCTCGTTTTAAAAAACTTAATGCTAAATGGAAGTATACAGAAAACAAATGATTACATTGCTTTGTCAGTTTGAGTAGGTGTGTCTCCAACAAGGCCAGCTGTTCATTTATCTTTTCAGGCAGTAGTATCTGCTGTGGCTTCTTAGTCTTTAAAGACTTCTTAGAAGAATCCTAAAAACATTGGTTAAACGTCAAAATGTACTTTAACGTGTTGCAACAACTGTCCTTTTCAAACAACATTCTTTAAATTATGTTTTCATACTTTCACACTTGGTAGATAAAACTATGATCTACATAACAATATTAATTAACAACAATGAATAATAACAGTTATTGTGCTCTAATTAAATGTAGACATAGTGCTGTGTTTCACGGAGATTGACCAAAATGCTGCTTCTTTTCTCTCTCCCTTTCTCCCAGTAACTTCCACCTACCTAACCAGCCCCCTCCAAAACCTGCATTCTCAAAGCAGCTGAGGCTATGTCTCTAAAAATCTTGAAAAGACAATTCCCAGCCTGCCCTCAGAAATGTATCCCTTTATTCTTTTTTCCCTTTCTTTTTCCCAGAAGGAGCTTCTTTACAACTAAGCTAATTGCCTTTGTTACTTTGCCTTTCATTGAAACTTAAGGGGATCAGCAATTAGTGGATTAAGAATCAGCCTGTCTGCCCACTCAGGCTCACTACCATGTTTTCTCTGTCTGAGCCTGAGAACTGACCTGTTAATGTCTCTTGTTCAAAAAAAAAAACTTCCAAGCCCCTTTAGGCTTAAAGGAACCTTGAGTAGCTCTAATAATTTCTGACTCCTATAAATTAACAATCTCTACAATCTTGGATGGAAGAATCACAACCTTCTGCTGGACTGAAAGCTTCAAGAAGAGAGGCATGAGGCCTGTCCTACCATGATGTGGAAGGCCCTGAGTCAAAGCCTGGGTGACATAAAGGGGCTGATAGACTCTGAGAGTAGACACTGCATGGCACAAAAACAAACAAACAAACAAACAAAACCCTCATATTGCTTCCAGCTTAATCAAAAATCCCTCTAGACAAAACATCCTTCCAACTAGGAAAAAAAAAAGTATTATAGCTTAAAAAGTCATCCAGTAAAACAGTGGTGATTTTTAAAAGTTTTTTTGGCAAACAAATGCTTACTTGGAAATTCAAGATATCACAGAGATAGAAATGGAGCTACTCTAACTTAGACAGAGTCAGGGATGAGAGTCTCTACTCCCACCCAAGCCATGGAAGGGACTTCAAGTAATTTCTAGTGCCCTCAGAAACCCAATGAACTGGCCAGGCACTGTGGCTCACACCTGTAATCCCAGAACTTTGGGAGGCCAAGGTGGGAGGATCACCTGAGGTCAGGAGTTCAGGACCAGCCTGGCCAACATGGTGAAACCCCATCTCTACTAAAAATACAAAAATTAGCCAGGTGTGGTGTCATACACCTATAATCCTAGCTACTCAGAGGCTGAGGCAGAAGAATCACTTGAACTGAGGAGGTGGAGGCTACGGTGAGGCAAGATTGCATCACTGCACTCCAGCTTAGACTATAGAGTGAGACTGTGTCAAGAAAGAAAGAGAGAGAGAGAGAGAGAGAGGGAGGGAGGGCGGGCGGGCAGGCAGGCCAGTGAACTAAGTAACATTTCAAAACTTGATCTACAAAACTACATAGTTTCAAGGAAAGGCAATAAGCATAAGTTCTTGTAAGACTCATGCTTGGAAGGCAGATATTAAAAGTTAATCTCAAAAATTAGCAGTCTCATAAAGAAGAGAACACGGGTGTCACAAAGAGTTTCAGAAATCTACTTTGAACACAAAGTAAAAAAACTCTGACATGTATTTGCCACATTCAATGATCCACCCAGAACAATAAAATCTTAGATTTGGAAGAGACTTTAGAGAGCTTTTAAGTCCAGTGTCCAACTGGGTGTAAGAAGCTCTCTATCATCATTAACTGATGGTCGGGACTGGTGATGGGGACTATTCAGCATGCTAGCAGAGATTCCTTTTTCATTTTCTTGACCATAACTAAAAAAAAAAAAAAAAAAAAAAAAAAAAAAAACAAACCCAAAAGCTCTTTACTATAATACTTTACTTATATGTAAATATAACAAATGTAAAACTTACCAATTTTCTAATATGTTTAATAATACTACATTACCCCTAAAAGATGCAAACTAAACGTAGGTTTAAAAATGAGAAACAAAAACAATTACCTCCTCTGGCATTTCTTCTTGTTCATTACTACCATCAAACAGAGACTTGCATCCTGGTGTGATGTCCAACATTTTTTTCCCATAATTTATAATCATTACTGCCAGGTCATATTCCCTCCATGAACGAAGAATCTAATTTAAAATATTTATTAATTATCTCTGTTGGACATTCTTGTCTATTTTCAAGTATAATGCATCATTTTCCATAAATTCAAAAGCCCCATAGAGTTTTCAGTCTAAGAATCCCCCTTTTATTTTAAAAAAAACCGTAAGTTTACCTCCAGATCGTATTAACACATTGAGTGCAACTAAAGATGCATAATTCAACTATTTTAAGTAAAGGACTAATAACGGGATCTCATCAATAACAAACTTCCCATATCTCTGGGCCACACAGCCATATACCTTCTGATACAGTGAGTTAACTATTAAGAAAACAATTCCTTTCAAAAAATCCATATTTAAAAAGTCATTTGTAAAGGCCACATCACCACCACTTCTTATCTTGAGTTGCTTTCTATAGGAAATGGCATAACTACCGACCTCATGATGTCTTAAGGAGCATTTATATCACTAAGTGATTTACAAGACATTCTGCTAGAGGACTAGGCTAGATAGAAGCTGTTTTTGGCAGATTCCCCATCAACCCTAGGGGAAGTGTGCACTGTAGTCGTAAGGGGAAGAGGCCTATTTAGCCTCTCACATCCCCTAATACCAGTTCTTTGGCCTTATCTATTCTGGCCCTTACCTACCTTTCTAAAGTAATCTTCCACCACTCATCTCCTTGTACTTTAATCTTACAAAATATTGAGCCAATTATAAAATCTGACAGTCACCATTGTGTTACAGGACTTCATGTCTTCCCACAGCTGAGCCATTTCCCAGAACAGCTGTCTGCACCTTGTTTATACAGCTTCACCTTGCCATTAAAACCTTGGCTCTAGCATCAACTTCAGAAAAGCTGCCCTGGCCAGCAATCTGATTTGCATATATTCTGCTGTAGAGAAGGGTCAAAAAAGGGGACACACTCATTGTGGGCCCCTTAGGGCAACTAGGAGTATAAATAAGTTTGTGTGAATTTGTTATATGTAGATATATTCTGTTGAGTATGTTAGTATTTAAGACAAGTGTATTAGTTTGTTCTCACACTTATAATAAAGACATACCCAAGATGGGGTAATTTATAAAGGAAAGAGGTTTAATTGACTCACAATTTAACAGGGCTGGGGAGGCCTCACAATCACGGCTGAAGGTGAATGAGGGGCAAAGTCATGTCTTACATGGTGGCAAGCAAGAGGGCCTGTATAGGGGAACTCCCCTTTATAAAACTGTCGGATATCGTGAGACTTATTCACTATCACCAGAACAGCACAGGAAAGACCCGCCCCCATGATTCAATTACTTCACACCAGGTCCCTCCTACGACATGTGGGAATTATAGGAGCTACAATTCAAGATGAGATTTGGGTGGGGAGACAGTCAAACCATATCAATAAATAACAACTGTTACTTCTCATGCAGGGAAGGGATATATAAAGTGGCTGAACAATAATGAGTGGCTGCTTAGACCTGAGAAGCCCTATCTAATGCTAAGAACTGGAACACGTATCTTTGGGACCAGGGCAAAGGCACTAAACTAATAGTGACTGTGGAACAGAGTGTGGGAAAGAAAGTGCCAAATAAATTTTGTGAGTTTTTTTAAAAATTTTTATTTGTTTACTTATTTTATATTTTGTAGAGGCAGGGTCTCTAAAAATCCCATGCCTGGGATTATAGGCATGAGTCACCATGTCCGGCCAAAATAAATTTTGAATAGGTAGGTAGGGTTAGGTCATGCAAAACCTTGAATGTTCAGCAAAACAGTCAAATCTCATTATGAAATGTATATGAGCAGAAGAAAGTTTTCCTATAAGGAAATAGAATTGAGCTAAGTTTTGCTATAAGAAAACAGAAACGAGTCTGCTCTCCACTCTACTTAATTTTGCTTTCTGACATATTTAGGTCCTAAGCTTACAGATAACTGGGCAATCTTTTCCCCTTCTTTTAATATGCTAGTAGAAAATAATAAATGATAAAGAATTTTTTCCAGCCAAAGGAAAAACAGAGGACCAATTCTATTTAACATACCAAATGATGAACAGAAACAGAGTATGCCAGATGTTTAGCATAACAATTTTTAAATCATGCAAAAGTAATGACACATTGAAGATGGCAAATCTCACAAGTGGCATGTTAGAAAAAAAATACTGATGCTTAAAGAAGAAAGACTCAACCATCTGAAAAGATTACCAATTTTTAAAACAGAACAGAGAAAAGAAACAGAGCCATTTGACTAATCAGGTTTTACATGTCCTAAGAGAAAATCCAACATTGTTTATATCAAATGAACACCTGAAATCTGGGATTCAGGGTTAGTCCAGGATCCTGGAACTGTAGGCTAGACAGGAGGAAGCTTCTAGAATGGCAATTCTCAACATATTAGGGACAAAATCAAGTCAAATATCAAAATCGTGACATTAATATATTACTTGTTTTTGAATGTTTTCAGAACACATTCAGGCTGGTTGCCGTGGCTTATGCCTGTAATCCCAGCATTTTGGGAAGTGCAGGCAGGTGGATTGCATGAGCTCAGGAGTTCAAGACCAGCCTGAGCAACATGGCAAAACCCTGTCTCTACAAAAAATACAAAAATTAGCCAGGTGTGGTGACACATGGCTGTAGTCCCAGCTACTCAGAGGCTGATATGCGAGGATTGCTTGAGCTAGGGAGGTGGAGATTGCAGTGAGCTGAGATCATGCCTGATCTCTGTCTCAGAAACAAACAAACAAACACACATTCAGGGTCATTTCTACAGTAACATCACTTGGATTTCAATGATTCCCCAAATGGGAGAAGAAGGGGGTGGGGGTCCTGGCCAGCAAGTCAGGAAATGCACAGAGTCAGCTAGAAGCTGGTGTGTGCTAAGAGAGAAAATTCATCCAAAGCTGAGAAAGGTAGCATGTGAATTCAAGGACGTCAACCTCCACTGGGTCCCAAATGCTGGTTGGAAGTCCAATTTATTCTAGGTCAGCATTCTCTCCCATCTTCTTCAGTGGCGGCCCAAACCCACCCATTCTCAAATCTTTGAAACCCACCCTTACCCATCTCCTCCTAACTGTCAGCAAATGACCTTGCTTCCTGTCCACAGAGGAAATGTTAAGGGAAGTGCTTCTCTCCCATCCACAAACCTATCATCACACGTCTGTAACTACAACCACCCTTCCCTCCTTGAGAGACGAGAAGCGAATCTCCTGTCCAGACTAACCCCTCCCACATGTGCTGGGATCTCACTGCCTCATGCTTTCAGGGATCCTGCTCTAGTCCTCACACCACCTCTCTTAAGTCTTCATCCTTTCCCTTTCCTGGTCCCTCCTCATCAATATTTCAATGTTTTGGAGTATGTCGATAAGCTGAATTGGTTTTTTTGGATTGTTTTAGCAGAAGTTGCCATTGGCAAGATGCAAACCACAAGCTGCCTTGAAATAGAGTTTCTTTCTTTCTTCTGGAAGACATTGCAGTAGCCCCTGTTAGTTACTTAAACGTAAGTAGTTGTGTTCAGTGCCCTGGAAAGAGAGTGTAACCTGGCCTTCCCTTATTTGAAAAAGACACCCCTCCCCTGGAAATACTCATTGATGGAAGAGCTTTTTGGGGGTCGGAGTAGGCCAAGCAGATAAATATATTCCTTTTTTTTTTGAGACAAAGTCTTGCTCTGTTGCCCAGGCTGGAGTACAGTGGCATAATCTCGGCTCACTGCAAGCTCTGCCTCCCGGGTTCACGCCATTCTCCTGCCTCAGCCTCCCGAGTAGCTGGGACTACAGGCGCCCGCCACCTTGCCTGGCTAATTTTTTGTATTTTTAGTAAAGACAGGGTTTCACCGTGTTAGCCAGGATGGTCTTGATCTCCTGACCTCGTGATCAGCCCAGCTTGGCCTCCAAAGTGCTGGGATTACAGGCGTGAGCCACCACGCCCCGCCCGCAGATAAATATATTCTAAAGAAAAGTAACCTTGGAAGATAGACTTTGGGCCCAGCACAACACGAATTAATGTGTGTGTGATCGTAGCACTGGAAAAAGAAAAGGGTGCTTTGGATTGCATGGGACCCCTGCTTTCAATGGTGTCACCATGTGACAATGACAGAACTAACAGCAGCAGGAATGTTCTTGAGGTTGGGAGGGATTAGGAATGACAGAATAGCTTTAGACTAATCAAACTCTTCAGTTATCCCTCTTGTCTAGTATTTGGAAGAAGGATTGACCTCTTGGACTAAGTGCACCCTTGAAATTGTTAGATAATTCTCTCCCCTTCTCACTCTATGCACCATCCCCCTGGTGGTGGCATCTATTTCTACTGCTTCAATTGCAGTCCTGATACTAATGACTTCTTTGTCTTTACATACATTTCACATCTCCCGAGCTCCAGGCTGATAGGTCCTGTTATATAAAGGCCACTTCTTTGGATATCCTATCGACTCCAAAATTCAATCTGTTTAAAACTCATTACCTTCTCCCCATTCACTACACAAAGTTACTCCTCATGCAGGGTTCAATGAGTAGTGTTATATTCACCCAACTGCCCAGACCAGGTAGCTGAATATTACCACTGCCTCTTCCCTCTCCCTCCTTTATTCTTGTCTATTTAGAGTTTCAGATTCTCAATTCTATCTCATAAATAACTCATGAATCCTTTCCATTCTCTCTACCTCCACTTTTTCCATACCAGTTTAGTTTATCTTCTCTCTGAACTCATCTCTGCCTCAGGTCTTATCTCCTCTAATTATTAGCTGTTGTACAACAAGAACAATTTCTTTTTTCTAAAATACAAATCTCCTTATGTCATTCCTGGGTGTGAAACCCGTCAATGGCACCTCCTTGACCCCACAAGATGGCCATTTATCACCTGGTACCTGTCCATTGCTCAACCTTTTAAGGCAACTGAAATATTGCATTATATCCTCCATGATAAAAGATAAATTTGATTATTTTATCAAACTCTAAAATTATTCCATATTTTCTAACTGATTACTCCCTGGAGTGATTAACGTTAATAATCCTATGCCTTCACATATTTTCCCAACCTAATATTTGCCTTTGAGCTCTCCTTACAGTGTCTTGTCATAAAAATGTTTTAATCATCATGTAATCTAATTATCTTTTTCTGTTTATCTTTTTCTTTTTACACTTTAAGTTCTAGGGTACATGTGTACAACATGCAGTTTTGTTATGTATGTCTACATGTGCCATGTTGGTGTGCTGCGCCCATTAACTCGTCATTTACATTAGATATATCTCCTAATGCTATCCCTCCCCCCTCCCACCACCCCACGACAGGCCCCGGTGTGTGATGTTCCCTTTCCTGTGTCCAAGTGTTCTCATTGTTCAATTCCCACCTATGAGTGAGAATATGTGGTGTTTGGTTTTTTGTCTTTGGGATAGTTTGCTGAGAATGATGGTTTCCAGCTTCATCGATGTCCCCACAAAGGACATGAACTCATCCTTTTTATGGCTACATAGTATTCCATGGTATATATGTGCCACATTTTCTTAATCCAATCTATCATTGTTGGACATTTGGCTTGGTTCCAAGTCTTTGCTATTGTGAATAGTGCCGCAATAAACATATGTGTGCATGTGTCTTTATAGCAGCATGATTTATAATCCTTTGGGTATATACCCAGTAATGGGATGGCTGGGTCAAATGGTATTTCTAGTTCTAGATCCCTGAGGAATCGCCACACTGTCTTCCACAATGGTTGAACTAGTTTACAGTCCCACCAACTGTGTAAAAGTGTTCCTATTTCTCCACATCCTCTCCAGCACCTCTTGTTTCCTGACTTTTTAATGATCACCATTCTAACTGGTGTGAGATGGTATCTCATTGTGGTTTTGATTTGCATTTCTCTGATGGCCAGTGATGATGAGCATTTTTTCATGTGTCTTTTGGCTGCATAGATGTCTTCTTTTGAGAAGTGTCTGTTCATGTCCTTCCTCCACTTGTTGATGGGGTTGTTTATTTTTTTCTTGTAAATTTGTTTGAGTTCTTTGTAGATTCCGGATATTAGCCCTTTGTCAGATGGATAGATTGCAAAAATTTTCTCCCATTCTGTAGGTTGCCTGTTCACTCTGATGGTAGTTTCTTTTGCTGTGCAGAAGCTCTTTAGTTTAATTAGATCCCATTTGTCAATTTTGGCTTTTGTTGCCATTGCTATTGGTGTTTTAGACATGAAGTCCTTGCCCATGCCTATGTCCTGAATGGTATTGCCTAGGTTTTCTTCTAGGGTTTTTATGGTTTTAGGTCTAACATTTAAGTCTTTAATCCATCTTGAATTAATTTTTGTGTAAGGTATAAGGAAGGGATCCAGTTTCAGCTTTCTACATATGGCTAGCAAGTTTTCCCAGCACCATTTATTAAATAGGGAATCCTTTCCCCACTTTTTGTTTTTGTCAGGTTTGTCAAAGATCAGATGGTTGTAGATGTGTGGTATTATTTCTGAGGGCTCTGTTCTGTTCCATTGATCTATATCTCTCTTTTGGTACCACTACCATGCTGTTTTGGTTACTGTAGCCTTGTAGTAGAGTTTGAAGTCAGGTAGAGTGATGCCTCCAGCTTTGTTCTTTTGGCTTAGGATTGTCTTGGCAATGCAGGCTCTTTTTTGGTTCCATATGAACTTTAAAGTAGTTTTTTTCCAATTCTGTGAAGAAAGTCATTGGTAGCTTGATGGGGATGGCATTGAATCTATAAATTACCTTGGGCAGTATGGCCATTTTCACAATATTGATTCTTCCTATCCATGAGCATGGAATGTTCTTCCATTTGTTTGTGTCCTCTTTTATTTCATTGAGCAGTGGTTTGTAGTTCTCCTTGAAGAGGTCCTTCACATCCCTTGTAAGTTGTATTTCTAGGTATTTTATTCTCTTTGAAGCAATTGTGAATGGGAGTTCACTCATGATTTGGCTGTTTGTCTGTTATTGGTGTATAAGAATACTTGTGATTTTTGCACATTGATTTTGTATCCTGAGACTTTGCTGAAGTTGCTTATCAGCTTAAGGAGATTTTGGGCTGAGATGATGAGGTTTTCTACATATACAATCATGTCATCTGCAAACAGGGACAATTTGACTTCCTCTTTTCCTAATTGAATACCCTTTATTTCTTTCTCCTGCCTGATTGCCCTGGCCAAAACTTCCAACACTATGTTGAATAGGTGTGGTGAGAGAGGGCATCCCTGTCTTGTGCCAGTTTTCAAAGGGAATGCTTCCAGTTTTTGCCCATTCAGTATGATACTGGCTGTGGGTTTGTCATAAATAGCTCTTATTATTTTGAGATATGTCCCATCAATACCTAATTTATTGAGAGTTCTTAGCATGAAGGGCTGTTGAATTTTGTCAAAGGCCTTTTCTGCATCTATTGAGATAATCATGTGATTTTTGTCTTTGGTTCTATTTATATGCTGGATTATGTTTATTGATTTGCATATGTTGAACCAGCCTTGCATCCCAGGGATGAAGCCCCCTTGATCATGGTGGATAAGCTTTTTGATGTGCTGCTGGATTCCGTTTGCCAGCATTTTATTGAGGATTTTCACATCGATGTTCATCAGGGATATTGGTCTAAAATTCTCTTTTTTTGTTGTGTCTCTGCCCGGCTTTGGTATCAGGATGACACTGGCCTCATAAAATGAGTTAGGGAGGATTCCCTCTTTTTCTATTGATTGGAATAGTTTCAGAAGGAATGGTACCCGCTCCTCCTTGTACCTCTGGTAGAATTCGGCTGTGAATCCATCTGGTCCTGGACTTTTTTTGGTTGCTAGGCTATTAATTATTGCCTCAATTTCAGAGCCTGTTCTA
This sequence comes from Homo sapiens, assembly GCF_000001405.40. Lineage (NCBI taxonomy): Eukaryota > Metazoa > Chordata > Mammalia > Primates > Hominidae > Homo > Homo sapiens. Next base: position 96,613,838 of record NC_000012.12, on the reverse strand, counting down.
TTCATGGATTCATCTTCTTCCTGGTTTAGTCTTGGGAGGGTCTATGTGTCCAGGAATTTATCCATTTCTTCTAGATTTTCTAGTTTATTTGCATATAGGTGTTTATAGTATTCTCTGCTGATAGTTTGTATCTCTGTGAGATTGGTGGTGATATCCCCTTTATCATTTTTTATTGTGTCTATTTGCTTCTTGTCTCTTTTCTTCTTTATTAGTCTTGGTAGTGGTCTATCAATTTTGTTGGTCTTTTCAAAAAACCAGCTCCTGGATTCATTGATTTTTTGAAGGTTTTTTGTGTCTCTATCTCCTTCAGTTCTACTCTGATCTTAGTTATTTCTTGTCTTCTGCTAGCTTTTGAATGTGTTCGCTCTTGCTTCTCTAGTTCTTTTAATTGTGATGCTAGGGTGTCAATTTTAGATCTTTCCTGCTTTCTCTTGTGCGCATTTAGTGCTATAAATTTCCCTCTACACACTGCCTTAAATGTGTCCCAGAGATTCTGGTATGTTGTGTCTATGTTCTCATTGGTTTCAAAGAACATCTTTATTTCTCCCTTCATTTCATTATGTACCCAGTAGTCATTCAGGAGCAGGTTGTTCAGTTTCCATGTAGTTAAGCAGTTTTGAGTGAGTTTTTAATCTTGAGTTCTTGTTTGATTGCTCTGTGGTCTCAGAGACAGCTGTTATAATTTCTATTCTTTTACATTTGCTAAGGAGTGCTTTACTTCCAACTATGTGGTCAATTTTGGAATAAGTGCAATGTGTTGCTGAGAATAATGTATATTCTGTTGATTTGGGGTGGAGAGTTCTGTAGATGTCTATTAGGTCTGCCTGGTGCAGAGCTGAGTTCAGTTCCTGTATATCCTTTTTAACTTTCTGTCTCATTGATCTGTCTAAAGTTGACAGTGTGGTGTTAAGGTCTCCCATTATTATTATGTGGGAGTCTAAGTCTCTTTGTAGGTCTCTAAGGACTTGCTTTACGAATCTGGGTGCTTCTGTATTGGGTGCATATATATTTAGGATAGTTAGCTCTTCTTGTTTAATTGATCCCTTTACCATTATGTAATGGTCTTCTTTGTCTCTTTTGATCTCTGTTGGTTTACTAGGATTGCAACTCCTTCCTTTTTATGTTTTCCATGTGCTTAGTAGATCTTCCTCCATCCCTTCATTTTGAGCCTATGTGTGGTCTCCGCATGTGAGATGGGTCTCCTGAATACAGCACACCAATGGGTCTTGACTCTTTATCCAACTTGCCAGTCTGTGTCTTTTAATTGGAGCATTTAGCCCATTTACATTTAAGGTTAATATTGCTATGTGTGAATTTGATCATGTTATTATAATCATAGCTAGTTATTTTGCTCATTAGTTGATGCAGTTTCTTCCTAGCATCGATGGTCTTTACAATTTGGCATGTTTTTGCAGTGGCTGGTACTGGTTGTTCCTTTCCATGTTTAGTGCTCCCTTCAGGAGCTCTTGTAGGGCAGGCCTGGTGGTGACAAAATCTCTCAGCATTTGCTTGTCTGTAAAGGATTTTATTTTTCCTTCACTTATGAAGCTTAGTTTGGCTGGATATGAAATTCTAGGTTTAAAATTCTTTTCTTTAAGAATGTTGAATATTGGCCCCCACTCTCTTCTGGCTTGTAGAGTTTCTGCTGAGAGATCCACTGTTAGTCTGATGGGCTTCCCTTTGTGGGTAACCCTACCTTTCTCTCTGGCTTAACATTTTTTCCTTCATTTCAACTTTGGTGAATCTGACCATTATGTGTCTTGGAGTTGCTCTTCTTGAGGAGTATCTTTGTGGCGTTCTCTGTAACCCTGAATTTGAATGCTGGCCTGCCTTGCTAGGTTGGGGAAGTTCTCCCGGATAATATCCTGCAGAGTGTTTTCCAACCTGGTTCCATTCTCCCCGTCACTTTCAGGTACACCAATCAGATGTAGATTTGGTCTTTTCACATAGTCCCATATTTCTTGGAGGCTTTGTTCATTTATTTTTACTCTTTTTTCTCTAAACTTCTCTTCTCACTTCATTTCATTCATTTGATCTTCAATCACTGTTGATCGAATCAACTTCAATCCAGTTGATCAAATCGACTACTGAAGGTTGTGCATTCATCAGTAGTTCTCGTGTCATGGTTTTCAGCTCCATCAGGTCATTTAAGGACTTCTCTACACTGGTTATTCTAGTTAGCCATTTGTCTAATCTTTTTTCAAGGTTTTTAGCTTCTTTGCGATGGGTTTTAACTTCCTCCCTTAGCTTGGAGAAGTTTGATCATCTGAAGCCTTCTTCTCTCAACTCGTCAAAGTCATTCTCCGTCCAGCTTTGTTCCACTGCTGGTGAGGAGCTGCATTCCTTTGGAGGGAGAGAGCCACTCTGATTTTTAGAATTTTCAGCTTTTCTGCTATGTTTTTTCCCCATCTTTGTGGTTTTATGTAACTTTGGTCTTTGATGATGGTGACGTACAGATGGGGTTTTGGTGTGGATGTCCTTTCTGTTTGTTAGTTTTTCTTCTAACAGTCAGGACCCTCAGCTGCAGGTCTGTTGGAGTTTGCTGGAGGTCCACTCCAGACGCTGTTTGCCTGGGTATCAGCAGCGGAGGCTGCAGAACAGCAAATATTGCTGAACAGCGAATGTTGCTGCCTGATCATTCCTCTGGAAGCTTCGTCTCAGAGGGGTACCCAGCCATGTGAGGTGTCAGTCTGCCCCTACTGGGGGGTGCCTCCCAGTTAGGCTACTCAGGGGTCACGGACCCACTTGAGGAGGCAGTCTGTCCTTTCTCAGATCTCAAACTCCATGCTGGGAGAACCACTACTCTCTTCAAAGCTGTCAGACAGGGAAATTTAAGTCTGCAGAGGTTTCTGCTGCCTTTTGTTCGACTGTGCCCTGCCCCCACAGGTGGAATCTACAGAGGCAGGCAGGCCTCCTTGAGCTGCGGTGGGCTCCACCCAGTTCGAACTTCCCAGCTGCTTTGTTTACCTACTCAAGCCTCAGCAATGGCAGGTGCCCCTCCCCCAGCCTTGCTGCCACCTTGCAGCTCGGTCTCAGACTGCTGTGCTAGCAATGAGTGAGGCTCTGTGGCCGTGGGACCCTCTGAGCCATGCGCGGGATATAATCTCCTGGTGTGCCATTTGCTAAGACTGTTGGAAAAGCACAGTATTAGGGTGGGAGTGACCCGATTTTCCAGGTGCCGTCTGTCATAGCTTCCCTTGGCTAGGAAACGGAATTCCCTGACCCCTTGTGCTTCCTGGGTAAGGCAATGCCTCACCCTGCTTCGGCTCACGCTCAGTGGGCTGCACCCACTGTCCGACAAGCCCCAGTGAGATGAACCCAGTACCTCAGTTGGAAATGCAGAAATCACCCATTTTCTGCATTGCTCACACTGGGAGCTGTAGACTGGAGCTGTTCCTATTCAGCCATCTTGGGAGCCCCCACCCCCCCATAACTCCCTGTTTATCTTTTGAATTTTGTGGCTTATCAAAGAAAGTGTCCCCTGACTCCAAGGCCATATAAATATCCTTAAATCCACCTAGACTTCATTTTGTTTATGGCATGAGACAAGGTTCTGGCTTTGTTTACTTTCAGATGAAGAGTCAAGTTATACCAGCACCTTTCATTAAATAAACTATTATAACACACTATCATTTTCTCAATGAATCAAATTGCTACCTTTGTCATATATTAATTTCTTCTGTAGACTTAGGGGCCATTCCTGGACTCTCTATTCTATTGCACCGAACTGTTTGCCCATCACTCTGTGACATCATTTTTTTATTAAAGTGGCCTTATGGCAAACTTTAATATCTATTGAGAACTTTTAAATTAATCAGGTTCAGAGAAACCCAATTAGAATTCTAATTAGAACTGTATTAAATTTAAATATTATTTTAGGAAGGATCTGCACTTCTGTGACAATAAGTCTACCTGTTCAGGAACTTGGTGTGACCTGTCCTATATTCAGATCTTATTTTGTGTCCCTCAGTAAGATCCCATGGTTCTTTTATTTAGATTCTTTAACATTTTGTTAAGTTTTAAATATTGTGTATTATGAGTGGTATATCTTACCCTCTCCATTTCTAACTATTGCTAGTATTTTTAAAAACCTATCATTTTGTAAGTGTATTACATAGAATCACTTTACATATTCTCTTTGTAATCCTAGTAATTTTTTTACCAGATCGTCATGGGGTTTTGAGACCAGTACAATTACAGATAAATTATACTTTTCTAATATTATAAAATTATTTTCTATCCTTATCTAGAATATGAGAAAGAACCTCTAAAAATACTGAATCTCACTGTTAGGAGTCAGCATCTATTTCCTGTGGCTGATTTTTAAAGAAATGGCTCCAGAAAATTGCCATTCAGTATGATATTTGCTGTAAAATGTTGGTAAATGTCTTTGTCATTATTCAATAGCTTCTTTCCTTTCCTAATTTATTAGAAATTTTATTAGGAAAGGTTACTAAGTGTTATCAAATGCCTTTGTGGCATTTTTCATATAATCTTATTTGTCTCCTTTACCTTGCTATTGCAAAAAATTCAAGTTTTGTTTTAATTCAGACTCAATTTTTAATACTTGACAATGACACTGTCCTAAGACCAGAAAGTGACCAAATGCCATTCAGGAGCAGAGAAGGGTGATCTGACAGAACAGATTTGAAGGACACTACATAAACACTCTCTGTTCTGATTAATATTTTGGGCCCTGAACTCTGCTTTTTCTGATATGAAAATTGCCTCTCCTCCTTTGTTTGCATTTTCCCAGTACCACTGTCTACCCATTCATTTTTTCAAGCATTGTTTGTCATCGTGTTTTAGGACTGTTTCTTGAAATAGTATACATTTGAACCTAACTTTTTAGCCCATCTGGTAATTTCTGTCTTCTGAATTCCCTCACATTCAGTGAAGTGATCAATATACTTAATTATATTTCTTCCATCTTATATCTTCTCTTTTTCCTTCTTACTTTTGCTGAAAATTAGCCATTTTTTCTCCCTGCCTGTCAGTTTTTCCTGTTCCTGTTTTCTCTCTCTTATTCCTCTCTGTTCATTTTTTCCTCCCTGTCAGTTTAGAAGTCCTACTATGCAGCTGGGCGTGGTGGCTCACGCCTGTAATCCCAGCAGTTTGGGAGGGTGTGGCGGGTGAATGACCTGAGGTCTGAAGTTCGAGACCAGCCTGGACCACATGGTGAAACCCAGTCTCTACTAAAAATACAAAAACTAAGCGGGCGTAGTGGTGCATGCCTGTAATCCCAGCTACTCAGGAGGCTGAGGCATGAGAATCACTTGAACTGGAGAGGCAGAGGTTGCAGTGAGCTGAGATTGAGCCACTGCACTCCAGCCTGGGTGATAGAGTGAGACTCTGCCTCAAAAAAAAAAAAAAAAAAAAGTCCTACTATGCTGTAAAGTTCTGCTCATGGTCACATATTTCTCTGAGTCACCTTTAAACATGTATATAGAGAGACATATTTATATTCTATCAAAAAATAATTTTATATGTATGTGTGTGCGTATGTGTGTGTGTGTGTGTGTGTGTGTGTATATATATATGCATATATAAAATGCACAACCATGCACCAAAAATCTTTACCTGCTCATACCTCTCCTTACGCCAAACACAATGGAAGTTTTAGGTCAAGGTTACTAATAAATTTTTCTTTCAAGAATGACTCTTCTCTTTAAAGAATCCCTACTTAGCATTTATATTACAAAGTCCTAGTCACATCATTATTATCTAATTAATTTTAATAATACATATATTGCAAGATTCATTGCTCCCATTATTCCTCTCCTTTTCGTCTTCCCCTGTCTTGGGATTTCTGTTCTGAATCAATTGTCATTTGATAGAGTATTTCCTCAAGTGTTTTCCTCAGATAAGTACATGGGCAGAATACTTTTTAAATGCCCGCACTTCTGAAAATGTTTATTTTGCCCTGACGAATGATATCTTTCCTGGATATTAATTTTTGGACCTCGGTCTTTTTCCCTCAGGATTCTACAAATGTTGCTCCAGTGTTTTAACTTCTAGCATCACTGATTTAAAAAAAAAAAAAAGTCTGAAGCTAATTGATTCTCTTTCCATTGCAAATAAATGTTCTTTGGGTCACAAAACTTTAAGATTTGTCCTTATCCTTTGACTTCAGGGATTTCACCCACATGTATTTCCATATGTATTCTTATATTAATCCTGCCTGGGACTCAGGAAGCCTATTCCTTCTGCATTTGCTTTTCTTTTCTACCTCCAGACTTCTTTTGTTTTCAAGTTATGACTTCTGGATCTGCCTTTTGAATTCATTTACCACCTCTAGGTAATTCTGTACTATGTTGGAAGGGGTATTTCTTGAGCTTTCAGATTTGACTCAAGAAATACCATAACCATAATTTTCATCTATTTGATTTTTGATTAAAAAATCAAATTCATTTGTTCAGTTACAGAAGGGTTATTTTTGTTTGTTTTCTTTTAGATCACATGATTGTATCTCCTTAAAAGTGCTCTCTGCCTTTTTTTTTTTAACCAAGTCTTCTCTAGTCTTTTTCCAACATGATGAGAGTAAAAACACAATGATTTTGGTGTCTGGCTTGCTCTTCTTCCCTTGGAGTATGGAGTCTCCTTCAGCGAGTAATTGCTTTTTTCTTCCTGCTAATGGCTTATGTTCCCTCAGCATCTACACAGACCAGGTCATAGCAGTCTCTCCAGCACTGGTAAGTCAGTGAGCAATGGAACAAATATTATTTCCTGCTCTTGAGGTCAGGCCATGAACAGAAAGCAAATAATGGCTTCTTTGCTAAGGTGGAGGGTAGAAGCCTCTCTGTTGCAAGACCTCCACAGAAGCAAGCTTACATCCTAACTAAAGCAATGGCTCAAATGAGCTCACCTACACAGCATTCTTCCAGATCTCTGGTCAAACTGCAAAGGTCCTATGAGAACCACATAAAAACAGGCAGGCAGATATGGACGTTCTTTGAGGGAATCACTGGATTCTGTCAATGAAAGCCTTTGAGGAACCACACAATGCTGGTCTTTGAGCCAAGCAACGAGAACAAACAAGCTGACCTCTCTGCCTCTTGTCTCAGTTCCTTCTCGTTTCCAAGGTGAATGAGGTTCCATAAAAAGCCTTTTTCTCAGATATTCTGGCCTAAGATACCCCCTCCAGCCTTTACCAACTGGCCCGCTCAGGCTACTATAATCTGCCAAAATAAAAATTGAAAAAGAGAAAAGTCGGGGATGTGTGATTAAGCTGCTGTCTATTCAGAATTCCTCATCTCTTTACCTTAAAACAAATAGCCTTCCTGCAAGCCTTTGAGCTACAATAAATACTTTCTAGTATTTCTTCTCATTAAAGCCTAAATAAATTTAGTTAACTATTTTAATTGTTTTCCCATATTTTTGTAACAAACACAAAACACGTGGGAATACAGTGATTCTGTTTACAGACAATGCTAAGCACGACTATGGCTATATAGACCTCTTACAATAACTCTCAAGTCAACAGGTTGGGAATCCATTGCTCCACATGAATGGTCTGCCCTGCTGAAACCTGCCCACTCAACTGTAGGCTAAAATTGGTCATGAACCTCTAAGTCTATTCACTTGCATAGTCCTTCATGCCCTCTGCCAACAAAGCTGTTCCTCCTCCATCTGTCTCAGCTCTACTCTTCCTCTTGCTACAGGGTCATCCCGTCTAAAATAGGCTCAGCTCCATAAATCTATCTCCTTTAAATGCTTTTCTTTTTGCTTATAACACTTAAAGCTTCATGAAATTGTATTTTATGCGTATGTTTGTTTTTTGTCACCCCCCCACTAAATCACAAGCTCTGTGAGATGATGTTGGTTTCTTTTTAAATAAAGGATGCCTACAGGTAGGTACACCTAATCTCTAGTTTGTCTCAGGACCCAACAAACCTTGTCTTACATTCAACCAATTCACCAATTATTTTACCTGCTTGGTCTCAGTAGGCATTTGAGTTTGTAACTCTTGCTCAGAGCATACCTAAGTCTCATCCCCAGAGTGAAGCCTTCCCCAATCATCCTATCCCTTAGTGGTCATCTTCCTGCATCCCTGTTGTGTCACCACCATCCGTTCATCACCTAAGCTAGAAACCTGGGTGTCATTCATGATTCATTCTTCTCCTCCTACAATTACTATGGACTTCTCTTTAATTCTTCATGCATATGTCAAGAGCCCAAACCAGTGCCTGACACAAATAGGTAATCGTAAATACATATTGAATGAAGGAATGAAACAAAAATGAAAAATCTGTTTCTATTCTGACCACACTCTTGCCTATGTCTTCTCGTGGGTTTAGATGTCCAGATACAGCACTCTTGACTGGCACAGTCTGAATTCACCTCTCCAGTTTGTCCTTTTTGAGTTCAGGGTCCTGCACACCAATCTCAGAATTGTCCTTAGAGTCTGCCTAGTCAGCCCTTTCCTTCAGGCCTAACATTATTGTTTACATTCTAATGTCATGAGATTAACACACCCCTCCATTACTGATTGACTCTTCACTTATAATCCAGCTGTTTGGTTTCTTGATACCTTCTAAGCCCCACTGTCTCAATGGCTGGGTTAAGATACTTAAAGTCTGCCTGCAGGTTCCACTAAAATCACAACCTGATAAGATGATATGCAGGTTTAACGCAGTATAATAAATATATAATTAATGTTTTAGGGTTTAAACAAATACGTTCTGTGTGACCATATATAATGCTTATAAAATATACAAATGCAGTCGCTTCCAAGATGGCTGAATCGGAACAGCTCCAGTCTACAGCTCCAAGCAAGATCAACGCAGATGACAGGTGATTGCTGCATTTCCAACTGAGGTACCTGGTTTATCTCATTGGGGCTGGTTGGACAGTGGGTGCAGCCCATGGAGGGCCAGCCAAAGCAGGGCAGGGCGTCACCTCACCCAGAAAGCACAAGGGTTTGGGGGATTTACCTTTCCTAGAAAAGGGAAGCCATGAGTGACTATACCTGGAGGAACGGTACACTTCTGCCCAAATACTGCGCTTTTCCCATGGTCTTTGCAACCAGCAGACCAGGAGATTCCCTCCCATGCCTGGCTTGGCAGGTCCCATGCCCATGGAGCCTTGCTCGCTGCTAGCACAGCAGTCTGAGATCAACCTGGGATGCTAGAGCTTGGCAGGCAGAAGGACATCCACCACTGCTGAGGCTTGAGTAGGTGGTTCTATGCTCACAGTGTAAACAAAGTGGCAGGGAAGCTCAAACTGGGCAGAGCCCACCACACTCAGCAAGGCCTACTGCCTCTCTAGATTCCACCTCTAGGGGCAGGGCATATCTGAATAAAAGGCAGCAGACAGCTTTGGCAGACTTAAATGTCCCTGCCTGACAGCTCTGAAGAGAGCAGTGGTTCTCCCAGCATGGCGATTGAGCTCCGATAATGGACAGACTGCCTCCTCAAGTGGGTCCCTGACCCCTGTGTAACCTGACTGGGAGACACCTCCTGCCAGTAGGGCCAACAGACACCTCAAACAGGCAGGTGCCCCTCTGGAACGAAGCTTCCAGAGGAACGATCAGGCAGCAATATTTGCTGTTCTGTGGCCTCCACTGGTGATGCCCAGGCAAACAGGGTCTGGAGTGGACCTCCAGCAAACTCCAACAGAACTGCAGCTGAGGGGCCTATTAGAAGGAAAACTAACAAATGAAAGGAATAGCATCAACATCAACAAAAAGGGCATCCACACCAAAACCCCATTTGTAGGTCACCAACATCAAAGACCAAAGTTAGATAAAACCACAAAGATGGGGAGAAACCAGAGCAGAAGGGCTAAAAATTCCAAAAAACAGAACGCCTCTTCTCCAAAGGAACACAACTCCTCACCAGCAAGGGGACAAAACCAGATGGAGAATGAGTTTGATGAGTTCACAGAAGTAGGCTTCAGAAGGTCAGTAATAACAAACTTCTCCAAGCTAAAGGAACACGTTCTAACCCACCGCAAGGAAGCTAAAAACCTTGAAAAAAGGTTAGACGAACGGCTAACTAGAATAAACAGTGTAGAGAAGACCTTAAATGACCTGATGTAGCTGAAAACCACAGTACAAGAACTGTGTGAAGCATAAAAAAGCTTCAGTAGCCGATTCGATCAAGTGGAAGAAAGGATATCAGTGATTGAAAGTCAAAGTAATGAAATAAAGGGAGAAGACAAGATTAGAGAAAAAAGAGTAAAAAGAAACGAACAAAGCCTACAAGAAATATGGGACTATGTGAAAAGACCAGATCTACGTCTGATTGGTGTACCTGATAGTGACGGGAGAATGGAACGAAGTTGGAAAACACTCTGCAGGATATTATCCAGGAGAATTTCCCCAACCTAGCAAGGCAGTCCAACATTCAAATTCAGGAAATACAGAGAACGCCACAAAGATACTCCTCAAGAAGAGCAACTCCAAGACACATAATTGTCAGATTCACTAAAGTTGAAATGAAGGAAAAAATGTTAAGGGCAGCCAGAGAGAAAGGTAGGGTTACCCACAAAGGGAAACCCATCAGACTAACAGTGGATCTCTTGGCAGAAACCCTACAAGCCAGAAGAGAGTGGGGGACAATATTGAACATTCTTAAAGAAAAGAATTTTCAAACCAGAATTTCATATCCAGCCAAACTAAGCTTCATAAGTAAGGAGAAATGAAATCCCTTACAGACAAGTAAATGCTGAGAGATTCTGTCACCACCAGGCCTCCCTTACAAGAGCTCCTGAAGGAAGCACTAAACATAGAAAGGAACAACTGGTACCAGCCACTGCAAAAACATGCCAAATTGTAAAGACCATTGACACTATGAAGAAAGTGTATCAATTAACGGGCAAAATAAACAGCTAGCATTGTAACGACATGATCAAATTCACACATAACAATATTAACCTTAAATGTAAATGGGCTAAGTGCTCCAATTAAAAGACACAGACTGGCAAATTGGATAAAGGGTCAAGACCCATTGGTGTGCTGTATTCAGGAGACCCATCTTACATGCAAAGACACACATAGTCCCAAAATAAAGGGATAAAGGAAGATCTACCAAGCAAACAGAAAGCAAAAAAAAGCAGGGGTTGCAATCCTGGTCTCTGATAAAACTGACTTTAAACCAACAAAGATCAAAAGAGACAAAGAAGGCCATTAAATAATGGTAAAGGGATCAATTCAACAAAATGAGGTAACTATCCTAAATATATATGCACCCAATACAGGAGCACCCAGATTCATAAAGCAAGTCCTTAGAGACCTACAAAGAGACTTAGACTCCCACACAATAATGATGGCAGACTTTAACACCCCACTGTCAATATTAGACTGATCAATGAGAGAGAAAATTAACAAGGATATCAAGGACTTGAACTCATCTCTGGAACAAGGAGACCTAATAGACATCCACAGAACTCTCCACCCCAAATCAACAGAATATACATTCTTCTTGGCACCACATCGCACTTATTCTAAAATTGACCACATAATTGGAGGTAAAACACTCCTCAGCAAATGTAAAAGAACAGAAATCACAACAAACTGTCTCTCAGACCAGAGTGCAATCAAATTAGAACTCGGGATTAAGAAACTCACTCAAAATTGCACAACTACATGGAAACTGAACAACCTGCTCCTGAATGACTGCTGGGTAAATAACAAAATGAAGGCAGAAATAAAGATCTTCTTTGAAAGCAATGGAACAAAGACAAAACATATCAGAATCTCTGGCATACATTTAAAGCAGTGTGTAGAGGGAAATTTATAGCACTAAATGCCCACAAGAGAAAGCAGGGAAGATCTAAGATTGACACCCTAACATCACAATTAAAAGAAATAGAGAAGCAAGAGCAAACACATTCAAAAGCTAGCAGAAGACAAGAAATAACTAAGATCAGAGTAGAACTGAAGGAGATAGAGACACAAAAAAGCCTTCAAAAAATCAATGAATCCAGGAGCTCGTTTTTTGAAAAGATCAACAGAATTGATAGACTGCTAGCAAGACTAATAAAGAAGAAAAGAGAGAAGAATCAAATAGATGCAATAAAAAATGATAAAGGGGATATCACCACCAATCCCACAGAAATACAAACTACCAGCAGAGAATACTATAAACACCTCTATGCAAATAAACTAGAAAATCTAGAAGAAATGGATAAATTCCTGGACACATACACCCTCTCAGGACTAAACAAGGAAGAAGTTGAATCTCTGAATACATCAATAACAGGTTCTGAAATTGAGGTAATAATTAATAGCATACCAACCAAAAAAAAGTCCAGGACCAGATGGATTCACGGCCGAATTCTACCAGAGGTAGAAGGAGGAGCTGGCACCATTCTTTCTGAAACTATTCCAATCAATAGAAAAAGAGGGAATCCTCCCTAACTCATTTTGTGAGGTCAGCATCATGCTGATACCAAAGCCTAGCAGAGACACAACAAAAAAGAGAATTTCAGGCCATTATCCCTGATGAACATCGATGTGAAAATCCTCAATAAAATACTGGCAAACCAAATCCAGCAGCACATCAAAAAGCTTATCCACCACGATCAAGTGGGCTTCATCCCTGGGATGCAAGGCTGGTTCACATACACAAATCAGTAAATGTAATCTATCACATAAACAGAACCAAGGACAAAAACCACATGATTATCTCAATAGATGCAGAAAAGGCCTTTGACAAAATTCAACAGCCCTTCATGTCAAAAACTCTCAATAAACTAGATATTGATAAAATGTATCTCAAAATAATAAGAGCTATTTATGACAAACCCACAGCCAATATCACTGAATGGGCAAAACCGGAAGCATTCCCTTTGAAAAGCAGCACAAGACAAGGATGCCCTCTCTCACCACTCCTATTCAACATAGTATTGGAAATTCTGGCCAGGTCAATCGGGTAAGAGAAAGAAATAAAGGGTATTCAATTAGGAAAAGAGGAAGTCAAATTGTCTCTGTTTGCAGATGACATGATTGTATATTTAGAAAACCCCATCATCTCAGCCCAAAATCTCCTTAAGCTGATAAGCAGCTTCAGCAAAGTCTCAGAATACAAAATCAATGTGCAAAAATCACAAGCATTCCTATACACCATTAACAGACAAACAGAGAGTCAAATCATGAGTGAACTCCCATTCACAAATGCTACAAAGAGAATAAAATACCTAGGAATCCAAAGGACAACTACAAACCACTGCTCAACGAAATAACAGAGGACACAAACAAATGGAAGAACATTCCATGCTCATGGATAGGAAGAATCAATATCGTGAAAATGGCCATATTGCCCAAGGTAATTTATAGATTCAGTGCCATCCCCATCAAGCTACCAATGACTTTCTTCACAGAATTGGGAAAAAACTACTTTAAGTTTTATAGGAAACCAAAAAAGAGTCCACATAGCCAAGACAATCCTAAGCAAAAAGAACAAAGCTGGAGGCATCACTCTACCTGACTTCAAATTATACTACAAGGCTACAGTAACCAAAACAGCATGGTACTGGTACCAAAACAGATACATAGGCCAATGGACTCAGAAATAACACCACACATCTACAACCATCTGATCTTTGAAAAACCTGAAAAAAATAAGCAGTGGGGAAAGGATTCCCTATTTAATAAATGGTGCTGGGAAAACTGGCTAGCCATATGTAGAAAGCTGAAACTGGATTCCTTCCTTACACCTTACACAAAAATTAACTCAAGATGGATTAAAGACTTAAATGTAAGACCTGAAACCATAAAAACCCTAGAAGAAAACTGGCAATACCATTCAGGACATAGGCATGGGCAAAGACTTCATGACTAAAACACCAAAAGCAATGGCAACAAAAGCCAAAATAGAAAAATGGAATCTAATTAAAGAACTTCTGCACAGCAAAAGAAACTATCATCAGAGCGAACAGGCAACCTACAGAATGGGAGAAAATTTTTGCAATCTATCCATCTGACAAAGGGCTAATATCTAGAATCTACAAAGAACTTAAACAAATTTACAAGAAAAAAACAAACAACCCCAAAAAGTGGGCAAAGGATATGAACAGACACTTCTTAAAAGAAGACATTTATGCAGCCAACAGACACATGGAAAAATGCTCATCATCACTGGTCATCAGAGAAATGCAAATCAAAACCACAATGAGATACCATCTCACACCAGTTAGAATGGCGATCATTAAAAAGTCAGGAAACAGCAGATCCTGGAGAAGGTGTGGAGAAATACAACGTTTTTACACTGTTGATGGGAGTGTAAATTAGTTCAACCATTGTGGAAGACAGTGTGGCAATTCCTCAAGGATCTAGAACTAGAAATACCATTTGACCCAGTGATCCCATTATTGGGTATATATCCAAAGGATTCGAAATCATTCTGCTATAAAGACACATGCACATGTATGTTTATTGTGGCACTATTCACGATAGCAAACACTTGGAACCAACCCAAATGTCCATCAATAATAGACTGGATAAAGAACATGTGGCACATATACACCATGGAATACTATGCAGCCATAAAAAAGGATGAGTTCATGTCCTTTGCAGGGACATGGATGAAGCTGGAAACCATCATTCTCAGCAAAATATCACAAGGACAGAAAACCAAACACCATATGGTCTCACTCATAAGTGGGAGCTGAACAATGAGAACACATTGACACAGGAAGGGGAACATCACACATCAGGGCTTATTGGGGGGTGGGGGGCTGGGGGAGGGATAGTATTAGGAGAAATACCTAATGTAAATGATGAGTTGATGGGTGCAGCAAACCAACATGGCATATGTATACCTATGTAACAAACCTGCACGTTGTGCACATGTAGCCTAGAACTTAAAGTATAATAATAAATATATAGATAGATATACTAATGCTATTTCAATAACATCAAGTTTTAGTTTGTGAAGCACCACAGTTTCATCAAAAAGTTCAACAACAGATTGCTATTCTATAATGTTTGGCCTCTACATTTGCTTTTGATCTAAAAATGCTTTTAGGGTGCCATTTTTAAAAGTGTTCTTATTGTGATTAAAAGTAGACTTTCCAAATCATCATCGCTCCTAAATATTATAATACTAGATAAAGAATGAGATAAATACCTTTGTTATGTAGAAAATACAACAAGCTATCATGTGTTGTATACTTTCAAAGCTCGCAGTATGTTTCTTCGAGCAGACAATACTTGGTAGTCCTTGCAAAACCACTATACACTTTATCAGGATCTAAAAATTAGAATCACAATGATTTTTGTTTTAAAATGTCATCCTTACTCATTTCATTAGAAAATGTTCCATTCAAATAATGCAAGCTTTAAGACATAAAATTTTGTTATCAATAATTATTGATAAATTGTTTATTAGGAATAAAGGAGAGTACACTGAGATAAAGTTGATACATTCAATTTTGAGATTAGTCCTTCACCTACAGCAACTTGAAAATCAGTGGAAAGAATAAAATAAAACACAAATGACTATAAAACAAAGCATATTTTGATAAGTATCATAAAAGGTATAGTCAGAATGTGACATGTATTTGAAAAACTATCACATCCAGGTATAGAAG
Source organism: Homo sapiens (assembly GCF_000001405.40). Lineage (NCBI taxonomy): Eukaryota > Metazoa > Chordata > Mammalia > Primates > Hominidae > Homo > Homo sapiens. The sequence continues at coordinate 96,598,304 of NC_000012.12, read as the reverse complement.
GAACTTGAAAAACCAAATGGAAGCTTATATGGCATATTAAATATTACATAGTGATTCCAGGTACTTGAAATAATAGTTTCCTTTAAAATTAAAACCAAACATTCATATCTCAGGAAATCAACTAATATTGGTACTTACTTCCTATTCTCCTTGCTTCGTATTATATGATCTTAAATTTGATCAAGAGCTAGACGAATAGCTTTTCAAAGGTAGTGTGAGATTGCATCAATCATTCACCATTTAGATTAACCCAAAGGACAAATTAATATATGAATGTTGGTTCTTTGGGGGCACATTAATTGCTTCAAGCTCTCATTCTAACAATACTGTTACTATTGTTACAGTACACTCATCTCTAAGACTTTTTAAATTCCTCCCCACCCTAATCAGCCTCTCCCATGCTACCATATCATATCCCTAAATCATGTGAACACCCTAGTAGTTTTGGAGTTTTCCCGAAGCTCATATAAATATAAATACATACATGTGTATAAAAACATAATGTACCTAGGAGGGTTGTTGTTTTACAAAATGGGATTTATAAATACTTTTCTGAAGTGTGTATTTTTTCCTTCAACCATATCTTTGGTTGTGAACATTTCTCACCAGACATGGTTTTTGGACAACCATGTCTGGTGAGAAATGCTGTAAGTCTACAGGTATAGCTCTAATTCATTGTTTGTTTCTAATGGCTGCATAATATTATTTGGTGTGGATCAGCCATTATTTACTCAGCCTTTTCTAGGACTTCATGGTACACATTTTCATGGTTGTACAATCTGGGGGTACTGTTACTTCTCTTTGTCACCAGCTTTTTTGCCAACACCAAGAATGTCACAGTAAATACCCTTTTACATGCTCAGTTGCCAACTATGATTAGCAATCAAGATGCCGGCTTTGAGATGATACCCAGTGAAGATGAGATACCATCCTCCAGAACACAGTATACATTCTAAACCAATGACAGTACATAACACTGTGTCCCAGTAGGTTCCTCAGGTCCAGGAACCAAGAGGTGGAACTAGGAGTGACATTATTTCAAATGGAGGTTTTATTCTATAAGATAAATTACTAACAGAAGAATTGTTGTGTCAGATAAATGTATTTTTAATTTTATTAAAATTTTATTCTACAGGATAAATTACTAGCAGAGGGACTACCGTGTCAGGTATATTTGTTTTTAATCTTGCTTAAAATTAGATTTAATTTAATTTAAATTAAAATTACTTTACCAAAATTCAAATGCTTGTAACAATTCACATTTCCCCCATGTATGAATGAGAATGCAATTGCCCCACATCTTCACCAGCAAATCTTTTCAATCCTGCCAGTGATATTACATTGTTAATTTAATGTGAATTTCTATGAGTATTTAGAATTTGAGCATCTTTTCATATGTTTCTCACTCACTTGGATTTGCTCTCCTGTGAACTGCTTATTCATATCCTGTGCCTATTTTTCTATTAGGTTATTGTCAGTTTGTAAGACTTTTTGTTATACATGTATATATACTTGCCCTCTGTCGCATTTGGAGATATTTTTTTTCCAAATCTGTAAATGTTCTTCTATCTTTGTTATAGTCCTTTTTGTTACACATAGGTTCTTTGTTGCTGTTAGAAGTTCAGTCTTGGTTAGAAATGTTTCCCCCCAAACCCCGGACTGCACACGTCATCTCCTGGGAAATTTTTCCTAAAGTTTTTGCTTTATTTTACACTTAAGTCTTTGATAAATCTGGACTTTTTGTACATGGTACAAATAGGGGTCAAACTCTATTTTCTCTCAGATGAATATCTAGACATTTTACCATCATTTAGTAAAAATGTCCATTCTCTTTCCACTGAATGGGAATGACAACTCTGTCATATATTACATTCTCATATATATTGAGGCCTATTTCTGGAAACTACCCTCTGTTCTACTGATCTTTTCCAATTCCAAACAATACAATTCAATTAGAGACTTCTTTCCTAAGACTTCCCATAGCTATAATCCATTCTCTAGCCAAAGGTATCCTGAATCAGTGGGATTCTAGAAAGTAACAGTGGACTACCGTAAACTCAGCCAATTGAGCAGCTGCTGTTCCCAATGTGGTATCTTTGCTAAGCTAACACATATTAAAAGGTATGCATTGATATAGCTAATGTTTTCTTTTCTATCCGAGTTCTCATTAACACTGGACAGATGAAAGTATGCATTTCAAGTCTTGTCCCAAGACAATGAATATTCTTATAACTTCTGACATAATTTTATGTGAAAGGATATGAACTTTCTGGACATTCCTCAAAACAAAACATTGGGCCACTATATCAATGACATCATGTTACTCAGACTTAATGATCAAGAAATGTGAAGTACATTGAAGACCTTGATAAACACCTTCCAATGGGTAAAAATAGACTCAATGAAGGTTCAGAGGGCTGCCACATTAAATATCTGGGGGAGGCTGGGATACCCCCTCCAAAGTAGGTCTGATATCTGGCATCTCTCACCTTTAAAAAGAAAGACCATACCAGGTCGGCACCTTTGGGTTTTGGATGAACCATACTCCACACTTGAGAGAAATGCTCTATCTATTTACAACTGACCCAGAAGGCTGTCAACTATGAGTCTAGATTTTAGACTCTGGAGGCAGATCTCCAGCAGCTGTAGGGAATGTAGGAGGAGACACACCTATGCTCCGTAGAGCCCCTCCAAGGTGAATCTTTTTTAAGTTACTCAAGCTGTCTAGTTAGTCTTCTTGATCATGTACTAAAAATGTTTGGACTTTGTGTGAGTTCACTCACATCTTCTAGGATGACAAAAAATGTGTCAGTGATGATCATGATGCTGACAATGACAGTGACAATGACGGCGATAACTTTCTGCAAGTCTCAGCAGCAAAATCTTACATCTCTCATTACTTTCCTGTGGTAAGCAGAATTCTAAGATGGTCCCCAAGATTCTTCCCCCTGGTGTACATGCCCTGTATGATTCCTTCCCCTTGAGTGTGGGTGGGGCTCCTGAATGTGATAAGCTCATCAGTCTCATGATTTCATTACCCTAGATAAGGCTCCTCACAGCATACTGGAGGAGACTCTCCAACAGCCTTGAAAAGGCAAAGGGCCATGATGTGGAAGGGCCATGTGGCAAGGAATTAGTAGTTGGCCTTTAGGAGCTAAGGACCTCCTATGTAAAACCTCAAGGAAATGAATTCTATCAATAACAGTGAACTCAGAAAAGGACCTCAAGCCTCAGAGGAAATCACAGCCCTGGCCAAGACTTTGATTTCAACCTCATAAGACCCTAAACAGAAGACCCAGCTAACCCATATTCAACCTCTTAACCCACAGAAACTATGAGAATGTAAATGAGTGTCCTTTCAAGCCACTAAATCCATGGTGATATGTTAAGAAACATGAAAAACTATATAATCCCTTCAGCCAGGTCTCAGCTACCCTTTTTCTGTAAATCCTAACTCCTCCATCACCAAGACACCAGGTATTTTGTCTTGGGTCTCCCACCATGTTTTTCTCCAGATGATGGATTTAACAATATGCCTTGAATAAATGTTGTTTCTGACACTACAAGAACATAAAAATTAAAATAACTTTAAAACTCTAGAAAGGTAAATTGCCAATATTTAAATATGGACAGGAACAGGGACGAATATTTTCAGAGAAACCTATTTTATGTCCTTATCTATATGTGCCCAGACATATAATTTATTAAAGTGTTTTTCAGTTAACTCCTAAAATTTCATAATACTGATTCCTGACCTATTTGCCCTTTATAAGAGATACATGGCTTTTCTTTTCTAAAATGAATTGTTAAGTTGCCTTTATAAAGATTCCCTTCTCTTGGGGAGAGGAATACCCTTACCTGTACAACAGGTACCAAAACAATATTGTGATAAATTATGGGAGCAAGAAGTCCATAACATTGAGTCACAGCTTGAAGGGCATAGCTGGAATCATTTAGGAAGTTGCTAAGTTCCAATGCCACTAATACTCTCTCACATTCAATCAGTCTGGCAATCTGTAAAGAAACAGGCATTGTTACTCAGATTGAACATAGGTGCTTAGCGTATGTGTCTCTACGGAGAATGGGTAGAAAATGTGATCCTTCTGGCTAAAAACAACATGAGTGTTTGTATTTTAAAAAATCTAAATTCAGAAACAACTCTAACTCTCCAATAATGCTACCTATAGATAGCACGATCTTAGAATTAAACTTCAAAATTTTTTATAAAACAATACAAGTGCCATAACAGAAACCAGTTTTTTTATCAATAAGCTAAAAACTTGGCTATATTTTTATGTTTAAAAAATCTAGTTTTCAAAAATATAAATTATATTAACAATTAAAATATATAACATCTCTATAATATTGCCCCCATTTGATTAACAGGTTCTCATTTCCTTTTTTGATTTGAAAGAAAACGGTAAATTTTCAGTAAACCAAGCTAACCTCCTATTATGCTTCTGCTAATTATACTTCTGCTACTTAAATTTAAATGATAGTAAAATGTAAAGTTAAGGTTTTGAGAGTAAATGCCACTTAAAAAGAATAGTTAGCCTTTCTTACTCCTCTTTTTCCTTTCCTGGGGAAAGATTTCATTATTTTTCTATATATATATATTCAAGATTATGTATAAAGAAACTGTCTGAGTGGTAACCAGAAATTTCCATGTAGTCAGTTTTTACTAAAATGGTAGTCTAGCATTCTGGAATTCACTGAAGTACTTGAAAATTGTCTTTGTTTTCAGATTGAATACGCTGAAAGAAGAAACTGAAGGCAATTTAGTAGGAACAGGTTGAGATGGTTGTGAGTACTTGGGCTCTACAGGACAGTGAACTTGTCTGGGGCAAAGAATCATTTTTTCCACTTTTATATCCCCAGAAACTGGCATAGTCCCATGTAACAAGGTCTTGGTTAATTAATTAATTAGTTAATGGATGGGTAGGAAATAGCAACTGTAAAAAACATAGACAGCTAAAACATCCATACCTAAAGAAGGAAAGAGAGAAAGAAAAGTGAACTTCAAGCAGGAATGAAAAAAAAATAATGTAGGATCATTACTAAATACAAGAGCATTATAGAGTTGCAGATGTACATACAGCAATGTTCATAACCACACTGAGAATCTATCAATAGGAGATAGGTTACATTCCTGCCTCCATGAAGACAATATTATAATTGAAACAAATGTGACAGATTGATATATAACAGCATGAAAATATGTGCAAGATAGATTATAAAAGTGTTAAAAAGGCAAGTTGCAGAATAGCAAGTAGATCATAATCCCATTTTCATAAATAATAATAACAGATTTGTCTAGGCATATGTTCTTAAATTAGAGAAATTATATGAAAGCAAAATTGTTGTATTCTTAGAGGTAATAAGATTACAACGGGTTTCACTTTATACATTATATATTTTCAAATGTCTGAAATATATAATACTTTTACACACAGGGGGAAAAGAGATAAATTGAAAAGAAGAGAAAAAAACATGAACTCAGGCCTGTGAAACTTATATGAAATATCACATAAAGTCGCATAATCATACAATGTCCTTTCAGTCCATTCACCAGACAAGCTATGCAATCACTCAAAAAACATGATCTTAAAACATCAAGAAAAAAATACAGTGAATCTGACATGTTTTTAGTCACTTTAATTCACTTACTTGTTGAGATGGGAAAATCTCATTGCCTTTAATATTATCACAGAAAAGATTTTCTTCTTTAATTTTGATGTCACTTGTTACAAAAATATTTCTAAGAAAAAGGTACAAGAGGATTGAAGAAGTCTCTGCCAAAATATCTGAATGTAATCTGCAATATGAAGTAAATGGCAGGTATAAATATAAATTGATTTAGCAGGTCAACTGGTCTTTTTACATTGATTTGTTCTCAGTATCTACACAAAGATCCCAAAAAAGCAACAAAAGTATTTAGAACAGCTATTCTTGCACAGACAAGCTCACAACTAAGAAAATTAAACTACTGAAATATTATGTCACAGATACACAAAATTAATTAGTGGCAATTTTGGGGGTTCTAATACATAAAGTTATTTTTTATCAAGATAACAAAATCACTATAGATTTTCAGAATCTAGATGTCACTGTCCAATTTTTCTATCTCTGTGACAACGATCACTTACTGATTTTGCTCACTCATTCTTTCTTTCATTCACGCTAACTAACAATTGATGAATGCCTACTATGTACAAGACACTGTTCTAGACCCTTAGGTATAAAGATGAATCAAATGGAATCTTTAGCCACTAGGAGCTGGGCTTCAGTACAAATTCATGTTCGATTACATCAACTGAGTCATTACTGCATCTCAATAACAATTCCATTTATCCCTGATGTCTCCTTGTTCACATTCCCCACAAAAAAAAAAAAATATTTCTTTTTTTTTTTTTTGAGACGGAGTTTCGCTCTGTCGCCCAGGCTGGAGTGCAGTGGCGCGATCTCGACTCACTGCAAGCTCCGCCTCCCGGGTTCACGCCATTCTCCTGCCTCAGCCTCCCGTGTAGCTGGGACTACAGGCACGCGCCACCATGCCCGGCTAATTTTTTTTGTATTTTTAGTAGAGACGGGGTTTCACCGTGTTAGCCAGGATGGTCTCGATCTCCTGACCTCGTGATCCGCCCGTCTCGGCCTCCCAAAGTGCTGGGATTACAGGCGTGAGCCACCGCGCCCGGCCAAAAAAAAATATTTCTAAATCCTTTGTTCTTTCCACCCCATAAGCTCTTATGTCCTCCAGGCTCGACCACCATAGTGTTATCATCGCCTACATTTTCTTCTTCAGTCTCTCTCTCTCTACTGGCTGCCTTTTCTCCACACTCCACAATTCTTTCCTTCAGCCTGCCTCCCCACTAAGCTTCTGCCTGCTCTCCTCCTCTTTACCACCAAACTTCACATGAGTGGTCTTTGCTTGTTAGGATTTTTCATTTTCTTTTTTTTCCTTAGCGAATTGCAAAATGATTTCCGGCCTATCATGCTACAAAAGTGGCTCTCTTGAATTCACCAATGGCCTGCTAATTGCCAACTCTTCTTCATTTGTGTTCTACTCAACCCTCTCTGTGGCATTTTATTGAGCAGCTGCTCTGCCTGACCTGGCACTGATATTTAATATCTCTGGCCAGTCCCTCTTTGGTGATACTTTCACTTTCCCTAGCAATGCACTTTCTTGGACTTTCATTTTCTGGACAGCTTCTTTTCAATATCCTTCCTTGGTTCCATCTCCTAATTCTGCTTCCTAAATGTTAAGCAATGCCTAGGGTTCAATTCCGGCCTTCTGTCTTTTCTGTTAAACAGTCGTTTCCTGGGAGATACCATTCATTTTCAAGATCTTGATGATGAACTCAATGGACAATTTCTAAATCTGTATCTCTAGCCTTGATGCTCTCCTGAGTGTCAGCACTAGATAAATAAACCTACTGGCATCTCATATTCACAAAGGCGTCCTGCTGGAAAACCAAACTCAAAATATTCTCAATGAAATTAATCATCTTCCTCTAAGAACTTGTTCTACCTCTCATATCCCCTTAGTAAATGTCACAGACTTCTCAGTCAGTTAACACCAGAAATCCCAGTCACTTTTCACTCCTTTCTCTCTTATCCCCACAAGTCGCATAATATCTAAGTCCTGTCTCTTCCTCCTCTAAAATGCCTCTGAAACCCATACCCCCATAGCACATAGCATCCTTGTACATAGAAAATGCTAAGTCTGCATTTGTTTATTTGAATGGAATTATCAACGCCTTGCCTGAAGCAATATTTGCATATTTAAGCTCATTATTTTTGATTGAGGAATGAAGGGTTGTCTCCTTATTTTAAAACTTTCAGGCATTAACAACCAGGTGAGGGAGATTCTTGTTGCTTTTGAATTTGTTGAGACCGCCTGAAATTACAGTAATGCTCATTTCTGAGCCTGCTTCAAAACTTTGTTCTTTTAAGGAAAATGGCAGTAAAGACGAAGGATAGTAATTTTATATGGCTTCTACTGGCCTATTTGCAGTTGCCAATGGTGTAATCCTGGGAGCCCCTTCTAGCAAAAGAAAAGCCTTCTTACCCTAACAGTCAACCTGTCAGACCATAACCTTAACCCCAATTTGACCTTTCCCTGGTATAAAAGTTCCCAATGAATATTTGTGTTTTACGATATAACTGATATTACTTTGGTTTGTAGTTGGTATTTTTATTTCATAACCTTCAACCTTATGCCTCTAGTGTTTTTGCTGACTCTAGAAAGAAAGTTTCTTGGCCGGGCATGGTGGCTTATGCCTGTAATCTCGGCACTTTGGAAGGCTGAGGTGGGCAGATCACTTGAGGCCAGGAGTTCGAGACCAGTCTGGCCAGCATGGCAAAACCCCATCTCTACTAAAAATACAAAAATTAGCAGGGCGTGGTGGTGCACACCTGTAATCCCAGCTACTCGGGAGGCTGAGGCATGAGAATCACCTCAGCCCAGGAGGCAGAGGTTGCAGTGAGCCAGGATCATGCCACTGCACTCCAGCCTGGGTGACAGAGTGAGTGAGTATTAAAAAAAAGAAAGAAAGAAAGAAAGAAAGTTTCTAACAAGCACATGAGACCTTGCAATGCATACTCTTATTACAATAGTTATTAGAAATGATGATTGTATATGGACTATCTGAACATGATATTAAAAATAATTCCAGGCTTCGCATCCAGCATCTATATTTTCAATAAGCAAATTAATATTTTAGAAGAATATTTCTAATTACCTTCTTTGTGTAATAGTAATTATATTGCTTAAACAAATAACAGATTGTTCATCCTGAAGTGGCGAAGCAACAAAATAATCCCAAACTGGTGAGAAAACTTTCTTAGCCAATTCATAGTTACCAACTTGATAGGCAACCTATAACAAAAAGCACATATTTATGTAATAGTTTTATTCGTGAATGAATGTTTTAAACAATAATTCTTAAAATATACAATCTATGACAGCATTTTATAAGGTGCTATCACACGCTCATTTCAGATACAATCATTCACATTTGCTGTTCTGTTCTATAGTGCCATGGTCAGGTAACGGCCAATGGCAAGGGAGACAGATACATTTTTGAAATCTCTTTTATTTCTAAATTGCATGGAAATTTGAAACTCTGTAAGGATGTTTCAAATCCTTATAAGCAAAACAAAGATCACATCTGAGCCAAATTAATTTCATTTCCATCTATCTCAGCAGTGCACTCCATTTATTATAGATACTGTTATAATGAACAATCTGTTCCAAGAGAAACAATCAGATTTCCCAAACCCAATATGTGAAAAATACTTCATTCTTTTCTGGTTCTGACTGATACTTTCAGAGCTTCTGTGCAACAAAAAGTTCACGAGCTGAAAAGAGTATAGAATAAAACAGAGAAGCTTTCCAAGAAGACATTATATGTTTTAAGTTTAACAAATTTAACATTAGGCAAAATAAATAATTTCACTGGTGAAGCCTAGAAGTTCAAAAGAAAAAAACTGACTTACCTATTTTTTATGGTAGAATATATTTCTTTAAAGACGTTCCTAAAAAGCACTCCATTAAATATGTAAATAACAATATAAAATCTCACCAAATGAGTTCTACACTGCTTCAAATCCTTTATGGAAACAGCTAAGGTATGAAGTATAAATGCATTCATGGAATGAAGTAAGTGAATGACAAGTTACTAGAATATTCTCCACTCCAGGGAATAACTTAGAGGGCCAGAACTCTCGAATCTGCCAATGAATACTCATGATCTCCAACCAGTAAGCTTTTATGAAGTTTCTAGTCTGTGTTAGGCACTGTAGAGATAGACTCTTCAAAGTTTAGATAGAGATGGTATCAAACTCTATGAAACTGGAATTAGGTTAAAGGCATAAAACCCATAACATCACAGAAAAACTACAAAGAATAACATAATAATTGCAGAGGCTTTAGAAAAGGAGACATGAAGATTTCAAGGAAAAGGCAGGGCTTGAGTTGAACCCTAAGGCAGAGATAAGATTCAGATCAGCACAGTTAAAACAGAATCTCCAAAAGGTCCAGTAATGGAAATGACTCTAAAATACATTTAAGAGAGACTGGAGAGGCAGGTCAGAGTTTGAAAAAAGAAAAAAAGTAGACATTTCATCCCTGCAAGGTCTGAGATGAAAAAAAAATGAAAAGAAACAAGTGGGTAATAAGATTGGACAAGTTCAAGTGAGACATGATTTCAGAAGGCCTTGAAAATCAGATGGAAGAATTTAAAGGTGTCAAGTACTGGACTAAGCACTTTATGTGCATTGCTGTATTTATTCTTCATCAAAGTTCTACGAAGTGAGCTCTGTTGCCATCCCTATTTGTGAATGAGGAAACCAGAACATTGAAAAGTAGAATAATTTGTACAGAGTCTGACAGTCAGTAAAAATAGTGAAGCCAAGTCTTCGAGTGGTTAATGAGTCACTTTTCTGGGCTACATTAATCAAATGACTCAACTGTACTAAGTGGTCACTGAAATATAAATACATATAATTAAAATATATAATTATTAAGGTTTATCATGGAAAGCAATAATGTGTGTAAGCAATAGATGATGTGTAAGAGGGTTGGTGAAACTATAATTAACTGTTCTTTTCTTGTAAAATGTATCCCTTTTAAAATAATGTTCTTTGTTCCATCAGTTAACATTGCAAAACAGGAAAAGATACCGTGATTAAAATTAAGGTTTATAAAATCATGAGGTTTTGTGAGGTTTCTTTAACAGAGGAGTGCCATGATATAAGCATGTTCAAAAATGGTTAACCTGGTCCTGGTAGTGATGTGCAGAACAGATTTTAGAGGGGCTGAATGAAAATGAGAAAGAAGCACTAAAAGACTAATGAAATAATTAAGTACAGTAGATACCTCCTCTTTGATGCCTGACCTTCGCTTGGCTTCCAGAATTCCACTCTTGGTTTTCCTTTTACTTCTTTTCCTCAACCTCTTTATATTGGTATGCCCCAGGGTTCACTCTGTGAACTGCTCCTCTTTTCTGTCTACCCTCATTTCTTATTGATACCACCTAGTCCTATAGTTTTATCACTCTCAAATCCCTCTCCTGCCCAGACCCCTTCCCCAAACTCCAGATTCATACATCTAACTGACTACTCAACAATTCTCTCCATATATACTAAACACCTTACCTCAACATGCCTGGAACTGAACTGATCTCCCACTCCCCCGAACCTCCACCACCCACAGCCTTCCACAACTCAGTTGATGTCAACTCTGTCCTTTCAATTGGTCAGCTAATACCTTAGGGTCATCTTTTATTTTTCTCTTTATGGACTCTTGTTAGCTCCTCCTTCAAAACATGTCCAAACACTGACTACTTCTCACCACATCAGCTACCAGCACACTGGCCAAGCCACCTTCACCTCTCACTGGGTTACAGCAGTGGATGGTGCTGCCACTCTACCCCCTTACGTTCTATTTCCAATGTAGCAGCCAGGGTGAACCTTTAAAAACAGGAGTCACGTTACATCATACCACTACTCCAAACTGTCCAATCGCTGTCCACTTCACTCAAGTCAAAAGCCAAAGTCCCTGTAATGCCCTGGAAGTCTTTTCATGATCTGCTCCCCATCTACCCACTCACACCTTAGCTCTTTGACCTGTCCCTTTTACTCTCCATGGGTCCCTCTGCTCCAGTCACACAAGCTTCCTGCTGTTTACCAAGCATACCAGGTACACTTCTGAAAACCTTAGGGCTTTTGCTCTAGCTGTTCCTTCTGTAAATGCTCTTCCCCCAGAGAGCCATTCCCTCATCTCCTTCAAGTCTCTACTTAAATCTCGCCTTCCTTGATCACCCTATTTAATATTGTAATCTACCTTCCATTCCCCTACTTCACATTTCCAATTCGTTTTACATACTCCACTTGGTTTTTCCATAGCATTCATTATCTTCTGAAATACTAGATAATTTACTTGTTTACTGTGGTCATTGTTTATTACCTATCTCCTACCATGGCATTCTGTTCACGTTGCTTAGAACAGCAGTTCTCAAAGTATGGTCCCTGGGCCTCAGCATCACCCAGGAACTTGTTAGAAATGCAAATTCCCAGACCCAAACTCAGGCCTAGTGAATCATAAACTCTGGCAGTGGCATCCAGCAATCTGCTTAACCAGTACTCCAAGTCATTCCTATGTGCACTCAAGTTTTAGAGTCACTAACCTGGGGCAATGCCTGGCACAGAGTAAGCACTCAAATAATGTGTTGAGTGAATTTAAAAATCCTCTTTTCCTGATAATATCCCTCTACCCACAGAGAAGGACACCCAGCAGTTGTACTAGACTATAACAAGGTTGTTAGAGACTCCCCTGCAAAGCAAGATGGGCCCCCATCCAAAGTGTGGTTCTGATGTTAAGACTGATGACACTCCATACAGCAGGAAAATTTGAGAGAAAGTATATTGCTTACACAAGGGACTTCTTGGGAAAGCTTGGCAGGCACATGACTGTCTGGGCTGGCTTGGGCAAAGCAGAGGGAGAAAGCAGGTTGGGCCTTCATAGGAGTTGAGAGATAGGACTGGGGAAAGTCCATGCTGGCTGTAAGGTTTAAATTTCCTGCTGCCACAAAATAAAAAGGAGAGCTCATAGGCCTTCTTATCATCCTGCCCAGATGTGGGGCCAAAGGCAAAAAGAAGGGTGAGGTTTAAAAACAAGTTGCAGCCAGGCGCTGTGGCTCATGCCTGTAATCCCAGCACCTTGGGAGGCCAATGTGGGCAGATCACCTGAGGTCAGGAGTTCGTGACCAGTCTTAGGTCTGTGAAGTGGGGGAATGGAAGGTAGATTACAATATTAAATAGGGTGATCAAGGAAGGTGAGATTTAAGCAGAGACTTGAAGGAGATGAGGGAATGGCTCTCTGGGGGAAGAGCATTTGCAGAAGGAACAGCTAGAGTAAAAGCCCTAACGTTTTCAAACAACATGATGAAATCCTATCTCTTCTAAAAATACAAAAATTAGCCAGGTATGGTGGCACACGCCTGTAATCCCAGCTACACAGGAGGCTGAGGCAGGAGAATGGCTTGAACACGGGAGGTGGAGGTTGCAGTAAGCTGAGATCGCACCACTGCACTCCAGCCTGGGCAACAGAGTGAGACTCCAACTCAAAGAAAAATAAATAAATAATAAAAAGAAGTCAAAAAAATAAAAACAAGTCACAAGTCAGTTGTCAAACATCGAAAATGAGATCAGCGGCATTCCAGCCTGGGCAACAGAGTAAGATCATTTCAAGAAAAAAAAAAAAAGAGAGAGAGAGAGATCAGACTCTTTATTATACTGGGTGGGCCAATCACATTCTCTTTCCCAGGAATTTGGAGCCACAGTTAGAGGCTAGTCAGCTGATCTCCATTTATAGCTTAAATTGAGGGATATATAAAAACTCAGGAACTGCCACCTTTCCTCCAAAGATGGAGAAGTAATGAAAGCTAATGTTTAGAGAAAAATACAAGAAAGCAGACGCACAGGGTGAACCAGAAGTATGAGACCTAGAGCTGCTTGGACTCTGCTGCATTCCCAGGGCCTAGCTGCATTACCCCAAGCTGAGCTGGTTCCATGACTTGCAATCAGGGTTTTAACTGAAACTATAAGTCAGAATTATCTAAACAAGTATTACTGTCATTGTAATGAGATTGATAAAAAAAAAAAACATATTTCAAAGGATGAAGTGATGACATCTAGCATATAACTTGGCACAAGATAAACATTGACTAAATGATTCATCCATAAATAATAGATGAGTGGAAAGAGTGGTAATCTTCAGTTAGAGGATGAGAGGGAAAAGAAGAGTTAAAACTCTTTTTGTTGTTATTGTTGTTGTTTTTAAGACAGGGTCTCGCTCTGTCACTCAGGCTGAAATGCAGTGGCATAATCTTGGCTCACTGCAACCTCCACCTCCTGGGCCCAAGCAATCCTCCCACCTCAGCCTCCTAAGTAGCTGGGATTACAGGTGCGTGCCACCACATCTGGCTAATTTTTGTATTTTTAATAGAGACAGGGTTTCGCCATGTTGCCCAGGCTGGTCTTGAACTCCTGACCTCAAGCAATCTGCCTCCCTCAGCCTGCCAAAGTGCTGGGATTACAGGCGTGAGCCACTACACTGGGCCTATTTTTTTTTTATTTGAATGAAAAATAAAATAGACAAAAGACAAACCATTATTAATAAAAGGAGTTTTGATTAATAATGGGTTTTAATGAATTCACATACAAAGTGGGAGTCGTGTGAACTTCATTTCCCCTTCACCTGCCACCATCGTGATTGCTGACAAAGCATTCATGTTCCAACATCAAACTCTACTGCCAATACAGATCATGAAGACCTGCTGATTAACACCAACACAGGGAGAGAATAAAAAGAAAATTGATAGAGGAAGAGGTAAAGACAGTGAAAGGGAAGGAAGAGGGTTAAAGAGAAGAGGAGCTCTCTAAGGAGCAGAGGGTCACTTAATAGATTGGAGAGATGCAGGCTCTAGGAGACTTGGCACATGTTAGGTGTCCAATACATGACTTCCTGGAACCTGGACAGAGCAGTCCAAAGGCATGAGCTGGTCCAAGTGTCAGGCTTGACATCTGCTACCTGAGCAACCTTGGGTACATTTCTTAACCTCCCTGAGACACCCTTTTAGGGATACAGTGGGTTTGGCAGAGGAAGGATTAAATTAATCTGTTCCTTCAACTATAAAAGAAAAGTAATCATACTACCTCATGGAGTTATTATAATAAGTGGAATAATAAATTTTAAATGCCTGGTACACAGTAGTTCTTAAATAAACGATATTCCTCCTTTTCTTATCTCAGTAAGCCATTGTGCCCACTCACTACTTGATTTGGTAGTTCAACAATTCACTCAAATATGGCATTTTGTCTTACATCCATTTTACAGATAGGAAAATTGAGACCAATTTGCCTAAAATCAGTCTCCAAGGTCAAGATCAGAATCCTGCTCACAGATTTCTACTCTTCTACATTTATATGATATTATCTAGTCATTTTCTACTTAACGAGGAGGAATAAAAAGAAATAGTCTAAAAAGAAGAGAAAATAGCCACAGAAAATAGATAATTCAAAAAGTTTCCTCAAAAAAAAATTTCCAGATACACTAAACTAATAGCCTTCTACATTTAGGGAAAGCCTAGTAGAGATTCACTTGATTTTATTAATATTTACAGAATAATGCTGAGTAAAAAGTACAACCTAAAGTCCCAAAAGCCAAGTTAATCACAGGCATTTAGTGAAACGTCTCCATGCTTTACTATCAAATATTTATAATAATATGTTTTAAAGAAAAGAACTGTCCTGAAACTAGAAACTAACCACTCTCATGAAAATTAGATTGCACTTACAAAATAGAGGTACATTAACTTGCTGAAACTTAAAAGCTTAAACTTAAGTTATAAATTAAGGAGGTTTAATAAGTGAGAAAGCTTTGCTTTAGCCTCTTAACATTATGAGACAGAATGCACATAAACCATCATAAATAAACTACAGAACTGCAAATATAGTGTCAGTAAAGAAACACAGGTCATTACTTCATGACACTACTCATTATCCCAGCAGTATAGCTCTGACTTAGTTTTATTAACTTTCAATGAAAGTTCTACCAAATTAAGCCCAAGAGTCAAACCACTCCCTGGAGAAAAATTAGGCCTTGATGAAATATTCAGTTCCTCACAATAACTCCATCACTGCAAATTAGGGAATATATTAGATTCCAAAGATACCAAAACATCAGAAAACCATGAGCCAGTATGACACGCTAAACCAATACTAGACAAATCCTAGTAATTCTCTCAATTTAATTTTCTTTGAAAAATATGCTATATAAAATGCCACTAAGATCTTATCTTATATTACTAATCAACTATTAAGAGAAAATAGAATAGAAATATGACAAAATTTAGAAAAGCCATCAGCTCTACAGTCAAGAATAGGCTTAAAATTAGATACTTGAGACCTATGTCAATGAGTCACTCTTCCTAGCATCCTCTTCACTGATGACATGTTTTAAGTCAGGCAACAACTATTTCGACAAAAAACATTAATTCATGAGTATATCCCTAACTAAAAACAATACTATTTATTCAATGCCTACTGTGTGATAATATTTGACAGGCATAATTCCATTTAATACTCATAATACCTCTGGGAAGTAGCTACTACTGCTACTCTTGCTTCACAGATGAAAATTACTTGTCCACTATCACATGGCTGTGATAGTGTGAGAAGCTGGAATTTGAACTCAGGTCTCTCTGCCTCTACTGATCCAGAAGTTTTACTTTTATAAATTTACCCTAAGAAAGTAATCATGGATGTAGGTAAAGATTTATATACAAAGTTGGGCATCATAGCTTTGTTTATAATAGCAAAAGACTGGAAAGTATCTAGATGTTTAGCAATGGAGAATTACTAACAAACTATTATATATCCATAAGATTCAATGCCATGGAACCATTAAAAATTATGTTTTGGAAGAATACTTAATGGAATACAGCAATGTCAATTATATGTTAAGTGAAAATATCAGGATGTAAAATAATATGTATACTATGATTTAAATTATATATTGTACATAAATTCATATACACGTGTGTGTGCATGTATATATATATATATATTAATTAGATAGATAAATAGGCAGATAGATACACAAAAATAAAAGGATATCTCTGGATTAGGGTTTCTCAATCTTGACACCACTGACATTTTATGCTGGATAATTCTTTGCTATGCGGGCTATCCGGTACATTGTAGGATGTTTATCAGCCTCCCTGGCCTCTACTCACTAGATGCCAGTAGCACCCCTCTAGTTTGTGACAACTGAAAATTTCTCTAGACATTGACAAAATTGCCCCAGGGTAAGAACTCTGCTACTCTGGATGATAGGATAACAGATAACATTTATTTTCTTCTTTATGCATTTCAGTGTTTTCCAGCATTTCTAAAATTAATATATATGTGTTACATTTGTAATCCAGGGGAAAAAATGTTATTGTCAAAAAGCAAATTTACTAATAAGAGAAGGAATGATTCATATTTTATGAGACAAAACTGTAGTAATGGATAATATGTGTTATAGGAGCTTTAGAATATCTGCTGTGATTTTTATTTCCATCAGAAATTACTTCATAACTGCTTAATGGAAAAAAAAACACAGTGGAAAAAATTAGCAGAAATCTTTTCTACCTGTGTCAGGAACATCCGAGCAGTAATAGTAGAAAGAGGGGGATAAACCAGAATTGGTTTAGTTGTCTCCCCAATAGCACCACCGACAAGCTTTCCGTTGTTAGAATAGGCAGCAACTGCAAATACATACTTTTCATTGGTTTCTAAACCTTTCACTTCAAAAACACTTTTACCGTCAGCTGGTATCTATTAAGAAAAATATATTTCAAGTTATACATGAAAAATTAAAATAACATGACTTTTAAAATACAATTAAGTAAACCTTCTATTAAAAAAAAACCTTTTTCTTTCATTGTTGGATTTTAGTTATGATTCAGGTGGAAATTAGAGAGATTCACCAAAACAATGACTTCATTTAAAAATTTAATTATCATTAAAGGCTTCAGTAAGATTTCCTGATGTTTAATTTGACGTACCGCTTCTCCTGAATTTGGGAGATGATTATTGTTTAGCCGTACTTTTCCATAACTTCCTTCTGCTTTGCAACCCAAAATGCAGTACCAGGAGACCTGCCGACGAGAAAAATGAGCCTGTTTAAAAGGCATTCTTTTATATCAATGTAACAAAAAAAATACTTTTCTAAATAAAAATGTAATGATTCAGGTTTTAAAACATGAAATCCAAGTTTACAAATATACTTAGGTTTAATCTTTAAAGAGTAAAAGTAACCTTAGCTAGTTTACTGAGGCAATTAAGACTAAGATATTATTCATTATTAATTATTTTAACCACCATTAATTGAACAGTTCCTACTGCTAAGTACTGTTAGGAAATTTACAGATATTTTCTAATATGCACAACTCTATGAGATGGGATTACTATTGTCATTTTGCTTCACAGGAAATGGAGATGCAGAGATGTTAAATAACTTTGCCTAAGATCAGACAGATAGTGGCAGGGTTGACTCCTAAAATGACTTTGTCTTGATGTAAAAAAAAAGATTAACACTCAAGTGATTTTCATATTTTACATGATAATGTATGACAAAAAAAGCAAGTGGAAAGAGAAGCAAGATACTAAAATATATTATTTTAAATAAAATATAAAAATACATATGAAAAAGCCTAGAAGAAAACACCCCTAAATAAGAACAGCAGTAGGATTTGGATGATAAAATGGTAAGATGATAGGTAAATAATGGGCCAATTTTTTTCTCCAATTTATACATTTTCTGAAACATGATATTACTTTGATAATTTTTATATTTAGTTTAATTTTATATTTTAAATAAAAACATTAGACATAAATCAAACATAAAATATAAATCCCACAGAAACAACAAAATTTAACCTTGATTAAATAGTTAGACAATGATCCTTTCGCCGAGGTGTCAAGATAATGAAGATTCATTATTGGAATGAACTATTCTCCCTACAGAGAAAAAGGGAGCTAGGTGACACCTGACGGGGTAGTATTATGAACAAGCCATACTGCTGAGGGTTATAGGGGTCATGACTGTGTCATTACCTTCTTCCCAGAGGCAACTCCTAAACTACAAGGCAAGCTAGAAAGAAGGAAAAATACAATTGCCTCTAAAAAAAATACAATTGTCTCTAAATACAACTACGTCTTACAGCTTGTGCCTGCTACTCCTTCCTTCAGGTCAACAGAAAAATACTAACTATGTCCAATTGACACAAGTGGTTCTCAACACTGACTGTGCTCCAGAATTACTTCTTTAAAATACAAATTTGTACAGAATGAACCATTTTTGTAAATTACAGATACCCAAGCCTGTCTAGCTTCAATGAATTAGAATTTCTGATGCAAGTTTCCGCATCTTTGTCTTTCCAAAGAACATTTCTCAGGTGACTGTGATATGCACAACTGATTAAAAAGCACTAGTCAAAGGCAGAACAGGACAAAGAGAACACAGAAGGAACCTGAAGCTGGAGAATAGGGTAGAAAAAAAAAATCAGATGAATCTCAGAAAAAAAAAATGCAAAACTAACTTCCTTTGATTTCCCATGCAAAAAGATACTATTTTTCAAAGAAGAAAAAAGGCAGAAAGACTATGTTCTATGATTTATATCACTATTGCTCCAAGTTCTATTATATAAACCAGAATTTGGAGGGTAAAATTCTCTCTAAAAGCATTTTTACAAGCAGGCTTTATATTTTTATTTTGTTCCACAGATGAAGACATATCAGTTTATGTAACTCTAAGAAACAATGTGTAATTAGAATCTACATAAGGGTAGAGACATCATGAACAAATCAGTACTAACTTTAGAACAGTTTATACGTAATATAAATAACATTAGCATTTTCAACTACAAAAGTAGATTTTAATGAAATGAATGCCTCAACAAGAGATTTTGAGAAAACAAAAGATGGCTGAAGCCTCAACCCAGAAAACTTATTTAAGCCCATAGCACCATCTAGTGCTGATGAGAAGGTAACAGATGGTGATAATTTCCTGGAACTCTCTAAATGAACGTAATACACATAAACTTCCTATAACGTCCTCATTGATGAGTCCTAAAACTATAGGCCAAATATGAGACTCTTATATCTTCCTATTTCCAAGAATTATGAAATGAAATAAACTAATCATTAAATTAAAGTACATACAGAATAAGATTTTGGTTAAAGAAACCCAAATATTTGAACAAAAGCAAACAAAAACTCTTAGTAAAGCACGTGGTCTTAGTTCTGCACTAATTTTCCAAAATCAGTGAAGCTCTATTCTTAAACAGATTCCAAAAATCCAAAGTTTAACTTTAAAACCAGTATCAACAGCAGTAATGCATCTGTCATAGCACAGTTAGGTATAAGATGAATGTCACTTCTATTCCCCTCCTCTCACAATTATAAAGCACTATGAAGGTTGTCATCAGTTCTCACTGATGTCCATTTGCCATTCCTGAAGCTGCTCAAAGTATGCAAGCACATTTAATCCATATTTATCTTTATACCTCAATTACCTCGCACAGAGCTTGACAGATTACAGGCACTCAATAAATGCTCATTGGACAGAATCCACAAAAAATATTACCAAATAATGTAATCACAGTCTATCATTTCATTATTTTTTGTTTTTTTAGATAGTATTTCGCTCTGTCTCCCAGGCTGGAATGTCATGGCGTGATCTCGGCTCACTGCAACCTCCACCTCCCAGGTTCAAGCGATTCTCCTGCCTCAGCCTCCTGAGTAGCTGGGATTACAGGTACCTGCCACAACGCCCAGCTAATTTTTTATATTTTTAGTAAAGACAGGGTTTTACCATGTTGGCCAGGATGGTCTCGAACCCCTGACCTCAGGTAATCTGCCTGCCTCAGCCTCCCAAAGTACTGGGATTACAGGCTTGAGCCATCGCGCTTAGCCCATTACTTGTTTTGAGTAAGCTTTACTACTTAACATTTAATACAAGAAGTGGAAAGATATCAGCTAATATGCCAAGAATATTATATATTATCTCATTTAATTTTCACAATAAACACACTTTCCAAATGAAAAAAAAAACTCAGGAAATGTATTTAGCTTTCTTAAGGTCAGACTTCCAGGAAAGGTTGGAGCTAGAATTATAAACCTAAATCTGTCTGACTCCAAAGCCTATGTTCTCTCTACTATACCAAGTTGACATAACTTCAAGCAGAACATCCTAAAGAGAATCAAAGATACAAAGATAAAACTTTATTTTTATGTAACATCAAAGAGCATGTTGTTGATCATCCCAAAGAGGAAAGTGTAGTTTGTAAAATATAAATTAGGTAGAACCAAATTCTTGTGAAGAAACTGAATCTCAAGTTTTAGTCACATATAGGCCAAGTTCTGAGGCATCAGGGATGGGAGAAAAAGCTCACCTTCCAATAAATACACAAAGATGTATGGTTTATAATATGGTTGGAATTGTCCTTTGCTTGTGTTGAAAGAATCTACAGTTACTTGGAAGGACTTTGGGCAGAACCTCTAGACTCATCACCCCTAAATTTTACACACTCTGCTGCCTCATACCATCACTGGCTCTGAAGTAACTTCTACCCTCTTCAAATGTCTGATTCCACTTCAAGTGAGACTTCCATCTTGAGCACACGAGGATGTCAGCATATGGTGTGTCATGGTGACAAGGATACTTACAAGGAGGTGCTTCTCTACTGTTTCTCCTAACAATATATTTGGGTATAGCAATGCAATACAGAGCATATCATAAATATAACAGCATAAGGGGCAACAAGTCATGGAGAAACTAAGTATAGATAAGACATTGGAATATTAATCCAGTGTTCAGTGCTTATGAATAAGACTATCCAGTTCCTAAAAGCAATCAAAGTATGAATCATGGTAGTTATAAAAGTACTTATGTTGCTTTGCATGAGGCAAAAATTTTACTGGACACCATACCTTAACCTCTGAAGTAAATGGAGCAGGTTTGAGTGTCACAGAACAATGAGTTCGAGACAGCAGGATAGGTGGAGGGGGGACTCTGCTTTTCTTTCTTTTTGAACTTTCCAAATATTTCTGATAGGAATATAGGGCATTTTGTTCAGCTTCAATCCTCTGAATTAAGGAATATGCTTCCTATAATGAAATATGAAAATAGAAAAATATATGTCAAGAGCTTGAACTCTATTTACGTTTATAGAATTCTAGTGATGTTAAACAATGTTATATTTTTATATGCAGTTTTTCAAGCCTCAGAGGCTCAAATATATACATATATATTTCAACTATTTAATGATTTTGCAAAAGTAAAAGATGCCTACTAGATAAGGTTAATCATGATCACCAATGGCATTATATTTGTGTATCTTATATGTTTATCATTATTATCATACATGAATATGAGGTAGTACATTTTTAAATTGAACCTTTTGAATATCTACCACATTTCATTTTCCCTAAAAGGTTCATACCATAATCATCTGCATTTATGCTGATGAATTACACAGCTACCCTAATTCAGCTGAAGTGTGACTCTCAAATAATAAGAATATTGGTATATGTGGTTTATGAAATAAATATTATTGAGAGTTTCTTTTTATCAGCAAGAAGAAATAAAATAGAAAAACCATATTCTGTGAAGCTGATGGAAAGGCAACCACTTTTTAAAAAGGTTATATGCAGAGAGATAACACATAAAACAAAAGAGAAATATAAAAATCAGACCTAAATAACATTTCAAAAGTAGGGCTAAATACATAAGCAATAATAATAATGCATGTAAATGGGTTACAATTCCTTTTAAATTAAAAGGCAAAGACTCTCTAACTGAGCTCTAAGTAAAAACCCATGTAAAGATTAAAATTAAAGTGTTGATAAAGAAAGAATAGTCTTTTCTACAAATGGTGCTAGGACAATTGGACATTACATGCAAAAGAATAAAGTTCAACTCCTACTTCACACCATAGGCAAATATTAACTTAAAATGAAATATGCATTCAGATGTAAGAGCTAAGATTATAAAACCCTTAGAAGAAAATATATGACCAAATCTTTGTGACCTTGAGTTACACAATGGTGTTTGGAAGATTCAATGCAATGATGCATTTAAAATGCTTAGTGTTTGGAACAGAGTAAGCAGTCAATAAATGTTAGACATTGATTATGATTATGATTGTGATTACTACTCCTCCTCCTCTTTCTTTCATTTTAAGCACTCTGGAACATTCTGTTTTGCCATATCAGAACTATTATTATTATTACGCTTTCACTTAAAGTGTTCTGGAACACCGAAAGCACACTGACAAAGGAAAAAGTAGATAAGGTGGACTTCATCAAAATCAAAAGCATTTGTGTTTCAAAGGATACCATTAAGAAAGTGAAAAGACAGCCTACAGAATGGGAGAAAATGTTTTCAAATCATGTATCTGATAAAAGACTTGTATTCAGCACTTATATACACTGTTATAACTGAGAATTTTTATAACTCAATAATAAAAAGGAAAATAACTCCTTTTAAATATGGGCAAAGAATGTGAATACACATTTCTCCAGAAAAGACACAAATAGCCAATAAGCACATGAAAAGATGTTCAACGTCATTAGTCATTAGGGATGAAAATACAAAATCAGCAAACTGACTCAAAAAGCAGGAACCTAAACACAGAAATAATAATGTTCAAAGAAACTAGAAATGTTACCCAAAAATTGTTTCATATAAAAGTGTCAGGCTCAAATGAGTTCATAAACAAAATATTTTAAATCTCAAAGAACTGATCATTCCTATGCCATTTTAAATGTTTCCAAATACAGAGAGAAACAGATATCCTCTCAAATAATGTTATAAAACTATTTTAACTTTGATAACCGTCTGAAAAACAACTACACATAAAAACACAGACCAGTCATTTCACAAATACAAATGCAGACACCTTAAATAAAATACATAAAATACTAATACATTCACTCTAACAATATACTAACAAAATAATGAACTGTAATAATACTGTCTTTTTCCCAGGAATGCAAGGACAGTTTAACATTAGGAAGTATATAAATATAATTTAATATATCCATAAATTAAATGAGAAAAAACATGATCATAGTGCTCAATGGCCAAAAAGACATTTCAAACATTTTTTAACATTCATTACAGATTTTTTTAAGTCAATAAATTAGAAAAGCTCTTTTTAGCATTATTTAAAAATATTAATTTTAGCCAATAACCAAAATATTACTAGCACAAAATAGGACTCTTAGTGCTAAGAGTGAAGCACTAATAGAATTATCAATAAAAGCCAGAAAGAATGCCACTATTCCATTTTATTCTGGAAGTTCTAGTTAATTCAACAAACATAAGAGAAGAGATCCTGGAAATGAAAAGACAATATGTCTGTCTACCAAATTTCAAATGTATTTCATTCTGACAGAAAAAAACCTGTGCTGTTTCTCCTACAGAAGACATGTTGAGGTTGAAGTTTCCATTTGGAAACCTGAGCCTCAAGCTCAAAAGGGAAGGTAAAAAACTGGAGATAGGATCTGAGTACGCGTTGGAGTCATATTTAAAGCTGAGTGAGGAAACCAGCTCCCTGTAGGAGCAGAGATTATAAAACTATAACATCATATATTTTTTCTAAAATAATGAAGCCTGGTCGAAATTGAGATCAGAATTAACTTCTCATTTTTCTTTTTTATTGGAAATGGT
Source organism: Homo sapiens (assembly GCF_000001405.40). Classification (NCBI taxonomy): domain Eukaryota; kingdom Metazoa; phylum Chordata; class Mammalia; order Primates; family Hominidae; genus Homo; species Homo sapiens. The sequence continues at coordinate 96,574,018 of NC_000012.12, read as the reverse complement.
TGACATTAAGGTCTAAAATCATTAATCGTGATTAAAATGTATCCACGATGATGAATAGTTTTTTAATTCCACTTGTTCAGTGCCAGGAGGCCTTGAGAAATGTTTCTGCATATGCAGGTCAAGAATCTTAGGCATCTGCAAAGACAACCATTCCTTCGTATGGGAAGGGAAGTGTTACATGGTAACCATGTTTCTAGAGCCTGCATACCAGTCCTTCCGTATTTAGACCTAAAAGCTAATTTATATACACATATGAGGTATCAGTGTAACTGTTTGAATCACTGAATGAATGAATCAAGGAGATAAGATGACATCTGTTTCCTCCATTGCCTCCACTTTTTCACTCATTCAACCAAACTAATTTTTAAAAATTATAACAAATGGATGGACAAAAGGGTCAGGGCTAGATGGTGAGGGAGCAATGTCATAAAAGGCCGTAAAAGAGCCAGTGAGGCCCAGAGCACACAATCAGCACAGGGCTGGGCAGAGGCTCATTCCCTCTTCACCCTCTTCCATAGACAACAGAGCAGCTTTGGCTCCCTGAGGGGACGAATGTACCACAGAACAGGACTCCCTTGAAGGGTAACAAAAGGTGAGAGGCTTGATGAGGAAGAGGCCAGAGACAGAAAAGATAAGTGGATTTCCCCAGGTAGCTGTGGAAAAACTTTGAGGGAAGAAAGTCCTACCTGAACAAAAAGGAGATAAAACGCTATTATATTTTGAACATTAAACATTAATGTATCTTCATTCGCATCACAGGCTGTAGAGACCAAGATATTTCAGGTTACATAAGAACAGACAAAATCAGCCTAAGGAAAAATTATGCAAAACAAGGAAAGGAGACCAATGCCCCCACTTCCCTTGGAAATTTGGAGACATATCCTTCCTCGGGATTATGTCTGGAGCCTGTAAAATATACCAGCAGCACTGGCCCACTGGCCCTTATAGTCAAGCAGACTGCCTTTGACCTCCATCTCCACTGACCAGCCAGCCTCTCTGGGCTCCAAATTTGATCTCAAAATTTGCCTTGGTAGTTCCTGATTCAGTGAACCAATTGAACACTAGCACCTTCTGACTTAATTCTTGCATCTTCTTTCTGCACATCAATGAATCCAACTGAGGTAAAAAAAACTTTCTGTGTTCTGCCATGGCTATAACATAGACATTTCTCAACTGGGCTGTTGATCAGTATCATCTATGGAGTTTATTTAAAAATCAGAAGGCTCCATTTCTACCCCAAAATAGAAATCTCCAGGAGTGGAGCTTGAACATCTGTATTATTTACAAACACCAAGGATAATTCCAAAGTACAGCAAGAACTGGGAACCACAGATTCAGGTGAGTAAATCTCCTTTTCCCTCCTGCCTTTCTCCCAGTCTCTTTCTAGTCTCTTCAACCTCCAGTCTTCTAGTCCTTCAATGCCTCCTCTAATACTTGCCAGATAAAGTGCAAACTTTTCCAAAGCCCTTTTCATTCTGATCATGACTACATTTTCTAGCCTTATCCCCCTTTCTACTCTTTCTCTCTCTCATACCTACCTCTCTGTTCAACCTAACCTCTGAAACCATAAAAAAAAAAAATCACTCATTCCCTAAAATGCTGTTATTTCACGCCTCAGAATTGCCCACGCATTTCATTCTTTCTGGAGCATCTCACGTCCTCTTCTCTGCTTTAAGATCCACACAAATGTCACCTCCTCTGACATCTTCCAAGATAGCCCATGTATTTAAATAAGCCATTTCCTTCATTACATAGTATCTTTATTTTAGCAGGTATTACATAATATGTTACCTCTGTACTTGCCTGTCCACACCCTCTAAACACTGGTCTTGGCAGGAAGGACAGTGCTTTGTTTATCTCTTTAAGTTCAGTCAATGTGTTTGGAATATAAGACACACAAAATTATGAAAGAAAAGGGTAATCTTTATTACAGTGTCTTTTAAGATGGCATATTTAAAATGTTCTGATTGGCTCTTGATCAATTTTAACTTTAGACCCCTAACTCAGATCCCATGGCCCAATTTGAAATAGGTTAACAGAAGTATTAAAGTTTTAAGTGAATGGTGACAAAAGAAAAGTTTATAACAAAGCCCTTGATTTAGGTAAATCAGATAAATTCCATAACAGAATTCAGGGCAAACCCTAAGGCTAGTTAAAAACTAGAATCCTAATTTAAGGCAGCCAATTCATTGAGCTGCTAATAAGATTTTGTTTATGAGAAAGTGCCTGGGGCTTTTTAAAGGGGTTCTTCAACTAGAAAAAAGGGAAGTAACATCAGAAAATCCCCCAAAAAAAATCAAGAAGGAAAAATTCCCATGAAACCAATACTACTTAGTCATGAGAAAGTGTTATCAATATGGACCTGAATGTTGTCTATAATAGCAGTGCTCTAGAACACCAACCTATTACAATTGCAAAACCTAGATAAACCATTCTCTAATCACAGGTCAAGAAGTAGACTTTCCATGACGTATCAATAATGAAAAATAACTATATCCTCACATCTTATACTACCTACCACAGTGCCTAGCAAATTAGAAAGGTTCAGTAACTTTGAAAAAAGAAATAAGCCTTTACCTATCACGGGGACTCAGCCAAGAAATCTCGATGGAAAGGGACTTGCCCACCAACTCACAATAAAAATAAGCTCTAAGGTGTTCTTTCAATGGTGGTTTCCACTGCAATGTGCCACCAAAACCACAGTATTGAAGTCCAAAGTATTTTTGTCTGAATGTAAATTTCTCTGCGTATAGTTTCCCTTAGAGAAAATGAAACCTGCCTCTCTTCAGAAGTTACTCAATGCTTATGAGGACAGATTGATGTTAAATACATTTGACACAGGCTTGATGCCCACAGTGCAGCAAAACACTAATGGAAAGATGCAATGGAATCTTGAGGGTGTGACTAAGACATATGTAATCAACTATCACAGGACTGGAATGATAAAGTACCATATTTCCTACATATCTGGTAGACCTCCCTGAGGTATATTCTGGGTTCTCAACATTATAATGTACATTGCAGAAAAAGATGAAAAGTAGATTAAGTCATATCCAAGAATCCTGAGAAGGAATATTGCTTAGAATAAAATATACAAGTAATAAGATAAATCTAAGAGAAAATACAGAAAGAAATGTGTAGTCTGATGGAGGAAAATACATATAAAGCACCAAAAAGTAGTTCAAACAGAATGTCTCAGAGTGCTTAAAGTGAAAGAGAAATAATAATAGTTCTGATATGACAAAACTGAATGAAAAGCAGAGTAATCATAATAATAATGGCTAACATTTATTGACTGCTTACTCTGTTCTGAACACTAAGCATTTTATATGCATCATTACTTGAATCTTCCCAAGAATCCCTGTTTCACAGATGAAGAAATTGAATCTTAAGAGAGCATAAATAACTTGACAGGTCATACAGCTAATCACTGGTAGAACCAGAACTCTAATCCAAGATCCTTATACTCCTAACCACTATGCTATCTTGTCTTAATAAACTAAGTTAAAAGAAGTTTGGAAAGGCAACCTGGATTAAGTTTCCTATGCAATACCCTTAAATCACTTAAAAGAGAAAAAAAATCCAAAATGTAGATATGCTAAATATTCTGTTAGCAGTTTGAAGCCTGGGAGTCAAAACATGGCCTCATAAGAGGAGGGGTCAGAATTAGAAGTTGGCTCATTGATTTAAAAAAAAAAAAAAAGAAAAGAAAAAAAGACTTGAGCACACAATTACAAAGAGCTGAGGCTGGGCACAGTGGCTCATGCCTGTAGTCCCAGCACTTTGGGAGACTGAGGAAAGCGGACCCCTTGAACCCAGGATTTCGAGACCATGCTGGGCAACATGACAAAACCGCATCTTTACAAAAAAATACAAACAGCCAGGCATGGTAGCATGGGCCTGTGGTTCTAGCTACTCAGGAGGCTGAGGTAGGAGAATGGCTGAACCCAGGAGGTCGAGGCTGCAGTGAGCCATACACACCACTGCACTGCAGCCAGGCTGACAGAGCAAGACCCTGTCTCATAAATAAATAAAAATAAAAATAAATTTTTAAAGGCCTATGTATATTCTTCCCCCCTAAAAAAAAATCAGATAGAATTGATTTGACTTGAAATGCTACAAAATAGGAAAAACAATTAAATCCAACTACTGCTAATATAGTTAATAGACTGGTATTTAGGGGATATCAAGAAATAAATTCAGGAAGTATTAAAGCCAGAGGTTATTAGAACTGCTAATACCCCTGAATTTCTTCGTTAGTTCTGGTCCAAAATGGTACCATAAATTAGATTCTGTGTTGATTATAAACAATAACCTGCTAAATCATAATGCTCCTTTGCTTAGAGTGGAATTTGGAATTGTTGAAATGATCTCAACTACAGATTTGTTTAGGTTCCTACAAATAGTACTAGAAGAAAACCAGATGAAACAACTGGGTTTCTTTGCAAGAGAAACAACTGGAAAACCTGGCTTGGACAAAAGTAGCCCCAGAGAGGAAGGAGGGTCTACGAAACACAGTTATAATGGTGTAATCAGAATACAGTTATGAGGATGAATGAATTGCCAACATTTCCTTAGAGAAGACAAACTTATTTTCCTAAGCAATAATTTTCTACATTAGGGTGTACAAAACTAAGGTCTTTTAGTCTTTGTATCCCTCTACTCAAGACTGGAAGGAGCAGTCAACTGGCCCAGGTGGCATCATTAGTTTTCCTCTTGAGGACCAGTCCCACCTGATTACATCTGATACGGAAAAAGAAATTCTCAAAAGATGAGTTTGGAAGGGGAAATGGATGCTGTACAGAAAACAACAGCATCCTCAAAACCGCCAACACTTGGATGGAGGAGCATTTCTGCCTCTTTCTATGAGAAATTACATCTACAAAGACACTGAATGTTCTGTTAGTGGACTAAGAGCAATGACATAAGCCACATAATGATACTATATTTGACCAGAAGTAGAAGATGAAGGACATCCAGTATGGATCCTAGGTGCAATCCTTTAATATAATCCTATGGAATAATATATAAACAGCCAAAATGGACTTCCAGAGGTCAAATAACCAAGACAAGAAAATGGAAAAATGAATCCCCATAATTAAAAAAAAAAAAGCCAGTCATCTCACTTGGAAGCTAATGAGTTATTATCAAAGGTTTGTCCCTCATTTGTGGGAATAAATTGGTCCATCTTAATTGATTAGAAATAAAACAGACACCTGATGAGATTATCCAGATCCACAGAGTCAGAAAATTTCTGAAAAACAGAGACAGGATATGAATTATTTAAGAGTTCTAAAGAGACTCAGGCTTTTCAAACCTTTTTATGATATCAGGTGACACATCAATTACTGATTTGGGGATAATTTTGTTACAAGATCATGATATTGTAAAACATTCTGTTACGTACCCCAGTTGAGAATGATTGCCAAGGGAAATAAATGTATTTGTCTTCTTTAAAAAAGAAAGAAAGTTTGGCAATTATTTGAGCCATAACATCATTGTTTAGGAGAGTACCCTGAGGACTGATCATTAAGCCTTAACATTTAGATAAAAACCACCACTGAGGAGCAGACATGGCTATAGAAGATTTCAGGACTTCTAAATAAATATTCGACATGTTCCTCGTTGGTGAAAATTCTTTAGAGGGCTCCTCATAAAAAATAGAGCCTCTTAATGCATCTCAAGAGTCTATCCTAATAGGACATTATACTCATAATTTTTTCTGGAATTAAAATAGTTTCATTTTTTAAAAAATAGAAGAAATTTTGTAAATTTTACATTTTTTAAAAAAGAAAACAAAAAAAGAGCTGAGAAGATCTCTGAAAAAAGAAAATCGTCCGTGTATATTCTTCCCTCCCTAAAAAAAAAAAAAAGCAAATAGAACTGATTTGACTTGAAATGCTACAAAATAGGAAAAATAATTAAATCCAATTACTGCTAACACAGTTAATAGACTGGTATTTAGGAGACATCAAGACATAAGTTTGGGAAATATTAAAGCCAAAATTCCTTAGAACTTCCAGTACCCCTGAGCTTCTTCATTTGTTCTGGTCCAAATGTTTGAGCCATAACATCATTGTTTAAGAGAGTACCCTAGGGATTGATCATTAAGCCTTAACACTTGGATAAAAACTACCACTGAGGAGCAGAGGTGGCCAAAGAAGATGTTCCTGCCCACACTGGAAACTTGAGACATCCAGGTATCTCAGTCCCGGTATGTTCCCTGGTCTCAGTGGCGGGAGGCAGACACATACAGGGGAACCAGCACACTATGGCAGTACAAAGACCAGATTCAGTCATCATAAAACAAGAGGAAACCTCTCTTCAGGCTCTAAGAAGACCCAAGATTAGTAGTAAGACCAATATTTCTAAAATAAAGATAAGGTTTATTTGCCATAAAAATAGGACTGAAGTACCAATGTCCTCCAAGCACTAGACAATAGCAAACAGCCATGGAAGCATCAGCTGAGAAAATGGATCTGAACACAACCCCGAAGTCTTCCAGCAAAGACCAGACACCACTTGGCCTTGTGATCTCAGACCACCCAACACCACCATCCAACTTCCTCATTCAAATTCTGGAAATTCAAATTTAACCAGGCTCTTCCCTAATACTCCCAGGACAGACTTCCTCACCTTGAACATTGATAGCATCTGTCCATCCAAAATTCTTAGCTTGGCGAAAAATACTTCTTATGAACACATCTTTACTTCCTCTCTGGTCTCCCGTGCTACTATCCTCTCCCCCACCCGACTCCTACCCTTATTGCATCTAAGCTTCTGTCTCACAGAATGACCTGTAGAACTACAAGCACTCTATGACATTTCTCGCCTTGGGACCTTGGCACATTTGTTCTCTCTGCCTGGAATGTCCTTTCTACTGTTTGCGCTCCTGTTTCTCTGGCTCTTTCAGTATTCAAATTCAAGCCATCTGTCTTTCAGCACTCAACTTCACGTGATTTCTCCTGGATGTTTCCTTAAACATTCCCCACTATTGAGTTAGGTACTCCCCTGTTAATTTTCCCTAGCCCTCTTGCAATTAAAGCATATATTTACTTGTCTATGTTTCCACAGACTGGATTTTTATATGAATAAATCCAGGGACCACAAAGGCAGAACCACAAAAAGAAGGTAAATCAATCAATATTTGTTGAATAAATAAAAGATTCCCCCCTTCTATACTCAGCATACTACCAGGCACATAGTGAACTTCCAATACATAATTGCGAAATGGATCAAAATTATTTGTTAGATGGATGAATAGATTGACAGATAACAAGTAAGTGCTACATACCAGGAATCTTGAATTTCAGTATTCTACTTTCTAACCTCAAACACCTATCCTTCTAGCTCCCTCAGACCCTCATTTTCTGGTCCTTGACCTGACCTCATAAAGATGTCCAGTCTCTTGATATTTCCATAGACACCAAGTCTTTAAATGCCTTCATGCCTTCCCTCCCTACTCAATCTGTATCCACGTTTTTAAAGCCATAAACTTTTAACTCATACCTTCATTTTTTTTAAAAAAAATCTAATCCTCCACAAATGTCTGCTGTCACAAATATTCTGCTGTCATTAAGAACACCACATCAGGATAATGTCATACCACCATACGGATCAAGATGTCTAAAAATTCTTGGTCTCCAACTTCAGCTAGAACTTAGTGATGCTGGCCAGTCCCTTTACTTGGAGTCAACTCCCTCATCCATTCCTCCCCACTCTCCACATTATCTTTACTTTCCCAGTTCAATTTTCCACCCTCATGCTCCATTGATGGCAGATATCCTTGCCTCCCACTGCATCCGACAGAGGTAAGAAGGTGTATTAGTTTGTTCTCACACTGCTAATAAAGACATACCCGAGACTGGGTAATTTATAAAGAAAAGAGATTTAAAAGAGGCTCACAGTTTTGCATGGCTGGGTAGGCCTTGGGAAAGTTACAATCATGGCAGAAGAGGAAGCAAACACATCCTCTTCACATGTCAGCAGGAGAGAGAATGAGTGCCCAGTGAAGGGGCAAGCCTTTTATTAAACTATCAGATCTTGCGAGAACTAACTCACTTTCATGAGAACAGGATGGAGGAAACCTCCCCCGTGATTCAATTATCTCCACCTCGTCCCTCCCACAACACATAGGGATTATGGGAACTACAATTTAAGATGAGATTTGGGTAGGGACACAGTCAAAGCATATCAAAAGGCATCAACTCAACTCCCTGCCTTCACACCAACAAACTTTTCTTATCTACATCTGTCTGTTCCTCCTTCCCTTCTGTATCAAAAGATGAGGTGTCTGCCCTGCAGCCCACCCATCATTGAAGATGAATCCCTTTATCTGTGCTTTCAAAATCATCCTCTATAGGCCTTGGCTCTGTGTATTAACCTTTCCCTCTTATTATCTTCAATTTCTCTTTGTTCTGGCACTTCATTTTTAGCATACTATTATGCTAAATTTTCTCATTAAACCCCTTTAGCTCCATATCCCCCTCCTAGCTTTGACCTACTTTTTTCCTTCTCTTATCAGCCAAGACATAGCATTATTCTGTACATCTTCATACATCATTCACTCAGCCAATGCCAGCATACTAAGGGTCTGACTCTACCAAAAAAAATTTTTTTTAATATTCTGGCATGGTGGCATGTCTGTAGTCCCACCCACTGGAAGGCTGAGGTGGTAGGACCATTTAAACCCAGGAGTTCAAAGCTGCAGTGATCTAGGACTGCGCCACTGCATTCCAGCCTAGTTGACAGAGTGAGACCCTGTCTCAAAAAATAAACACATAAAATCAACATATAATGAATTAGCAAGAAGGCAGAAGAATTTCCAGGCCAGAGTGAGACCCGATTAAAAATATCAACAAGGGGATTGGTCCATAAATTAGCAGTATCTATCTAAGAGAGAAGGTACCTCAGCCAATGGACTTTAAGAATTTTAATTCCATTGTAAAGAATACATTAAGCTGGTAAAGTGTCACTCCAATTCTATAATTTCCCTCATTTTGAGTCCTTCTGATTTTATTTGTCTTCTCATGTAGATTGCATGAAGTTCTGATAAAAAGAGAATCTCTCATTTCAGAATTCAGAACTGGAGGTACGAATTAGTTCCCCTGGTCAGGATGAATTATATATAGTGAATCTGAAAGTTCATAATTAAATGTTAAGGGCAACACATTATTTTTAATAAAGGAAATGAATCATTCATTTTAACAGAAATTTTATGTCAGGATTAAAAGAAGAAATGAAATACTGTTACCATCAAAAGTTCCCATGAAGATGTAGAAGTTGCATCTTTCTCGAATATTAAAAGAGCTTTCTGCATTAAGTAAATTGCTTTGGATAATGTATTCTTCTTTATTTTATTCATTATATTTAATTCTATAAAAACAAACATTTTACCAAAAAGGTGAGATTAAAAACTATCTTCCAAATTTTTTGGAAATACCAGTTATCCCAATTTTAATTACCTGTAAAACAATCAGTGCTTCCAGATTGTTTTAACTTTTCCGGACCCTTGGTAGAAATATCTTTGCTAACAGTTGGAGTCTGCAAAACTGAAGAAGAAGACGACTGTCATAACAATTAAGTATGTATCCAAGAGAGGAAATATTTTTTAAATACTAAGGAGTAACTATTCATAAAGCTACTGCTTCCTCTGTCATGTCATTTTTTTCATTAATAGATAAAAATTCATATAAATCTACTATAATGCAGTTTTATCAAATCCTCTTTTATTTGCCACAGTATACCTCAGGACAGAAGAAATTCCAAATTATAAAAATATTTGATTTTCTATCTCATCTTGAATAAAGTCATCCTGAGGATTGATAGAATCCAACCTACTTCTGTTGACTTTACCTTTTCACAGAAGTACAGATGGCAAGTCCTGATACCAATACCAATAAGCTGTCAAACTCTGTCCTCAACACCCCTTCTAGAAAAACTGTTTCATCCAAGGTCCCTTTAAGAGCTCTGGGTAACACACGAAGACCTCCACTATCTTCCAGCTGTGGCTGATGAAATCAGAGCCTGTCTCAAGATTTTGAACTAAAACATGAACTTGCCAGTTGTTGATACTGGTATACAATTGGGACTGACCATCATGGTGGTTCAGTAAAGACAGGAATGTGGATGAGGGGAAAAAAGGATACAACTATATACAACTATACTAGCCCAGGGAGATGGAAACTGTAGCACTGATTCTTGATTTTCAGGTCTGGTGCTTAAGAGACCTGGTAGTATTTTGGTCCTTGGAGATATGCGAGGGTAGCTATAGTAACCTTACAATAAACCCCTTTTACTGAGTTTTAATTATTTGTGCTAATGCACATGAGCCACCATGTGATAGTAATTGATTCGTGAAAAGATGTTAACATACACCATTGAAGAATAGAAGGCATCTGCAGTGGCAAAGGGTAAGGAAACATCTGCATGGAGATAGCAATGCAGAGCAGAAAATAGTGCATCATTCTCTCAATACCAAGGATATTATAAATGCTAATTAAGCTTTCCTGATTATAATCGTTGGAGATAAGAAGGATGAGACTGCAAAAAAATTCTGAATGCCAAATACAGATGCATCATATTTATGTCATGGACATCAACAGGCAACCATTATTGAATAAGAATGCTAATGTAGGGAACATCAGTCTGGCAACAGCATGCTAAAGAAAGACAAGGTAGGGGAACAAAGTGATCAGCTGTGCTAGGATGGCAATTCAATAAAGCCAAGAAAAAATTCAAGGAAACCCAGAGATATTGCAAGGAAATAATAACTAATTCCATTTACATCTGAACTCAAGTCTTGCATCAATATCTTTAAGTGGTCTATGATCAAAACTCATTTGGTCTTCAAAGATTTATGGATGACAATTAGAGAACGAGGTATTAGGAACTCCATGAGTTTAAAAAAAAACTCTAATCCTCCACTAAAGGAAATAATACAGTTACTATGTGAGAATCATGGGCTAGTTTCTTAAAACCTGACACAAAAATTCTATTTACATTTTGAAACATATTTCTAAACCAAATATTTTCAGCCCAAAACATGTTCAAGATTATTATGCTAAGTAATTCATTTATGTATTAGAAAAAACTTTATCAAATTTTCAATTTATACATGATGACACAGAGATATTTTAATTATTACTTGCTTCCCTCTACACCCAGCAGGTCATAGGAGAAGTAGTTTTTGAAACTATGTAAATGTTTAAAATAAAATGTAAAAAGATGAAGAGTATAAAAAAATAAAAGGATGGGGAAAAAAGGAAATTTTATATAAACAGAATACAGGCAGGGCATAGTGGCTCACACCTGTAATCCCAGCACTTTGGGAAGCCAAGGTGGGCAGATCGTTTGAGGTCAGGAGTTCCGAGACCAGCCTGGCCAACATGGCAAAACCCCATCTCTACTAAAAAAAATACAAAAATTAGCCAGGTGTGGTGGCACATGCCTGTAGTCCCAGCTACTTGAGAGGCTGAGGCAGGAGAATCACTTGAACCTCGGAGGCAGAGGTTCCAGTGAGCTGAGATAACGTCACTGCACTCCAGCCTAGGTGACAGAGGGAGACTGTCTTAAAAAAAAAAAAAAAAAAGAATGCAAATACAAAAAAAGGGTCACAAGTATGTATCAAATTGAAAAAAAAATTAAAAATAGAATTCAAGTAAATTTGGACACAGTTCTCTGATGTATGACATTTTCTAGAGACAAAATGAACTGCAAAGAAATCCTTAATTTACTTAGTAGGTTTTTAATAGTGGTATTGGTTTAATAATTTTGAAAGTAATTTGTTAATTTGCCAGGATAAAACAAATGAGTAATTACATTGATGTTGTTACGAACCAGAATGCTCAATATGGGAGAAGGAAAATACAAAAATGGAGAAGGTGAGGAGAAACCTTTTAGTGTTAGAATTGGAGATATCAAAAAGAACTTGTGGTCAGGCGCAGTGGCTCACACCTGTAATCCCAGCACTTTGGGAGGCCGAGGCAGGCAGATCACTTGAGGTCAGGAGTTCAAAACCAGCCTGGCCAACATGGTGAAACCCCATTTCCACTAAGAGTACAAAAATTAGCCGGGCATGTTGGCACATGCCTGTAGTCCCAGCTACTTGGGAAACTAAGACAGGAGAATTGCTTGAACCCAGGAGGCCGAGGTTGCAGTGAGCTGAGATCGCACCACTGGGTGATCGCACCACTCCAGCCTGGGTGACAGAGTAAGACTCCATCTCAAAAAAAAAAAAAAAAAAAGAACTTGTGATTTAAATATATATACATGTGTGTGTGTGTGTGTGTGTGTGTGTGTGTGTGTGTGTGTGTATTTCTTAGCTCTATCTACTAAAAGGAGCCATTGACATCTCAATAGCAATGAGCACTCTTAGCTTACAGATCTTGGTTTCTAAATACCATTTCCTAGCAAAAGGTACCAAATATCATTGGAAAAATAGCTTATTCCAGATCTGGGGGTAGAGAAAGCAAAAGATAGGTCAAGAATATTTTGTTGCACAGAAAGCAAAAAAAATCTCAAAGAATAATGGGGGCTGTATTAGTCTGTTTTCATGCTGCTGATAAAGACATACCTGAGACTGAGCAATTTATATAGAAAAAGGGGTTTAATGGACTTACAGTTCCATGTGGCTAATGAAGCCTCACAATCATGGCAGAAGGCAAAGAGGAACAAGTCACATCTCACATGGATGGCAGTAGGCAGAGAGAGAACTTGTGGAGGGGAACTCCTCTTATAAAACCATCAGATCTTGTGAGACTTACTCACTATCATGAGAACGGCATGGGAAAGACTTGCCCCCATTATGCAATTACCTCCAACCGGGTTGCTCCCACAACATGTGGGAATCCAAGATGAGATTTGGGTGGGGAAACAGCCAAACCAAATCAGGGACATATCAAAGGAACACAGGATCCAGTGTGAAGGGCCTCCCTCCCACTGGCAAAATTTATGACTTTGAGCATCACAAAGAACAATGATGGCAAGTGACTTTAAAAGATTAGTAAAAAAGGAATCTGATCCATAGTGTTACTCAAAAAATTAAAAGAGGCAAAGCAGGGACAGCTCTTGTTTACAAAAGAATGTTACCAAATAAATCTAGAAGGAATAATTCAATTAGAAAATCATCACGTACAACCACTGTAATAATTAATTCAGGAAGGATCACCAATGGAGGGAGTAAGACCATTGGGTGAAAGTCTGTTGGGGAACAGGATATTCATTCCTACATCACCAACAGCACCAATTACTTTTTCACTACAAAGGGGAGAGGGACATTTACAATGCAGAGATCTGGCAGACATCAGCTTAATAAAACGATTGCACTTTGCCTCACCAATAATAAAACAAATAGCCGATGCATGCAATCTAATGTGATACAATGGAATATAAACAGCATCACCTGCATGATTATGAGGAAACTACTAGGAAAGATCAGATTGTGGAACATGTCTTCAAAAATATCAATGTTATGAAAGAAAAAAAGAAGTTGGAGGAGTTATTCTAGATTGAAGAAGAATATGACAGCCAAATGCAGTAAGTGATTTTTGATTACTTCTTAGATCATTTTAAATAAAATCCATTTTCCCCAAAAAGGATATTTGGGAACAATTATGGCAATTTGAAAATTAGATGCATAATAGAGCATGTTCTCAGACATATGTGAGAGCTAAAAAAAATAGTTTACCTCATGGAGGTAGAGAGTCGAATGATGGTTAACAGAGGCTGGGAAGGGATTGGGGGTAGGGGGATAACCAGAGATTGGTTAATGAGTACAAACATATTGTTAGATAGAAGAAAAAAGTTCCAGTGTTCAACAGGACAATAGGGTGGCTATAGTTAACAATAATTTATTATACATTTCAAAATAGCTAGAAGATTTGAGATGTTCTCAACACAAATAACTGATAAATGTTTGAGATGATGAATATCCTAATTACCCTGGGTTGAGTTTTGTACATTGTATGCACGTGTTAAAATATTGCATGTACCCCATAAATATGTACAATTATTATATACCAATTAAAAATGTAAAACTATAAAACATTTAGAAGAAAACATAAGAAAATCTTCATGATCTGGGGTTAGGTAAGGAGTTCTTAGACGGGACACCAAAATCACATTACATAAAAGTAAATAAATGATCAATTGGATGCTAAAAAATAATTGACTATATAATCAATAATATTATTATATCAGTGTTACCTTTCTTCAGAGTGATAATGGTATTATGGTTATTTGAGAGAATGTCCTCATTATTAGCTGACAAATGCTACAGTTTTCAGGGGTAAAATATATCATAATGTCTGCAACTTCTCAGCCTATGGATATGTCCATGTATATGTATATATCTCTACACATACATAATATGATATTGATATAATAGGTATATACATCTACAGATGTTTATACATAGATGTATAAATATACATATTTATATGTGCATGTAAAGAGAAAGACAGTAAACGTGGCAAAATGGTCATGATTGGTGGATTTAGGTGAAGGTTATGTGGATAGTCACTACACTATTCTTTCAACTTTCTGAAGGCTCAAAAATTGTTAAATAAAAAGTTGGAGGGAACAGTTTACCACAGTTAACTTTTTAATTTTTAACTTTTATGGGTACATAGTAGGTGTATATATTTATGGGGTACATGAGATGTTTTAATACAGATATGCAATGCATAATAATCACATCATGGAAAATGGGGTATCCATCCCCTCAAGCATTTATCCTTTGTATTACAAACAATTCAAGTATACTCTTCTAGTTATTTTTAAATGTATAATTAAATTTTTTTTTGAGATGGAGCCTCGCCCTGTCACCCAGGCTGGAGTGCAGTGGAGTGATCCTGGCTCACTGCAATCTCCGCCTCCCAGGTTCAAGCTATTCTCCTGCCTCAGCCTCCCAAGTAGCTGGGATTACAGGCATGCACCACCACGCTCAGCTGATTTTTGTATTTTTAGTAGAGACTGGGTTTCACCATGTTGGCCAGGCTGATCTCAAACTCCTGACCTCAAGTGATCCACCCACCTCTGACTCCCAGAGTGCTGGGATTACCAGCATGAGCCACAGTGCCCAGCCTTACTTCGCTGATTGTATCCTTTGCTGGGCAGAAGCTTTTTAACTTGATATGATCCTATTTGTCCATTTTGCTCTGGTTGCCTGTTCTTAAGGGGTATTGCTCAAGAAATTTTTGCCCAGACCAATGTCCTGGAGATTTTCCCCAATGGTATCTTGGAGTAGTTTTATAGTTTGAGGTCTTAGATTTAAGTCTTTAATCTATTTTGATTTGATTTTTATATATGGTGAGAGAGAGAGGGGTCTAGTTTCATTCTTTTGCATATGAATATCCAGTTTTCCCATCATTTATTGAAAAGACTGTCTTTTCTCCAGTGTATGTTTGTCAAAATGAGTTCACTGTAGGTGTGTGAATTTGTTTCTGGGTTCTCTATTTTGTTCTATTGGTCTATGTGACTGTTTTTATGCCAGTACCATGCTGCTTTGGTTACTATAGCTCTGTAGTATAATTTGAAGTCAGGTAATGTGATTCCTCCAGTAAAGTTGTATCCTGCAACTTTACTTAATTTGTTTATCAGTTCTAATAGTTTTTTGTGGAGTCTTTGGGGTTTTCCAAATATAAGATGGTTATCATCTGCAAACAAGGATAATCTGACTTTCCAATGTGGATGCCCTTTCTTTCTTTCTCTTGTCTGATTGCTCTAGCTAGGACTTCCAGTACTATGTTGAATGTTAATTCTTTTGTCAACCTAGGAAAACTTTCAATTTTTAAATTACCTTTGAATATTTTATTTTATAAATACAAAAATATATTTATCATGTATGTATGTTTTAAATCACATTAATATCATGAACACATGTAAACCACCACCCAGCACCAGAACTGGAACATTAGCAGTAACTTACATCTACCTATATGCTTTTCCTTCCTACGCCATCTCCCTGCCACCTCCACAAAGGAACCACTGTCCTAAACTCAAGGTCATTCTTTTTAATTTTATAGATAGAGAGTGTCAATAAAATCTGGAAATGCAGATGAGTTATACATAATGTCTTCAAAGGACATATGTCTATGTTTCCAGACTTTATGGACTACCTGCATACCTGATAACTATAGTTTTCCTTATATGATAAATTTATGTATATGCAGGTCACTTTTTAATATACAGTTTTATCAATTATTACGTTACTTATTATATATAATATATAATAAGCCTTAAGAATCCCAAGCTTTCATTTTTGAGCTTGATTTAAAACATCCTACTGAATGTA
The DNA here is from genome assembly GCF_000001405.40 of Homo sapiens. NCBI lineage: Eukaryota > Metazoa > Chordata > Mammalia > Primates > Hominidae > Homo > Homo sapiens. Next base: position 96,557,724 of record NC_000012.12, on the reverse strand, counting down.
GTCTTTCATTTTATTTTTTTCTGACCCCATCCTCCCATCACACTGAATGTAGTCTTTTAAAACTTACTGTTTTAAAACAAAAATTATGTTTCTAGAATTCATCCACGTTGGTCATTTTCATTGCCATGTGATATTCCCTTACATGAATATATCACAGTTTCTTTATCAATTCTCTATTAATGGACACTTGGGTTGTTTCCAGTTTTTTGCTATTATGAACACTGCTTCTACAAGCATCCTTCTATCTGTAGTTGGTGTACACGTTCAAGAAATTTTACAGGGTATGTACCTATGAGTGACATTGCTGGGTCATAATTTAGATTAATGTTTAGCTTTACAAAATAATTATATTGGCCATAACTTCTTCCTTTTCTATGAAGTTCTCCTTCTTTCTTTTGCTTATTGTCTTGTTATTTGTCTTATTATTGATGTTTTGGAATTTTTGTACATTGTTCATGCTAATCGTTAGTAAATTGCCACTAGACAAAGAGATGGCATGAGAAGGAAGATTCAATTGGTCATCGTTGCCTTTGAAGATAGAAAGTGGTCATGAGCCAAAGAATGCAGGTAGCCTCTAGAAGCTGGAAAAGACAAGGAAACAAGTTCTCCCCCAGAGCCTCCAGAAAGGAATACAGCTCGGTTGACACCTTGATTTTATTATTTAACTTTCGCTTTAAGTTCGGGGGTACATGTGCAGGTTTGTTGCATAGATAAACTCATGTCATGGGAGTTTGTTATACAGATTATTTTGTTACCCAGGTATGAAGCCTAGTACCATTAGTTATTTTTCCAGACCTTCTCCCTCATCCCACCCTTCACCCTCAGAAAGGCCCCAGTGTCTATTGTTCCCCTCTATGTGTCCATGTGTTCTTATCATTTAGCTCTCGCTTATAAGTGACAACATGCAGTATTTGGTTTTCTATCCCTGAATTAGTTTGCTAAGGATAATAGCCTCCAGCTCCATCCATGTTCCTGCAAAGGATATGATCTTGTTCCTTTTTATGGCTGCATAGTATTCTATAGTGTGTATTTACCATGTTTTCTTTATCCAGTCTACCATTGATGGGCATTTAGGTTAATTCCATGTCTTTGCTATTGTGAATAGTGCTGCAATGAACATACATGTGCATGTGACACCTTGATTTTGGCTCAGTGAGCTGCAGTTCAGGTTTCTGACTCCAGAACTGTAAGATAACATATTTGTGTTGTTTCAATGCACTCAAGTTTGTAGTAATTTGTTACAGCAATAATGGCAAACTAATACAATTGTGAAAAATGTATGGGGGACTTGGAAGGGAAAAGCAAAAGCATTTAATTTGAAAAAAAAAGAAAAGAAATATAAATTGCAAATATTTCTCCTAGGTGTGGTGTGGTTTTGGGGTTTTATTTTTATTTTTTTTTTGCTTTCCTTATCTTTAAAATTTTTTGATGATGAGAATTTATTTATATTAATGCAGCCAAATGTATTAATGTATTCATTTTTTTCTTTTAGGATCAGCACTTTTTGAATCTTGTTTAAGAAGATCTTCCCTACTCCAAGCTTAGAAATATATTCTACCATATCTTCTTCTAAAAGTTTTTAAGATTTTTTTTTTACATTTAACTCTTTGGTGCATCTGGAAGATATTTTTGTGTATGGGAAGGTAAGAAATGTAATTTGGTTTTATCCATATGGATATCCAATTATCCAATGAATATGAGGTATTCTAGCACTTTGAAATAAATCTTGACTTATGTTAGAGCGAGATCCCCTACACTCACCTGATTTTTTTTTCCTTCAGGAATGTCTTAGCTATTTATGTCTTCTACCTACATTTTGTAAAAAGATTGTAAAGGTCTACCCAAAAAAATCCTACTGGAATTTTTATTGAAATTGCATTGAGTCTATAGATCTATTTGAATAAAACTGAAATCAGAATAATCTTTCTGATTATTTGGTCTTCTTATCAATAAACACAATCTACCTTCATTTATATAGTTCTTTAACATTTTTCAGTAAAGTCTTATAATTTTTTGCATACTTGTAGCTCTTTGGTTAGATTGAAACCCTTGGTACCTTACAGATTTTTTTGATATAAAAATGATGTCTTTTTATTATATTTGCTAACTGCTGTTGTATAGAAATATAATTACATATTATATATTACATATTATATATTATGTATTATATATTATTATTTTTGTATATGCTGATAGATTCTTTTGCATTTTCTAGGTAGACAATCATATAATCTGGAAAGAACAGTTTTGTTTCTTCTTTTCCAATCCTTATATCTTTATTTTTCTTATCTTCTTGCATTGGCTAGAATTCTCAGTATAAATATTTTTTTCATCTTCCTGCACCAATCAGCAGTGTGTCTACACTGCTCACTCTTAAATTAACCAGCATTTGAATAAATCTATTTAGCTCTATATACAATATTATTTGAATGCTTTACACGCCCCTGCCAGGAACTCATCTCTGACTTTCTTATTTGATATAGATATTTCTGTGTGCCCATAATACTCTGAGCCCACCCCTATTACAAAATGTATCAACCTCAACTGATATGGTTGGCTTACTCATCTAGAAGCTCAAAAGTAGACTGTCTTATTGGCACCTAGCCTAATACGATGCCTGGATTTTAGTAGGTACTCAGTAAATGTTTGCTTGGTTGAATTAACAAAAAATAATTTACTATAACACAAATAAACATAATTAACTTTTTAAGAAGTTTACTAACTGATTTAATATGCAAAGTGTAAAGCAATAAGGAAAGATTTAATTATGTTTTTATTGATATTAATTAGGGAAGTAGAAAAAAATGAAATTTATCTGAAAACTTAAGTCAACAAGAACACAGTTTTCAAATTAAATTGATTCTGTACTGGAGTCTGGCTTAAAATTGATTCAGAATGGTTACTTGCTTTAGTGACTACTACCTTGCAATTTGTCCAGAAGCACAACAGCTATTCGATGCTGAGCTTGAATTAGTTCAAGATGCAAATCCATCATGAAACTATTTGAGGCAAGTGGTTTGTAAGTATCTCCATCTATATGGTGGGTACGCTTTGGTCCAACAGAGTTGAAATAAAAAGAAATATAGTTATCAAAACACACAAAAATAGCTGTATACTATTATCACTCAAGTTATCATCATCTTATTTGTAACCATTACATTCTGCTCACTTCTCAGCCCTTTGCAGTTTGCTTAAACACTAATAAATATGCCCTTAGAATTCATCAGTGTCCTCTTCATTAACAAATTCAAAGACTCCTCATTCTCCTAGCTCTCTTCTGGGAAGAGGGAAATATATTTCTGGCCTATGAGAGGTAAGCCAACACAAGTCATGCTTTACTTACCTACTTTCAAGGCCAGTTTTCTTCCCAGTTAAGTAAAACTTCAATCTAATTTAAGACTCTTCCATTCTTACCTTGGCATAGCAGTGGTCAATTACTGATGATCCATTTGGCAAAGAGGTTAACATGCAATTCAAATTTATTCCACCGATTGCTCTGTCAAGAAGTTTATAAGCAAAAAGTAACTGTTCCACAGGATTTTTCTAAAATAATTTTATAAACAAAAAAGAAAAATAAAACAAGGGAAAATCAAATGCAACACTTCCAATTTTTGACAATAATTCAAAACCACATAACAGAAATTTAAATAGTCTATCTAACACTAACAATGTTATGTCTCTAACTACATGTATTTATCTGTGACTAAATGTGGAGTGCTATCAATATGGGTGACAATAATAAATAAATTTCACCATTTTTCCAAATACAAATTAAACCTTTCACAAACATGTATTAATATATATAACTTCCATTTATGGTTTGCATAATTCTGATTGTACTAAATGTACTGGTACATTTTTAAAAGAGTTCACATAGTTTGTCACTTTCATATACCTAATTTGAAAAAGATTTTTTAAAACAATTTCAGAATCTCAGACTAGAAATTTAGTCCATCAACCCAACAGTCTATATTAGTCTACATCATGATTTTCAAAAACTAAACACTTTTTAATGTAATCATTCTCACAGAGAGACAAATATAGAGAATAATGTAAAGAGCAACCAGCTTTGCCCAAACTTTCAAATTTTCCATATTTTTCCAGATTTTTTAAGGAAATAAAGCATACAGATATATGCATGTTATATATATATAACTATATATATTACTATACATATATTACTATATATATATATAACTATATATATTACTATACATATATTACTATATATATATATAACTATATATATAGTTAACTGTCCACAGTGCCACTCCTCTTCTCTGCCCCAGAGGTAGCCACTGTCCTTGAATTTGGTTTTACTATTTTGTGCATGTTTTTAAACTTTTACTACATGTGTATGTATCCTTAACCATATGCAATATCACTTTGCATATTTTTAATTCTCTTTTATAAAACTCTGTAGGCTCCTTTTAAAACTCAACCATATGTTGTTGAAACTTATTCCTGCTGGTATATGTAACTCAATGGGTCAGTCAGGGATTGGTTATGAACACAAAACTACGCTACATATTTCAAGCAAAAGAAGACTTAATACACAGAATTAGAAGTGTTCATCACCATTGCAAGGCATGAAAGAGCCAAGATAGGAAAGCTGCCAGTGACAATTTTGCTTCATGCAATTCTCAAGAGTTTGCTCAGAAGCCTCTGTGAACCTAAGAATCTAGGAGGCAGCTGACAACAACCTCAAGCACCTACTACACTGAAGCAGGTGAATTGCAAGAGTTTGCTCAGCATGCCTGGTAAACTCATATCATCTATTCGCCACTATGGATTAAGAAGTATCTCTTCTCTTCTGAATTACAAATTCATGCAAATGCCCCTCATTGGAAGACTAATTTAAAACTATACAGAAATGAGATGCTGGAAATATAGTTCCAGGTTTCCCCCCTATAATGCGAAGGTAACTATAGAAGGGAATTGCAATGATGCCAAGTTTACTCTAGTATAAGCCTACTCCAGTTCATTTATCCTCACAGCTACAATGAAATGGTGTTACTTGGAGGAATATGTCCCAATTTATCCACTCTTCTGCCAATGGACATTTAGATTACTATTACTAAGGCCAGGCGTGGTGGCTCACGCCTGTAACCCCAACACTTGGGGAGGCCAAGGCAGGAGGTCACCTGAGGTCAGGAGTTCAAGACCAGCCTGGCCAAAACCGTGAAACCGTGTCCCTACCAAAAAATACAAAAATTAGCCGGGCATGATGGTGCAGACCTGTAGTCCCACATACTTGGGAGACTGAGGCATGAGAATCACTTGAACCCGGGAGGCAGAGGCTGCAGTGAGCCCTGATCATGCCACTGCACTCCAGCCTGGGTAACAGAGTGAGACCCTGTTTCAAAAAACAACAAAAAAAAGATTATTATTACTAAATATGCTGCAATGTATTGTACTTGTCTGTGAATAAACACAAAGTTGATACTTTCTTTTATTCTTTTTTTTTTTTTTTTTTTTGAGATGTAGTTTTGCTCTTGTTGCCCAGGTTGGAGCGCAATGGCGTGATCTCAGCTCACTGCAACCTCTGCCTCCCAGGTTCAAGCAATTCTCCTGCCTCAGGCTTCCAAGCAGCTGGAATAACAGGCATGCGCCACCATGCCCAGCTAATTTTGTATTTTTAGTAGACATGGGGTTTCTCCATGTTGGTCAGGCTTGTCTCGAACTCCTGACCTCAGGTGATCCACCCGCCTTGGCCTCCAAAAGTGCTGGGATTACAGGCATGAGCCACCACGCCCAGCCCAAAGTTCATACTTTCTTTACAGTACTTACACCTTTTCTCTGCTTTCTTTTTTTACCCATCTGTCTAAGACTTCCAGGACATGCTGAACAGAAGAATGACAGATAGCTTTATGTGGTTATACCACTATTAAAGGGCTGCTTTTAATCTTTTACCATAGGTATAGCATTTACTCAAGGTCTTTGGATGCCACCCTTATTAGATACAGAGGTTCTTGTATATTCCTAACTACTAAGAGTTATTTTTTTAAAGGATGGTTGCTTTTAAAGAAGATGGTTGTTGAATATTATCAAATGCTTTTTTTGCATCTCTTTGTCTAAGTGAAGTAGTCACATGTTTTCCTTTCATCAGCTAATGCAATGTATTGCATTATGTATTTCTAGTGTTAAATCATCCTGGCATTCCTAGAATATAAACAATTTTATACTATATATACATACAGACACACACACACACACACACACACACACACACACACACATACCCATTCAAGAATCGCAGGCTCAGGAAGGTTCTTAAGTAACCCAAGTAGTGTAAATTCAAATTAAAAACCTACTTGAGGGCAGGCCCCAAGGTTATAAATCATTAGGAGGAGGAATTTTCTCCTACCCACTCCTCTTCTCACTACCCAAGTTGAGGCATCTCCTTATATACATAGGCAGAGGCGGGTTTTTTTGGGTTTGGGGAGGGTTTTTTGTCTTGTTTTGTTATGCAACAGGGTCTCACTCCAGCCTAGAATGGAGTACAGTGGCACGATCTTGCCTCACTGCAGCCTTGATTTCCCGGGCTCAGGCGATCCTCCCAAGTAGCTAGGACTACAGGCACATGTCATCACACCCAGCTAATTTTTGTATTTTTTTTGCAGAGTCATGGTTTCACCATATTGCCCAGGCTGGTCTCAATCTTCTGGGCTCAAGCGATCCACCCACCTTGGCCTCCCCAAAGGGCTAGGATAAAAGGCGTGAGCCACCATACCCAGGCCAGAGTTTTTTTCTAGTCTACCTTTTCCTAGGATATAATCTTTTGTAGGTTCTAACTTTACATATGAGTCTCCTTTCCAACCCCCATCTTTCATGTGCCCAAGCCTCATCTCTTGTCCCTGGATGGTGGTTAAAAATCTAAGTATATTTGTATAAAAACTATGCCCATCAACCTACTGCAGCATCTACTCATAAACTTACCATGCTAGTTTTCAGTTCCCTTTTCTATTTTGGCCCCTGGGATTTACCCAACTTTCTCATGAGCTCTGCAACATGCTTGAGGATATTTGTTCAAATCTGTCCAAAATCTCTAAGTGTTTTCTCCCAGGAGGATGTTCAGCTCATCTTGCCATTTTGCTAGAAACAGAAGTCTCTAAAAGATATCCCTTTTATTTATTTTTTTATTTTTTGAGACAGAGTCTCACTTTGTTGCCCAGGCTGGAGTGCAGTGGTGCGATCTTGGCTCACTGCAACCTCCGCCTCCCAGGTTCAAGCAATTCTCACACCTCAGCCTCCCAAGTAGCTGGGACTACAGGCAGGCACCACAATGCCTGGCTAATTTTTGTGTTTTTAGTAAAGACAGGGTTTTGCCATGTTGGCCAGGCTGGTCTCAAACTTCTGATATTAAGTGATCTGCCCACCTCGGCCTTCCAAAGTGCTGGGATTACAGGTGTGAACCACCACGCCCAGCCAGGGTATCTTTTTAACATCAAAAAATTTCAAAGACCCCACACGCTCACATTCTATCATCATCATCATCACCATCACTACCACCACCATCATCTTTATGATTTTCATCATCCTCATCACAGTCGACATTTAACTAAAACATGTCGCAGGTATAGGGCTAAATGCTTTACTAATAATCTTTTAGTTGCCATAGCCCAGTATAAGGTGGATACAAATTAGTTATAATTTTATAACCCATTTGTTGAAGAAAGAAATGCTCTGTGTTCAGTAAAACTTTGAAATAAGTTTTCTTTCATTTAATCACAATAGTGTCTCATACATTTTTTAAATAGTAGCATGCATATATGCAAGTTATATAATTTATCCCACCTACAGACTCTGCTGGGTGAACTTATGAATTGCGAATTCTCCTTACAATAAACCGTCATTTTTCCCCTCAACTCCATTCCCCTCAGTGAGTCTAAAAACCCTAAGTTGAGATTCAGTGCTTTACGTAAGATATAAGAGAAAAACAGCAGCTATCATGTGCCAGGTACTAGTTTCCACATTACAATATCTCATTTAAACTATATAACAACTCAGTGGAATAGGTACTATTATAATTTTCCAGATGAGGACACTTATACTCAAAAAGACAAAATAATTCATTCAGCATCACACAAATAGTCAATATCAGAATCCAGACTCAACTACAGGTTTCCACACCAAATGCTATGCTCTTCAACCATGCCAAAGAAAATATGTCTACCATATGCCCAGTACAGCTGAGCAGATTGTGTATTGCATAACTTTAGGGGGTAAAATTCACACTGTTGTCATCACAGACTTCTCTGTATTTATTTTGACGATTTCCCAGCAGATGGTAATAAATTATCTTTAAGAGAGGGTACATTTTTCTTATTTAAATAAATAACAGTTCATAAATGGTCTCGTTTCTTTGTTGTGGGAAAATTGCCACCTTAAAAGAAATCCATTTCATATAGTGGTTTTAATTGCCAGAAAATTTATCTCTCAAGGCAAAATCTAGCACTTTGTACCTATAGGTAGGATTTCTATGTCTGCCCTACTCTGCCTCAGAGAATAAGTGCTAGCCCATAAGCCAGTGATTCTCAAACTCTAATGTCCTTAAAAATCTACCAGAGAGGCCAGGCACAGTAGCTCACACCTGTAATCCCAGCACTTTGGGAGGCCGAGGTGGGCAGATCACGAGGTCAGGAGATCGAGACCATCCTGGCTAACATGGTGAAACCCCACCTCCACTAAAAATACAAAAAATTAGCTGGGTGTGGTGGCACATGCCTGTAGTCTCAGCTACTCAGGAGGCTGAGGCAGGAGACTGGCTTGAACCTGGAAGGCAGAGGTTGCAGTGAGCCAAGAGTGCGCCACTGCACTCCAGCCTGGGCAACAGAGCAAGACTCCATCTCAAAAAAAAAAAAAAAATCTACCGGAGGAACTTTTAAGAATCTCACACCTGAAGTTGTGATTGCATATGTCTGGAGTGAGAGATAGGAAGCTGCATATTTAGCAGACACTGTAAGTGATCCCTGGGAAAAACATTGGCAGACAGCTATTATGCCACCTCAATCTCTTATGCATGTCAGTCTCTGTTCTCAATTTAAGATTTCTCAAATCTAGCTCTCTTCAGAAGACACAAGACAGCATAAAGTACTCAGTTGGCATCCCCTGAAACTTAGCATTAGAAGAGGAACGTGCATTTGAGGAAGTAAATTCAGAACGACCCCACAGTCCTCCTGTACATTCATGATGGCATTTGACTGGTACCATTTCTTAGGACTTTATCTATTATACCAAGTATGGAAGAGAATAGATAAAATAACACTTTTAAAATTAGCACTTGTTCTTCTATTTCAGGGGGCTCCCAAATATAAATGTGAGGGGGGGTGGCATGTTATTAAAAACCAAGTAAAGTCATTTATATCTATGCATTATATAAATATCTTTTATACAAATATCTTGAAGACATTATTATTTAGGATAGGAGTTACTCCTAGGTAGGGGAAAGGCAAGGTGATCAAGAGAGGGTAGCAGAGGAGGTGAGTTTTATCTATACTAGGAATATTTTGTTTCTTAAGCTAGCATATGAGGAAATGGTAAATTATAATGGGGCTTCATTACAATATTCTTCATAAAAGGTAGAAAAATGTCCCTATAGTTCTCAATATATAAAGCCATATAATCCTCAAATTTTAAATATTCAAAATTATTTCTACAATTAACCATTATGCATTTACAAATTTAATATTATTTGAAAATAAAATTGCATGTTTCACCTAAATTTTCTAAATATGTAGTAATACCTGTAATATTGGAAGAATTTCTGTGATCCCTTTTGGAGCTCCAGGGAATTTGTTAGTCCCTTCTCTTAAAGGTACATCTGGAAAAGAAAGGAAGGAGGAAGGGAATGAAGGATGGAGGGGAAGGGAGAAGAGGAGATGAAAAAAAAGGAAAAGTAGGAAGAGGAAGAGGACAGGGCAAGAGTGAGGAGGAAACGAAAGAAGAAGGAAGGACCAGAGAAATAAAAAGGAGGAAAGAGAAAAATGGAAATATAGCAGTGAATCATAATCATAAAAAACTTTATGCTAAATTAATTACTTTTTAATTACCGATAATCTCAGAAATGATTCAACACTAGAATTTGACTAAGCATCAAATTATTTCTTCCATCTAATTAAATATTTTCTTCTGTAAGGTAATTTAAAAAAATCTTGTAACGTAACAAACCAAATATTTATCAACAAGTCAATATCATCTTTCTCTATATTCTATAAGGTCCATTTAAAATCTTTCAGAGGCCAGGTGCGGTGGCTTACACCTGTAATCCCAGCACTTTGGGATGCCGAGGCAAGTAGATACCTGAGGTCAGGAGTTCAAGACCAGCCTGGCCAACATGATGAAACCCCACCTCTACTAAAAATACAAAAATTAGCCAGGCATGGTGGCGCGTGCCTGTAATCCCAGCTACTGGGAGGTGCTGAGGCAGGAGAATTGCTTGAACCCGGGAGGCGGAGGTTGCAGTGAGCGAAGATCATGCCACTGCACTCCAGCCTGGGCGACAGAGTGAGACTTCATCTCAAAAAATAAATAAATAAATATAAAAGCTTTCAGAAGATAGCATAGAAACCCTATCAATTTGGACAAATATCAGAGAAGACTTGTACTTTATGTTTTAGGTGGCAACAAGGTGTTAAGAATAACATTCTTAGAAGTTATAAGAATTTATATATCTAAATAGGGACAACCCCTCATTACATAAATATAGAAGTTTTCAAATTTATAAATGGATTATGCTCCAATATTGATCAGCTCTTCAGAAATGAAACATTTTAACAATCAATAACTTAAATTTTATTTAGCCCATTTATAATGATATAAAACAATAATCTCCCCCACAGTAACTAGTAAATAAAACAATAACATTAAGTAAGAAATAGAGTTGTTTTTTTTTTTGAGATGGAGTCTCACACTGTTGACCAGGCTAGAGGGCAGTGGCATGATCTCGGCTCACTGTAACCTCTGCCTCCCAGCTTCAGGTGATTCTCCTGCCTCAGCCTCCCGAGCAGCTGGGACTACAGGCACATGCCACCATGCTCAGCTAATTTTTGTATTTTTAGTAGAGGCAGGGTTTCACCATGTTGGCCATACTGGTCTTGAACTCCTGACCTCATGTGGTCCACCTGGCTTGGCCTACCAAAATGCTGGGATTACAGGCATGAGCCACTGCACCTGGCCAGAAATAGACATTTTTAAAAAGTAATCAGTAATGCATAATGTAGAAAAATTCTCTTGGCTGAAGGAAAGCTGGAAACTATATATTTTAAATCTACAAGCTAAGAAGATGGTGGAAAATAAATAAACAAACAAACAAACAAACAAATACATGGCCAGGATCTTGGGAAGGAAGTGTGGAGAAAAAAACAAACTATTTTTCCCTGCTTTCATGCCACAACAATCAACACAGATTTCTGTGACTAAGTGTGGAGTGGGGGGTCCCTGCATACCAAACATGAAATCAATTCTGCGGTGGACACCAGCTGGGCATTCTCCAACCCTGTTCACTTCCAACACTACCTTGCAGATAGAGTCAGATCACACAGATTGAGGACTCAGTCCCATAAGACTGCTGTTTTCCCCACTCTGCTCCCTGCTTCCAATGCTGACCATAAGCCCCAGCTTGTTTTACCTGTGCTTCTGACCAGCTGGCTACAAACTAAAGTTCCTGTGACCCCCTCCCTGGGTCTGATTAATTTGCAACAGTGGCTCACAGAATTCAGGGAAACAGTTATGTTTATCACTTTATCATAAAGGCTATTACAAAGGATACAGATAAAGAGATACATAGCATAAGGCATAAAGGAAGGGGCATGGCGCTTCCATGCCCTCCCAGGACCACCACCCTCCAGGAACCTCCAAGTGCTCAGCTATCCAGAAGTTCTCTGTACCATGTCCTCATGGACCTTTTATGGAGACTTCATTAGATATGCATAATTGATGACTGGATGGATGTACAGCTGTGCAGAAATGCGATTGGACAAAAAGGGTATGATCTAATAACCTTTAGAAACCCATTGCTATGATTTGAATATTTGTCTCCTCCAAACTCATGTTGAAATTTAATCCTCAATGTGGCGGTATTGAGAGATGGATCCCATAAGAGATGACTGGGTCACGGAGGCTCTCCTCACATGAATAGGTTAACTCATTCATAGACTAATGGATTAACAGGTTAACGGACTGATGAGTTATCATGGGAGCGGGACTGGTGACTTTATTTTTTTTTGGAAATATATTGTTTGTTTTTTAAAAAATATCTTACACTCACTCATATTTTACTTACTGGCCCTGTTTTATGTCAGTTCAGAGTTTTGTATCTTTTTTATTTATTATACTTTAAGTTCTGGGGTACATGTGCAGAATATGCAGGTTTGTTCCACAGGTATACACGTGCCATGGTGGTTTGCTGCACCCATCAACCCGTTATCTGTATTAGGTAGTTCTCCTAATGCTATCCTTCCCCTAGCTCCCCACCCCCTGACTGGACTGGTGACTTTATAAGAAGAGGAAGAGGTCGGGTGCAGTGGCTCATACCTGTAATCTCAGCACTTTGGGAGGCCGAGGAGGGTGGATCACCTGAGGTCAGGAGTTCAAGACCAGCCTGGCCAACATGGTGAAACCCTGTCTCTACTAAAAATACAAAAAAATTGCTGGGTGTGGTGGCTCATGCCTGTAATCCCAGCTACTCGGGAGGCTGAGGCAAAAGAATCACTTGAACCCAGGAGGCGGAGGCTGCAGTGAGCCAAGATCGTGCCACCGCACTCTAGCCTGGGTAAAAGAGCGAGACTCCGTCTCAAAGGGAAAAAAAAAAAAAAGAAAAGGAAGAGATACCTGATAGCTTCCTCAGCCCCCTATCACTGATGCTCTGTGCCACCTCAGACACTGCAGAAAGTCTCCGTGAGTAAGAAAGCCCTCACCAGATGCAGCCCCTAGACTTTGCACTTCTCAGCCTCCACAACTGTAAGAAATAAGGTCCTTTCCTTTATAAATTACTCAGTTTCAGGTATTCTAAGTAACAGAAAATGGACTAAGATACCCAGCAAGGCCTGTCTGTTCAGATTCTTCCTGGCCTCTCTGTGCCACGTTCCTTCCTCCTGGGTATGGGGCAGGACCCCTTCTGAAATGAGTCTTATGTCCTACAATCAGACAAGGTAGGTCAAAGAATTTCTTTATGATCAGCTCGAAGACAGAGAGGCAGGAGAAGATTAGAGTATATTTTCAGTTTCTATGGCCATCCTTGGAGAGAAAAAGGAGCAGGAGAAAGGAGGAAAGTAGAAAGTCAGAGAGAGAGAGAGAGAGAGAGAGAGAGAGAGATATTCTGTTTTCTGAGGACTGCTTCGGAGGCCTAAAGTGCCCCAACATTATAACAAAAGACTCTCTTTCACTTTTATTGCTCCAAAGCTGTTCTGAAGCTACTTCATGAACCAAGGACAAAAAGCCACTCTTTAACAAAAGGTATGCTTATTGTTTTAGTCACTTAGGAAATAAGAACTAGGGAGTCATGAGCCAGGAACTGCGGACAACAATAATTATTTATATATATATATAAAACATACAAAATATATGTGTTCATTGATGGTTTATGTTATTGGGAAGGTTTCCAGTCAACAGCAGGCTATTAGAGTTAAGTTTTGGAGAAGCCAAAACATGGATTTAGGATGGGTGCCCCTAACCCTCATATTGTTCAAGGGTCAACTGCATATATATCATATATCATAGTATCACAGAGTCACATCTGAATATTGGAAAGGGAGGCCAGAGTATAGAACACATTAGAGCTACTTTTCCCACTGGGGCTTATATCAATTCTGGAGAGAGAAGCTGAGAAACTGAGTGATACCTCTGATAGCCTTGAGAGAAAAGCAACAGGGATTGGGATCCAGGGCCCACCAAGGATGAGAAGCAAAAGAGACTCCATCCTAGAAGTTAGGGTGAACTGAAAATAGATCTTCAAGGAGAAAGCATTTCAGCTTCAAAATATCTTAATCCCTCAAACTGGAATAATGGGATCCTAGAGTATTAGTGCCTTTCATGCATCTAGTAAAAGCAAGCATAAATCTTCCCTAGAAAACGAAAACATCATCCAAAGCCTCAATTATTTCTACAAAATGCTTAGCAATAATGTCCATTACACACTCAAAAATAACCAGACTAGCCAAACAGGTGTGAGGTTAAGTTCTTCATTGAAGACTTCAGTATAATAAATGCAAAAGGAATGAAAGAAGTTAGGAGTCCCTCCTGGCTTCTTACCCCCAGTCTCCTAGCAGCCCTTCACCAATGACAGATAAAAGCCGTAGAAATACAACTTCATTGTATTTGTTCTGTATGGGATCCTAGAGGTCCCTCATGGGAACAGGCCCTGAACTCACAACAGCAGCCTTCTCATTAACTTACCATGCATTACATGGGGCTTCCTTTCCTCCGCTGTCTCACTTCTCCACTGTGCTTCCCTGGATAAGGTCCCAAATAAACTACTTCACTCAAATCATTGTCTCAGAATCTCCTTCTGGGGAACCAACCTAGACCTGAACTCACAGATAAATCTTTATAGCCCAAAAAGTGGGATAACTAGGCATTGTGTGCCTCCTGATTCAACGCAAGGGAGTAAATAGCACTACCTATGAAGTACTGTTGCTGAAAAATAAGACAAGTGGCAAGAATTCTTCTTAACAAAGTATCAGCAGAATCTAAGTAAGCATCCAGCTCTAACTACCAGGTGAGAAGCAAGTTAATCAACATCACATGGAGGGAAATGGCCAAATCCAGAATGTGGAAAATCCCACAGGATAATGACTCAGTTTCTTCAAAAGATAAACGTCTTGAAAGGGGAGTATGAAGGAGAGAAACCACTAGAGATTAGAGAGATTTAAGAGACATGTCAAGAAAATACAATGTGTGGGCCTTGTTTGGATTCTGATTGGAACAAACCAACTTTAAAAGATATTTTTTAATACAATCAGGGACATCGGAATTATTCCCCATTTTGTAAGATATAATAATAATGGCACTGTGGTTTTATGTTTTGAAAAATCCTTATCTGTCAGATAATAGTTAGATACACACATACACATGGTGGGGTGGTATTTGCTGGAAAAATTACGTGTCTGTTTTAAAATACTCGGAGAGGGGGAAACGTTGCAGGGAGAGATGAAATGAGATTGAAAAGATGTTGATAATTATTGGTGCCGGACGATGCATACATGGTGATTTATTTTTTCTCTCCACCTTATATTTAAAGTTCTGCATAACAAAAGTTTTTAAAAGGAAAAAAAGCATTTTAATCCAGGACATTTCAGAAATATAACCTGAGGCCAATGAATGTGTTCGATGGCCAGAGACTTTTAGCTGATGGTTGTCAAACTTTGATCTATATCAAATTCACCTGAGAAGCTAATAAAGACTAAAAAGGTCCAGGCTAGCTGAAGTAGGACAGAGCTTGGGCCTTGCATTTTTAACAAGCTTTCAGGTGATATTGATAACAATCAAAATTTGAGAACCATGGCTCTAAAACTCCATCTGCAAGGCCACACTCAACAGCGGAGGACAGGCAGAGCCAGATTCGTGAATCTCCAAGTAAAGAGTAACTTTATTACGAAGTCCTCCAGATGTCATACATGCTCTATAAGTGGGGTGAAACAGCAAAGTAAACACCCTCCATGGACTCCTCCACATTATTCCCCACCCCATGAAATATAGTACAGGGCTGCAACCAGAGGCAGAACAAAGAACAAGGAGGTCAGAGCAGAAGGCCATCCTTTGAGAGAAGACATCTCCTGAATGGAGAAGAGAAAGGGGTTGAGACAGGAAGAATGGGGGCTGGTGGGGAGGGGGTGCTAGGAAATGAAAGCAAAAAGAGGAAGATGATAAGGATAAGAAGAAAAAGAGAAAGGGGAGGAGAAACAATAAATGAAGAAAGAATTTTAAAAGGAAGGAATTAGAAGAAAGAAAATAGAAAAGGAGATAGAAAGTAGAATGACACTGATCCATTCAACACTTACTTGATCTCCTGCGCTGTGTCAGATGATTTGGTGGGTGCCAAGAATATGTCAGTGTCCAAAACATAGTCTTCCTTCAAGCATTCACTCTTATGGGAAATGGAAGGGGAGGAAAAACAAAGGAAGATAAAAGAGAGGAGAGGTGGTTGGGTGCAGTGGCTCACATCTGTAATCCCAGCCCTTTGGGAGGCCAGGGCAGGCAGATCACTTGAGGTCAGAAGTTCGAAAGCAGTGTGGTCAATATGGTGAAACCCTGTCTCTACTAAAAATACAAAAATTAGCCAGGCATGGTGGCCAGCACCTGTAATCCCAGCTACTCGGGAGGCTGAGGCAGGAGAATCGCTTGAACCTGGGAGATGGAGGTTGCAGTGAGCTGAGATTGTGCCACTGCACTCCAGCCTGGGCAACAGAGCAAAACTCCGTCTCAAAAAAAAAAAAAAAAGGGAGAGAAAGTGAAAAAAGAAAGAAAGAGAAGGGACTAAAGGGGAGTAGGCAGTAATTAGGAACAGAGAAAAGGAATATGAGAAGACAAAAAGGATTTTGTCCTTCACTGAATCAGAGAGCATGAAACCTTAACATCCACTTGATGAAACTATCTTATTATCTATCTCTAATTATAAATCCTCAATGAAGCATAATATTGAAGTGCCTAGTTTCCATTAGTAGGAGTTATCCTGCATTTGATATCATACCTATATATTTGTATTTATATATGTATACAATTTTTCAGCCAACATTTTACCTAGAGATTGTTTAAATTTTCTTCCTGGGCTTCCTAAAGATTCCAATATTTCACTTAACCGTAATGTGACTTCTGCCACTACCACAATGTCAATGTCTTCCATTTTATAGCAGTGAATTACTTCATTTATCTGCCACAGAAGATAAATCCACTAAAAAGAGAAAATACACAGCAAAATTAATTAAAAGTATATGAAACTGTAGAAACAGTCACATTTTTCAAAACTTATACTTCCTTGAAACAACCATCTTCTAATCATATGGAAATGTTACACAGGTACCCCTCCTTATTAACGCCTTAATTATAAATAACATAAAACTCAATAATCCTTTTAAAATGATATTTAGTAATCAATCTGTTTATATAAATTCATAAAGTAGATTCATTTAAGTCTAGAGTCTGCACATCTATAGCCATTATGGCAAATTTATGATCTGTTATTTGTACATATCAGTGAATAGTATCTGTATCCTCAAAGTTCTCACTGTCCCTTTGAAGCAGCTATTATGATTACTATCAACATCCTCCTTATGAGTGGGGAAGCAGGTGTTTCAGGCTCCATATCAGGTGACTTAGATTGTCTTTCATGGCCGGGCACGGTGGTTCACGCCTGTAATCCCAGCACTTTGAGAGGCTGAGGCGGGTGGATCACGAGGTCAGGAGTTCGAGACTAGCCTGGCCTATATGGTGAAACCCTGTCTCTATTAAAAATACAAAAAATAGCCAGCGTATTGGCGCACACCTGTAATCCCAGCTACTCTGAAGCCTGAGGCAGGAGAATCGCTTGAACCCGGGAGGTGGGGATTGCAGTGGGCCAGGATCGTGCCTCTGCACTCCAGCCTGGGCAAAAGAGCGAGTCTCTGTCTCAAAAAAAAAGAGAAAGAAAGAAATTGTCTTTCATGCCTGTATCCCCAAAGCTTAGCACATAAAACCAACTATCACATTTTGGGACCTGAGATTATAAAACGGTATTTATGTACTCACATTATTACTTAACAGAGTACATGATAAAAATCACACCTATGCATACTAATGTAGCTAATCTTATGCAGCTTCCAAATTACCAAAGCTATAATATTTGTTATTATTAAATTTTTTCTCCTAAGTTTCCAGGTTATAATATTCAAATGCTCACCCTTCTCCCTCCTATAAAGTAGCTCTTTTAAATGGTCTAAATATATTATTGCAGGGGGAGAAAATCTGACACTCTTACGTCTCTGTATTCTCTATTATTAATCTTCTTTTTGAATTGATCCAAGCTCATATGACCTCAGATACATTATATTTATTTTTTATTTTTATTTATTTTTTTTGAGACAGAGTTTCACTCTGTTGTCCAGGCTAGAGTGCAGTGGTGTGATCTCGGCTCACTGCAACCTCCACCTCCTGGGTTCAAGCAATCCTCCTGCCTCAGCCTACTGAGTAGCTGGGACTGCAGGCACACACCACCATGTCCAGCTAATTTTTGTATTTTTAGTAGAGACGGGGTTTTCACCATGTTGACCAGGCTGGTCTCAAACTCCTGACCTCGGGTGATCCACCTGCCTCAGCCTCCCAAAGGTCTGGGATTACAGGTGTCAGCCCCTGTGCCTGGCCCATACTATATTTATTCTTCACTTAAAAGCTTGAAGCCGGGCGCAGGGGCTCACATTTGTAATCCCAGCACTTTGAGAGACCAAAGCAGGTAGATCACGAGGTCAGGAGTTCAAGACCAGCCTGGCCAAGATGGTGAAACCCCATCTCTACTAAAAATACAAAAATTAGCCGGCCGTGGTGGTGGATGCCCGTAATCGCAGCTACTCCAGAAGCTGAGGCAGGAGAATCGCTTGAACCCGGCAGGCAGAGGTTGCAGTTAGCCAATGCACTCCAGACTGAGTGACAGAGCAAGACTCCATCTCAAAAACAAAAACAAAAAAAAAAAAACCTGAAAAGGCCGGGCGTGGTGGCTCATGCCTATAATAATCCAAACACTTTGGGAGGCTGAGATGAGCAGATTGCTTGAACCTGGGAGTTTGTGACCAGCCTGGGCAATGTGGTAAAACCCCATCTCTACAAAAAATAAAACAAAATTGCTGGGCATGGTGGTGTATGCCTGTAGTCCCAGCTACTAGGGAGGCTGAGCTGTGGAGGATCACTTGAGCCCAGGAGGCAGAGGTTGCAGTGAGCCAAGATCATGGTACCATACTACTGCAGCCTCCAGGACAGAGCAAGACTCTGCCAAAAAAAAAAAGGCCTGAAACACCTCTTCGCTCCTCACAACAAACAAAATTAGAACAGGAGTGCAGGGAACACACATTAAAAGAAAGGGTCACTCAGCGCTAGAAAGAATATCTTCTTTATATATGTATATATGCAAATGAAAGTCATTAACCAGGTGAAAAATAGGAAAAATTTAGATTTGAAATGTGTGTGGCAACTTGAATAAGCAATAGCAAAAAAAACACGTGAAAGGGAATGCGAAAGGAATACTTTGTTAGTACTGATTTTCTGGGTGAATTTTGCATAGTCATTTCTGGATATATTGAGCCGCTGAATTCCTAATTTGCATTTCTGCCATAGGAACATTATCGTGTCCACAACAATTTCTTTATCAGGTTGAACATCCTAAAAACAAAAGTGAGAAGGTAAATGAGTAGGAATAATAAAATACATGTATATAACATTTACTGTGTGCTGAGAAACACTCTAAGAGCTTTACAAATACTAACATGTTGAATCTTCATAATGACCCTATGAGAGGAGTCCTAGTATGATCCTCCCCATTTTACAGAGGAGCAAACTGAAACACAAGGAGATTAAGTGATTTTTCCCAACATGAAATGACTAAAGAGTGGCAGATGGGAGGGATTCAAACCTAAGTAGTCTAGCTCCAGAGTCCTCACTCCTTTTTTTTTTGAAACAGGGCCTCACTCTGTCACTCAGGCTGGAGTGCAATGGCAAGATCTCGGCTCGCAATCTCACCTCCACATCCCAGCAGGTTCAAGCGATTCTCGTGCCTCAGCTTCCCAAGTAGCTAGGAATACAGGTGCACACCACCACACCCAGCTCATTTTTGTATTTTTAGTAGATATGGAGTTTCACCATGTTGGCCAGGCTGGTCTCGAACCCCTGGCCTCAAGTGATCCACCTGCCGTGCCATCCCAAAGTACTGGGATTACAGTGTGAGCCACCGTGACCCACCTAGATCCATCACTCTTAATGAATGCTCTATGCTCTTCCGCCTCTCTAAAAAGAAAATTCCCAAACATTTTTAGGCAAGTTTGCAAACCAATTACTTCCACCTGACTGTGAAATTTACATATACTTTTCTCTTTTTAAAATTCTTGCATTAAAATAATAAGGAATTGGACAGGCGCAGCGGCTCAGACCTATAATCCCAGCACTTTGGGAGGCCAAGGCGGGTGGATCACCTGAGGTCAGGAGTTCAAGACCAGCCTGGCAAACATGGCGAAACCCTATCTCTACTAAAAATATAAAAAGTAGCTGGGCATGGTGTCGTGTGCCTGTAGTCCCAGCTACTTGGGAGGCTAAGCCACAAGAATCGCTTGAACCCGGGAGGCAGAGGTTGTGGTGAGCCAAAATTGCACCACTGTACTCCAGCTTGGCGACAGAGCAAGACTCTGTCTCAAAAATAATAATAATAAGGAATTGGAGCAGGGGGAGATGAACTAGTAACTAGAGAAGCAATGGGGAGTTGGGAAAGTGTAGAGACAAGAAGGAAAGGCAAAAGCTGAACAGAACCTCACACTGGGTGTCAACTGATGAGCCATAATGAGTATGTTTTCTCTCATCCAAGTTACTTGCCTTTGCAAAAGAAAATTATTATTCATTATAGCTAAATTAGAAAAATAATGAGTTTATGATTAAAATATACCAAACCTGGAGCTCTCTGAGGCTGCTCTAAGACCTAATTTGCATATGTAGCACCTTCCTGCAATGTTTGGGAATACGACAGATATCAATAAGTGTTTATTGAATTGAATTGAATTGAATTGAATTGTATTGAATTGAATTGAATTGAACTAAGACATATATCATTTTAGCAAAACAGATTAATGAGGGCCAGGCACAGTGGCTCACACACCTGTAATCCCAGCACGTTGGGAGGCTGAGGTGGGCGGATCATCTGAGGTCAGGATTTCGAGACCAGCCTGTACAACATGGGGAAACCCGTCTCTACTAAAAATACAAAAACTAGCCAAACATGGTGGCACATGCCTGTAATCCCAGCTACTCGGAAGGCTGAGGCAAGAGAATCACTTGAAACTGGGAGGCAGAGGTTGGAGTGAGCTGAGATCGCACCACTGCACTCCAGCATGGGTGACAGAGTGAGACTCTGTCTCAAAAAAAAAAAAAAAAAAGAAAAAGAAAAAGACAAAGAAAAACAGATAAAGGAAAGTTCCCTACCTTTTTAAGCCTTGATCGCTATTTTTTGGTTAGCTCTCCCACTGTAATAATTTATTTACTGCCAAACACCTTTCTTTCAAAAATTAAATACCTGTCACAGGTTATAACTTATTCTGACAAACCCAGAAGAAATGAAAAATATTATAAAGCAGAACTTCTCAAGTGTGCTTCACTTACCTGGGCAAAAGTTAATACAGTGCTCTATAACCGTGGTTTACATACTTTTTAAAAATGACAATATAACCAAATTTTCAAATGAAATTTCATCAGAATCCCAGTGTTATATACAAAAGTAACAAAAACAGATTAGGAAGCTACTACTTAAAGCTGGGCTTCTCCATTATCCTCAGCAAACTAACACAGGAACAGAAAACCAAACACCACATTCTCACTTATAAGTAGGAGGTGCAGCAAACCACCACGGCACATGTTTACTTATGTAACAAACCTGCATGTCCTGCACATGTACTCCAGAACTTAAAATAAAAATTAAAAACAAATAAATTAATTTAAAAAACAAAACAAAGTTAGGTTTCTGAGGATCCCTGAAATTTGTTTAATAACCATTGCTATATTATAATAGTTTTACCTGAACACTGGTACCCTCTTATAGGTCATTTTAAAATACTGGCCATTGTGTGCAAAGTGACTTCCAATAATAACAAGGCTTTGTACTCATGGATTGAAAGCAGTATTTCATTAAACATATTAACTCTTCCTAAAAACCACTGCCTCATTTCCTTCATTATTAGAAACATAGCCTGAGAATTTCCCAAAAAGGAAGACACTCAAAATGACAACAATAATAAAAAGAAACTTAAAACTACAAGTCAGAATCTAACTTAATCCTATATGCTAATGATTAAACAAAATAAAATTTTAGCAAGGCGTAATTCCTGTGATATTTTAAATTCGGCCTTAAGTTAGGCACAAAAACCTCCTTCCACACTAATAAAAATTATTTAAAATAGCTATTTCACCTGGGGAGCAGTGCAGACACAGACATACAAGGTTGCTGCCAAATGGAAAATATCCTCTGAATATCCACAAGTCTTCAAACAAGTATCTAAGTTCATAAAGTAGAGGAAAATGAAACAA
Source organism: Homo sapiens (assembly GCF_000001405.40). NCBI lineage: Eukaryota > Metazoa > Chordata > Mammalia > Primates > Hominidae > Homo > Homo sapiens. Next base: position 96,535,482 of record NC_000012.12, on the reverse strand, counting down.
AAAAATCACTTACAAAATTTCAAATAGAAAAGGCACAGAAACACAAATATGCTAAAAAAATGACACAAATGATAGGCGGGCAAATATCATGTCAATAAGACAAGTTAAATACTTCTATATGAAAACTAATCTTGGCTGGGGGCAATGGCTTATGCCTGTCATCCCAGCACTTTGGGAGGCTGAGGCAGACGGATCACTTGAGGTCAGGAGTTTGAGACCAGCCTGGCTAACATGGTGAAACCCTGTCTCTACTAAAAACATAAAAATTAGCTGGGCATGGTGGCAAGTCACTGTAATCCTAGCTACTCGGGAGGCTGAGGCAGGAGAACCCAGGAGGCAGAAGTTACACTGAGCCAAGATCATGCCACTGCACTTCAGCCTGGGCAACAGAGTGAGACTGTGACTCAAAATAAATAAATAAATAAATAAACACACACACACACACACACACACACACACACACACACACACACAGAAAAGAAAACTAATCTTAGTGGCTCTAATCCAATTAAAATAGACCATTATCATAAATCCAACATTCCAACATTTGTATGCTATGTCCAAAAAGAAACTGAAGAGGCTTATAATATTAAAGTGCACATAAAATATGGTAGTTGAAAGAAAAATAATAAAAATATTGATTCAGAAATCACTAGAAGACATATATCATTACTTGGTACAAATTACTTACTGCAACTGATAAGCCATGCAATATCTTAAGAACATGGCAAAACATTAAAAACCTGGAATTAAATAGTTCTCTTTGGTGTAAAAAGCAGACACGGCAGGTTTTCAATTATACACACAATAACTTTTAGGATTTGAAAAGTCCTAGAATGGCAAACACTGCAAGCTGGAAAGAGACAGGAGATTACCAAACCTTCCCTTCCTAACATGAACTGATGACTTTGTCCTCTGATTCACTGCCTTGCGGGCCTCCCTCTTATCCAACTAAGCCGGAAAGTAAATAGAACCTCATTCCCCTACTCAAAACTGTCACTCAGAATATAATCTAGCATCCTTACAAAGCCCAGGAACTACATCATCTAGCGCCTAGCTACTTCTCTAACCTTGTCACCTACCACACTTGGTCACACATACCCCCATGCCATTCCTGCAATCACCAAACACACTCTTGTCTCAGGGCCTTTGTACCTCTTGCTCCCTCCGCCTTCAACATCCTTTCTCTCACCATATCTATAAAAGAGCATATTTCGTCAAACTAAATTTTTTGAACAAACAAATAAATACTTACCATGAACAGCAATTTTTTTTAAATAAATTTGAGTTGACTGTCCTTCTTTATAGTTTTCCAAAGGAAAGATCAAACCTTTGTTTCTCTTCACGTTGATTAGTGGTTCCATTGCAATCAGAAGAGTTAAATCCTTCTCTGCTTTCTTTGACTCTGGATCATCCTGCCTCTTGGGGAAGTATATCCCACACGTTAATTAGTAATTGGATGTCATTTTAACAAAAAAAAAACCAGGAGGATAATTTTGCATATATTACCTGGAGAAAATAAATAAGATGTACAGCAGAAGATTCAAATAAACTCCACTCCTCATAGGTAAAAGCTAATTTTATAAATTTCACAGCAGCATCCACAGAAATAACATCTTTTCTTCCTATCATAAGTTCCAGAAGAGATGTTTTTGGAAAATCAAGCATTCCATCTGCACCAATATTTGACACTAGGAAAGGAAGAAGAGAGTTTTGAATATCACTCATGCAAATAAATATTTATTAAATATTCACTATAGACACTTTCAGGCACCAGGAAAACACAATCCCTGCTTTCATAAGATTTACGTTCTAGTGGGGGAAACAAGAAATCTTAGTGGGCAAATACAGGGTGGTGCTTTAGGGACAAATAGGAAGGGCATCCAACACAGATGTGGGGAAGGAGGGCAGTTAGGGAAGGATACTCAGGGGAAAGAGAATGGAATCTCAAACACAGAATGAGCAAGAGTTCCTAGATACAGGTTGGAAACTTGGGAAAGAGATCTAAAATGGGGATAGAGCTTTTAGAGTCATCATTATACATCCACAGTAAATAGTAGATTCAGCCATGGATCATGTTGCCTTGCACAGAATAATAAGAAACACCAACATTTAAGAGAAGAGCAGAGGGAATAAAGGCTGCAAAGGTGAGTGTTTAGAAAGAAAGGAGTACTCAACAGTAACACATAGATACAGAAAGTAAAGAAGAAAAGGACTAGCCAGGCTTATTGGCGTGCACCTATAGTCTCTGTTACTCAGAAGGCTGAAGCAGGATGATAACTTGAGCTCAGAAGTTTGAGTCCAGCCTGAGAAATATAGCAAGAACCTGACTCTCAAAAAAAAAAGAAAGAAAGAAAAGAAAAGTAACTGAAAGTAACTGAAAGTGACCCCTGGATTGAGCAATAAGGTTGTCCATGACATTCTTAGTAGAGTGCTAGAGTCTGCCCACTGTATAAGTAGAAAGAAAATACTTAGGAACAATGAAAACAGACAATACCGTCAATAAATCTGGCTGTACCAAGAAGAAGACCTATAGGGAGGAAGCTGAAAGAAAACACGGAGGCCCAGTCACAGTGGCTTATGTTTGTAATCCCAGCACTTTGGGAGGCCAAGGCAGGTGGATCCCTTGAGCCCAGGAGTTCGAGACCAGCCTGGGCAACATGGAGTAACCCCACCTCTACAAAAAATACAAAAATTAGCCAGGTATGGTGGCACATGCCTGTATTCACAGCTACTCAGGAGGCTGAGGTAGGAGGATCACTAGAGCCCAGGAGGTCCAGGTTACAGTGAAGAATGATCGCACCATTGCACTCCAGCCTGGGTGACAGAGTGAGATCCTGTCTCAAAAAAAAAGGGCACGGTATAATGGGACCACTTGGACACTTGGAGGGATTAGGCTTAAAGACACAAAGAGAAACATCCCCTCTCCTCCATTTAAATGAGAGATAGTGGGAAAGGATCAATATGCATGAGGGTAAATTTGGGGGTTTGGGTGAAGAAAGTCAAGGAAATTCTTATCTAAAACTTGTATTTTTCTTAGGAAGAGAAGAGCCCAAACTATGGCACCAGAAGTTCCCTGCATTCAGATGGGCATTCGCATACACATGTGCACCCACATGTGCCCACACCCACACACTAAACTCACCTAAAGGCATAGGAGCTAACCCTAGGCTTTTCTCCCTCCTCTCAGGTGGACACTAAGGCCAAGTCAGCTAATTGTTCCAAGAAGGAAAGCTCATGGGAAAAGAAAATTAAAAGCAAAAACATCTTGAAAGAAAAACCACAAATGAAGCATCCTTTACCACAAGAAGCAAGAAAATGGAAAAGCACAAACAAGAATTTAAGTGAAAGTGTTCTCTCAGAAAAATAAAAGAGGATATTAGAAACATAAGGCAAGAACAACTGCTGTGAAAAAAGAACCAAGTGGATTCAATGTATAAAGTACATCATCATTGATGGCCGGGTGCGATGGCTTATGCCTGTAATCCCAGCACCTTGGGAGGCCAAGGCAGGCAGATCACCTGGGGTCAGGAGTTTGAGACCAGCCTGGCCAACATGGTGGAACCCCATCTCTACTAAAAATACAAAAAATTGGCCCGGCGTGGTGGTGCACACCTGTAGTCCCAACTACTCGGGAGGCTGAGGCAGGAGAATCGTTTGAACCCAGGAGGCAGAGGCTGCAGTGAGCTGAGATCGTGCCACTGCACTCCAGCCCAGGCAACAGAGCAAGACTCTGTCTCAAACAAACAAACAACAAAAATAACAAAAAAGTATATCATTGTTGAAACAAATAATTAAATAGGTAAACAGAAGAGTAGAACAGAGAGAATCAAAGATGAAATTCGTGACCTGAAAAATCAGATAGAGGAAGCTTCCCAGAATGCAACAGAATAAAGACATGAAAAGAATAAAATAAATAAGACATGGAGGATGAACATCTATCCTGTTAACATCTGTCTAATGGCATCTTCAATGCCTTGAAGGATTTTTTTTTTAAATAATGAATATAAGGAAAGAAATTTAAAAGTAACATGAAAAAATGAAAGAAAGATATGACCTCAAAGTATCTGCTGCATTACTAAACCCACCCCTAGATCCAGTAGAATAAAATGTAAGAATGTCATAAGAAAGAGAAAATTGTAAAAGATACATCTATAAAACAACAAGATTTAAACTGACATTACACTTCTCAACAGAAACACTATATATACAAGATTATAAAAAAGAGCATCAAAATCTTAAAGAAACTTGTAAGTAAACTATTATATCCAGCCAAACTACTTCAAAATTCTTAGAGTTTGTATTTCAGCAAAAAGAAATGAATTTAGAAAGAAGCAATGAAAAATGGGAAGTAATGATGAGGAGAAAAAAATCTTAATAAAGGTATTTTCTGTCTTAAAAAGCAATGACCAGGACTTGTATTCAGAACATAAAAAGAGCTCTCAAAACTCAAGAGAAATAATTAACAATCCAATTAGAAAGTGAACAAAAGACACTAGAGAAAAAGAGAGTATACAGATGGGAAATAAACACATGAAAAACTGTTTAACATCTTTAGCCATTAGGGAAATGCAAATTAAAGTCACAGTGGGATATTACTACACACCTATCAGAATGGCTAAAATAAAAAAGTAATGATACACCAAATTCTGTCAAGGATGTCCAGAAACTGGATCATTTACACATTGCTGGTGGAAATATAGTAGAGTCACCCTGGAGAATAGTATGACAGGTTCTCACAAAACTAAATATGAACTTATCATATATCCAATCCAGCAATTGCACTGTTGAGCATTTTATTCCAGAGAAATGAAAACTTACCTTCACACAAAAACTTGTACTCAACTGTTCATAGCAGCTTTATTTCTAGTAGCCAAAAACTGGAAATAATTCAAATGTCCTTCAAAGGGTAAGTGGTTAAACAAACTGTGGTGTATCCATACCATAAAATAATACTCAGCAGTAACAAGTGAAAAAAAATTTTTTTTGAGACAGAGTCTTGTTCTGTCCCCAGGCTGGAGTGCAGTGGTGGTGGTGTGATCTCCATTCACTGCAACCTCTGACTCCTGGATTCAAATGATTCTTTTGCCTCAGCCTCCCAAGTAGCTGGGACTACAGGCACATGCCATGACGCCTGGCTAATTCTTGTATTTTTAGTAGAGACAGAGTTTCGCCATGTTAGCCAGGCTGGTCTTGAACTCCTGGGCTCAAGGGATCAGCTCGTCTTGGCCTCCCAAAGGGCTGGGGTTACAGGCATGAGCCATGGTACCCCGCCAAGTGAACTATTAATACACACAACCTGGATACATCTCAAGAGAATTATGCTGAGTGAAAAAACAGACAACACACATACGGCCACCTAATTTATGACTAAGGGATACTGCAGCCAACTAAAGGAAGTTATCTTCAATAAATGGTGCTGTGTCAACTGAATATACATATAGAAGTATATAAATCTTGATTTCTACTTCGTATAAACAAAAAAGATCTAATTTCTAATTATAGACCTCATAAACTTAAGGAAGAAACAATAAAACTTATGGAAGAAAACATACGAGAATATATTTACGACATTGGGGTAGCTGAAACTTCTTAACCACAACACACAAAGGATCAACTATATAGGATATATTGATAAATTGGACTATATTAAAATTAAGAATTTCTGTTCCCCAATGGATATCATTAAGAGAATGAAAAGGCAAGCCATCAAGTAAGAAATGATATTTGCAATACATGTATTCAATAAAGGAATTATATCCAGAATAGATAAAGAATTCCTATGAATCGACAGAAAAAAGGACAAAAGGTTAAAATAGGCACCTCACAAAATAGGATATCCAATAGTGAAAAAAGTATATGAAAAAGTGTTTAACTTTATTAGTCATCAGAGAAATTTAAGTTTATACTGCAACACCACTGAATTCACACCAAAATGGACAAAATGAGAAAGACAGATAATACTAAGTGTCAGAGAAAATTTGGAGTAATGGAACCCTGATAAAATGTTGATGGGTGTGCAAACTAAAAAAAACCACTTTGTAAAACAGTATCCAATGAAGCAACATGGGAATATCCCATGCTCTTGCAATTCCACACCAACAGAAATGCATAGCAGATGTTTAACATATTTCTCTGAGTAATTCATAAAATAAAAAGACAAAAACTATCAGTAGGGATAGAGAAGATCTAACCACATGATTTACTAGCTTAACTTAATCAACATATATATAAAGCAATGCATCCAACAACAACAAAAAATACATAGTCTTTCAAGTACACACAGACTATTTACCAAAGCTGGTCATGTGCTAGGCCATAAAGCCTATCTTAACAAATGTTCACAGTTCCAAATAATACATAATGTGCTCTCTGACCATAGTATAATTAACATAGAAATCAGTAACCAAAAGATAATTAGAAAATCTCCCATATTTTGGTTCAGAACCCATATATCAAAGAATAAATCACACTGCGTATTAGAAAATATTCTTACTCCAATAGTAATAAAGATATGATATATCAAAACTTCAGATACATAGCTAAAGCTGAATTTAGAACAAATGTCTTAATATGCATTTAATGTAAATAATAACAAATCCTAAAAATCAATGATCTAAGCTTCCAAGTCAATAAGTTTTTTAAATCAGTAAAGCAAACCCAAGAAAGTATAATAAAGGAAGTAATGAAGAGCAAAAATCAATAATATGGAAAATGGACATACAATAGGGAAGATCAACAAGGTCAAATATTGTTTCTTTGCAAAGACTAATGAAACTGGTGGACCCCTGGTGAAATTGATGAAATAAGAGAGAAAGCAAACTGACCAATACTGAAAAGAAAATCTGAAAAATTTTATATCTATGGAGGAAATTGAATTCATCATTTAAAATATTGCCATACAAAAAATTCCAGGTACAGATGGCTGCACCAGAAAATTCAACTAAACATGTAGGAAGAAATAACACCAATATGACACAAACATTTACAGATAATGGAGAAAGAGGGCATACTTCTCAACTCATTTTATGAGGCTAATATGACCTTGTGAGCGAAACCTAAAAATAACATTACAAGAAAGAAAAGTCTCTCCCTTCAACAGAGAAGCAGAAATAAGCAATCCATAAAATCAACCACATTAATAGAAATAAATGAGAAAGCCATTTGATCGACTCAGTAAATCTCAATAAATTCAGAGAAAGCTTTTGCTAAAATTAAACTATTCAAGATTAAAAACAACAACAAAAAAAAACACTTAGCAAACCAGGAATACAAGAAACATCTGTGATCTGCAAAAGGGTATCTATAAAAATTATTCTGTAGATATCTCAAATAATGGCAAAATGTTGAAAGCTTTCCAACTGAGGAAAAAAATGAGACAAAGGAGTCTGCTATCACCACTTCTTCCCATGTGTTATTGGAGATCCTAGCCAGTGCAACCATCAAGAAATGCAAGAAAAGAGAAATTAAAAGATTAAGGATTGGACAGAAATAAGTCATTCATAGATGACTGTATATACAAAACAAGTCCCCCCAAAAATCTACTAATACATTATTTGAAATATCAATTGACCTTAGCAAGGTTTCTGAATTCAAGATCAATATAAATTATATCAGCTTGGCACAGTGGCTCACACCTGTAATTCCAGCACTTTAGGAGGCTGAGATGGGTGGACTGCTTGTCCCAGGAGGTCGAGACCAGACTGGGAAACACGGTGAGACCCCGTCTCTACAAAAAATACAAAAATTAGCCAGGTGTGGTGGCATGCACCTGTAGTCCCAGCTACTTGGGAGGCTAAGAAGGGAGGATCACTTGAGCCCAGGAAGTTGATGCTGCAATGTGAGCCATGATCACGCCACTGCACTCCAGTCTGGGTGACAAAGAGAGACCTTATCTCAAAAACAAACAAACAACCAAACAAAAAAAAAAAAACAATATAAATGTTATCAGTTTCCTATGTATGGACTACCATGTTAAAATTTTTGTTACTCATGTGTATCATTCTATCATAAAACAATATCTTAACATCTTATTTACTTATCAAAAGTTCTTTTCCTGCCATAAACAATTCTGAGACAACATCATGAATCTCCACTTCATCTGTAACAATGGGTCCAGTTTGCAGTATTCGCCTATTTGAATCAGAAAGAGCTTCCAAGACAGCCAGAAACTGGGATGCAGTGCTATCAAACATCTCATCCAGTAGCCGCTCTGTGACAGTTCGTGGCCATGATAACTGAAATTGAGAAAAAAAAAAGTTCAGTCCATTTGTTAAAGCTATTATATTGTGGGCGCAGTGGCTCATGCCTATAATCCCAACACTTTGGGAGGCCAAGGCAGGAGGATTGCTTGACCCAAGGAGTTCAAGACCACCTGGGCAACACAGTGAGACCCCCATTTCAACAAAAAAATTTCAGAATTGGCCAGGCATGTTGGAATGTGCTTGTAGTCCCAGCTACTTGGGAGGCTGAGGTGGGAGGATCACCTGAGCCCAGGGAGGTAGAGGCTGCAGCAAGCTAAGGTCATGCCACTGCACTCCAGCCTGGGTGACAGAGTGAGACCCTGTCTCAGGCAAAAAAAAAAAAAAAAAAAAAAACCTGTTATAAGGCAAAGAAAAGTAAGGCATGCTTACAATGCTAAAACAGAGAGCAGTTGGTCTAACAATTAGATACCTGCTTTTATGGTTTTTTGAGATGTCACTCCAGATTTCATTAGAGATATCATGCTGCCATTACATCAAAGACTTTGTTGTTTCTTCATATGCTTGTGTTTCCAAGGCAGCATTAAAAGGTTGTTTATTATGGTTTGCTTATTAAGCAAGCATATATCTCCATATGCTTTATAGTATCTTCATTATAGCCTTCGGAACTGATATTCAAACTTTGGTTACCTAAGAATCACTCAGGGGTGCTTTGTAGATTCAAGACCAAATTTCCAGAGATTTTGTGTGTCTGGACACTTTTAATAAGTGTTTAGGACACTTTTAATAAGCACCACAGGATATTCTCATGCAGAAGGTCTTCAAGCCAAAATTTGAAACAGTATTTAGTAGTATAAATAACAAGGTTTGTGGTAATTAACTCTAAGAAAGAATTGATCAGCTTTATGCTAACAGGCTAGTGACTGTTTAGAACCTGCTGTGGGTTCCCAGTCATTCTGCTTTGTACTGGCCCAAAATGACTGCACTTCCTGCACATGCTTCCTGCCACACTTCATTCTTCTCTCCATCAAATGACCTGTTCTCTGCATTTAGTTTGCCAGTAAATAAGAACCGTAGTTTTAGTAGGCTTTTCTAGAATCCTTATCCAGCTGGAAGATTTCCTCATAATTCCCTTGCTTTTATTTCTCTTCTTAGGGCAAAGTCAGAAAGACAGAAAAACAAAAGCAGGGATAAAGTTGCCTTGAACTACTTTCCCGCAAGCACTAGCTTCCCTACTCATAAGCTTGTGTACCTTTTCAATCCATAGATCAACTGACATGTTAAAAATTTCAACAAGGGGCTGGGTGCGGCGGCTCACGCCTGTAATCCCAGCACTTTGGGAGGCCGGGTGGATCACAAGGTCAGGAGTTCGAGACCAGCCTGGCCAATATGGTGAAACCTCATCTCTACTAAAAATACACAAATTAGCCAGGCATGGTGGCGCGCGCCTGTAGTCCCAGTTACTTGGGAGGCTGAGGCAGAATAATCGCTTGAACCCAGGAGGCAGAGGTTGCAGTGAGCCAAGATCATGCCATTGCACTACAGCCTAGGTGACAGAGTGAGACTCCATCTCAAAAAAACTTCAACAAAACTTGAACTTCATGCCCTACCTTCTCTTTTCTTACAGAGGTAAGAGTTTTTCCTAAGATTTTTATTTAGGTTAAAACAGAGCTTTTAAAAATACATATTGAAACAGCATAATTAACTTTATAATAATTAGAAGTATTCAAAATGAAATGGTAAAACCCAAATGAATAAAAGAATGAAATTATTTATAAAAACATCATAGAAAAACCAGCAAAAAGAATGGAATATTTATCAGAGCTGTAAATGAAATATTAACTAAAAGATTTTGAAATATAAATATTTAAAAGATCTATAAAAAAGAATTAAAGCTGAAGCAATAAGGAAAACAATGGATTGTCAAGTATGAAAAGCAAAATAATAATATCTATAAAAATAATGAGCTCATTCAAGTATATTTTAAAAATTAAAATCCCTAGTAAATAAATGGTCAAAGACTGTGAAAAATAATTCACACAATGAAAGAAAAGTTGGCTCAAAGAAATAAAGTTAAAATGGCAAGCCATTTTATGAAAACTGAATTAACAAAAAAAAAATTTAAACAAATAATAATATCAAAATAATAACAGCTTGTGATAAAATTCGTACTTGCAAGTTGTCACCCTGAAAATAGGAATACTCATTTTGGAAGTCAAGTTGGCAACATATATCAAGAGAAATAAAGTGTTTATGTCCTTCAATTCCATAATCCTACACCTGGAATTTTATCCACAGAAAATAAAAGAAAGAAAAAAAATAAGCATGTCTGAAGATGTGGATGATGTCAATACTTATAATAGCAAAAAAAGATTTGAAAGAACTAAAGTAATAATGATAAAATATTAGACAAATTATGACACATATACTGCATAGGATATATTATCTTATTTAAAATGTCAGGATGAATGAAAATCTGAATGGCACAACTGTACAGTCTGGTTCCATCTTTAAATACTACAGTCTCCATGACATCTACTCTAGGAGATGTATTATGTTAATTTCCCAACATCAAGTGCCTATTCCTAGTCAAGCTCTGTTTATCACTGACCCCCAGCAAATTTTGCCTACTCTGGCTTCTAAGCTATGACCATGCTCTGATCCTTCACTTGGAATGTTTTTCTCTATTCTCCCTGTCTAACCAAATTCTGCCCGTTATCCCAAGGCCCTTCAAAAAGCCAGGGCTGCAATTTAGTATTTCTATATTCCACTATACTTGAAACCACAGTAGATACTCAATATATGGTTGTTGAATTAATAAAAAATAAATAAACAATGATAGCTAATATTTACTGAGGACCTACTTTCTACCTGCCAGCAACATTCTAAGGGCTTTACATGTAACTCATTTCATCCTCACCATTATCATTATTTATTTCTTAATATTTATCACAAGCTTTAATTATTTATTTATTTATGATATAATTCTCCACTAGAATGTAATCCTCATCTATTTTGTTCACATAGCAGGTACTTAAAAAATATTTATTGAATAAATCACTAACTAATCAATCATTAGGAGTCTGAATTAGTAGTCCTTTAAAAGAATCTTTTGAGAGTCAAAATGATTTACTATAAGTTAACAACTTACATACAAACCCAGAAATGTTTTAGAAAATATGTTCAATGCATATTGAAATTATTTAGTAGAAACATAATAAAATTATTTCATACACAGAAAACAGGACATTCTGCAAAATATGCCAAGGTAACATAGGATGACGTTATAAAAAGGATGTGTTGACTAGCCTCTGAAACAACTACTCACTAAACAATTACAATTTTTTCTTAAAAAAAAAAAATCACCAGAACTTTTCATTCAACAATTATCTTAAGGGAAATCAGATACAAATTAGTTTTTAATGTAATTTTATCTGGAATTTTAAACATTTTTCTTTGAAAATGTATTTAGTTTTGCTACCAGGATAACTGTTAAGTCCTAATAATATTCTAAGTAACAACAGTCTTGCAACTTTGGATATTTAAATTTGGTTGCTCAGAGAAAAAAAATGCCGGGGAGAAAAAAAAAATTGTTCCCTGTCCTTTTACAAAGACTATAGCATCACTACTTAATACCAGATGCAGGCAGCTTAAAAGCTTATCCAAGGAATTGCCTATAAATTAATTAATATACTTGCCAATTAATATACTGTTGGTTAGTAAGGGATATAGCTCAAAAGGGATGTATAAAATGTACCTGTGGGCTCAGTAGTCAATATTGTCACTAAGTAGCAATGGAAAGGTACCATGTCCAAAAACTTATTTGTATTTAAATATAGTAATTCATTTAAAAGAAAGAAAAAGGATTACTCCTAAATGTGTTAAGAAGAAATGAGGAAAGAGAGTAGCAGTGATTGGAGTAGAGGCCAAGCACTGGACTTAGAGATGCTGGTTCTGGTTCTGCCAGCGGCTGCCTTTGTGACCTTGAGCCAGTCATTTAAATATTGCAGGCTTTATTTTCCCAACTGTAATATAAAAGGACTGAACCAGATGGTTTCCCAAATCCTTTCCAGGTTCTGAGATTTGATACACCTCTTCTGTAAGAAACTGCTCACCTCCTTCCCCCCAGATTCATTTTCAATCTCTACATGGAAGCTCGCAGAAGAGGGTGTATATCCATCTAGAACAGTCAGGGAGAGCTTCAAAACGATATAGAACTGGGCCCTGGGGGATATTAAGAGTCAGGAAGGCAAAGGGAAGAAGAAGAAGAAAAAGACAAGGGGAAGAAAAAGGGCCGAGGGCCCCACAGGTGTAACTTTGCCTACTCCCTGCCCTGTGATCATCTTTACTACTGTTTGCCAAATAGGCTTGTGGTTGGGAGGGGCTGTGTGACTGGTTATGACATGTGAGAAGAACAGACTCATGTCACTTCCATGTTGAGCATCAATGCCCATGAAAGGTCCCCCAGAACTCTCTTTAATCCCCTCTGGCCAAATGACCAGCAATGTTTGAAATGAAGGCGGCTCTTCAGCCTGGCCCTGAGCAGCTTTTGTAAGGCAGAGCCCCTGATAACTAAAATAACATATGACTCCAGTAGGCAATAAATTGTTGTTTTAAGCCACCTGAGGTACGGGTGTTGTTTGTTGCTACTGGATAACCTAGCTCCTGAACATTCCCAAGGGTGAAACCTAAGGCTGATGAGAAAAGGTGCCTCCATCTTCTCCACAGCCTCAAAGCCTGCTCGCCTGCTCAGCTAACCCTAAGTGGTCAAAGACAAAGGCAAGTGCAGAACCACTCAGAGGCCTATTCATTTGCAAGAGCCAGTTCATTGAAATCTTTCACAGGCTCCTCTTCAGCCTCTTGTTCTTTAAGGCTGCAAAACTGGGATTGTGCTAAGACACAAAAGCTTTGAGAAAGAGATGAAGCGAGGCTACGTGCAAACTAGAAAAACATTCTTCTCTCTATTTACCCATTAGGGCAGAGAACTGGGGGCAGAATTTAATAATGAGTGACTAGGCTTGAAAGACATAGGAGCATAATACAAATATACTGCAAAAAGAGTCTTAAAGAGAGAAGACATGTTTAGACTTACAGTTTGTACTTCCCTTAGGTTAATTCTTATCTTAGGTCTAAAGACAGCTTTGTTTTTTCTTCTAGATTCAAAGACTCCTCTTTTGAAGATCATCACTGCCATCTGCCTCAAAAAGCAGAATTATACATGAAATAACAATGAGATGCACTTCCCAACTACTAAGTATTTAATCAGCTGTAGAGTGTGGTAAATTTCTTTTATTTCATGAAATTTTTATACCTTCATTGTGGCCTCTCGAAAATATCTTCGCGATTCTTCCTGGGATTTTGAGGAACTCATTAATTCCAGTTGCCTTAACTCATCAATTTTAGCCAAAGCACGCCGAGCAAATGCCTACATGTGATTAAAATAAATTTAATTCATAAATCAGAATATAGTGATTAAAATGTATAAAGACAATGTTTTGTTCTCCCAGGCATTTGATTTAATCTGTGAATTAAGCTCTAGGTTAATGCTGACTCCTTTTATCCAGTCTATCATTTTATTTAAGAACCACTAAACTCTCTAATAAACTGTGAATAAGGTGACTTTAGGAATTATGAAATTTTAAAAAGGAAAGCTGAAATATCACTTAAACAGTAGCTCCATACAGATTATCGCTTCTCAGCATTTGGCACCGCACGTCCTCATGTGCGCACGCGCACACACACACACACACACACACACACACACACACACACACACACGTCCTCAGTTGCTCTTCTCAAATCCTAACCTTCCTATCATGACATGCTGTATTATCTACCTAACTGTTCACATTGACCATCAAATTGTGACTTCCTGAAAGGATCTTACTCATTTTTGTGTCTCCAATACGCAGCACACTGTATTTAATAAATATCTGAAGGAAGGAAGAAGGGAGGCTTTCTTATTTAATCATATCACCATTATTATAATCCTCTAGAGATAACAAATGAGTTCAAAGGAGTTATTAAGAACTCAATAACAAGAGTTCATGTCCCTTATTTCACCAACTCTTTGAAATATTTCATTCATCATTTATAATTTTTAATGAAGATGCTTCTAGATCAACCAAAATATTAACATATATGAAGGGTTACATTTTCCAATAAAGAAAAATCCCAATAGGGATCAAATGGCCAAAACGCTATAAAAGTTCCATTCCCTAATAATCTTAATAGCTATAGAACAAAATATGCCACCACTAGTACACTGAAGTTAACTATATATATACATGATGAGTTGTCTTTCTGGAATGTATCTTGAGCTACACAAGTAACCCGTGAAGGTTAAATTAGGCTGTTCTGCCTATGTGCCACCAGCATCAAACCCTTCAGAATTAGTTCAGGCAGGAAAAACTAAATGGAATTGTGAATTGGCCAGATGATTTATTTATGGTCGTTAACAAGATATGAATAGGCATGTGCACAGCCATGAAGGCAGTCCTACACAAGACTTCCAGCCAAAGAGGTTGACTAGAGCAGAAATCCAGCTTACGCCCCACATACCAAACCATGCACCCTTGTGCAGGAACGTGTTGGCCCAAAGGAAGGGGTGCTTATTTCTCATTCTCACCAAGGTCCCATCCACTGACCAAGCCAGGTGTCACATAATGTAGAGAAGGTGCCTTTTTCAAATTGATACAGGGGCACTCTACAGGCCAATAGAAGCTCTGGAGTGACACATATATAAATTTATATATATATAAATTTTTTTGAGATGGAGTTTCACTCTTGTTGCCCAGGCTGGAGTGCAACG
This sequence comes from Homo sapiens, assembly GCF_000001405.40. Lineage (NCBI taxonomy): Eukaryota > Metazoa > Chordata > Mammalia > Primates > Hominidae > Homo > Homo sapiens. The sequence continues at coordinate 96,520,470 of NC_000012.12, read as the reverse complement.
GTGCGATCTCAGCTTACTGCAACCTCAGCCTCCCGAGTAGCTGGGACTACAGGTGCACACCACCATGCCTGACTAATTTTTGTATTTTTAGTAGAGACAGGGTTTCACCATGTTGGTCAAGCTGGTCTCGAACTCCTGATCTCAGGTGATCCACCAGCCTTAGCCTCCCAAAGTGCTGGGATTACAGGCATGAGCCACCATGCCCAGCCTGAAGTTAAGTTATATTTCAAGTACTCAATCAAAATGAAATGAAAGAAGGAAAAACAAAAAATAGAGTGTATTAAATGGTCATTAGAAAGTGTATTCAATTAGCTTGGCATAGTGGTGTGTGTCTGTAGTCCCAGATACTCCAGAGACTAAGACTGCAGTGAGCCGTGATCAGACCACTGCACTCCAGCCTGGGCAACAGAGCAAGATTCTGTCTTAAAAAATAAAGAAAGAAAACAAAAGAAAAACAAAGTGTACTAAATGGTGGTTAGCAGAGAAAAGCAAGACAAGAGTGTACATACTAAGTGATAAGGAACACAAAACTAAACGAGGAGGGAAGGTGGCTTGTATTCAAGAGCAAAGTGAGGATGGAAAGACAACAGATAGAAGTTTTTGAGATCTATTGCACAGCATGGTGATCATAGTTAACAATAACGTATTGCATATTTCAAAATTACTAGTAAATAGATTTTAAGTGTTCTCACTACAAGAAAAAGGTATGTGAGAAGATGAATATGTTAATTAGCTTAATCATTCCACAGTGCATACATTCAACAAAACATCACATTGTACCTCATAAGTATATACAATTATTATTTGTCATTTAAAAATAAAAATCTTAATTTTTAAAATTCCAAAAATCTTACTCAGAAATGGAGCAAAGAAGGTGAAAATGAATAGAGAATAAAGGAGAGAGCAGAAAGGAGGGTGAGAGAGAAAAACAATGGAAAAGCCAAGCCAATTTGTGCAAATAAAGCTGAACTTTTGTCTTTTCTTCATTTCAATTCTTTGGTTGGGTTTTGTTTTTCCCCTGGCAGGCATCTAAGGAAGAAAATGCTGGATACGCTCTATTTTAAAATATTGGGCCTGGACACAGTGGCTCACGCCTGTAATCCTAGCATTTTGAGAAGCCAAAGCAGGCAGATCACCTGAGGTCAGGAGTTCGAAATCAGCCTGATCAACATGGCAAAACCCTGTCTCTACTAAAAATACAAAAATTAGCCGGGCATGGTGGCGCATGCCTGTAATCCCAGCTACCCAGGAGGCTGAGGCAGGAGAATCGCTTGAACCTGGGAGGTGGACGTTGCAGTGAGCCGAGATCACATCACTGCACTCCAGCCTGGGCAACAAAGCCAGATTCCATCTCAAAAAAAAAAAAAACTCGACTCCTCAGAGTTAAAAAGCAGCATACCTCTCCGTGAATCCCGGCATGGCAGTCATAGCAGCACTGGCAAACAGCTGTGTAGAGAGTAGCGCGCCATGTCAAGTACCTGAGTGACAGGAGCGGGACCAAGGACTCCATACACATGCTGGCCCACAGGAGATACTCTAAGGCCTGCAAAATAAAGGGCACCATTGGATTTGTTTTCATTTGAAGTTAATAATGATAATTGTATTAAATATAATCAAATTCTAAGTTGTGAGCACAAGTTGCTGATTACTCAAACCAAAAATACCATAAATAACGTGTCAAGAAGAAACAAGCATTTAAAAAGTAAAAGATAATTTAAAAGCTCAAAATCTCAAGCCATTTTGGAAGACATCCTAAAATGTCTTTTTTGTTTGTTTATTTGTTTTTAGACAGAGTCTTGCTCTGTCACCCAGGCTGGAGTGCAATGGCACAATCGCAGCTTACTGCAACCTCCGCCCCCTGGGTTCAATTGATTCTCATGCCTCAGCCTCCTAAGTAACTGGAACTACAGGTGTGCACCACCACACCTGGCTAATTTTTCTATTTTAGTAGAGAGGGGGTTTTACCACGTTGACCAAGCTGGTCTTGAACTCCTGACCTCAAGTGATCCACCCGCCTCGGCCTCCCAAACTGCTGGAATTACAGGCATGAGCCACTGCACCCGGCCTGTCTTGTCTTATTATAAGCCTCTCTGCTCATTTTTATTAACATTTACCATGTCAACAGTAGTCTAGGAATTAACTCCAATGATACAATTGTTATTTGTTGGCCTGGAACCAGTATATGATTCTGAAGATTAGCTGGTATAGGAGGTAAGGAAAATGAAAAAGGCTTACAGCCTGGGGCCTGTGATGCTTAGTAGAAATGGTCCAAGATTAGAATCAAATAAACCTGGATTTTGGTCCCAATTTTACCACCTAGTGGCTGGATCATTTTACCTCTTTACGCCTCAATTTTCTCATCTGTAAAATGGGTATTTTTTCACATTACAATAGTGCTGTTATGGAGAAAGTGACAACGTACATGACATGCTAGGAAAATACTTCCATAATCTAAAATAAAATCCACCTTAATATACCTCCAGTGCATTGGTCCTCATGTCTTCCAGAACAGCACAAAGCAATCCAGAACTCACTTCTAAATTACAGCCATCCAGAAATCTAAAAACATTTATGTAGCCTGCCCTCTCCCTCAGCTCTCTCGTCCAGGGTAAATATCCCCAAGCACTTCCATCCCTCACGGAACTGCACTGCCCTTCTCCACCATGATTGGCCTTCTGTGGCTTTACCCCAGGTTGCCAGCATCCTTTCAGGGTGTATGGCTAGACCACAGTACAGTGAATGCTTTCAGTCCCTGGTTGTGGACACTGTACCTCTTCTAAATTAGACTAAGGTTGATTCCTTGCTGTTTTTGTTGTTGCTGTCATTGCTATTGTTGTGAACTTTGTGAACTGATATGAAATTAATCATATCACCAAAAACCCTCGAATTTTTCTCACATTTGCTGCTCCCTAACAATCTCTATTTCAGATTTTTGCATTTAGATTGTTGTGGTTTGGGTTGGGTGGTATATGATTAAGCCATGCCTAAATTTCCCCTTTAAATTCACATCTTTCTAAAATCCTTCAGGACTCCTGGTATTAGAAATTTCACATTTCAAAATGAAAATAGCTTCAGTTAACAATTGTTCACATTGTATTTGATTTGCTATGGAAAATCAAAGTTTTTTGTGCCAGAAGAGATCTTAAAAGTAACCTAGCTTGACTCCATGAGGCTAAACTCACTCTAATCAAAAGAGCTGGGGCTGAAACTCAGGTCTTTGAACTCCCAAATGCAGTGTTCTTTCCACTACACAGAGGAGCCCTGACAAAGGGGAGAAGCTCACCATAAACCACTTAGGGTTATGAAAAACCATCTTTCAAGTTTAAACAGGAAAAGCCATTTTCAAAATATGACTCAATTTGTAGCATTTTTTTCTTACCCTTAAAAGCTACAAATAATTGTTTCTATTAATTAAAAAATTTAATAGGATACATCAGGACTATTCTCTTCATGGAAAAAAAAAAAAAAACTTTAAAAAGTCAAATGATATCCATATCTAAAACATGGCCCCAGTAAGAGCATGTTGCAGGTGTTGAGCAGGAAATATACATACGATTAAATCAGCTCAGCCACAGGATGGCGCTGCAGCCTCATTTATATCAGCTTACACCATTTAAAGAAAATGACAAGCAATTTCAAAGTTAGGACTTAAAGTTTGTGTAATGGTACGTGAAATAATTTGACAGTAACTGTTCAAGCCACATACGTTGTCAAACCATTTCAGTTTCATAGTAAAATGAAACAGAAATCAATCGTTTCTTAGAATGAACAGATTCTAGATGTATTCTTTAATGTTTGCTGAGTACTATACTACAGTTTTAAATGCCACCAAAGAAGCTAAATTATTCCATAAACAAAAGCAAAATGGTCATATGTCTTCAGGGAAAGAGGTTTCAGAAGTCCGACCGCCCTCTATTCCCTAAGCTTATGCTGGTGACCTGCTGCAGCACTAAATTAGGTGTTTCTCACCTACGGAAGAGCCCCTGGTTAGTTTTGGTTTTCAGGATGTCTTTAGGAAGATAGGGTTATATCAGAAAATATCAACCCCTTCCCTGCAGCTTCTCCATTTGAGTATGTAAACCAAAATAGAATGGGTCATGACGGGATTCTATTTAGTCAACAGACATGCATTATTCTAATGGTACAGAGTGACACTGCCCCTGGTCTCAGCACATCTCTGACTAGATGTGTGACCCTAAGCAAAGTAACTTTTCCCAGCCTCAGCTTCCTTATCTATTATATAAGATAGAGGTAATGGCCGGACGCAGTGGCTCACACCTGTAATCCCAGCACTTTGGGAGGCCGAGGCGGGTGGATCACGAGGTCAGGAGATCAAGACCATCCTGGCTAACAAGGTGAAACCCTGTCTCTACTAAAAATACAAAAAATTAGCCAGGCATTGGGGCGGGTGCCTGTAGTCCCAGCTACTCAGGAGGCTGAGGCAGAAGAATGGCGTGAACCCGGGAGGTGGAGCTTGCAGTGAGCCAAGACCGCGCCACTGCACTCCAGCCTGGGCGACAGAGCGAGACTCCATATCAAAAAAAAAAAAAAAAAAAAACATAGAGGTAATGACAGCACCTTTCTCAAAGTGGTGGTGTGAAGATTAAATGAGATGACAAATGAAAGTGCTTACAAGCATACTTGATGACGGTAGGCATTCATTCAATCAATGTTAATGATGATGATGCTAGTGCCCACCTCATAAGCCTTTCACAGGACCTAGCACATGGTATAGATTCAATAATAACAAAAGCTAGCCATCATGCCTAGATCCTATAAAAACGGGAGTTTAGACAGCATGAGGAGCCCAGGTCTATTTCTCCTTCCGTCTTAGGCTATAACATACTTGAACTCTGAAGTCACTACAGTATTCAAAGCCCTCAGACCCAGGACATCTCACACACGGTGGGACCTCCAAAGACTTGTCTCCATTAAATGGACCCATCAAATCCATTTTTAGCCTCAGCTCAGGAATCAATTTACCAACTGGAGGTTTGGGAATTACTGGTGAAAATTATTAATTTCCTTGAAACAGAAAGAATGTCATTCAGATCTTCAGGTGCCAAATGTACAACCACCCACCCCTCCCCCAAAATTATTGCATCCCTCACCTCCCATCCCCATCCCACAAGACTGGCACCACAGAACTATACTCATTTTGGGCCAGGCACCGTGGCTCACGCCTGTAATCCCAGCATTTTGGAAGGCTTGAGGCGGGAAGATCACTGGAGGTCAGGAGTTCGAGACCAGCCTAGCCAATATGATGAAACCCCATCTCTACTAAAAATACAAAAAATTAGCCTGGCATGGTGGTGGGTGCCTGTAATCCCAGCTACTCAGGGGGCTGTGGCAGGAGAATCACTTGAACCCAGGAGGCAGAGCTTGCAGTGAGCTAAGACGGCGCCACTGCACCCAGCCTGGGCAACAGAGCAACACTCAGTCTCAAAAAAAAAAAAAAAAGAACTATACTCATTTTAGTGTCATTTTACAGGCGATTTAAGTTTTGAAATATAATGAACAAAAGAATAATTTTAGTGGCAAAATTTATGTACCCTGTGCTTTTATTAATTCATATAAAATATTATCGGTTCCCATGGTTTCCTTATGGTTGAAAAACTGAAGATTTATCTCCTAATAAGATTAGAATACCTATTTAATCAGCATGGCAAAATACTCAACTATCCTTATTTTATCAGAGACAAACTCAAGGTATATGAGGCAGAGAAGAAATGTCTTACAAAGGTTATGAATAAGAAATTATTTTAAGATGACTGTCACTTTAAAATTCTCTCAGTGTTAACAAGCACAAACACTAACAGTCAAATGTCGGCACAGACATTTCTGCCCTTCAAAGCTTTGGCAGCAAGCACTGCAGCAGACCAAACTATGATGGTCCTGTGAAGCCATGTTTGTTGTTGTTACACCAAGCGCAACCAGAGTATGCAAATTCTCTTTAGGAAATCATCTGGAACTGAATGTAGCATCATTGCAGTAGTCTGCGGGCCAAGTTTACATTAGGCCTGGGAGAGTCCCCCCTCAATTTAATTCACACTCAGAAAGCTGGCACAGAGCTTCTTCAAGTCACTGTCTGTCATAGAGTTTTTTAATTTGAGAAGCAAAACAGAGAGAGAACACATAATTAATGTTATCCATTGAGCATGCAAATTTCTTTACTTCCATTTTTATTTTTCAGATGTTGTCAACTTTTAAGATACTTGGCTATGCTTTGAGGAAATAAGAAAAAACATATCTCTCCTGAGTGTTAGAATATTCAGGGTAAGGTTCTGTATGGAATAAAGAATAAAGTAGTCATGTTTCAGATGCCAGCAACAACTCAAGCAGGGTCTCAACGGGAGTATATTCGCCCTTCTTGGCCTACATTCCAATAACTGGAAAACTAATACAGGGAATAAATATGTCTCCCGTGGACAAAAATGCTACCAACATTGTAGGGAAGTCAATAGAAGTGTCAGCAACTTCCTCAAGCTAACACTGAGCAGTGACTACTGGTAAGTAAGAATCTTATTATAAAATAAAGTCTCCTTGCCTTTGTCATGCAACTGGGTTAGAGTTTAAGTGTGCATTCACCCGATTAGCATGCAGGCCAGAAGTGGAAGCACTTCAAGCAGAATGAAATCCAAGCTCCGTATCATGACATAAAGGGGGTAACCATAGTTTATCATCCAAACCAGGACACCTTTTTTTAATTTTCTATTTTTTTTTCATTTGAGACACAGTCTTGCTCTGTCACCCAGGCTAGAGTGCAAAGTGGCACGATCTTGGCTCTCTGCAACCTCCGCCTCCCAGGCTCAAGCAATCTTCCCACCTCAGCCTCCCAAGTAGCTGGGACTACAGGCATGTGCCACCAGGTCCGGCTAATTTTTGTATTTTTTGTAAAGACGGGGTTTTGCCATGTTGGCCAGGCTGGTCTCAAACTCCTGGCCTCAAGTGATCTGCCAGTCTAGGTCTCCCGAAGTGCTGGGATTACAGGTGTAAGCTACTGCACCCGGCCCAGGCCACTTTTACTAGTAAAAGTGGGCACTACTGATAATTACTAACAGGACAACAGGCATAAACCGGGACTTTCCTGGGCAAGCCAGGACGGATGGTCACCCTACCTAAAGCTATAGCAACCAGATGGATGTTTACTATCAAGCGTGACAAGCATGACTATCTGAGAGACAGAGAATACTAACATTTTCAGGAATTTCCTTTCTTTTCATTAAATCATCTATATTTTTACATATGATCCCTATTAAAGCAAAACTAAGAATAATAAAGCTATATAATATATATTTACTAAATTTTATATTATATAATTCTCCAAATATTCCTTGTTTAACATTCAATATACTGTGTAATGAAAGCCTTAAGAAAAATAAAACAGGAAATAGAGGGGAAAATATTTTGTCAGTACATTTCATACCTTGGAAGACTGACCTATGACCATCAGTTTTCTGCAAATGGTGTAAATATAAATGGTACCTGGATGGAGAAAACGATTGTTAACATGTTTTACAGTCAAATGATAGAAATTTTATATTCCAATTTCTGTGGTTCAAGTCTGTAGTTCCCAAAACAAGTGATCTTATGAGGAAGTCTGATAATGGTATATAGAGTTATACTCATCATAATTTTTCTTGTAACTTGTAAACAAAATCATTAAAATAATTAACATGGCCGTATTTTAAATATGTTGACACAGGAATCTTCTAGTCTCATTTTACAGGCCATTTAACTTTTGAAGTATAATGAACAAAAGAATAATTCTAGTGGCATAATTTATGTACCCTGTGCTTTCATTAATTCATATAAAATATTACTGGTTCCCAGCTGTGTACAGTGGCTACGCCTGTAATCCCAGCACTTTGGGAGCCTGAGGCGGGAGGATCACGAGGTCAGGAGCTCAAGACCAGCCTGTCCAATATGGTAAAACCCCGTTTCTACTAATAATACAAAAATTAGCCGGGCGTGGTGGCATGCACCTGTAGTCCCAGCTACTTGGGAGACTGAGGGAGAAAAATCGCTTGAACCTGGGAGGCGGAGGTTGCAGTGAGCCGAGATCATGCCACTGCACTCTAGCCTGGGCGACAGAGCAAGACTCCATCTCAAATATATACATATATATATATATATATATATATATATATATATATATATATATATATAAAATTGGTTCCCATGGTTTCCTTATCATTTAAAAACTAAAGATTTATCTCCAAATAAGATCAGAATACATATTTAATCAGCATGGCAAAATACTCAACAAGGAAACTCATAATAATTTAAAAATCATAATGCATAACAGGGCACGTTATATTCACTCTCAGACTCATATAACATTTTTCCTATTATCAAGGTGTGTCCTACTAGCATTCTAGTGAAAAAATAGCATTTCCAACACCTAAGTAAGGACACATGCTTTTGTGTCAGACCATTAATTAAAAGAGGATAGAAGGCTGGAGGGAGGGTTGAAGAGAGGAGTGGGGAACATCACCATACTTCTCTCTGTATACAAGCAGTTTATCTATCTATAAACATACCCAAAAGATGGTAGCATGCTTTAAAAAGGCATGTAATTGTAACAGATAGTCTAAATATTTTCTATAAAGTATCTAATATTCGTAACCATAAAAACTCAACAATTATGAATTCTATGTTCAGGTTTAAACTTTTAAGTTTCTGATGGCCAGGCGCCGTGGCTCACGCCTATAATCCCAGCACTTTGGGAGGCTGAGGCAGGCAAAACACCTGAGGTCAGGAATTCGAGACCAGCCTGGCCAACATGGAGAAACCCCATCTCTACTAAAAATACAAAATTAGTTGGGCATGATGGTGTGCACCTGTAATCCCAGCCGGGCGTGGTGTCTCACACCTGTAATCCCAGCACTTTGGGAGGCTGAAGGGGGCAAAACACCTGAGGTCAGGAATTCGAGATCAGCCTGGCCAACGTGGAGAAACCCCATCTCTACTAAAAACACAAAAGTAGCTGGGCGTGATGGTATGCACCTGTAATCCCAGCTACTCAGGAGGCTGAGGCAGGAGAATTGCCTAAGCCCAGGTGACAGAGATTGCAGTGAGCCAAGATTGCGCCATTGCACTGCAGCCTGGGTGACAGAGCGAGTCTCCATCTCAAAAAAATAAATAAATAAAAAGTTTGTGAGAAAATGGCAACTGCACCAAAACATCTATTACTTGATTAGAACACAACTATAAGCATAATAAACATCAATTACACAAATCAGTGACCCCCAAAATTGAATAAAATTTAAATTTAAATGTATAGTACCCTAAATTTCATAGAGAATGCAATTGGTCCTTAACATTCAGGGACTTGGCATTATTCATGTGACTACCCCCAGCACCTGCAGTTATTCATTCCACTGAAGATCCACTGGGGAAGAAACCACTCGACTAATAACAGCTCAAGCTCAGCAGACTTATCTCAACGAGGCTTTGTTGACCTCTACTCTTCATCTTTTTCATTTCTTTTTTTTTTTTTTTTTTGAGATAAGAGTCTCGCTCTGTCACCCAGGCTGGAGTACAGTGGTGCAATCTCAGCTCACGGTGACCTCCACCTCCCGGGTTCAAGTGATTCCCGTGCCTCAGGCTCTCAAGTAGCTGGGATTACAGGCGCTCGCCACCACGCTCAGCTAATTTTTGTATTTTTAGTAGAGACAGGGGTCTTGCCATGTTGGCCAGGCTGGTCTCGAACTCCTGACCTCAAGTAATCTGGCTTCCCAAAGTGCTGTGATGAGAAGCGTGAGCCACCATTCCTGGCCTCTACTCTTCATCTTTAAAAATAAAACTGTCTAAGTGTTTCTTTGCAGGAAAAAAAAATAGTCACCAAGTAAAAATATGCACAGGAAACACATGCCTGTCCAAAAAACATGTGATGAGGATGTAAGCCAGGAGCCTGTATAAACATGCCAGTAACGGGGAACTGGGGAACTGAGGAAGGCCTCAGGAGACTGCCCTCAAGAATGACAAGGGCCCTCTGTATTTCAAAAAGGTGCCTTTCACCTTTCCAGCACTAAAATGTTCTGACTGTAACTAAGTCCTTTGACAGTTCAAGATCTTGGCATGGCTCACAAATTCCTGCTGCAAAAGCCAGACTCAGAGAGTAAATGGTATCAGATGGAACACAGACTGAATCTTTATGATCTCAGGGTATTTCTGGAAGTTTATTTCCTTTGTTCTTTTTTTTTTTTTTTTTTTGAGATGGAGTCTTGCTCTGTTGCCCAGGCTGGAGGGAAGTGGCATGATCTCGGCTCACTATAACCTCTGCTCCCCGGGTTCAAGCAATTCTCCTGCCTCAGCCTCCCAAGTAGCTGTGATTATAGGCACACGCCACCACACCCGGCCAATTTTTGTATTCTTAGTAGAGATGGGGTTTCACTACGTTGGCCAGGCTGGTCTTTCACCTGGGCCTCCCAAAGTGCTAGGATTACAGGCGTGAGCCACCATGCCGGGCCTGTTTCATTTTTAACCAAGTCCCTAATAGGAGTTTATTGCCTGGTCTTGTGAGTCCTTTTCATTAAAAATGGCCACCATCAAAATAATCTAGTTGAGGGTCTAAATTAGTTGGGTTCACTTTAGTTGAAAAGTAAGGTATTACTTAATATCCATATACCCAATTAGATTTTTTTTTTTTTGAGATGGAGACTTGCTCTGTCACCCAAGCTGGAGTGCAGTGGCATGATCTTGGCTCACTGCAACCTCCGCCTCCCAGATTCAAGCAATTCTCCTGCCTCAGCCTCCTGAGTAACTGGGATTACAGGCATGCACCACCACACCCGGATAATTTTTGTACTTTTAGTAGAGACCCAGTTTCACCATGTTAGCCAGGCTGGTCTTGAACTCCTGACCTCAGGTGATCTGCTTGCCTTGGCCTCTCAAAGTGCTAGGATTACAGGTGTGAGCCACTGTGTGCAGCCTAAATTTTTATTTAAAAACCAAGATTGGTTAAATATTTGAAGAAACCAAGAGTGTGTATGTATAACAGTCAATTAAAAGTAAATAGAGTAAATGTCTAACTGAAAAGGTCAAATGTATTTTGATAAGTTATCAAGGCACATTTGACATTTTCAGTCAAATATAGTTTTGACTACTTAAATTCCAAACTGTCAAAACTTCAGGGTCTTTGCACTTGCTGATCCCCCAGGTGGAATGCCCTTCCACCAGATACCCAGAAGTTTCACTATCCAAACTCCTTCAGGTCTTTGTTCCTCTGTCATCTCAGCAGCCCAGCCCCTCCTCTCTCTATCCCCTTCTGGCTTTGACTTTTCTCCATAGCCTCGTCACTATCTGACACAATTCAGTTTTGATTTGTTTAGCATCTCCCTGCAATGGAAGTCAGCATGAGAATGTGGTTTTTGTCTACTGTCCACTCCTGTGTCCCTAGCACCTAGAACAATGCCTAGCATATGGTAGGCATTCAGTAAGTTAGAGAATAAATTAAAACAGGAAGAGTAGTTACTGAAACTAAGTATGTGTATCTCCCAGAACCCAGTAATTCCACTCCTAGGCACAGATCCCAGAAAACTCTCGCACAGGTCTATAAAAGGACATGTGTAAGGATATTCATTGCAGAATTATTTGTGCAATTAGAGAGGTCAGGCAAACCAGGTGCTCATCGCCAGGCCTGTATGGATATCTGCAATATAATTCAGCAGGCAGAATTAATGAATTAGATTTACATACAGGAACTTAGCTAGATTCTAAAACCCCACAATATTCAGCAGGAAAAAAAAAAAAGGAAACAGAATAAAATCTAGAGCACAATGCCATGTGTATTAAAAAAGAGAAAAGGAAAAAAGCACATACCAAGAAAAAGATATCAAGGATACAGAAATAATCTTTTAAAAAAAAAAAAAAAATTGAGAGGCCGGGCATGGTGGCTCACACCTGTAATTCCAGCACTTTGGGAGGTGGAGGCGGGCGGATTGCCTGAGGTCAGGAGTTCAAGACCAGCCTGGCTACCATGGTAAAAACCCGTCTGTACTAAAAATACAAAAATTGGCCGGGTGTGGTGGGGCGTGCCTGTCATCCCAGCTACTCGGGAGGCTGAGGCAGGAGAATCGTTTGAACCCAGGAGGTGGAGGTTGCAGTGAGCCGAGATCATGCCACTGTACTCCAGCCTGGGCAACACAGCGAGACTCCATCTCAAAAAAAAAAAAAAAAGATTATTGAGAGAAATGTAATCCCAGTGCTTTGGAAGGCTGATGCAGAATGGCTTAAGCCCAGGAGTTCAAGGCTCAAGGCTGCAGTGATCATGCCACACTGCACTCCACTCTGGGTGAGAAAGTGAGACCCTGTCTCAGACAAAAAAAAAAAAAAAAAAAGACTATGTTTGGGTTGTGATCTTAAAAGGAGTAAAGACAGGGAATCATGCTCATTTCCACCACTCAAACAAGGGCTGACCACAGGGCTCAACCACTGGGCCTAACATGGAACTGCTGCTCCTTCTCCGTCCCTGCCAAGATGTGTGAGAGATGGCAGTGGTGGCGCAGGTAACATCGAATCTCTGGAGGATGATCAGACACAAAAGCTTAATAATCACTGGACTGAAAAAATCTCATCAAAGTTGGCCTCATCTCTGGCAGCAAATGTAAAGTCTGATTTCAATCAAAATGTCAAAACATGACTTGGGGGTGGGTGAGAAAGGAAAAGGCTAGAAAATATACTTTCAGTTGCCATGGATGAGGGAAAATCCAATATGTTTCCTTGAAGTTATTTGATCCTGTCTTATGCACATCGAACACACTGTCAATATTTTCCTTTTAAAAATATATTATCCAGAGAATAATGCAGTAAGTTGCAACTTTAAAATAGAGAAAAGCAAGTATTACATTTTTTAGCTGAGAGTCATTTCTTCAGACATACACATAATGTACATATGTGTGTGTGTATGTGTGTGTGTGTGTGTGTGTGTGTATGTGTGTGTGTGTGTTCCTCAGCAGTCCTCACTCAAAATAAAAGTAGGAGGAGGTCACTTTGTAGAAACCCAAAGCCAAGTTGTTTGAGGACAGGGCCAGTAAATGGGTGATGCTTAGAGCCAATCTAACCCGCACTGGTTCTTTGACCCTTCTCCATCTATATTTACTTGTTAACTGCGGCCCTGCTTTTTGAACACCCAACAGTGATTATTCCCACAGTCTCTGACCCTTTCCCCAGTGAAAACCCAAAGACATGCTTTATCCATCCCAATTTACGAGGACAAACATGTCACACGAATGTTGAAAAAAATATATTCATCCTATTATGAAATGCGTATGTTTTAAATCACAAGGTACTCAAGCTACTGTCAAACTTAGCATTGAAGTAACTTTCTGAAAGACACAATGGAAAATAAAATACATCAGCATATACCATTGAAGATAATCCAGCAAAGATGCTCTTGTGGCAGAGCCACTTGCATGATGAGCCTTAAGGAGGACAAGATATGCAGACACTGGACCACAGATTCTTTATTCTTCAGGTTTTCATCACTGTCGCAGACCAGCTGGTAGTTGCACATATTTTTGCCACTCAAAGCATGAAACTGAAACACATGGGAAAATAGAAATAGAAATAGAAATAACTGGCCAGGAACAGTAGCTCACACCTGTAATCCCAGCACTTAGGGAGGCCAAGGTGGGCAAATCACCTGAGGTCAGGAGTTTGAGACCAGCCTGGCCAACATGATGAAATCCTGTCTCTACTAAAAATACAAAAATTAGCTGGGCGTGGTGGCACATGCGTGTAATCCCAGCTACTCAGGAGGCTGAGGCAGGAGAATCGTTTGAACCTGGGAGGCAGAGGTTGCAGTGAGCCAAGATCGTGCCACTGCATTCCAGCCTGGGTGACAAGAGAGAAACTCCATCTCAAAAAAAAAAAAAAGAAAAGAAAAGAAAGAAAAAGAAGGAAGAAATAGAAATAACTTAGGAAAGCATTTCTCAAAATGTAAAAAACTAAAATGGAAACAATTATGGATAATTAATTTAATAGATTAGTGTAAAAAAAAAAAGATAGGTTTCTTTAAAACATCCATCTAGTTAAGACTAGCTTTCCTTAGTCACAAGAAATTCAGAAAGAAAAACAAATCCTATTACCAAAAATACAGAATTGAATCAATTTTTTTTTTTTTTTTTTGAGACGGAGTCTTGCTCTGTCTCCCAGGTTGGAGTGCAGTGGCTGACCTCGGCTCACTGCAAGCTCCACCTCCTGGGTTCACGCCATTCTCCTGCCTCAGCCTCCTGAGTAGCTGGGACTACAGGTGCCCGCCACCACGCCTGGTTACTTTTTTGTATTTTTAGTAGAGACGGGGTTTCACCGTGTTAGCCAGGATGGTCTCGATCTCCTGACCTCGTGATCCGCCTGCCTCGGCCTCCCAAAGTGCTAGGATTACAGGCGTGAGCCACCGCGCCCGGCCAGAATTGAATCAATTGTTATAAGCTCCCCAGTGGCATTTTAACTTATTTATTAATTCAGATGTGATTATAACCATTTACACAATTCACTCAACAAATGTTTCTTGAGCACCTCTATTAGCCACACTCTGCTAGGCAACAGAGACTCTAGGATGAGGAAGAAACGGACACTGCTCTTAGAGGAGGGAAAACAGTTACAGGCTCATGCACCAGGCTCATGCAGCATTGAAGGGACTGCTGCGGTCACTGAATTGAAAGTATTTTGTAAGGTTGGATGAGATGGTTTAAAATAAAGAAGTGAGGCCAAGGCAGGCAGATCACTTGAGGTCAGGAGTTCGAGACCAGCCTGGCCAACATGGAGAAACCCCATCTCTACTAAAAATACAAAAATTAGCCAGGCATGATGGTGCGCACCTGTAATCCCAGCTACTCAGGAAGTTGAGGCAGGTGAATCACTTGGGCCCAGGAGGCGGAGGCTGCAGTGAGCCAAGACTGCACCACTGCACTCCAGCTTGGGCAACAGAGTGAGCCTCGGTCTCAAAAAAAAAAAAAAAAAAGTGAGGCTATTATAGGGGTGACCCAGGCTCAGAAAAAGAGAGAGAGCATTCCATGTATTCCAAGGAATTTGGACTTTAGCCAAAAGGCAAAGTCAATGGGTAGTGGAACAAAATGACAGGTTTCTACTTTAGAAATTAATTGGCCAGGCACGGTGGCTCACACCTGTAATCCCAGCACTTTGGGAGGCCAAGGAGAGTGGATCATGAGGTCAGGAGTTTGAGACCACCCTGACCGACATGGTGAAACCCCATCTCTACTAAAAATACAAAAATTAGCCGGGCATGGTGGTATGCGCCTGTAATCCCAGCTACTAAGGAGGCTGAGGCAGGAGAATTGCTTGAACCTAGGAGGCAGAGGTTGCAGTGAACTGAGATCATGCCACTGCACTCCAGCCTGGGCAACAGAACAAGACTCCAAAAAAAAAAGAAGAAAAGAAAGGAAAGAAAGGAAGAAAGGAAGAAAAGAAAGAAAGAGAAGAAAAGAAAAAGAAAGAAAGAAAGAAAGAAAAAGAAAGAAGAAAGAAAGGGAAAGAAAGAAAGAAAGAAAGAAAAAGAAAGAAAGAGGAAGAAAGAAAAATAAATTCTGGCAAAATATGAAAAGCAAAAAGCAGAAGGTAGGGGGTCAAGGCTACAAAAAGGGGAGTAGGAGAGACCTTTTCCCTAACAGGGTGCCAACCTACATCGCCCAGTATTCTCATTCACGTACCTATGGTACAGCCAAATTGAACTGTTCAATTGTCTCCCAAACATGCCTTAAGAGTTTCTGCTTATTAACCACATACGGGTCCCAAACCCTTGAATAGTCCTCAAGTTTGAAGTAACATAGATTTAGAGTCAGACTGATCAGGGTTCAAACACCAACCCTGCCCATTGCTTTAAGTGGGCTAATAAACTTCCATTTCCTAACCTGTAAAAGAGGCACCTCTTAGGACTTTAATGAGGCTGCAAGATGATAATTCATACAATGTATTTAGAAGAGTACTCAGCACATGAAAACTGCTCAACCAGTGAATCAATGGTAGTAATTAACAAAATACTGGTATACTAGAAATAAAGTATAAATATTTTATATCAATAGATTTATGTTTAATCTTGAGTCGCTTTTTTATACTATGTGATAAGCTTTATTTTTCTCTTCTGTAAAATAGGGATAATAGTATGTAACTCATAAAATTACTTTATCAAATTTGTTTTCCAAAGCACTTTATAAACTAAATGCACTCTACAAGTATTAGTTATTAAATAACAACTGCTACATGAATGAGTGACTGCAGTGACTTAATCTCCAAAGCATCCTTACAAAGCTTGATAAGTTCACTTTCTTATCCAGCACTGAAAGTATTTATTAAGCAACTTATAGCACACAGCTAGATGCTATGCTAAGCCAACAAGACATTTAGAAGCTGTCAACTAAAAGATACATTGTATAGCTAATCATAAATTGTAGCTATTTCAGCTGCTCTTTCATCTTACTGTAAGTCCAGCAGTTTTATCTTTAAAGCCTTTTGGGAAAAAGGTAGCTTTGAATTGAGTTACATCCACTTTATTCTCATCAAAATTGGTATTGAACTGCTGAAGATATCTTCCATAGCATTGTAAAAGGGCCAGTTTGTATTCCTGAAACAAAAGGAGTACTTGATTAAAGTTCCAAAATATCATTTAGCTTATCATTATTAGGTAATATTCATATTATTCCTAATAGTATCAAGGTTGATTATTACAATTATACCATTACTACTGGCTCCATTTTCCAAAAACATAGTATGTGAGAGACACTGCACTATACAATGTATGTGCATTATTTCATCTAATTCTCCTCACAATGAGCCTATGTGAGATGGGACCATCATGACCACAAGGATGAGAATATTTACTATGGCACTGTGCATGGTAATACCTACAAATACTCAAAACCCAGGTTCCAAAATTCAGCATCATCAGATCATGGTAACCCACATACCTAGAGAGGTGGATGAGTAGTCTTGCTTCTCTGATACCTCATAGGCTCGAAAAAGAAAAGAAACGAAGAGCGAGCGAGCGAGAGAGAAACAAAGGAAGGAAGGAAAGAAGGAAGGGAGGGAGGGAGGGAGGGAGAGAGGAAGGGAGGAAGGGAAAGGAAGGAAGGAGGGAAGGGAGAGAGGGAGGGAGGAAGGCAGGAAGGAAGGAAGGGAAAGAAGGGGAAGGGAAAGGAAAGGAAAAGAAAAGGGAAGAGAAGGGGAAAGGAAAGGAAGGGGGAAGAAAGGAAGTGAAAGAGAGAGAGAGAAAGAAAGGAAGGAAAAAAAAGGAAAGGAAAGGAAGAAAGAGAAAGAAAGGGAGGGAAGGAGGAAGGAAAAAATAAAGGGAGGGAGGGAAAGAAAGAAAGAGGAGAGAGAGAAAGCGAGAAAGAAGGAAGGAAGGAGAGAGAGAGAAAGAAAGAAAGAGAAAGAAAGAAAGAGAGAGAGAGAAAGGAAGGGAGGGAGAGAGGAAGGAAAGGAAGGGAGAGGGAGGGAGAGAGGAAGGAAGAGAGGAAGAAAGAGGGAACCAAAGAAGAGAAAATAAAAGAAAAAACTGCAGAGTGAGGTGAGCTACTTGCCTCTCTTTCATCTGTCAACACTCTAAAGCTGCATCAGGACAAATAAAAAGCATCTGAGCAGTGGGATTTTTATTCATTCAAATTCATGCTTATGTTCCCATTACAGAATCAGATGCCCCATTTCTGTAACCCACAGGGCTCAGTTACCTGGAGGGTTTCAGGGCAGGGGACATAAGCAGTGCTTTCAAAATGAGTCACTTGCAACCCTTCCTCAGCTCCCTCCCCCACAACTTCATCCCCAGGAAAAGCAACTGCCCAAGGTTGAACTGGCTGTCCAGTTACCTAGCCCCTTGGGAGGCATCTTCAGTCAAACACTGTTTTGTTTAAATTTCTATTAAAGATTTGTTTTTGCTCACTAATCCTGAATCTTTTCTGCTCTAACTTGAGTCATATAATAAATTCAAATCTAGGTTTAAAAAAAATTTTCCACAAGATGATCTTTACTACAACTAAAATAAAAATAGAGCCTAGAAACCAAAGTAACAAGTTCATTTTCAGAATTATAAATACCTTTTTTTTTTTTTTTTTTTTTTTAGGGACAGTGTTTCGCCATGTTACCCAGGCTTGTCTCAAACTCCTGGGCTCAAGCAAGCAATCTGCCCTCCTCAGCCTACCAAAGTTCTGGGATTACAGGTGTGAGCCACCATGCCCAGCCTGGCCAACATTCCCTTCAGTGAAAAGTAGATAAAACTTTTTCTTTGTTCCTTTAATTAAATATTAAAATATCCTATCTAGGCCTTTCTATCTAAAACATTCTGAATCCTTAGCTACCAGCCATCTTTAACTTGCTTTATCAGCTTCTAACATACACCTCTCTCCTCCCTCCACTAATATCCACTCCACCCACACAGACATTTCTCAAACAACCCTACACTGTGCTTTTTATTTGTATTACCAGCTTCTTATACTGAAAAGTGTAAGGATGGAAAGGGGGCTATCTTGTAATTCTTGTCAAAACTCTTATTCCACTTACATGAATAAAGCTTCCAAGTTGAATCTCACCCAGGTTTCTTTTCTGTAGCTTACCAAGCCCTGTATTTTCAAGTTTCTAAGACCCATGGTCCATTTATGTGGAACTATGGTTATTCTCTAGTTTTGGCAGAAGAAAATAGATCTTAGTTCTTCATTATGAAGTTCCACCACTCATATCCTCTATTTGGTAAATTTGTCTCCCAGACCAAGAGGATTAAAGTCCAGAAAACAGAGAGGGGAAAAATGAAGTTGAGAAACTGAAGATTGAGAAAACACTGAACACTGCCCACGGCTGGCCTAAGATCCCATTGTCTGACGTTCACATAACTTAGAATAATCTGGACCTAGGCCAGAGTTTAAGGGGGAAACTCACATGATCATTAATGGAAAACCCAGCCATGCTGTGGTCTCAGCAAACCAAGTCCACCGGTCCACAGCATTCCAAGCCCTAGACATTCAGGTAGAACTAAAAGAAGGACACAAACTCATTCTGGAATACAATACTGAGCAAGAAACAGGGTATGTATGGAATGACTGTTATAATTACATACAGCAAAACATTAAGAAAGAGTTGAAAGAGTTTAATAAACAGGGCACTGAAGCAAGCAACAGAGCTGCAAGGCCAAGAGCCCTGAAGGTTGACCACTGGGCAAGGCCAGCCATATGAAAAACAACAGGAAGTGGTGTCTGGGCTCCTTTGTATAAGGTAGGAACACGATGATTCAGCATTTCCTGTTGTGTGCCTACCACACCCTCTGTTAACCCGGCCACCCTCCTGCCCATCCACAGCCAGCTGCCTGGCTGTTCAGGAATGTCTCACCTCTGGGAAATCTCAACTACAAAATTAAAAAGCAACACTTTTTTGGTTACTGTGCCTTATTAAAATTTTTATGTACTCATTTATTTTTTTCTAAGAGAAAAATCAAAACATGTAAAATAGGAAGGGTATCAGACTAAATACTGTAATAATAATTAGCCAAATGAACTTCTTTTTGGCTCTTTCCTGCAGAGGCACTTACTTTCATTTGACAAAGGCTATCTCCAACCTTCAGAAGCTTTTCGTTGTAATAGTCTGCTGGCAGCCTGGGGGCGTATTTAGTCCAGATATTAAACAAAGAAGTGGCACTGTAAAAATCATAAAATAAAACGACATTGTCAAAGTCTGCAGGAAACCCCAATTAATTTGCAAGCAATCCTTTAAAACTTACCTTATGCTAAAGCCTTTCCAATGTGCCTTATTGTTAATGTCCAATTATTAATAATAAATGTAATTACAGTTAAAATTATTGCTTCCTATGTACCAAGCATTGATTGCAGCCCTTTACATATTTTTTTTAGATACTTTACTTCATAGAGCAATTTTAAGTTCACAACAGAATTGAGCAGAAGATTCTGAGATTTCCCATATATACCCTGTGCCCCCAAACATGCACAGCCCTCCCCATTATCAACATCTCCACTAGAATGGTACCTTTGTTGTGATGAACCTACATTGACACATCATTATCACCCAAAGTCCATAGTTTAGGGTTCACTGTTGGTGTCATCCATTCCATGAGTTTGGACAAATGTATATAATGTCTATCCACTGTGAAAATATCAGAGAGTAGATTCACTATCCTAAAAATCCTCCGTGCTCCACTTATTCATCCCTCCTTTCCCGCTTAATCTCTGTTAACCACTGATATTTTTACTGTCTCCATAGTCATGCCTTTTCCAAAATGTCATAGTTGGAATCATATAGTAGGAAGCCTTTTCAGATTGGCTTCTTTCACTTAGCAATATGCATCTAAGTTTCCTCCATGTCTTTTCATGGCTTGATAGCTCATTTCTTTTTAGCACTGAATAATATCCCATTGTCTGGATGCATTACAGTTTATTTATCCACGCACATGCTGAATGACATCTTGGTTGCTTACAAGTTTTGGCAATTATGAATAAGGCTGCTAGAAATACTGATGCGCACGGTTTTTTTTGTTTTGTTTTGTTTTGTTTTGTTTTGTTTTGTTTTTGAGATGGAGTCTTGCTCCTGTCACACAGGCTGGAGTGCAGTGGCACGATCTTGGCTCACTGCAACCTCCACCTCTGGGGTTCAAGCAATTCTCCTTCCTCAGCCTCCCGAGTAGCTGGGATTACAGGCGTGCACCACCATGCCTGGCTGATTGTTGTATTTTTAGTAGAGACAGGGTTTCACCATGTGGGCCAGGCTGGTCTCAAACTCCTGACCTCAGGTAATCCACCCGCCTAGGCCACCCAAAGTGCTAGTATTACAGGCATGAGCCACCGCTCCCAGCCCGATGTGCAGGTTTTTATATGGACATAAGTTTTCAATTCCTTTGGGTAAATACCAAGGAGCACAAGGGGTGAATGTTATGGTAAGAATATGTTTAATTTTGTAAAAAACCACCTGTCCTCCAAAGTGGCTGTACTATTTTGCATTCCCACCAGCAATCAATGAGAGACTTCATTGCTCCACATCCTTACCGGCATTTGGTGTTGTCGGTGTTCTAGATTTTAGCCTTCCTAATAGGCATGTAGGGTATCTTATTGTTGCTTTAATTTGCATTCCCCTGATTACATATGATGTGGAGCATATTTTCATATGTTTATTTGCCATCTGTATGTCTTCTTTGGTGAGGTGTCTGTTAAGGTCTTTGGCCCATTTTTAAGATCAGGTTGTTGGCCAGGCACAGTGGCTCATGCCTGTAATCCCAGCACTTCGGGAGGCCAAGAAAGGTGGATCACTTGAGGTCAGGAGTTTGAGACCAGCCTGTCCAACATGGTGAACATGGTGAAACCCCGTCTCTACTAAAAATACAAAAATTAGCCAGGCATGGTGGCGCACATCTGTAGTCCCTGCTACTCAGGAGGAGAATCATTTGAACTCATGAGGTGGAGATTGCAGTGAGCTGAGATCAGGCCACTGCACTCCAGCCTGGGCAAAAGAGCAAGACTCCATCTCAAAAAAATTAGTAAATAAATAAATAAATAAAAATATTTAAAAAAGTAAAATCAGGTTGTTGTTATTGCTGAGTTTTCAGAGTTCTTCGTATATTTTGGACAACAGTCCTTTATCAAATATGTCTTCTGCAAATATTTTCTCCCAGTTTGTGGCTTATCCTTTCATTCCCTTGACAGTATCTTTCATAGAGCAGAAATTTTTCATTTTAATGAAGTCCAACTTAACAATTCTTTCTTTCATGGATCATGCCTTGGTAATGTATATTCAAACTCATCACCAAACCCAAGGTCACCTAGATTCTCTCCTATGTTATCTACTAGGAGTTTATTTTTTATTTTTTGTTTTGAGATGGAGTCTCACTCTGTCACCAGGCTTGAGTGCAGTGGTGCCATCTCAGCTCACTGCAACCTCTGCCTCCTGGATTCAAGTGATTCTCCTGCCTCAGCCTCCCGAGTAGCTGGGACTACAGGCACGCACCACCACGCCCAGCTAATTTTTGTATTTTTAATAGAGATGGGTTTTCACCATGTTGACCAGGATGGTCTCAATCTCTTGACCTTGTGATCCACCTGCCTAGGCCTCCCCAGGTGCTGGGATTACAGGCGTGAGCCACGGTGCCCGGCCAGGAGTTTCATAATACTGCATTTTACATTTAGGTAGGTGATCCATTTTGAGTTAATTTTTGTGAAGGGCGTACAGTCTGTGTCTAGATTCATTTTTTGGCATGTGGATATCCAGTTGTTCCAGGACCATTTATTGAAGACACTGTTCTCCACTGAATTGACTTTGCTCACTTGCCGAAGATCAGTTTGTTGCCAGAAAAGGGGTTTTGATCCAGACCCCCTAGATTCATTTTTTGGCATGTGGATATCCAGTTGTTCCAGGATCATTTATTGAAGACACTGTTCTCCACTGAATTGACTTTGCTCACTTGCCAAAGATCAGTTTGTTGCCAGAAAAGGGGTTTTGATCTAGACCACAAGAGAGGGCTCTTGGATCTCGCACAGGAAGGAATTCAAGACAAGTCACAGAGTGCAGTGGGAAGAGATCATTCATTGAAAGCTACTCAGTTACAGAGTTGGGCAACCTCAGAAAGCAGGAAGATGAACACACTATCTTTGTTTTAAACTCTTCTTATATAGGGGTCTTATCTACGTAAAAAGCCAAGCTAAGTTAGGTCTACATGCAGGTAGGCCAACAGTGTAACGAAATTTATTACTCTGTTGATTTAAAGGAAACTATCCTCAACGTTTTCATGTGCAGTACATCAAGGCATAGCTATAATTATCTTGAAGGCGTATATTGTTATGGGTACTGGGACATCTGGACTTTCTGCTGTTGTAGGTGCTTGTCTTTGCAGGTATCTTTAGGTTGTTTCTTCAACTGTAAAAAATTGATGACCATGGGTCACGCCTGGCAAGGAATGTGCCTTGCTAATTTTAAAATGGAGTTGATTTTAAAATGCCATTACTCTGGCTCTCCTATGCTCCTGTTTCCCTAACAAGTTGGCTATATTTATGTGAGTCTATTTCTGAGCTGTGTATATTGTTCCATAGATTTGTCTATTCTTTCACCAATGTCACACTATCTTGAATACTGTAGCTTTATAGTAAGTCTTGAAATTGAGTCGTGTCAGTCCTCCAACTTTCTTCTTCTCCTTCAATGCTGTGTTAGCTATTTTGGGTCTCTTGCCTATATATGTACCTTTTTTCACTTCATTTTCACAACTCCAAGAAAGGTAATATCAATATCCCAAAGATACAGTTGATTAAGCTGAGGCTCAGTGCATCTATGCTCTTAACGACTACATGAATGAGCTTGCCAGTCCTCTGGAAAGTAAACTCCCCTGAGGTCAAGGACCTCAACAATATTATTCATTGCCCAGCCCCAACAGTAGTGAATACCTAGTACATGTAGGTACTCAATAAATATCTGCTGAAAGATGAATGAATGAATAAAGGATTGGGAAGAAAACATTATTTGTTCTTGTTTTATTTTTTCTTATGAAGGGCTCAGGGCTCAAATGGCCAGTCAATCCACTTAGAGCTATACTTCCCTCCACCAAGTAAAATAAAAACAAAACAAACAGCATTTTCAAAATGGTTTCTAACCAGAGTTTCAAACAGTAGCAGATCATTGCCTATTTTATTCATTCATTTAGTTAACATTTATTTCTTTCCTCTCCCTCAGAAATTATATATGTCTCTAGGAAAAATCTGAATATCCCTTAACAAGTGTCCAATCCTATCTCATAAATTTCTAGATAAGACTGAATATTTGTGACCCCTCCCCCACTGCCCCCCAATTCATATGTTGAAATCCTAACCTCCAGTGTGGTTGTATTTGGAAACAGAGCCTCTAAGGAAGCAATTAAGGTTAAATGAAATTATAAGATTAGTACTCTGGCCTGATGGAATTAATGTCCCTACAAGAAGAGACTCCAGAGAGGTTGCTCTTTTGTGATATGGTCATAAATTGTTTACAGTCTCCATGCTTGAGGACAAAGCAGCCTTCTACAAACCAGGAGAGGAGTCCTCATGAGAAACCAACCCTGCTGGACCTTGATCTGGGACTTCCAGCCTTCAGACTGTGAAAAATAAATAAATTTCTGTTGTTTAAGCCACCTGGTCTGTAGTATTTTGTTATGGCAGCCTGAGCTGGCTAATACAGGACATAAACTTAAGAACTGAAGATGGCTCTAATACTTATGATGTATGTGTTGGAGTAATAATGGAACATCTAAACAGAAACCTGTCAATTAATTCATTTGGGTAATTAAATAATATTGATTGAGTCACTGATTGAGTGAAGGAGACAATGCATTCCTCCTTCACAAACTGATTAATAATATATTTAGGTAGAAAAATATATGCATATACCAAGTAATAAATAACAATGACAAATAAATATAGCAAATATAAACCACAGACATTTAAAAGGGGAGAGGTGTTTTGTTTGCTTTATTACCTCTTTCACTTTCATTTGCTGCTTCACGAAATGCCACGGTATTTGAATAAATATAATGAATCCAAGAAATTCACCAAGTCTTACTAGAAGTCTTAAATTATGTAGATGAAATAATTAATTCTTCTAAACCTTACAGATGAGATAATGATGACTAGGTTTGTTACTCATAAAAGAAAAATACCAGCTTTGTTAAATCAATCAAGATTATATAATAAGAAAGAAAAAATCTCTTTTTTTGTTGAACCCTAAGTTCAGGTTAAGGCTGCTCATTGGGAATAGCTTACATAATGATTAAACCAAAAATATATAATATATACTATAGAATGTACATCATTTGAGAAGAAAATGTTAATGTACTTGGGATTGCTGACTGTTGCTAGATATGTAAAATGTTCTAAAACAGAAAATCAGCCAGGCACGATGGCTCATGCCTGTAATCCCAGCACTTTGGGAGGCCAGAGTGGGCAGATCGCTTGAGGTCAGGAGTTCAAGACCAGCCTGGGAAACATCACGAAATCCCGTCTCTACTAAAAAAAAAAAAACAAAAATTAGCCGGGCGTGGTGACATGCACCTATAGTCCAGCTACCAACGAGGCTGAGGCACGTGAATTGTCTGATTGACTGCACCCGGGAGGCAGACGTAGCAGTGAGCCAAGATCCGGCTACTGCACTCCAGCCTGGGCGACAGAACAAGACACTGTCTCAAAAAAGAAAAAGGAAGGAAGGAAGGAAGGAAAGAAGGAAGGAAGGAAGGAAGGAAGGAAGGAAGGAAGGAAGGAAGGAAGGAAGGAGAAAAGAAAAGAAAATCATAACTATATAAGCAGAATACCTCAATCTTATGTGCTTATAGCAAAAGCACATTTTTAAAAACGTATCATACTCTTATTTAAAGATATTTCTAGTATGACAATAATTTATATTTTAAATACTATGAATTGTATGCTTATGGAAGTTTCCATAGTTATAAGGAAAAACAAATTTTGATACAAAAAATAACCATCTGTTGTCTAGGCGCAGTGGCTCACGCCTGTAATCCCAATACTTTGGGAGGCCAAAGCGGTCGGATCACGAGGTCAAGATATCGAGACCATCCTGGCCAACATGGTGAAACTCCGTCTCTACTAAAAATACAAAAATTAGCTGGGCGTGGTAGGTTGCGCCTGTAGTCCCAGCTACTTGGGAGGCTAAGGCAGGAGAATCACTGGAATCCGGGAGGCGGAAGCTGCAGAGAGCCGAGATTGCGTCATTGCACTCCAGCCTGGCGACAGAGCAAGACTCTGTCTCAAAAAATAATAATAATAATAATAACCATCTGTCAAATATATTATAAAAGCAACTCCTACCTCCTGTACTCCTAACTGGTCTCTACACTGCTATTCTTGTTCCCTTTGGATATGATCATCAGAATAATATCTTAAAACAAAAATTAGGCCGTGCATGGTGGCTCACACCTGTAATCCCAGCACTTTGGGAGGCTGAGGCGGGTGGATCACTTGAGATCAGGAGTTTGAGACCAGCCTGGCCAACATGGTGAAACCCTGTCTCTACTAAAGACACAAAAATTAGCCGGGCGTGGTGGCATGCGCCTATAATCCCAGCTACTCAGGAGGCTGAGGCAGGAGAATCACTTGAACTCCGGAGGCGGAGGTTGCAGTGAGCTGAGATTGCACCACTGCATTCCAGCCTTGTTGACAGAGTGAGACTGTCTCAAAAAAAAAAAAATTACATAAGGGTAATCCTTTGCCAAAACTACCCAATGGAATAAATGCAAACTCTTTAAAATGGCCTCTAAAACCTTCCAAAGTCCTATTATTCCCCTAAATCTCACCTCATACTGTTGTACCTCTTTCACTCTGCTTCTGCTAAATGGGATTCTGTCCATTCCTCCGAAGTAGGAATGGATCTGTTCTGCCAAGGATCTTCCTGCATTTTTGTCCCCCTATTCATCCTCTCTGTTTGGCTAGTCAAATCCCAGGTGTCCTTCTAATCTCAGCTTAATGGCACCTCCCTTACCAATCATTCGAAAGCAAGTCCCCACTACATTCTCTTTAAGCCTCTGCTTTAAGTGTCATCTACTTCTGACCACCTTATTGAAAATTGCAACTTCCTATCTTCCACTCCATAACCTCTTCTCTTTTTCTTTTTCTTTTTAATTTCTAATGGGAATAGATTATCTTCTTTTTCTCTCTAGCATTTATCATTTCTTTGTTTTGTTTTTTTGTTTGTTTGTTTGAGACGGAGTCTCACTCTGTCGCCTGGGCTGGAGTGCACTGGCGCGATCTTGGCTCAATGCAACCTCCACTTCCCAGGTTCAAGTGATTCTCCTGCCTCGGCCTGCCGAGTAGCTGGGATTACAGGCGCCCACCACCACGCCCGACTAATTTTTTGTATTTTTAGTAGAGACAGGGTTTCACTATGTTGGCCAGGCTGGTCTCAAATACCTGACCTCGTGATCCAGCCTCTCAAAGTGCTGGGATTGCAGGCGTGAGCCACCGCACCCAGCTGCATTTATCATTCCTAAATTACCATAAAATACACATAATTGATGTTTATTGTCTAGTTCCCTCTCTAGACTATAAAGTCTGAGAAGGCAGAGACTTTTGTCTGGTTCACTGCTGTATCCAGAGTGCCTAGTAGGAAGCCTGACACATATAAGTGCTCAGCAGTTACTTTCATAGCATTTGTTGTTTGTGAATTGACTAATGACTCATTGAACATCTATCTCCCTCTCTAGACTATAAGCTCCATGAATACTGACTCCCATATCTATTTTGTTCACCACTGTGTAACCAGTGTCAAGTACATTTCCTCACACATAGCAGGCACTCAGTAAAAATTATTGTATAAATAAAGGCCAAAATTGTGTGAGAGGTTGGACTGTTAAGGCACATGTCAATCCAATGCTTGTGATTCTTATAGTCTTGTTAAAGATGGCGCAGATTCTGTACTTATAGACTGGCCCATGTCTACTTTCCTATATGTAATAGTCACAATTACTGAGAATATAAGGATAATAACTCTTTTTTTTTTTTTTTGAGACAGAGTCTCATTCTGTCATCCAGGGTGGAGTGCAGTGG
The DNA here is from genome assembly GCF_000001405.40 of Homo sapiens. NCBI lineage: Eukaryota > Metazoa > Chordata > Mammalia > Primates > Hominidae > Homo > Homo sapiens. The sequence continues at coordinate 96,492,952 of NC_000012.12, read as the reverse complement.
CATGATCTCGGCACACTGGCAACCTCCACCTCCTGGGTTCAAGAGATTCTCATGCCTCAGCCTCCTGAGTAGCTGGGATTACAGGCACACACCACCACGCCCGGCTAATTTTTGTATTTTTTAGTAGAGACAGAGTTTTGCCATGTTGGCCAGGCTGATCTTGAACTCCTGACTGCAGGTGATCTGCCTGCCTCAGCCTCCCAGAGTGCTGGGATTACAGGCGTAAGCCACTGCACCAGGCCAAGGATAATAACTCTTGAATCCTTTCAATACTAAATATTTATTGAATGTTTATTATGTCCCAACCCCCAGGCTAAGTGCCAGAAATACAGCAATGAAAAAGAAACACATCCAAAGTCACCAGGGAGCTTACATCCTAATGAGACAGACAATACACAAGAAAACAAATCGATTAAAAAATATAAACCTATGAGTGAATCTGCATTCGATAGGAAAGGCCACTCTAAGGAGGTGACAACTGAGCTGAGGCCTGAAAAAAGGAGCCAGATTTTTGAAAAGCTTGGGGAAGAACATTCAGACAACAAAGATGGCAAATATAAAGGCTCTGGGGTGAGAAACAGTAGGACCTGTTTCTCTGGAAAGTCCTGAGAGAGAAGTGAGGGATGAGCTGAGCTCAGAAAGGCAGGCAGGGTCAACACCTCAGCCCCTGGAGAGTATCAGAATTCTTAAGTTTATTCCAAAAGCAATGGGAAGCAATAGAAAGACTTTAGATAAGATTTGTAAAGATCATCCTGACTGCTAGGTGAAGGATAGATTGGAGACAGAGTGGCTGCAGGGAAAATGTGAAATGGTGGTGGTTTGGACTGGAACGCTGGTAGTGGAGATGGGGAGATGAAGTTCAAAGATAAAAACCATTTAAATATAAATGTATAAGCCGGGCAAGGTGGCTCATGCCTGTAACCTCAGCAATCTTGGAGGCCAAGGCGGGTGGATCACCTGAGGTCAGGAGTTTGAGACCAGCCTGGCCAACATGGCGAAACCCCATCTCTACTAAAAATACAAAAATTAGCCGGGCGTGGTAGCAGGCACCTGTAGTCCCAGCTACTCAGAAGGCTGAGGCACAAGAATCGCTTAAACCTGGGAGGCAGAGGTTGCAGTAAGCTGAGATCGCAGCAGTACACTCCAGCCTGGGGTACAGAGTGAGACTCCCTATCAATAAATAAATAAATAAAGCATATAGAGTAGGTATATAATGGGCTTTCCTTGGTCAATTCTTGGTTCTCATCTTACTTGGCCAGTCAGCAGAATTTGCCACAGTTGATCATTCCTTTCTTCCTGAAATACTTTCTCTACCTGCTTCTAGTACACCAGGCACTTAATGGTTTTCCACTGGCCCCTCCTCCTTAGTCTCTGTTGGTTTCTTCTTATTGCCTCTCCCTGTCCATGCTGGAGCATCCCAGGGCTCAATCCTTGGACTCTTCCCTTCTCCATTTACACACACACTCCCTTAGCTATTCATCAAGTGTCATCATTTAAATATCATATGAATCCCAAATGTATATCTCATCTGACTTCCAGATTCAAATGTCCAACTACCTACATAGTAGCTCCACCTGGATGCTGAATCACATCTCAATTTTTATAAAAGTAAACTCTTGATCTCCCTCCCTCTTGCTCTTCCCACAATACAATTCCACCCCAGGTCTTTCCCATCTGCCATTCTCCCTGTGTGACCTACTTTTTGCACAAAAATCCTCATCAATTGCTCCCATATCTTTCTCATCTTTCTCAAAAGCAACTTTTCCTGACCTTCCCTAACCAGGCTTCTCACCACCCCATTTAAAATTGCAACACTCAGGCCAGGCGCAGTAGCTCATGCCTGTAATCCAATACTTTGGGAGGTCAAGGTGGGAGGATCCCTTGAGCCCCCAAGTTCAAGGTTTCAGTGAGCCAGGATTGAGCCACTGCACAACAGCCTGTGCAAGAGTGAGACCCTGTCTCAAAAAAAAAAGATAAAATTGCAACATTCATCTCATATCCTCCAACACCATTCCCTGTTCTATTTTTCTCCCTAGCAGTCATCTCCTTGTAAGATTATTTACTTACATATTTGTTTAGTGGTTGTTTATACCCACAAAAACATATGCTCTATAAGGACATGGATTCTTATATGTTTTGTTAACTTGATGTTTTCCTAGTTCCTTGAACAGCACTTGATATACAGTATGTGCTCAATAAATAGTTGTTATATGCATAAATAAAAAATATTTTATTTTATTTATTTATTATTATTATTTTTTGAGAAGGAGTCTTGCTCTGTCGCCCAGGCTGGAGTGTAGTGGCGCGATCCCAGCTCACTGCAACCTCTGCCTCCCGGGTTCAAGCAATTCTCCTGCCTCAGCCTCCTGAGTAGCTGGGAGTACAGGCATGTGCCACCATGCCCAGCTAATTTTCGTATTTTGTATTCATGTATAAATTTTTGGCTCGCTCAAGGGTTTCACAACTTTCCATGTTATGAGTATATAAATTTGTATATGGAGAAAAAGGAATAACTTCGAGGTAGCTCAGGTTCATGAAGCTAGCTCTTGATACAATGAAGTATGTCATCCTGTGAACATGTGCACTTTAATTCCTTCTTATATTGCTATTAGGATTACAGTGACTTTTTCTTAATTTTGCTATTCATTCTGCGCAACTGTTTGCCTTTTTGGGAGTTCTATCACCATGTTATTACTGCAAACTGCGAACTCTTTTTAAGGTTCTTTCCTGCTTATGTTACCATCTTTCTTTTCTGGTCAAATAACAAATGGTGAGTTATGAAACATTTCTGTGTAGATTTTTATTTTGACCTGAGCAGGAAGCCAAGATATAACAGCTCCCAGGAATTAAGGATTGTTAAGAGCGACGAGTCTCCACTTCTTAAACTTTGTCTCTCCTGGGCCCTTCAGCCAGCCCCTGCGTCCGCAACGCTGAACCATCTCTGGGGCCACCACCTGCATCCTCCAGCCCTTTCCAGGGGTCCCTCCTCTGGCCGGCGCCCTCCCCAGTGCCCCGCCAGCGCTTACCAACGCCGGCGGAATTCGTGCTTCTCTTCCTCCGTGGTGGCTAAAGCCTTCTTTTTCCTCATAAAGCCTAACAACTCCTGGATCTCCTTCTCACAAGAGGCCAGGAGCGGGTTTTTCGCGTCCAGCGGCCCATAAAACACGGCTAGGGGCAATGAGTCCTCGGGGCAGGTCCACTGAAGCAGCGAGCTCCGGGAGCTCCCCTTCGACTCTGGGGGCGACCTCGAAGTCGCGGTGGAGGTCGGCGGCAGTTCTGGCAGAGACCCCGAGGTGGTAGAGTCGTCTGACGGAGAGCTCGAGGGGGAGCCCTGCGCCGCCATATTGACGCGCCCCGGCCCGCCTGGAGTATGTGTACACGCGGTTGCCTGGCGACGGTCTCGTGGCAACCGGGCATCCCGCGCGCATTCCGAGAAACACAGCGGCCCCTGGAGGGCAGAGCGAGAAAGAACCAGGTCCAGAAAACAATGATGCTCCTGAGGGCGTTGCCTGGTTGTGCGCTGGCACCGCTGTATGAAATGCGAACAGAGAATGTTCTGAGCAGAGCGCTGGCGAATATTAGAGCCAAAAATTTAAGGTCACAAATCCAGACTATACTCTTTATCCATGTTGGCCACTTAATAACGATAATGATGACGACCATGACCATTAACGTGTGTCAGGCATTAAGCATTTGAAACATGTACTTTCATTTATCTCATTTAATCATCATAACTACTTTACAACTTAGGATACTATTAGTATATCCATCTCACAGTTTAGGAAACCAAAGCTCAAGGAGGTTAAGTCATTTGACAAAAGTCAGCGTACAACCGTAGTGTCAGCGACCAGGTCCTCCAAAGGGAACTTGTGACTCCAAAGCCTGTGCTCAAAATGAATAGGCTGTATTGATCACTCCCCAAAACAAAGCTTATTAATCAAATTGAAATTAGAGAAATATCTGACAAGCAGTTTAAGAATCAAATACAGTTGGCCCTCCAAATCTCGGGTTCTTCATCTGTGGATTCAAGCAACTCCAGATTGTAAATATTCAGAACAAAATTAGAAATAACAATACAACAATAAAAATAACACAAAATACAACTATTTACATGGCATTTATACTGTATTAGGTATTACTAGTTATCTAGAGATGATTTAAAACATCCTGAAGGATGTGCACAAATTATATGCAAATACTACAGCATTTCATATCAGAGGCTTGAGCATCCACAGATTTTGGTATCTGCGGGTGTCATGGAACTAGTCCCCCACAGATAGCCAGGGAGTACTGAATATGCAGCTGATCCATTCTCTTTCCTCTATTTGTACCTTGAGGTCTGTAACTGTGGACATGATGTCTATGCCTCTAATAATTATGATTACATCTATTTATGCACATTCCAGCCTTACTTTAATTATCTCTGTATTCTAAATTAATGTGCATTTTGCTCAACCTTAACCATAGGACATTAATACATACTAGTGGCCTGAAGTGTTAACTCTCAAAATACTTTGCATTTTAAACAGGGCTTTTAGGAGACTTTACTTCTGATGGGGAAACTACAGACCTCCAGGGAAATACTTGGGGAGTTTATTCTTAGCCTGTGTATTATAGGCAAAAGTCAGAGTTAAATTTATTAAAGTATGAGTATTGAGAAAATGGAGAACCTTCTTTTCTATAAATTATGCAACACAATAAATTATCTAAGAGAAGAACCAGAAATATTTGGTGGCTTAGAAAAATCAGTCTTTAACCCTGAAAATTGTTACCAGTTCTATCACACTTAAATAAAGACAGTGACCCTAACACCCTGTGAACCCAATTTTCCATTTCAGACTAAGAAGCTTATTGGACCACAGCCTGATATCTTTCAAGTCTGACCTAATTTTATGCAGGCTCTGTGGGCCTGTGCTAATTTGTGAGGCTGGCCTAATATGTCATGTCTACTGTACCCTAATATTCTTTGAAGGAAAATAATTTTGCTCATCGGCACAGTTAATTATAGCCAGAGAAACTTCCTGGCAAGCAGTGAGACGCAATGACACCTCACTGTAGGAGTCCAATTCTCTAATCAGGATGTAGATATCATCCTTTGATCAACAAAGATTTTATCTTGTTCTCTAAGTGAACAACAAAAATTGTAAGGCTTTAAAGAATGTAGTCCTAGAGAAATAATCACTGGGCATTTACAAAAATATTAATAGACATTTTTAAAAGTCGGCTTGGTAAATTCTCTTTTTTCTCATCTTTTTCTTGCTCTAACATGGCAGACTTGTCCATTGCAGATCAAAAACTGGTGTAATTTGCCACTGAGTGCTATCTATTATATTGATGAAAGTGAAACAGCAGGATAAAATTAATTAAAGTGGTCACAGAAAAGGAAAGAAAAAAATAAAAGACAAAGTGGTGTTTTTCCTTCTAATCTGGCTACTGTCACAAACAAACTTTATCATAGGGCAGACACTTGTATTTCAAAGTCACTGGTAAAAGAAAATGTGACTAAGCAAATTCAAATACCTGAATTATGAAACATTGCATCTTAGTCACTTTCCCCCTTGCACACACTAAAGCTAACAATGCTTAACTTGCAGTAGTTTTTGGAAGCTTGTCTGAATATTTAAATGGGTGTTATATTCTGAATCATCATTATGATAAGATGGAAGTTTACATTTTATTTAGTTTAAATTAAATTGGCTGGGTGTCGTGGCTCACGCCTGTAATCCCAGCACTTCAGGAGGCTCAGGTGGGCGAATCACTTGACGTCAGGAGTTCGAGACCAGCCTAGCCAACATGTTGAAATCCCGTCTCTACTGAAAACACAAATATTAGCTGGGCGTGGTGTCGGACACCTGTAATCCCAGCTACTCAGGAGACTGAAGCAGGAGAATCGCCTGAACCCGGGAGGTGGAGGTTGCAGTGAGCCGAGATCATGCCACTTCACTCCAGCCTTAGCGACAGAGCTAGACCCCATCTCAAAATAAATAAATAAATAAATAAATAAATAAATAAATAAATAATAAAAATAAAATAAATAAATTGAATTTGAGGCATTTTTAACATTTTAGAGGTGTTATCTTCCTTGTAATTAGATGCAGCCATTATAATATCTTTCTCTTTCCTTGTCACTTTGCTTTATTCTTCTCACTGTAATGAAAGAATGGAGCTGTGCAACTACTGTGTCTGACAAGCCTAAGTACTGTAAATAGCTTCCTTATAAATAATGTAAATTGCTATTTCTTATAATTAACATCTTCGCAGGCTGCAGGGAAGCTTTTTGCCCATTCGAAAGTCTTTTTTATCTAAAGCTACTGACTGTTAAAGAATATGCAAGGTTAGTGCTCTTTCAATTCTCAATTTAGTTGTTAATCATTTGGACTATCCCAAATAGATACAATATATATGATCTACCTAATATGTAGACTTTTTAAAACTTCTTCATCCATTTATTCAGATAAATGCAACCATTTTGTTAGTGTCCATACAAGGCATAGATGAACCCATACATTCCCTACAGGAAGCAGATAACACAAACTCAAATAATCATAATTAAAAGGCATGCTATGGATTAGCTGGACATGGTGGCATGTGCCTGTAATCCCTGCTACTTAGGAGGCTGAGGCAGGAGAATCACTTGATCCCAGGAGGCGAGGTTGCAGTGAGCCGAGATCGCGCCACTGCACCCCAGGCTGGGTGACAAAGTGAGACTCCATCTCAAAGAAAAAAAAAAAAAAGGAAAAGAAAAAGAAAGAAAGAGAGAAAAGAAAGAAAGAAAGAAAGAAAGAAAGAAAGAAAGAAAGAAAGAAAGAAAGAAAAGAAAAGAGAAAAGAAAGGAAAGGAAAGGAAAAGAAAAGAAAAGAAAAAAGAAAAGAAAAGGCATGCTGTGGAATGTGCTGTGAGAAAGGTTTTAAGAAATGTGGGACCGCCAGGTGTGGTCACTCACGCCTGTGATCTCAATACTTTGGGAGGCCGAGGTGGGTGGATTGCTTGAGGCCAGGAGTTTGAGACCAGCCTGGGCAACACAGTGAGACCCTGTCTCTGATTTTTAAAAAAAATTTTTTTAATTAGCCTGGCATGGTCACATGCACCTGAAATCCCAGCTACTCAAGAGGCTGAGGCAGAAAGATCACTTGAGCCAGGAGTTTGAGGCTGCAGTGAGCTATAATCACCCCACTGTATTCCAGTCTGAGCTACAGAGCAAGATCTTTTCTCAAAAAAAAGAGAGAGGAGGGGAGGGGCAGGGGAGGGGAGGGCAAGGGGGAAGGAAGACTGTGGGAGTTCTAAGATGAATCTCGGAACTGGAAAGAGAACAGAGAATTCTAGAGGAGATGATGTTTTAGCCCCAGACCGTAAATGCCTCTCACTCACAGAAAGACCCTTGCAACAAGCATTTACCTTCTTCCCATGGTAACCTAGCACCCAAATCTGGCACCTGGCACAGAGTACAGCTCAATACATCTTTGTTGGAATGAGCAAATGAAGAAAAAGAAAAAAAAAGATGAAGAGCATTTAGAAGGATATGCCTGACTGAGAGAAAAGCCTGAGTAAGGTACAAAGCCATAAACACATACAGCAAGTCTAAATAAACAAGCTGTCTAGTGTGGTGAGCCACAGGCTGCCATAGATCCGGAGGCAGAAGATGAGGCAGAAAGGGAAGTGTGATCAAATACAATGGGGAGTTGGAAGGTATGCTGAGTAATTCTGACTTGGTTTTGACTTGGTTCTGTATTCAGGAGAGAGGTTTTGTGGTTTTGTTTTGTTTTTGAGACAGATTTTCACTCTTATCGCCCAGGCTGGAGTGCAATGGCACAATCTCAACTCACTGCAACCTCTGCCTCCCGGGTTCAAGCGATTCTCCTGCCTCAGCCTCCCGAGTAGCTGGGATTACAGGCGCCCGCCACCACGCCCAGCTAATTTTTGTGTTTTTTAGTAGAGATGGGGTTTCACCATGTTGGCCAGGCTGGTCTCGAACTCCTGACCGCAGGTGATCCACCTGCCTCAGCCTCCCAAAATGCTGGGATTACAGCCGTGAGCCACTGCACCCGGCCAAGAGAGGCTTTGTTTAAAAAAAAAAAAAAAAAAAAAAAAACAGTACATTAAAGATGTTAAAAGCCCACGCAGTGGCTCACACCTGTAATCCCAGTGAAACGGAAAAGTTCCCTTGTCCCCCTTGCAGGGCGTGCGATGGGGGTGTGGATCGCTTCTTGAGTGCCCCGCTGCTCAAACCTCTAGGGGAGTATACAGACAGGCAGGCTGTGGGGTTCTGACCCCAAGGCAGTGTCTAGGGGTAAATGTTTACAGCTGAAGCCCCAGTGGGCATGTGTTACAGGGTGCTCTTTTAGTTTAGTCATCCATAGGCAGCTTGCTAGCTCAGTTAGACCCCTGCCTTATCGCAAGGACAGAGGGCTTTCTGAATCCCGGGGTTCTTGCCTTGGTGTACGGGAAGAACCGGATCACACGTGGGCCTGGAGAATGAGTGCAAGGTTTTATTGAATGGAAGTAGCTCTCAGCAGATGGGGGAGCCAGAAGGGAGATGGCTTTCCCCTGGAGTGGGGCTGCTTAGCGGCCTGGGCTCTCCTCCGACTGCCCCAGCCAAACTCTGCCTCGTTCTGCCAGTGGATGGCCGTGCGGCGTGCCAACGTCTATCGGTGTGCTCTTCCGCTGGCGTGCTCTCTTTGACGTCCTCTCGACATCTAGCCTCTTGTGTCTTTTTCAACCGATGTGTTCCTCTCCATGTCCAGCCACCTGTAGGTCTGCCTGCTAGGGTCTTCGGGGTTTTTATAGGCACAGGATAGAGGCGTGGCAGGCCAGGGTTGTCTTGGCAAATGCAACATTTGGGCATGAAGGCAGAAGTGCCTGTCCTCACCTAGGTCCATGGGCACAGGCCGGGGATGGAGCCTTCACCAGGGACCATGCCCTTCCTTTCCCAGCACTTCCCTTCCAACCTTCCCTATCACCAGCACTTTGGGAGGCGGAGGCAGGCAGATCACTTGAGGCCAGAAATTCGAGAACAGCCTGACCAACATGGTGAAACCTAGTCTCTACTAAAAACACAAAATTAGCTGGGCGTGGTGGCAGGTGCCTGTAAGCCCAGCTGCTCAGGAGGCTGAGGCAGGAGAATCGCTTGAACTCAGGAGGCAGACTTTGCAGTGAGCCAAGATGGCACCATTGCACTCCAGCCTGGGCAACAGAGCAAAACTCTGTGTCATAAATAAATAAACGCCCAAATTCTGAGGCCAAAGAGCATGGTTTGAATCCTCACTTCTTCCAAGTTACTTAACCTCATTGTGCCCCATTTTCTTAATCCGTAAACCAGGTGCTGGGTTCTCAGGACATATGCAATGAATCCAGTATAACATCCCTACTTCCTTGAGCCTTCCGACCTTTTCTTCAATATGATATCAAGGAAGTTCTGTCATCTCCACTTCATTTGATGTGGAACATTATCAGATCAATGCTTCAAGAAGTCATCTCATTAAGTTATTAGGAATTCTGAATCATGGGTGAGTATTCCCATATTAATGAATTCTACCCTCGTCACTTTTGCATTCTGTGCCCCGGTCTAACATATTCAAGACTCACTCCTACACATGTTCTCTGCAGTTTCAGCTACTACTTATTAGCCAGATCCCACAATTCCTTTGCCATGTAAGCAATTTCTTCTTAGAGCAGAGCTTGTAATTTCCTGCTCAGGCTGTGCTGAAACCTGACTTTCCTTTCCAGCCAGAAGGCAATGAAGTGTATTGGGGGCACATCTTGAGGAAAACAAGTCTCACCATGAAAGGCACCTGCTTCAGATTAGGTCATTATATGTTCCCCCAGGCAAGCAGAGATTGTTTTTCTCTGGCAAATGGTTAGGGGCTATTTTTGCAAGTATAGGGGGCTCAGAGAAATTTAGAGGTTCAAAGTTCTTGGGCTTGTCTACCTAAATGTTTCCACTTCAGGTCTCTCGGCCTCCACCTTTTCTTGGACTTTCTGCTGTATAATCAGATCCTGGACCCGGTCTTTAGCAAAATCTACCCTGCAGCTGTCCTAAGCTGCAGTAGAGGCACTGTCTTTCAGAGCATGCCTTCAGTTGTGAATTAACTGCTCTAAGACAATCAGGTCCCTGTTGCCTTCAGATAGGTGACAATTCAACTCTAAAATCTAATCCTGAGTGTCCAATTTTTTTTCTTTTTTTTTTTTTTCTTTTTAGATGGAGTTTTGCTCTTGTTGCCCAGGCTGGAGTGCAATGGTGCTATTTCGGCTCACCACAACCTCTGCCTCCCCAGTTCAAGGGATTCTCCTGCCTCAGCCTCCCAAGTAGCTGGGATTACAGGCATGCACCACCACGGGGTTTCTCCATGTTGGTCAGGCTGGTCTCGAACTCCCTACCTCAGGTGATCTACCCGCCTCGGCCTCCCAAACTGCTGGGATTACAGGCGTGAGCTACCATGCCCAGCCGAGTGTCCACTTTTTACACCTCACTTTATTGTGTTAACCTGAGTTTCCTAAAAAACAAGAGTTTGAGGCAAAGGCTTAAGTGCTAGTGCTTCACTTAGTAGTGTAATTTCCGTGAAGCAAGAATGAAGAGAAAAGAAAGTGGGACAGGGACAGATGAAAAGAAGTACAATGCCGGCCTTCTTCACATCATGAAGAAACACAACGAGTTGCTCAGTCATGCGGGATGTGTCCCAACAGGCTATCTACATCTCTATATACTACATCTTAGAGGAGTTTGTAAGAGGAAAAGGTAGAGAGAAAATATACCTGCTGCCCTTCTCCTGGTCAAGATTCACCACTCTACTTCCAGGTTGGATCACCTTGCCCCTTCAGCAGCTACTGACGATGCCAAATCTCATACCTTGTGATATAGTGTTTCATCCCAGTTCAAAAGCAGTGAAAGGGCCAGGCACGGTGGCTCACACCTACAATCCCAACACTTTGGGAGGCCAAGGCGGGAAGATCACCCGAGACCAGGAGTTCAAAACCAGCCTGGCCAACATGTGAAACCCCATCTCTGCTAAAAATATAACAATTAGCCAGGAGTGGTGGCAGGTGCCTGTAATTCCAGCTACTCGGGAGGCTGAAGCAGGAGAATCACTTGAACCCAGGAGGTGGAGGTTGCAGTGAGCTGAGATCATGCCACTGCACTCCAGCCTGGGTGACAGAGCAAGACTCCATCTCAACAACAACAAAAACAACAACAACAACAACAAAAGCAGTGAAAGGAACTGGGCACAGTGGCACATGGCTATAGTCCCAGCTACTTAGGAGGCCAAGGTGGGAGGATCATTTGAACCCAAGAGTTCAAGTACAACCTTGGCAACATAGTGAGACCCCATCTCAATATTTTTTTTAAAGTGGTGAAAGGAGCCAAAAACGCCACATAGTGGCCTCAGGTGGTGGAACCAAGCAGGCCAGGATGGGGTTTCTCCAACCTGGAGGCAGTCATCAGAGCAGTTGCTGGAAAGCAGTAAGTGGTAGAGGGCCTAGAAAGTCAGTGAAGACAGAAAACCCAAGGCTTTGCATAAGGTGTGTCTAGTATACAAGTCCTCTTGGATGATAATGCCAGCAACACCCTAAGGAAAAGAGAGCAGCAAGATGGAAGGAGCCTGGATTCCTTCACACTGTGAAGCCCTGGTATGAGTCCTAGACCACTCACCCAACTTACTATGTGAGAGGAAAATAAACTTTCAGCGGACAGGCGCGGTGGCTCACGCCTGTAATCCCAACACTTTGGGAGGCTGAGGAGGGCGGATCATGAGGTCAGGAGATTGAGACCGTCTTGGCCAACATGGTAAAACCCCGTCTCTACTAAAATACAAAAAATTAGCCGGGCGTAGTCATGCGTGCCTGTAATCCCAGCTACTTAGGAGGCTGAGGCAGGAGAATCGCTTGAACCCGGGAGGCAGAGGTTGTAGTGAGCTGAGATGGCACCACTGCACTCCAGCTTGACGACAGAGCAAGACTCCATCTCGAAAAATAAAATAAAATAAACAAACATAAGTAAATAAATAAATAAACTTTCACCTTGTTTCAGGTACTGGGATTGGAGGTTTTCGTAGGAGGTGCCAACCCTTTACTACAACTATTGTACCCTATCACCTAGAAGTTTTATTTCTTGGGCCAGGTGCAGTGGTTCACACCTGTAATCTCAGCACTTTGGGAGGTGAAGGCGGGTGGATCACCTGAGGTCAGGAGTTCGACACCAGCCTGGCCAACATGGTGAAACTCCGTCTCTACTAAAAATACAAAATTAGCCAGGCGTGGCAGCGGGCACCTGTAATCCCATCTACTTGGGAGGCTGAGACAGGAGAATCACTTGAACCAGGGAGGTGGAGGTTGGAATGAGCCGACATCACACCACTGCACTCCAATCGGGGCAACAAGAGCAAAACTCCATCCCAAAAAAAAAAAAAAGAAATTTTATTTCTTGATTTCTTGAAATCAGCTTTAGAAATCATACATATGCATAAAGATGCATATACAGATATATACAGAACATACAGCAGATGTTTATTGCTAACCTTAAATGCTTACAATAGTAAAGCATTAAAAACAATCACTGGGTGCGGTGGCTCACACCTGTAATCCCAGCACTTTGGGAGGCCAAGGCAGGCAGATCACCTGAGGTCAGGAGTTCGAGACCAGCCTGACCAACATGGAGAAACCCCATCTCTACTAAAAATACAAAATTAGCTGGGTGTGGTGGTGCATGCCCGTAATCCCAGCCATTCGGGAGGCTGAGGCAGGAGAATTGTTTGAACCCAGGAGGCGGAGGTTGCAATGAGCCGAGATCGCGCCATTGTACTCCAGCCTGGGCAACAAGAGTGAAACTCTGTCTCAAAAACAAAAACAAAAAAACACAATATAAATGTACATCAATAGAGTAATGCATAGATAAACTATAGTTTAGCTATAGTATTGAATACTACTCAGCACCCAAAGGGAATGTAGTGGGTTTTAATGTCTTAACATAAACATATTTTTAAGACTTTTTTAAATCAAAAAATTGCAATATAATGTAAACAGTACGCCAACATTTATCTATATGTACCACAAAAATGATACTATAATATTTGTGTTTATATGTATGTTTGTATGTATTATGAGAGAGGGAAGAAAAGAGAGAGAGATCAAAAATGAGAGTGAAAATAAATGTGTTGAGAAGTTCTGAAAGAAAACCCAATACATTGTTAACAGTGGTTACATTTTGGAATGAACTGGAATTGAAAATATAGGATCAAATGAGATTTTAAACTTGTCTGTATTGTTTTCCCTTTTTTTAACTTTTATTTTAAGTTCAAGGGTACATGTACAGGATGTGCAGGTTTGTTACATAGGTAAACATGTGTCATGCGGGTTTAAGAAAGACCTTCCTGTATTACTTGTGTAATTAAAAGTTAATTTTAAAATATAAAAGTCAATGTAGGGCCAGGTGTGGTGGCTCATGCCTGTAATCCCAGCACTTTGGGAGGCCGAGGCGGGCAGATCACTTGAGGTCAGGAGTTCAAGACCAGTCTGGCCAACATGGTGAGACCCCATCTCTACCAAAAAAAAAATAATAATAATAATACAAAAAAAAAAGTCAATGTAAAAGTAAAACTATTAACAGTTTGTTATCCCAGGAAGATGGGATTACAAGGAATCTTTGCTCCATGTTCTTTTCTGTACCTCAAAATTTTTCTACAATGAAAATATACTACCTTTGTTGTAAAATAAAATACTTTTTTATGGCAGGGGGTGGGGGACAGAATGTCACTATGTTGCCCAGGCTGGAGTGCAATGGCACAATCTCAACTCACTGCAACCTCCGCCTCCCAGGTTCAAGCAATTCTCATGCCTCAGCCTCCTGAATAGCTGGGACTACAGGTGTGTGCCACAACACCCAGATAATTTTTGTATTTTTAGTAGAGACAGGGTTTCACCATGTTGGTCAGGCTGGTCTTGAACTCCTGACCTCATTATCCACCCACCCCGGAATCCCAAAGAGGTGGGATTACAGGCATGAGCCATTGCGCCTGGCTAAAATACTTTTTTACCTAAAGTGTAAAAATATAGACACATGACAACAGTACTATAAACTAAAAATAAGACTTCTATAGACTTTATTAGACAAAATTTCCACTAACTGCATTATTCTGGTGAAAGCATTTAGGAGCACATTCTTGGACTATATACTATTTGTTTCATTTATTGAATCTCAAAAAAAAAAGCAGAAAATATTTTGACTCATTTACGCAGTTTTAAGACCAAACTCCAAGACTTAGGGTCTACATGAACCCCCAAAATAGGCATATTGCTTTAAATGTACATCCTACCTCTCACTTGGATCGTCTTTCCTAGCTTTCTTCTTTAAACATGAATTTAAAGAAGAGGCAGGGTATGGTGGCTTGCACCTGTAATCTCAGGACTTTGGGAGGCCAAGGCAGGATTGTTTGAGGCTAGCAGTTCAAGACCAGCCTTGGCAACATAATGAGACTCTATCTCTACAAAAAATACAAAAATTAGCCAGGTGTGGTGGCGTGCATCTGTAGCCCTAGCTACTTGGGAGTCTGAGGTGGGAGGATTGGTTGAGCCCAGGACTTGGAGGTTGCTGTGAGCTGTGATCACGCCACTGCATTCCTGCCTGGGCAACAGAGTGAGAGCTTGTCTCTAAAAAAAAAATAATAAAAAACAAAGAGTACAACTCTGTGCTTACAACAAGGCAGGAAGTAAAGGGGGGATATGCAAATAGAGATTGCAATCCACAATGCTAACTTCCCTAAGGAAAAGCTTAAGCAGAGTGTAAATTGGAAGAGCACTGAGAGGAGAATGTTCTTGGGATCTTATCTGTCATATAACATGCTGATCAAAGAAAAACTGAACGTTTTATCTGACTCTCTGAGTTGGTGAGAAAACCCCAGTCTAATGATTTCCAAACCTTTTTACTATAATGAGCGGTAAGAAATACAAAGAGTATAATGATTTTACTTTTAATTTGGTTCTTGCCAGAAGGCTGATTGTTAATTGCCGTTGATTTTGTCTGTTACCAAATTGGGATGAGAAACAGTTGTATCTTTCAATTCTGCAAAGTCCCAGAGTTTTTGGACTGTTTCATTCTTCTTTGTTTGAAAATCAGATACTATAATTATTTTCTGAGCCCCTCTCTTTTTTTTATTACCTTGGCAAATATAACCACTAGCAACCAACACATTTTTTATTCCCCAACCCTTCACCTAAAAATCCAAGTTTTTTGTTTGTTTGTTTGTTTGTTTGTTTTTGTTTTTTGAGACGGAATCTTGCTCTGTTGCCCAGGCTGCAGTGCAGTGGCACGATCTTGGCTCACTGCAACCTCCACTTCCCAGGTTCAAGGGATTCTCCTGTCTCAGCCTCCCAAGTAGCTGGGATTCCAGGCATGTGCTACTGTGCCCAGCTAATTTTTTGTATTTTTAGTAGAGACAGGGTTTCACCATGTTGCCCAAGATGATCTTGAACTTCTGATCTCAGATGGTCTTGCCCGCCTCAGCCTCCCAAAGTGCTGAGCCAGGTGTGAGCCACCATGCCCCCAAATTTATTATGTTAATACTTAATAATAATAATAAATAATAAATACTTAATAAACACTACCAAAGTATTGCAGGTAACAGTTTTAGTAAATGTTTCATCACTGAATAGCATGAGTTGCCATCTTTCTAGGCTCCCATGAACAGTTTCCTTGCTGCTCACTATCTGGCTCTGTCAGGGAAACAGGAGCATGAGAGAGCCAGGGTGACACCATTTTCAAATCAACTCCATCTTAAAACTTACAAGGCACGGCCGGGCGCGGCGGCTCACGCCTGTAATCCCAGCACTTTGGGAGGCCGAGGCGGGCGGATCACGAGGTCAGGAGATCGAGACCATCCTGGTTAACACGGTGAAACCCCGTCTCTACTAAAAATACAAAAAATTAGCCGGCCGCGGTGGCGGGCGCCTGTAGTCCCAGCTACTCAGGAGGCTGAGGCAGGAGAATGGCGTGAACCCGGGAGGCGGAGTTTGCAATGAGCCCAGATCGCACCACTGCACTCTGGCCTGGGCGAAAGAGCAAGACTCCGTCTCAAAAAAAAAAAAAAAAAAAACTTACAAGGCACATTCCTTGCCAGTCACGACCCATGGCCATAAGATGTCTAAGGCTAAGGAAGCAGTTTAGTAACACCTGCAAGGACAAACTTCTATGAACACACAATGTCCAGATGTCCCGATACCCATAACAACATATGCTTTCAAGATAACTAGAGTTATGCTTTGATGTACTTACACACTAGAATGTCAAAGATAGTTTTCTTTAAATGAATAGAATAATAAATTTTGTCATGCTGTCAGCCCACCCAACATAGACACAGCTTAGTTTGGTCTTTACATAGTCAAGACCCCTGTATAAGTATAATAAAACTTAAAGACAAGGCATTCCTCCGCTTGCTTTCTGAGGGTGCCATACTCTGTATCTGAGTAACTTTCAATAAACTATCTCTTCTCATTACACTCTGCGACTCACCTTGAATTCCTTCCTGTGTTACATCCAAGAACTCTCTCTTGGAGTCTGGATCAATAGCCCATTTTCCGGCAACATCTCTGTAGCCAGTGCCATACATTGTAAGTTTTTCATTACCCCAACATCCCAATTCCAGTACAAAACACTATGAAACACTACAACAGTCTCCTTAGGCTAAATTATGCTACAGTAACAAACAATCCCATATCCCCATGGCTTGCAAAAACAAAGTTTTATCCCTTGCTCACATTCCTGAATAATGTGGGTCCCAGGCTGAAGGACCAAGCCATATCTGGGACATTGCCAGTCTCAGGGCAGAGGGGAGAAAATGATAGAGGAACAATTCAGGGCATCTTAAAGCTTTGTCTCCAAAGTGGCACCCAGCACTTGCACTCACATTTCATTTTCTAAATCAACTCAAATGTTCAAGGCTGCTCTCAGTGGGGCTGAGCAGTATAATCCCCCACAGGGAGAAGCACCTACTATTTTGAACAATAATACCATCTACCAGAGTATCTTAAATTTAACATCATTCAAAGTAACAAATATCTTTTTCCCAACTTACTCCTCTCTCCTTCTTTCTCGGTCTCTCAGCAAGTAACAGATGCCATTAGTGGAGGCTCCAGAATTTTCATACTAGAAGAGGGTTAAAAGCAATTAATGTCTTGCTAGAAGAGGGCTGTGGCAATTAGGTTAGAAGGAAGAGCTAGGAAACTAGTTTTGAAGCTGCATCTTGTTTTTTTGTTTGTTTGTTTTTAAGACAAAGTCTTGCACTGTTGCCCAGGCTGGAGTGCAGTGGCGCGATCTCCACTCATTGCAACCTCCGCCTCCCAGGTTCAAGCGATTCTCCTGCCTCACCCTCCTGAGTAGCTGGGATTACAGGCACCTGCCACCACTCCCCACTAATTTTTTGTATTTTTTTTAGTAGAGATGGGGTTTCACTATGTTGGCCAGGCTGGTCTTGAACTCCTGACCTCGTGATCCGCCCGCCTTGGCCTTATAAGCAAACACATTGTTTTCATTTAGATCGTATGATCATTTAAGTTGGCTTGATAGAGCTGATGGAAATTATGAAGTGGCCAATGTTCCCTCAACTCACCCCCTTGGCCCTTCACTGGATACCACCATTCAGTTACCCAAGCAAGAACAATGGTATCTTTGAATCCTCTTATTCCATTTCCAGTCCCAGTCTCTAGACCCGTACTTGTCCAATTCAACAGTCACTAGCTACCTGTGACTAATGAGCACTTGAAATGTGGCTTACCCACATTTAGATGTGCTATAAGTGTAAAATACACAACCGATTTTAAAGACTTTGTATAAAAACGACATGTATATCTTCATAAAATTTTATATTGATGACATATATATATATATATATATATATATATATATATATATATATTTTTTTTTTTTTTTTTTTTTTTGAGATGGAGTTTCGCTCTTGTTGCCCAGGCTGGAGTACAATGGCATGATCTCGGCTCACTGCAACCTCTGCCTCCCGGGTTCAAGCGATTCTCCTGACTCAGCCTCCCAATTAGCTGGGATTACAGGCATGTGCCACCACGCCCAGCTAAATTTTTTTGTATTTTTAATAGAGAGGGGTGTTTCTCCATGTTGGTCAGGTTGGTCTTGAACTCCCAACCTTCAGGTGATCCACCTGCCTCGGCCTCCCAAAGTGCTAAGATTACAGGCATGAGCCACTGCGCCTGGCCATATTGATGATATTTTTAAATGACAATATTTTGAGCATATTTGATTAAATAAATAAATTATTAAAATGAAGACTACTTC
The DNA here is from genome assembly GCF_000001405.40 of Homo sapiens. Taxonomy (NCBI): domain Eukaryota; kingdom Metazoa; phylum Chordata; class Mammalia; order Primates; family Hominidae; genus Homo; species Homo sapiens. The sequence goes on along the minus strand of NC_000012.12, from coordinate 96,474,666 downwards.
TTTTTACCTTTTTTAGGTGGCTACTAGACAATTTTAAATTACACACATGGCTCTCATTTTCGGCTTGCATTGTATTTCTATTGAACATTGCTACTCTAGGCTGTCTTTTCCTCTTCATCTCCACTGTCCCAGCCTTAACTTAGGCCTTCATCCTCTTTCAAAAGGTTTTTGGGAGGGTTTTGTGTTTTTGGTTTTGTTTTGGTTGGTTTTGGTTTTGATTTTGAGACAGGGTCTTGTTCTGCACCCGCGGCATAGTGCAGTGGCATGATCACAGATCACTGAAGCCTCAATCTCCCGGGTTAAAGCAATTCTCTCACCTCAGCCTTCCCAGTAGCTGGGACCACTGGCACGTGCCACCATGTCTGGCCTTCAGTGAGGTTTCTGCAAAAACCTCCTAATCACTTTTTCTGCCTCCAGTCTGGCCTCTCTCCAACCCATTCTTCAAAGTGGCCAGAATGATCTTTTTAAAATGCAAATCAAATCACGCAAACTCAACCAGTTTGACATCCTTTCATAGGTCTCCATTGCCTTTAATTTTGTATCTCCATACAGAAAGCCCTCCCTAATGATCTAGACACTGGTTTTCAACCTAGGGTCCTTCTAGCCCTGGAATACACCAAGACTTTCCAAATGTATGGGCATGTCTGATTTCAGGAGAGTCCATTTCCAGATCCTTGACTTTTGTATTCTCTGCATATTTATTTACCTTCGAAGGCACTTGCACTCAAAGTTCTCTTCTCTCCTTCCCTTCCACCATTGCTCTAATCTCCTAACAAAACAAAGGCATCTGGAATCTTACTATGAGTCATTGATGGAACAATTAAACAATTTATTTAAGCAAGGCACATTACAGCCTCCTTACACGTTGTAAGATGTATTGACAATATAATATTTATAATATGCTATACACTTATTTTAAAATATGCAATAAAATACAGAATTTGGGGAATATTTTTATGGGGCAAAGTAAACAAAAAGTTTGAAGACAACTATGTAGTTCATCTGTGATGACACCTCACCCACGCTACCCATACCACCACTAGCACCACCACCCCACAACGCTCACACCTTCCTATGTTCAGCTTGATTCTGGGGGCTCAGCCTATCAGCCAATCTCAGCCTGGTAGCCTCAGAACATTCTCCCTCACTCTTTCCCCAGTTCATTATCACTTCTTGTTTCTGCTTTTTTCATGGCATCATCAGAAGAGGTTACTTTTCAGTTTTGCTATGCAGGGAGTTCTTTGAATTTTCTCTTATTATGTGAACTTTGACTTTTATTGCACTTTATGAAATGACCTTGAAGGAAGATGCAGGTATTATTTATCTGTTCAACTTTCATTATCATTGGAGTACTCTTTGCCAAGACTTCTCTTTTTTCAGCAGTCAAAGAAAGCTGTTTGTTTTTCCCAAATTGGCATTATTTTTTTTTTTTTTTTTGAGATGGAGTCTGGTTCTGTCACCCAGGCTGGAATGCAGTGGCACCATCTCAGCTCAGGGCAACCTCCATCTCCTGGGTTCAAGCAATTCTCCTGCCTCAGACTCTCGAGTGGCTGAATACAGGTGCACACCACCACATGCGGCTAATTTTGTATTTTTTTTAGCAGAGACACAGTTTCACCATATTGTCCAGGCTGGTCTCAAACTCCTTACCTTAAGTGATGTGCCCACCTCAGCCTCCCAAAGTACTGGTATTACAGGCATAAGCCACCGCGCCCAGCCCCTACAATGTATTTTTTTTTCTTCTTTTTTTTGAGACAGTGTCTTGCTCTTGTCACTCAGGCTGGAGTGCAGTGGCACGATCTCGGCTCACTGCAACCTCTGCCTCCTGGGTTCAAGCGATTCTCCTGCCTCAGCCTCTTGAGTAGCTGGGATTACAGGCACCTGCCACCATGCCCAGCTAAGTTTTGTATTTTTAGTGGAGACGGGGTTTCATCATGTTGGCCAGGCTGGTCCCGAACTCCTGACCTCAGGTGACCCACTGGCTTCGGCCTCCCAAAGTGCTACAGGCATGAGCCACCACGCCCACATGATTAGTTTTAAGTGTTGCTGAAACATCTGTTTCACATAGTTATTACTCAGGATTTAAAACAAAAAACAAGAGACACCAAGATCTGTTAAATTCACGTAGTAAATAAACAGACATGTTTACCTTGTGCTGTTTAGATTGACAGCTGCTGCTTATTTGTTCCCTCATTGTGGTTGTTCTCTGCTGTCACTAAATTCACTGCCAAGGTCACTGTGGGAACAGTCACAGGGCATATAAAAGAGTGGTTAGGGATGTGGGCTCCAGGGCCAGAGTGTCTGATTTAGCGGCCTTGGTTGTGTAACCTGGAAAATTCATTGAACCTCTCCGTGCATCAGTTTTCCCATCTGTAAACCGGGGATAATAAGGACAGTAACTACCTCATAGAGTTGTTATGAGAGTTAAATTAATAAAACTATTGAAGTGCCTAAAATGGTGTCTGACGCAGAATATGCACTGAATAAATAACAACATTTTTTAAAAGTATGTGGGTCAATATCATATTTGACACAACTCTTAATGACTTCAGAATTCCCCTCATGATCCAGAATATTTTCAAGCTAACATATCAAACTTCTGGATTTTAACCAATAATCCATGTTTCTTGCATTGCTAAAGGATAAATAAAAATTGACACTAAATTCTTCAAACCCAGAAATTCCAAAAATTTTATGTCCTCAGGGACTCACTGTGTCCTGAAGTGCAAGGATGTGGACTATGGGCCCTGGACCAAATGATTAAGTTCAAATCTGACACCACAACATTGCTTGCTGTGGAACTCTGACCAAGTAACTTAACTGGCTATGCTTCAGTTGACTCATCAGTGAAATGGGGAGTGCTAGACATTTGCCTGTTTGCTTCCAAATCCATTCCTTCCCTACCCCTTCTCTGCTCTGTGTCACAGGGAACTTCATCTCTCATGCCCTTCCCAATCGGGTTCTAGTTTGATTTGGTCAATAAGAGGCACCGGTAAAAAATTTGAGAGTGAAAGAAAGAGAGAAGCCAGAGTGTTTGTCTCTATGTCCTCAATAGCTTAGGGCAGCAGCTCTAACAGCCTGATCCCTGTATGACTCCAGTTCCCACTGGCCAGGCTCTCTGTGATCATGGTTTGGATGAGCAACTCCTGGCCTCCCTTTGTCCCTCTGGCATGCCTTCCTGCTGTTATTAATGTCTAGGATGCCTCATTGTCCTCTATTTGGCTTTGCAGTCCTCCCATATAACTAATTACTCACATTAAATTCCTATTCTTGCTATTTAAAATAATTTATTGTGGAATTTTGCCTCCAGAAAGATGGAGTGGATATACTTTTCCCTATTCTTCCAACAAAGTACAGATAAACATCTTGGACAGTATGTGTAAAAAAGGGGCCAGGCACGGTGGCTCACACCTGTAATCCCAGCATTTTGGGAGGCCAAGGCAGGAGGATCACGACGTCATGAGTTCAAGACTACCCTGGCCAAGAGACCAGCCTGGTCAATATGGTGAAACCCCATCTCTACTAAAAATACAAAAATTAGCCAAGCTTGGTGGCAGGTGCCCGTAATCCCAGCTACTTGGGAGGCTGAGGCAGGAGAATTACTTGCACCTGGGAGGTGGAGGTTGCAGTGAGCCAAGATCTCACCATTGCACTCCAGCCTGGGCAATAGAGTGAGACTCCAACTCAAAAAAAAAAACAAAAAAAAAAACAACAAAAAGCAGACTCTGAAAGGAGGGACCCAAGCAACAAGATGGCAGTGAGTTTTCTTTTTGCTTCACATATTCCAGGTGGGGTGCTAGAGAAGCTGGCAACCTAGAAACTCCAATGGAAGCAAGAAGAAGAAAAAAAAATAAGGCAAGGAAAGCCTGCTCTTCCCAGACAAAGGACCTGGAAAGGGGTAGCTTAGCAAGACCATAAACTTGTAGACAGTAACCATTCTATTCTAGCCAAATACCGCAGAAGAAACTGCAACTCCCACCTTCAGCCCCACCAGCAATGAACAAATGAGGAGCCTAGATTTTTCACCCTGGATGTAACAAGGTGCCTCAACTACCTCCAGAGAGGCCTAGTAAGAAATCAGGGTATTTCTCCTCATCTGGTGGTAATAAGGCACCCTTCCCTTTCCTGACTGTGATTGTGTCAGCAGAGGGCTAGTGGAGGATCAGGATTTTCATACCCAACCAGTGGTAACAAAGCCACTCTCTCAGGGAATCAGTATGTGGAAACAGTAGCAAGGTACTCTTGTCCCTTTCAGCCATGCTGATATCAACAGAGACCCAATGGGGACTTTGACTTCCCATGACCAACCATCAATAAAGGAGAACCTTCTCCTGCCAAAGTGGTATCAGAGGAAGCTGCTAAAACAGAAGATTTAAATAACATACAGTGTCTCATAATATAATTGCAAAAATGTCCAAGTTTCATTTAAAAATCATTCATCATACCAACAACAAAGAATATCCCAATCTGAATTTTTAAAAAATTAGCAGACACCAACATGACACAAATGTTAAAATTCTCAGACAAGAATTATAAATCAGCCATCATAAGAATGAGTCAATGAACATGCAAACTTGAAACAAATGAAAACATAGGAAGTCTCAGCAAAGAAATAGAAGTTATAAAGAACAATCAAATGGAAATTTTGGAACTGAAAAATATAACAAATGAAATAAAAACAACTTGCTGGATAGGCTCAACAGTAAAATAGAGAGGAAAGAGGAAAGAACCAATGAACTTGAAGAATAAAACAAATTACCCAATTAGAACATCAGACAGAAAGTACACTGAAAAAAAAAAGGAATAGTCTAAAGACATGAACCTATGTAATAAAAAAGCTAATAAACTTGGTTTATCTAAACAAAATAAATCCAAAGAAATCCACACCAAGACACATCACGGTCAAACTTCCAAAAACTAAAAACAAAGAAAAAAATCTGAAAGCAGCTACAGTGAAACAATACCTTATCAATAGGATAAAAACAATTTGAAAGACAATATATTTCACACCAAAAAGTGTGAATGCCATAAAGAAGTAGCACAGCATTTTCCAAGTACTGAAAACAAACAAAATATGGCCAACCCAAAATTCTATATCCAGTGAAAATATCCTTCAGAAACGAAGGAGAAACACTTTGGAAGGCCGAGCTGGGTGGGTCACCTGAGGTCAGGAGTTTGAGACCAGCCTGGCCAACATGGGGAAACCCCATCTCTACTAAAAATACAAAAATTTGCTGGGTGTGGTGGCGGGTGCCTGTAATCCCAGCTACTCAGGAGGCTGAGGCAGGAGAATCTCTTGAATTTAGGAGGCAGAGGTTGCAGTGAGCCTGAATTGTGCCATTGCACTCCAGCCTGGGCGAGAAGAGCGAAACTGTTCCCCCCGCAAAAATAAATAATAAATAATAAATAATAAAATTATATGGAGCGTGGTCTGTGACCAAAATGGACTCAAACTAGAAATAAATAGCAGAAAAATAACAGAAAAATCTCCTAACACTTGGAAACTAAACGACACACTGCTAAATAATTCATCAAAGAGGAAGTCTCACATGAAATCAAAATATGCATTGAACTAAAAGAAAGTGAAAATACAACATATCAAAACTTATGGGACCTGGGCAATGTAGTACTGACACATTAAATTTACAGCACTGAATGATTACATTCTAAAGGAGGAAAAGTCTCAAATTGATAATCCAAACTCTCCTCTCAAAAAACTAGAAAAAGAGGAGCAAAATAAACCCAAAGCAAACAGAGAGGAAGAAATAATAAATATTAGAGCAGAAATCAATGAAATTTAAATAACTGATTGGACTTGACTAACACAAAGGCATAAATTTAAACTTAGTGCACATATTTGTTGTGAGGATTAAATGAATTGATAAGTGCAAAATGTTTATAACAGTACGCACCCAGCCAGGCGCAGTGGCTCATGCCTGTAATCCTAACACTTTGGGAGGCCGAGGCGGGCGGATTACCTGAGGTCAGGAGTTCAAGACCAGCCTGGCTAACATGGTGAAACCCCAGCTCTACTAAAATACAAAAATTAGCCGGGCATGATGGCGGGTGCCTGTAATCCCAGCTACTTGGGAGGCTGAGATGGGAGAATCACTTGAACCCGGGCGATGGTGGTTGCAGTGAGCCAAGATCATACCATTGCACTCCAGTCTGGGTGGCTGACGGACACGCCGTCTCAAAAAAAAAAAAAAAAACAGTACGCACCTTAAAGTAAATGTTCAATAAATGTTAGTTTTTATCATTTGTTAACAAAATATATGAGTGAGAACAATTGGAGCAAGATGTTATAAGAGCCACTAATTTTTTGAATAAAAATATAAAAGAGCAATTGTTAGGGTGACAAATTTATTCTTTCAAAAGAGTTGTTTTGGGGACCCTACCAACTCACAAAGAAATGTTACATTTCTGTTTATCTACTATCATATTTTCAATTCTCATCTTCATAATAAACCCTATTCACAGTGTCATGAGTACAATGCTAAAATCACCAGGTTCAGCTGAGTGCAGTGGCTCACGCCTGTAATCCCAGCACTTTAGGAGGTTGAGATAGGCAGATCACGAGGTCAGGGGTTCGAGACCAGCCTGGCCAATATGATGAAACCCCATCTCTACTAGAAATACAAAAATTAGTTAGGCGCAGGGGCACGCGCCTGTAGTCCCAGCTACTCAGAAGGCTGAGGCAGGAGAATCGCTGGAACCCAGGATGCGGAGGTTGCAGTGAGCTGAGATCGCACCACTGCACTCCAGCCTGGGCGACAGAGCAAGACTCTGTCTCAAAAAAAAAAAAAAAAAAAAAAAAATCACTAGGTTCACTGTCAACAAAACCAGTTTGTTTTTTTTTCCAGTTCCTCATCACAAATTAATGTCTTTCAACTCTCTGTGTGTGAAGTTAAAATCAGTAAAACATTGATAAACTTGATAGCGAGGCCAGGGATTGTGCATGTGTATTAATTGTTGTATCCCAAATGCTTAGAACAATGCTTCACACTTAGTAGTTACTCCACAAATATTTGTTGAATGAATGGATGAGTGAATAAGCACAGAAAAATGAATGACCAATGTGAAAGGTAAAGGAAAATGGAAGATTTGAACATAAATTCAAAGTTTCAAGCCTGACCACCTGCACGAATTCTAATGATTTTATCAGTCAAGATAAGAACTGTAAGAGATGGCTTGAGGCACTTGCTATACAACTTTCAGGCAGGTAGCCAGTGCATGTAAACTTCCTTTACTCCAAAAACCATTCCCCACTCACCCAGCAGTCTTGTATGAAATGACCTCATCACCAGTCATGGTTGATTGGACCAGGGATAAACACTTGACCCAGTTGAATCAATCGGATTCTTTCTCCTGGAGAATCTGAAACTGAGATTCTGTTGGGCATAGTAGAACTGAATATACAGGTGGTCAATTTCTGTCAAGAGCTTGGAGAAGCAGAGAAAGCCAGTCTGGAGAGAGAGAAATATGATGTCTCAGAAAAGCAAAGGCAGAAGCTGGAGAGAGAGGATTGCCTATGTTAGTGAGAGTTTTCTGGTCTTGATTGTAATCCCTCCAGAGGTCCAGCTGCTTTCCTGCCTTTGTTTCTGGATATCCTCCCAACAAATTCACCTTGTTGGGGAGAAGGGCAAGCAATTAGATTTGTTTTCTTATGCACTTAGGCAAAAATCATTGATTAGACATGGAGGAAGGTGATTGATTCATTTTTGGACATGTTAAATCTGATTTCTTTTCCTTTTTCAGAAATATTGGTATATTTGACCATAGTTGTTCTACACTTTTCTTCATTATATCTTTTGTTTGTTTGTTTTTTGAGATGGAGTTTCACTCTTGTTGCCCAGGCTGGAGTGCAATGGCGCGATCTCAGCTCACCGCAACCTCTGCTTCCTGGGTTCAAACGATTCTCCTGCCTCAGCCTCCCAAGTAGCTGGGATTACAGGCATGCACTACCACACCCGGCTAATTTTGTAATTTTAGTAGAGACAGGGTTTCTCCATGCTGGTCAGGCTGGTCTCGATCTCCCAACCTTAGGTGATCTGCCTGCCTCAGCCTCCCAAAGTGCTGGGATTACAGGCATGTTCTTCATTATATCTTTAATAAGTTTCCAGGCCTTGTTCTTCCTGTCCTTTTAGAAGCTATTTAATATTACAACAAAGTGTATTTTTTCTACCTTAACCTCAAAAGAGAAAATATCCTTAACTTTCTAAATCTATGAGTACATTATAGTCTCCATCTGTTTATAGTGAATAATCCTGAAGAAGGAATAGCTTTCAAGAAGGGAACGATCATCAGAGACAAACACTGTAGACAGAGGGTTTTTCTCTTGTACTCATGTCTACAGACAAGATGTTATTCTCTTGGAACAGAAGAAAAATGGAACAGAAGACATGTGTAGAGAGCAGGGAAATTTGAGCTACAGAATATTATACAAGCAGTGAAATGCATGTCATTTTCTAATTGCTTCGTGATGTCAACACCTCTTCACAATACCTTGCAAAGAAAGTCTGCAAATTTCAAACCACCTCTTTGCAAAGTGATTTCTTTATGTCACTAGGCTGCACATACTCACAGCCCACGCTCTTTCAGTTGCTAAGTGCACTGGATTGCCACAGTATGTTCCAGAGGCTCCAGATTGCTCTCAAATGTGAAAGATGTGCTTCTAATCGGAAGCAAAGTTCTTGCCTTTCAAATACAATATTATCTAAAAACAAAGAAACAGTACCTATTGGATTTCAACCAGTTCAAATTAAAACCAGTTTCCCAAAGCAAGGGAAAGCTCATAAACTCTAAAATTCAATAGAGTGATCTTACAACTTGGAACTCAGAGATGACTTATAGATTAGTTTCATATTATTAGCTTCCCTTTATTAGGAATGAAAATCATAATATGCCACTACAAATATTTATTCTTAATATGCACTGATAACTTCTATTGATGGGATGTGTTACCAGAGGCTTTGAGTTTTTTTAAGTCAATAACATAAATGAAATATTAGGTAGTTTAAGGCTGTGATAAAAAAAGAAGAGGAAACAGCTATGGCAAGAAATAAGGAAGAACATTTACACTTTAGGGGTATATATACATAAATTTGACAAACATTTATTGAGTGAGAGCACTATAACAGAGTAGGGACCAATTATAGATATAAACTGCAATCCCTAGACCTGAAGAATGTGGAGTCTGCTAGAAGAGATTGGCCATTCTTCCATATAATAAGTTTTCATCAAGTATTTGCCATAATCAAGATGTTTTGCTGGGTACTAAATCTTAATTGCTGCATTGTAGCACTGGATCACTTCAACATATGTCATCAAACTTGTAAACTTTTACTTTAAGATTTGTGTTGCAAACAATATATGTTATTTTTAAAAGTCCAAACCATACAGAAACAAAAAGTAAAAGACTCTCCATAACTCCCACTCCTAGATGGGGTCACCACCATTAGTTTTTTCTTTTTTTTTTTTTTTTTTTTTTGAGACGGAGTCTCGCTCTGTCGCCCAGGCTGGAGTGCGGTGGCACGATCTCGGCTCTCTGCAACCTCCGCCTCCCAGGTTCACGCCATTCTCCTGCCTCAGCCTCCCGAGTAGCTGGGACTACAGGCGCCTGCCACCACGCCCGGCTAATTTTTTTTTTTTGTATTTTTAGTAGAGACGGGGTTTCACCATGTTAGCCAGGATGGTCTTGATCTCCTGACCTCAAGTGATCCACCCATCTCAGCCTCCCAAAGTGCTGGGATTACAGGTGTGAGCCACCATGCCCGGCCCTACCATATTTTATGGTATCTTTTCACACTTTTAAAAATAAGCACATACAAATACAAATACTTAAAAAAATATATAGGATTGTACTATACACAAAGCCAGTATAGCATAGTGCTTGAGAGCATAGGCTTTCAGCACCACCACCTTGATTCAAATCCCAGCTCCACCAGTACTAGCTATGTTACATTTTGCAAGTTACTACACATCTCAGTGCCAAAATATTCCAATCTTTAAAATGGGAATAATATTAGTACATAGCATTGTTGTGAAAATTAACACTCACTCACTGAAAGCAGAACCTGGCATACCGCAAAAACTCAGCTGATGTTAGCTATTCTCCTTCAGTTTGTGTTATTTTACTCAATATTATATTGTGGACCTTCTTTCTCCACTTCTTTTTTTTTTTTAAGACTGAATAGTATTTCATGGTAAGAATTTGTTTTAATACATGCAATACATTCTCCTGTTATTATACATACAGATTGCCCCAATATATTCACAAAGAATGCTGCAAATATTTTTATGTCTAAACTTGAATGTTTCAGAAGAGTAAATGCCTAGAAAAGAAATGGATTGGGCCGAGCGCAGTGGCTCACACCTGTAATCCCAGCACTTTGGGAGGCCAAGGCGGGTGGGTCACTTGAGACCAGGAGTTTGAAAGCAGCTTGGACAATATGGTGAGACCCTGTCTCTATCAAAAATACAAAAATTAGCCGGGCATGGTGGTGCACGCCTGTAATCCCAGCTACTCAGGAGGCTGAGGCAGGAGAATCACTTGAACCCGGGAGGTGGAGGTTGCAGTGAGCCAAGATCGTGCCACTGCACTCCAGCCTGGGCAACAGAGTGAGATTCTGTCTCAAAAAAAAAGAAAGTTCAATGGACAAATAAATGAAATAAATCGATGTGACTACTAAATTGGTAGAAGTTCTGTTATGTAAGTGGAACATAAGCTGTAACTGCAAGAAATTTTATAAACAAATTATGCATAGGAAAGAATTATTAAGGAGAGCCAAGGGAAACATAATTAAAGGAAGAAGTATGTAATTTAGATACTTATAATTTATTTCAGATAAATGAGAAATAAGGCCAGGCATTGTAATTCACGCCTGCAGTCCCAGAACTTTGGGAGGCCAAGGCAAGAGGATCGCTTGGGCCCAGGAGTTCAAGACCAGCCTGGGCAACATAGCGAGACCTCATCTCTATGTAAAAAAAACAAAAATAAAAAGATGCCACTCAGGAGGCTGAGGTGGGAGGATTATTGAACCCAGGAGGTCGAGGCTGCAGTTAGCTGTGATGGTGCCACTCTGCTCCAGCCTGAATAGAGCAAGACCCTGTGTCAAAAAAAAAAAAAAAGAAAGAAAGAAAGAAAAAAAGAAAGAAAAAGTAATTTTTAGCATAAGTATGTCCCATTCAATATTTTTTAGTCTGATGTCCATATGCATAGGTAATTAGAAATAATTAAAATTTAACCGGATGTCTTATATTTGTATTTGCTTGATCAGGCAACCCTAAGGGAGGGGCAATTATTTCTTTAATTTCCCAGAACTTAGATTGCGTCTTTTAAAAATAGCAGCCTCTTTTTGTTTTACAGTTGTAATAAGTCCATATGGATCGCTCTATTTTCTGCATTAATTTTGTTGCCTCACAGGGAATTTCTTTTCTTTCTATGGTGTGGTATCCTGCTTTCATGCTGTTGCTTTTCCTCGAATGTTTGTGACTTCTTGGTTATGTATTCACACTTATAATTTTAGATTTAGATTGACCTATTTAGGTAGCTGGAGCATTTCAGCTTGTGACATTCCTTGTTTTCTTGGCAATTAATGCAATTCCTGGGGAGAGGAGAGAGACTATGTGGCCAAGCAGGCTTTTCTTTAGGGGGCGTAGGTAGCTTGCTTTCCAAATACAGGTGCTCCCCATTCCTTAAGACCAGGAAAAAGATGTCCTGATTTGCCCGCCACAGTGACAGGTTATACCTCTTTTTCTGGCATAATTATTAATAGTGCTTTCTTTCACTCAAAAGTGTCCCATTTTAGACAATAGATTACATTTTCATCTTTCATACAACAGATGGAAGTTAACTGGGATATTGTCCCATTTCTCTCGCTGGCCCCAGCACCTGCCCTGGGAGTATTTGGCAGCAAATATCCCAGTTAATTTAGAGAACAGAACTCATAGCTTTAATCTGGGGGCAAATGCTACAGCAAGCACTCGGAGAATAAAAGACTGATACGGTTACCCCACAGCTCTGTAATTAATTATCCTGTTGGCTGCCTGCCTTTGCCCTTGTTACTTAGGATCTTAGGTTTCCTTATCAGGGGTCATCAGAACTATTGTCTTTCACCTAAATAGGATTGCAGGTTTTTGTATCCCTGATGCATGTTATCATCCATGTCTACCCCATCTGCTTTACTATTCCACATTAAATTTATCATAGCACTTATAATGTTACCTATCGTAACAATAATTATAGCTGAGATATGAAAACATTTTGGGTCAGGCATGTTCAAAGCTCATGACTTGTATTAATCCTCACGGGAACAACACTATGAGTGGGTTGTATTATCTCTATTTTCCAAATATGAAAATTGAGGCATAGATCGGGTAATTTACTCAAGGGCCAGAAGACGCAAAGAGAGTAAGCAACTTACCAAGAACCCAGCTCTCACGTTCATATTCTCAATGGCCACCTGAATCCCTCATGTGTAATGACAGTCCTCTTCCAGGCTGATATAGTTTGGATGTTTGTCCCTTCCAAATCTCTTGTTGAAATGTGATTCCTAGAATCGGAAATGGAGCCTGGTAGGAAGCCTTTGGTTCATGGGGCATACGTAGCCTTTATAAATGGCTTGGTGTCCTCCCCACGGTAATGAGTGACATATCACTCTATTAGTTCAAGCGAGAGCTGATTGTTTAAAAGACTTTGCTCCCTCTCTCACTATGTGACACGCTGGCGCCCCCTTCACCTTCTACCATGAGTGAAAGCTTCCTGAGGTCCTGACTAGAAGCAGATGCTGACACCATGCTTCTTGTACAATCTGCAGAATGATGAGCCAAAATAAACCTCTTTTCTTTATAAATTACCCAGCCTTGGCTGGGCGCAGTGGCTCATGCATGTAATCCCAGCACTTTGGGAGGCTGAGGCAGGTGGATCACCTGAGGTCAGGAGTTTGAGACCAGCCTGGCCAACATGGTGAAACCCCGTCTCTATTAAAAATACAAAAATCAGCCAGGTGTGGTGGCGGGCGCCTGTAATCCCAGCTACTTGGGAGACTGAGGCAGAAGGTGGAGGTTGCAGTAAGCCAATATCACGCCACTGCACTCCAGCCTGAGGGACAAAGAGAGACTCCATCTCTAAATAAATAAATAAATAAATTACCCAGCCTTGGATATTATTTTATAGCAACACAAAATGCACTCATACACAGGGGTATGAGTGCTTAGGGTTTAGCACTTCTATATTAATTTGGTTATTTCTGCAGGGTTTTGGAAAGGAAGGAAAGGTTAACACATGAGCTCGGTTAACTATCATAAACCAGAAGCTTTTCAAATTTTGTTTCAAACTCAGGTGTTGTGCCTTGTTGAATTAAAGAAGGTTCTGGTCCAAATGATTTGTTGTCATGCAATCAGCTTCAACCTATTAGTCAAACATTCACACGCTACTTCCCACTGCCTTATCAATCTAGAAAGCTAGAAGAAGATCTGTCATAAAAGCAGGAAAGGTGCCGTGGAGATTTCTACATGACCCTGGACACTCAGCTGCAGGTACATTATGGGCCACTCCAGGGTCATAATAGAGCATCCTTTTATAGTTAATAATCCAAAAATCATATTATTTTAAATCAGAAAGGGGCAGTAACAACCAAGGCCAATCCATCATTTTGCAAATAAGAAATTCCAAAGAGATCGAGTGACTTCCCCATCATCATATTAGCTATTTACTGTAATTAGTGATAAGGCCAGAATTACCACCCAGTGTCCTAACTAACCCAGAGTTCCATTTCATTCTGTCTCATTGCCTCTACTTGGTTGCTTTGGGAACAAAATGAAATATCATCAGAATCATATTATTGCATGTCTAGAAAGGGTTGTTTTACGTAGGTTTGATCTAAATATTCTGGACCCAAATATATGGACCCAACAAAACATTCTTTTGTAAAACTTACTATCTCAAATTTAAAGGAAGCCTTTAAAAATTGGTTGCTGTATCTGTTGAGGCTCGCCACATTATTTTTCAGTTTTCTGTGATATGTGTGCTGGTATAATAAACCATGATTATTTTCACCCCCAGCATAGCACTGACTTTTATTTATTCAAATATGTTAACATTTTCATCTCAACTGACTCACTTATCAGGAGCAACAGGCTTTTAGGCCACTGCCTGGAATAATCCATATCACTCCTCTGCTGGGTAAAATAAAGAATATTTCTCCACTGTAAGGCTCATGAACTTTGAAAGTGAATGCTTTTTAGCTGGGTGCAGTGGCTCACGCCTGTAATCCCAACACTTTGGGAGGCCGAGGTGAGCAGGAGTTTGAGATCAGGAGTTTGAGACCAGCCTGGCTAACATGGTAAAACCCCATCTCTACTAAAAATACAAAAAAACTAGCCAGGCATGGTAGTGCAAGCCTGTAGTCCCAGCTACTCAGGAGGCTGAGGCAGGAGAATGGCTTGTACCCAGGAGGCAGAGGTTGCAGTGAGCCGAGATTGCGCCACTGCACTCCAACCTGGGCAATAGAGGGAGACTCCGTCTCAAAAATAAAATGAAATAAAATAAGAATACAAAAAATTAGCCAGGCATGGTTGCACACACACTTGTAGTCCCAGCTTCTTGGGAGGCTAAGGCACAAGAATCGCTTGAACCCGGGAGGCAGAGGTTGCAGTGAGCCAAGATCATGCCAGTGCACTCCAGCCTGGGCGACAGAGTGAGACTCTGTCTCTAAAAAAAAAAAAAAGAAAAGAAAAAAAAAAGAAACAAAAAGAAAATTGAATGCTTTTCTATTTGTCTTTGTTTTACTGATTTTGATAGTCATAGGCTTTCTGTGTTACAGATGCATTCTAAAAATTGCAATATTTGAAAGGTTTAAAAAATGGGGTGTGAAGGGGAGCTGGGCACGGTGGCTCACGCCTGTAATCCCAGCACTTTGGGAGGCTCAGGCGGGTGGATCACCTGAGGTCAGGAGTTTGAGACCAGCCTGGCCAACATGGCAAAACCCTGTCTCTACTAAAAATACAAAAAAACTAGCCAGGCATGGTGGTGTGAGCCTGTAGTCCCAGCTACTCAGGAGGCTGAGCCAGGAGAATCGCTTGTACCCAGGAGGCAGAGGTTGCAGTGAGCTGAGACTGCGTCACTGCACTCCATCCTGGGCAATAGAGGGAGACTCTGTCTCAAAAAAATTTAAAAATACCAGAAATTAGCCGGGCATGGTTGCACACACACCTGTAGTCCCAGCTGCTTAGGAGGCTAAGGCACGAGAATCGCTTGTACCCAGGAGGCAGAGGTTACAGTGAGCCAAGATCATGCCAGTGCACTCCAGCCTGGGCGATAGAGTGAGACTCTGTCTCCAAAAAAAAAAAAAAAAGGAAAAGAAACAAAAAGAAAACTGAATGCTTTTCTTTCTATTTTTATTGTTTTTCTCTGTTTTATTGTTTTTTGATAGTCATAGGCTTTCTGTGTTGCAGATGCATTCTAAAAATTGCAATATTTGAAAGGTTTAAAAAATGGGGTATGGGCCGGGCGCAGTGGCTCACGCCTGTAATCCCAGCACTTTGGGAGGCTGAGGCAGGCAGATCACAAGGTCAGGAGATCGAGACCATCCTGGCTAACACGGTGAAACCCCGTCTCTACTAAAAATACAAAAAAAATGAGCCAGGCGTGGTGGTGGGTGCCTGTAGTCCCAGCTACTCGGGAGGCTGAGGTAGGAGAATGGCTTGAACCCGGGAGGCGGAGGTTGCAGTGAGCCAAGATCGCGCAACTGCACTCCAGCCTGGGTGACAGAGCGAGACTCTGTCTCAAAAAAAAAAAAAAAAAAAAAAAGGGATATGAAGGGAGGCTGGGCACGGTGACTCACGCCTGTAATCCCAGCACTTTGGGAGGCTCAGTTGGGCGGATCACCTGAGGTCAGGAGTTCCAGACCAGCCTGGGCAACATGGTGAAACACTGTCTCTACTAAAACTACAAAAATTAGCCAGGCGTGGTAGTGGGTACCTGTAATCCCAACTACTTGGGAGGCTGAGGCAGGAGAATCACTTTAACCCAGGAGGCTGAGGTTGCAGTGAGCCGAGACTGCACCACTGCACTCCAGCCTGGGCAACAAGAGTGAAACTCCATTTAAAAAAAAAAAAAAAAAAAAAAAAAAAAAAAGCGGGGGGGCAGGAATGAAGAAAAAGGGAGATAAGAGATATTTCACAATTTGTTAATAGATAAATGAATATTTCACATTTCACATTCTAAAGAAATAAAAATAGCCTTCTTGTCCAGGACCAAAAGGAGATGTAGAAAGAAAAAGGAAAAATAAAAATAAGCTGATTAGTTTTTATCACTTGTTATAAGGAAGAAATAGCTAATGACACTAAATACTCTCTATTTAGAAGAATGTTAGAAATTAAATTCTAGGCCAGGGCGGTGGCTCATGCCTGTAATCCCAGCACTTTGGGAGGCCAAGGTGGGAAGATCACGAGGGCAAGAGATTGAGACCATCCTGGCCAACATGGTGAAACCCCGTCTCTACCAAAAATACAAAAAGTAGCTGGGCATGGTGGTGCACGACTGTAGTCCCAGCTACTTGGGAGGCTGAGGCAGGAGAATCACTTGCACTCGGGAGTTGGAGGTTGCAGTGAGCCAAGATCACGCCACTGTACTCCAGCCTGGCAACAGAGCAAGACTCTGTTTCAAAAAAAAAAAAAGAAATTAAATTCTAAAAAGCCCATTGCTCATAGCTCTAAGTTCAAGATTAAAGCAATAATTCGTGTTAATTAATGCCTGTCCCTCTATCTTCTCTCCTTAATTGTCTCCAGCTAAGAAAGTATCAGAGCTGGAAAATCCACCATTACCGTTTCCAACTCAAATGGGCTTCCAGGACACCCAGGTTGTCCTTAATTCCCTCTGCAGATGTACCTCCTTGTAATCCGCAAAAGCCGTCATTCCACCCCATTCCCAATTACCTGGCCAGCCATTTGCCTGTTGCTACTGAAGTCTCTAGTTCCTCCTCCTCAAGGGCACCAGAGTAACATTCAACCTAACATCCAGCCTGCACTCCTGCTCATCTTAGCTAAAACAACACCTTTTCCTGTTTTATTTTCCTAGTAGCTATATTTTCTGTATATATAAAAAAAAGTTCTCTTGTTTGTTTACACATTTGCTGTCAGTTCTTGTTACAGAGAATGGTGTTTATCTCTTCTACTCAACATGTAACTCCAGTTTCTAGAACAATGCCTGACACTTAGGAGGTGCTTGAAAATATTTGTTGAATGAGTAATTCTACTTAACTCCCTTGAAGCTTCAAAGCATCTTGGGGCCAGGTGTGGTGGCTCATACCTATAATCCCAACACTTTGGGAGGGCAAGGGGAGAGGATGACTTCATCCCAGGAGTTTGAGACCAGCCTGGGCAACAAAGTGAGACTCCATTTCTACAAAAAATAAAATCATTAGCCAGGCATGGCAGCATGCACCTATAGTCCTTGCTAGTCTGGAGGCTGAAGTGGGGGGATCACTTGAACCCAGGAGTTTGAGGCTGCAGTAAGCTCTGATCGCACCACTGCACTCCAGTAGAGAACTAGGCCTTGTGTTTTAAAAAATAAATAAATAAATAAATGAAAAGCATCTTGGGCTCAAGGAGCTTCTTTATTGTTCCATAACAGCTAGCAACTCTCACACTCTGTCCATTTCATCATCACCTGGAAATGCCCCACCTCTGAAATTGTAAACCCCACAGACATTTGCTCCAGTTATTAATTCCTTTTTCTCTCTTTCTCTGGTACATTCTCTACTGCCTTACTCCCAGCAGCCCAGGATTCTAATCGTAACACAAATGCTCCACCAATTCCATCTAATGGTTTACCTCTCACTTCCCTCTATGGCTAAGGTTAGTAAAAGGGTAGCTGATACCCCACTAGTTTCATTTCCCCTTCTCCCACTCTCTTTCAACCCAGGCACTCTGGCATCAGTTTCCACCACTCTACCAAAACTGCCTTTGCCAACGTCACCACCCCACGATCCCATCACATTGTAAAAAAAAATTTAACTTACTTAAAAAAAAGTACTCTAATACCAAGTGTTAGGAATATATGGGAAAACAAGAACTTTTATACGGCTGGAGTAAAAATTGGTACACCAGCCTGGGCAACAAAGTGAGACCTCATCTCTACAAAAAAAAACAAAAAACAAAAAACAAAAAACATTAGCCAGGCATGGTAGTACATGCCTGTGGTCCCAGCAACACAACAAGTTGAGGCAGGAGGATCACTTGAGACTAGGAAGTCGAGGCTGCAGTGAGCCATAATCACACCACTGCACTCCAGCCTGGGTGACAGAGGGAGACCCTGTCTCAAAAAAAAAAGAAAAAAAAAGGAACAACCCATTTTGGAGAGCAATTGACAATTGACAATATCTACAATATCTGGCACAGTTAAAAACATGAATTACCAGAAACATATTCTGCTAGAGAAACTGTCCTACGTGAACACAAGAAGACATATGTATGAATGTTTGTCACAGCATTGCTTATAATAGCAGAAATTTGGTGGGACGCAATGGCTCACACCTGTAATCCCAGCACTTTGGGAGGCCGAGGCAAATGGATCACGAGGTCAGAAGTTTGAGACAAGCCTGACCAACATGGTGAAACCCTGTCTGTACTAAAAATACAAAAATTAGCCGGGCGTGGTGGCAGGCGCCTGTAATCCCAGTTACTCAGGAGGCTGAGGCAGGAGAATGGCGTGAACCTGGGAGGCGGAGGTTGCAGTGAGCCAAGATCGCATCATTGCACTCCAGCCTGGCCACATAGAGCATGACTCTGTCTCGGAAAAAAAAAAAAAAAAAAGCAGAAATTTGGAAATTACCTAGATGTCCATCCATTGTGGTAGAGACTTGTTTCTTAAACTTCCCCTTCCCCTTCTTCATCAGTAATAGAACAATCAAATTTGAGGCATGTGGTCACTTAGAATGAAAATTCCTCTTCCCACTCTCCTTTATAGCTGATAATTATAGCTGATAATGTGATTAAGTTTTCACCAATTGGTGTAAGCAAAATGGGGGAATGAGGCTTCTTCCCTTTCTCCCTTGTACTGTAGTAATGCAGATGTGTTCACTAGAGGTGGAATGACCACCTTGAATTTTGAGGTGACTTTGTACATAAAGGCCTATGCACAGTGGAGTAACAAGATTGAGGAAGCTAGGGTCCCTAAACTTAGGACACTCCATACCATCCCTGGAAAACCATCTTTAGGCCAGGCATGGTGGCTCACACCTGTAATCCCACCACTTCGGGAGCCTGAAGCGGACAGATCACTTGAGGCCAGAAGTTCAGGACCAGCCCGGCCAACATGGAGAAACCCCGTCTCTACTAAAAATACAAAAATTAGCCAGGTGTGGTGGCAAATGCCTGTAATCCCAGCTACTTGGGAGGCTGAGGCAGGAGAATCACTTTAACCTGGGAGGCGGAGGTTGCAGTGAGCCGAGATCTGAGATCGCACCACTGCACTCCAGCCTGAGCGACAGAGCTAGACTCCAGCTCAAAAAAAAAAAAAAAAAAAAAAAAAAAAAAAAACAAAGAAAAGAAAACCATCTTTAGACATACACACAAGAGAGAGAAAATTTTCTTATCAACACTGTTATTTTGTTTTTTTCAGTCATCTTTGGCCAAACTTAATCTTAACATTGAAATCAATGTATTCATAATATGGACTCCAGAAAAACAATAAATAGACAAACACACAAGAGAGATCTATCAACATGGACAAACCTCAAAACATAATGTTGCAGAATAATGCATAGAAAATTATACCACTTAAAATTTAAGATGCAAGACAGCCCATTATTGTTTATGGATCTATACATATGTATAAAAAATATTAAAACATATTAATATAATTCAGAACAACTTCAAGATAATGGTATCTTTAGAGCAAGAACTTTTCTGATTCTACATTGATTAACCAGCTGCATTACTGATTATCTCATCAGCCAGGATGGTCAAAGCTAAACTAGTTCATCAAGAGCTTCCAAGGATGATCTATCCATCTCTCTAACCCCTCTTAAAACCACTGTCAATGAAATAAAGCCCTGTTCTTCAGTATCTGAGTCACTCCTTGATGACAAAAGGTGAGACAAGCTTTTTCTGGGACATGACTGTGAAAATCAAGCTAAGGAGAATATCCTGCCACACTTCAACAAGAGGAGAAGGCAGGAGAAGTAACCTTGGCTAAGTGGCCTCTATAACTGAAATTTATTTATATTCATCCATTCATCAACTCCTTCCTGAGTGTATTCTGAGTTAAGGTTTGAAATATTGACCCTATAAATTAATGTCTATGAAAGAAGAGCTAGTTGCTTTTTTTTTTTACTTTTAATTCAGGGGTACATGTGAAGGTTTGTTACACAGGTAAACTCATGTCATGAGTGTTTGTTGTATAGATTATTTCATCACCCTGGTATTAAGCCTAGTACCCAATAGTTATTTTTTTCTGTTTCTCTTCCTCCTCCCACCTTCCACCCTCAAGGAGACCCCAGCGTCTGTTGTTCCCCTCTTTGTGTTCATGAGTTCTCATCATTTAGCTTCCACTTATAAGTAAGAACATGCAGCATTTGGTTTTCTGTTCCTGCAGTAGTTTGCTAAGGATAGCGGCCTCCAGCTCCATCCATGTTCCACGTTCAACTCCTTTCTACCTATGTGACCACTAGCTAAACTTCAGTTTTACAATTTGTAATATACTGTTGTTGTAAAAATCATTTTAACTAAATATATATATATATATATATATATATATATATATATATATATATATATATATCTAGCATATTAAGTAGGAACTCAACAAATGGGGGTCATTATTCTAGCTGTTATTAGAAACTTGAAGATGGCTAACTGGTTGATTTTCTCCTTCATCTCAAGCTCAGATTTCCTCCACATATAAAAAAAAATGTAGCTTCTGTACTACATTACTTTTTATATGTGGAGGAAATATGATGGTTTTAATTGAACCCATCATCCAAATAGTGAACATAGTACCCAATAGGTAGTTTTTCAACCATTTCCCCTTCCCTCCCCCTTTTGGAGTCCCCAGTGTCTATTGTTCTCATCTTTTTTTTTGAGATGGAATTTCACTCTTGTTGCCCAGGCTGGAGTGTAATGGCGCAATCTCGGCTCACTGCAACCTTCACCTTCTAGGTTCAAGCAATTCTCCTGCCTTAGCCTCCTGAGTAGCTGGGATTAGAGGCATGTGCCACCACACCCAGATAATTTTTGTATTTTCAGTAGAGACAGGGTTTCACCATGTTGGCCAGGCTGGTCTCAAACTCCTGACCTCAGGTGATCCACCCACCTTGGCCTCCCAAAGCGCTGAGATTACAGGCATGAGGCACCGTGCCCGGCCTTGTTCCTATCTTTATGTCCACATGTACCCAATGTTTAGCTTTCACTTACAAGTGAGAACATGTGGTATTTGGTTTTCTGTTTCTGCATTAATTCACTTAGGACAATGGCCTACAGCTGTATCCACATTGCTGCAAAGGACATGTTCATTCTTTCTATGGTTATGTAGTATTCCACGGTATATATGTACTACATATGCTTTATCCATTTCACCCCTGATGGGCACCTAGGAGATTCCATGTCTTTGGTATTGTGGATAGTGATATGATAACCATGCAAGTTCAGGTATCTTTGGGGTAGAACAATTTATTTTCCTTTGGGTAGATACCCAGTAATGGTATTGCTGGGTCGAATGGTAGTTCTATTTTTAGTTCTTTGAGATCTCTCCAAACTGCTTTCCACGGTGGCTGAACAAATTTACAATCCCACCAACAGTGTATATAAGTATTCCCTTTTTTCTGTAACCTCACCAACATCTGTTATTTTTTTGACTTGTAGTAATAGCCCTTCTGACAAGTATGAGATGGTATCTCATTGTAATTTTGATTTATGTTTCTCTGATGTTTAGTAATGTTGAGCATTTTTCATGTGTTTTTTGGCCACTTTTATGTCTTCTTTTGAGAAGTGCCTGTTCATGTCCTTTGCCTACTTCTTAATGGGGTTGTTTTTTTCTTGTTTAAGGTCCTTATGATTCTGAGTATTAGACCTTTGTCAGATGCATAGTTTACAAATATTTTCTCTCATTCTGTAGGTTGTCTGTTTACTCAATCGATAGTTTCTTTTTCTGTGCAAGAAGCTCTTTAGTTTAATTAGTTCCTGCTTGTCAGTTTTTGTTTTCTTTGTGTTTGCTTTTGAGGACTTAGTCATAATTTTTTGCGTAAGCCAATGTCCAGAAGAGTATTTCCAAGGTTTTCTTCTAGGATTTCTATAGTTTGAGGTCTTACATGTAAGTCTTTAATTCATCTTGACTTAACTTTTGTATATAGTGTAAGGTAGGGGTCAAGTTTCATTCTTCTGCATATGGTTACCCAATTTCCCCAGCACCATTATTGAATAGAGAGTCCTTTCCCCATTGCTTATTCTTGTTGACTTTGTCAAATATTAGTTGGTTGTAGGTAATGCATCTTTATTTCTGGGTTCTCTACTCTGTTCTATTAATTTATGTAACTATTTGCATAACAGTGCCATGATGTTTTGGTTACTTTAGCCTTGAGGTATAGTTTGAAATCAGTTAATGTGATACCTCTGCCTTTGGGCTTTTTGCTTAGGGTTGCTTTGGCTATTCAGGCTCTTTTTTGGTTCCACATGAATCTTAGAAGCATTTTTTTTTCTAATTTTGTGAAGAATTACATTGACTGTTAGATAGAAATAGCACTGAATCTGTAAATTGCTTTGGGCAGTATGGCCATTTTAGAGATATTGATTCTTCCAACCCATGAGCATGGAATGTTTTTCCATTTATTTGTGTCATCTCTGATTTCTTTCAGCAGTGTTTTGTAGTTCTCCTTGTAGAGATCTTTCACCTCCTTGCTTAGATATATTCCTAACTCTGTGTGTGTGTGTGGGTGTGTGTGTGTGTGTGTGTGTGTGTGTGTGTATTGTAAATGAGATTATGTTCTTGGTTTGGTTCTCAGCTTAAACATTATTGGTGTATAGAAATGGTATTGATTTTTTCACATTGATTTTGTATCCTGAAACTTTACTGAAGTTGTTCATCAAGTCTAGAAGCTTTTTGGTGAAATGTTTAGGGGTTTCCAGGTATAGAATCATATCATCAGTGAAGAGAGATGATTTAACTTCTTCTTTTCCTATTTGGATGACTTTTATTTCTTTCTCCTGCCTGGTTGCCCTGGCCAGGACTTTCAGTACTATGTTGCATAGGAGTGGTAAAAGTGGACATCTTTGTCTTTTTCCAGTTCTTGGGGGAATGCTTTCCAACTTTTGCTCATTCAGTATGATATTGGCTGTGACTTTGTCATTGATGGCTCTTATTATCTTGAGGTATATTCCTTTGATGCCTAGTTTGTTGTGGGTTTTTATCACTAAGAGATTTTGGATTTTATTGGCTACTTTCTCTGCACCTATTGAGATCATCTATAGTTTTTGTTTTTAATTCTGTTTATGTGTTGAATCATGTTTATTGATTTGTGTATGTTGAACCATCCTTGCATCTCAGGAATAAAGCCCACTTGATCATGGTGGATTATCTTTTTGATGTGCTGCTGGATTTAGTTTGCTAGTATTTTGTTGAGAATTTTTGTGTCTATGTTCATCAGGGATATTGGCCTGTAGTTTTGTTTTGCTTTGTTTTGTTTTATTGTGTGTGTGGTTTCTTTGCCAGATTTTGGTATCAGAATGAGTTTTGCAGAATGAGTTAGGGAGAAATCCTTCCTCTTCTGTTTTTTGGAATAGTTTCAGTAAGATTAGTACCAGCTCTTCTTTGTACATCTGGTAGAATTCAGCTGTGAATCCATCTGGTCTAGGACTTTTTTGGTTGGATTCTATTTCATAACTTGTTATTGATCTGTCCAGGTTTTCACTTTCTTTTGATTCAATCTTAGGAGATTACATGTTTCCAGGAATTTATCCATTTCCTCTAGATTTTCTAGTTTGTGCACATAGAGATGTTTGTAGTAGTCTCTGAGGATCTTTTGCATATCTATGGGATCAGTTGCAATGTCACTTTTGTCATTTCTGATTGTGCTTATTTTAATCTTCTCTCTCTCTCTCCTTTTTTTCTTTTTTTTGTTAATCCAGCTAGCAGTCTATCGTCTTGTATTGTTGTTGTTGTTGTTGTTTTATTTTTTTTTTTTGAGACGGAGTCTCGCTCTGTCACCCAGGCTGGAGTGAAGTGGCGCGATCTCGGCTCACTGCAAGCTCTGCCTCCGGGGTTCACGCCATTCTCCTGTCTCAGCCTCCTGAGTAGCTGGGACGACAGGTGCCTGCCACCACGCCCAGCTAATTTTTTTTTGTATTGTTAGTAGAGACGGGGTTTCACCGTGTTAGCCAGGATGGTCTCGATCTCCTGACTTCATGATCCACCCGCCTCAGCCTCCCAAAGTGCTGGGATTACAGGCGTGAGCCACCGCACCTGGCCTGTTGTTGTTGTTTTTGAGACGGAGTCTCACTGTCGCCCAGGCTGGAGTGCAGTGGCATGATCTTGGCTCATTGCAACCTCCGCCTCCCGGATTCAAGCAATTCTCCTTGCCTCAGTCTCCTGAGTAGCTGGGATTACAGGCGCCCACTACCACACACAGGTAATTTTTTGTATTTTTTAGTAGAGACGGGGTTTCACCATGTTGACCAGGCTGATCTTGACCTCCTGACCTTAGGTGATCGTCCACCTCAGCCTCCCAAAGTGCTGGGATTATAGGCGTGAGCCACCGTGCCCAGCCTCAATCTTGTTTATCCTTTCAAGTAACAAACTTTGTGTTTCATTGATCCATTGTATGGTTTTCTTGGTCCAAGTTTGTTTAGTTCTGCTCTAATTATAGTTTTTTTTTTCCCTTTTGCTAGCTTTAGGTTTAGTTTGTTCTTGTTTTTCTAGTTCTATTATGTGTTCTATAAGGTTGTTAATTTGAGACCTATCTTCTGGATGTCAAAGCCGATATTCTTTAGTATTGTACTACACCATTTACCACCATTAACATTATTAACTTTCATGGACTAGTCCCATGCATAGGTAAATGAAATGGTTGACTACATTGTGCAATTAAAAGCTACTGAAGGCTGGTGCAGTGGCTTATGCCTGTAATCCCAGCACTTTGGGAAGCCAAGGCAGGTGGATCACCTGAGGTCAGAAGTTTGAAACCAGCCTGGCCAACACGGTGAAACCCTGTCTCTACTAAAAATACAAAAAATTATCTGGGTGTGGTGGTAGGCACCTGTAATCCCAGCTACTTGGGAGGCTGAGGCAGGAGAATTGCTTGAACCTGGGTGGTGGAGGTTGCAGTGAGCCAATATCCTGCCACTGCCCTCCAACTTCAGTGACAGAGTGAGACTCTATCTCAAAAAAAGAAAGAAAAAAGAAAAAAAGAAGCTACTGAAGGATTTACCTGTCCCCAAACACTGTCTCCACATTCTGCAGTAGTAATAACAGTTATGTCACTTTTTGAGTTATTTTTTCCATAATATTAGTAAAGTTTGCCCCCTATGGGAGATAATACATTAATCCATAGATTAACAAATTAAACTGCAATTTAATAACTATCTATTAAAACTAGATTCCCAGCAGAAGTAGAATTAAAAAACAAAAACAAAACAAAAACCTAGATTCTCTGCAGAAAAATAGGATTAAAAAGAACAAAAACGGCCGGGCACAGTGACTCATGCCTGTAATCCCAGCACTTTGGGAGGCCAAGGTGGGCAGATCACCTGAGGTCAGGAGTTCGAGACCAGCCTGACCAATATAGGGAAACCCCGTCTCTACTAAAAATACAAAAATTAGCCAGGCATGGTGGCGGTCACCTGTAATCCCAGCTACTCGGGAGGCTGAGGCAGGAGAATGGCTTGAACCTGGGAGGCAGAGCTTGCAGTGAGCCGAGATCGCGCCACTGCACTCCAGCCTGGGTGACAGAGCGAGACTCTGACTCAAAAAAAACAAAACAAAACAAAAAACACTTTCCTTGATCTCCCAGTAAGTGGATAGTCAAGCTAGGAGTTGAGTCTATGTATTTAATCATTGTATTATACTTTTCTCTCCTATTTCTCACTCTCGTTTCAGTCACTCCTCATATGACATGCGATTCTCCATCCTTTTCCTGTGACTCACAGTCCAGGTGGTCACTGCTGCTTTTAAACAGAGTCACTGTAGTAGACTGAATTCATTGGGAAGCAGGCACTGAGACAGAGTTTATAGCTTGCAGGATGTTTATTAAGGAGCACCCTTGGCGTCAACACATAAGGAACAGGGCAGGGGAGGTAGGAGCAAAGCAAACCCAAGACATTTTCATAATTTTTATAGGCCTATTAAAGTATATGTTATAAAATATTCATAGCTTACTCTGAAAAGGTAAATATTTTGAATTGACTGGATATATAAGATCAGCTGAAATTTTGCCTACATTAAATTAATCTTGGCCAGGAGCAGTGGCTCATGCCTGTAATCCCAGCACTTTGGGAGGCCAAGGTGGGCAGATCACTTGAGGTCGGGAGTTTGAGACCAGCCTGGCCAACATGGCAAAAACCCGTCTCTACTAAAACTACAAAAATTAGCAGGGCGTGGTGGCAGGCACCTGTAGTCCCAGCTACTCAGGAGGCTGAGGCAGGAGAATCGCTTGAACCCGGGGGGCAGAGGCTGCAGTGAGCCAAGATTGCACCATTGCACTCCAGCCTGGGTGACAGAGCAGGACTCCATCTCAAAAATAAAAATAATAATTAATCTTATGCCCTATTTTTGTCCTCAAATTTGATCAAGGCAAATTCACCCAGAACCCACTATTAAAATGGGACATAATTGTGTTGAGGAGTGATGATCATGGAAACCATTTTACTGATTCAGGCTAATTAAGTAAAAAAAAAAGGGGGGGGGGCTATTTTAACTTCCTCAGATATGTGATATATCTTTGAAAATACAAGGTAAATTCTTCTTGTAAATGTTACAAAAAGGGCTACAGATCCCTTAATAAAGATTATTAGACCTTTATCCATGTACAAGTTCTTTTGTTTGTTAGTTTAATAATGCTACTGCTGGTTGATCAACCAAGCTGTTTTAGGAGCTCCACAGTATATTAGCAAGTCTGTAAAGTAATAGATAATTAGTCCTTAACCAAAAAAAAAAAAAAAAAAAAAAAAAGGAGAATGTCACAGCCCCCACACATCTGTTACTTGTCAGATGTCTATTACAGTGGCTGCTCCAAATGCCATTAAAGTGAAACCTTGAATTCTTGCCTATTTATTCTCACAGTCTGTTTATCAACTCTTCGTATTCTAAAGCTCCATACACTTGTTTTCTTGTTTTTTATTACACTATTAATTTCAGCAATTACAATGTATGGCTTAGCTAGAGGAGTTTCTACAGTATAAATATTAAAAATAGGCCGGACGCGGTGGCCCATACCTGTAATCCTAGCACTTTGGGAGGCCGAGGTGGGAGGATCATTTGAGGCCAGGCATTCAAGATTAGCCTGGTCAACATGGTGAAACCCCTTCTCTACTAAAAATACAAAAATTAGCCGGGCATAGTGGTACGTGCCTCTAATCCCAGCTACTCAGGAGGCTGAGGCAGGAGAATTGCTTGAACCCGGGAGGCAGCGGTTGCAGTGAGCTGAGATCACGCCACTGCACTCCAGCCTGGGCAACACAGTGAGACACTGTCTCAAAAAAAAATACATAAAAATAAAAATCACACAAATGTATGAAAGGAAGATTGATGGAATATTATTTTAATAACAGCTATGAAGTACAGAAGATACAGAAATTTACTAGGGAAAATTAAAAGTAAGTAAATTAGAAGAAACAGGAAGTAGAAGGTGATAAAGAAGAATCATCCATCTGCTAAATTAGTAACTCTCATTCAATGTGGATTTCAATACAGTATTGTTACTCCACATTACTAAGTTCACTGAGAAGATATTTTAAGTGGCAACTTCCACTGTTAAGTTTAATTACTTTTACAAAGTAAGCCAGTCAGATTCCTCAGATGCCAGACTCTTAGTTATATTTTTCAGCAGGCCATAGCATCTCTAATACCCAGCAAAATCCAGGTTACCACAGACATAACTACTTCTTCGAAGTAGTCCAACCCTGTCTCTTTCACTAAACTAACTTGATTCCCTTGTTAATTTTGTATAAATGTTCTCCATGGAAACAGCTCCTTGTTAGTCATACTGAGAAAGGAGCAAAATAACCTGGCTGCTTGGGTATACCAATTACTATTATCAGTAGGTTTTTTGGTTTGTTTTTGTTTTTTACTCTCTTGAATTAATGAATTTGCTAGACGTCAAAGGAGACTTCAATGCTTATCAAACACAATCTTCTGTATAGATGGTTTTCCCATGAATGAACCCAAGATTTCCTATAAGAATTACACAATATGTGTTGTTCACTTTGCCAAGTCTTTATCTTGCCTATGATGTAAAGCTGAGCTCTGAGAGGGAAATACTGAGAGAAGGGTCAGCCGGAGGCCCTGAACCAACTTCATAGTTGCAAGGGGAAACTGACTAATCTTAGAAATTTGTTTTTCCTTCCTTGTCCTAGGCTTAATCCAACTGGAGGAAATTGACTGGCATTTCATTATTTTCCTTTACAATAAGCTTGGAGCAAGCTGCAGAGGAAACTAGTCAGGTCAGAGCAGAAAGGAAACTGCCTAGTACCTTCGTCAGTTTCCTGTTGCATCTGACTGATAGCAGAACGAAGAGGATGTGATGTTATGGTGCTGGGGTTTGATTCTGAGATGCTGCTGATAAAGGCTCCACCTTCCATTCAGTGGCTAGTGATTCATGGTTTTCTACTGACCTAATCTAGCTTCAGACTTCAGAGCTTTCCCTTTAAGAATCCCTTAGCTAACTAGAATTTCAACTGCTTATGCTGCGTAAGATATAGAGAGCCTAGAATGAAAATCTATTATTTATAAACAGCTCCCTGGTAATCTATCAAGCTCCAGAAATACACAAGATCTGTCTCCAGGGAAATTAGTTCCTTCAGGCTTTGGTCTGCTCACCACAGACATTTCCATGGGAAAAATGTCTTCTGATTTAGTCAAGTGGTAGGTAGGAGTGTTTTAAAGACATTTTGTTAGAATCTGTATCCCAAATATTCCTTTTTTCTTTCTTTCCTTTTAGAGACAGGGTATGGCTCTGTCGCCCAGGCTGGAGTACAGTGGTACAATCTCCACTCGCTGCAGCTTCAATTTCCTGAGCTCAGGCAGTCCACCCAACTCAGCGTCCCGAGTAGCTGGGACTAAAGGTGTGCACCACCACACCCGGCTATTTTTTTTTTTTTTTTTGTATTTTTTTTGTAGAGACAGGGTTTCACCATGTTGCCCAGGCTGGTCTGAAACTCCTGGACTCAAGCGATCTGCCCACCTTGGACTCCCAAAGTGCTGAGATTACAGGCGTAAGCCACCATGCCATGTCCAGCCCCAAATATTCTTAATAGGGCATATGACCATTCTATTTAAAAATTTTAATGACTTCTCCTTGATTTAGTATAAAATTCTAGTTTCTTTACAAATAATTTGAAAGCCTTATACTATCTATTGCCTACCTACCTTTCTAGACTTATTTCAAACTATCCCACTATTTTTTTTTGAGACAGAGTTTTGCTCTTATCACCCAGGCTGGAGTACAGTGGCACTATCTCAGCTCACTGCAACCTTCACCTCCTGGATTCAAGCAATTCTCCTGCCTCAGCCTCCCAAGTAGCTGGAATTAACAGGCATGCCCCACCACACCTAGCTAATTTTTGTATTTTTAGTAGAGATGGGTTTTCCCCATGTTGGCCAGGCTGGTCTCGAACTCCTGAGCTCAGGTGATCCGCCTGCCTCGGCCTCCCAAAGTGCTGGGATTGCAGGTGTGAGCCACTGCACCCGGCGAAGTTTTTTTTAAAAGAGTCCATACATAGTGTTCCAAGTTTTTGGAGCTTGGGCTTAGGCCGGGCTATCATCCTAAATGTCCTCACCATTTCTGTTTTTGTTTGTAATTCAAGTCCAGTTTCAGTTGCTTCTTCATTAGGTCTTCCACAACTACTTCGGGTACAAAGAAATTGCACAATCACTGTAGTATTTATTATCTCTATTTCTCATTTGGCCGTTAACCACTTCACAGAGGGAGCGCATCTTGATTTTTTTTTTTTTTTTTTTTTTTTTTGAGATGGAATTTCTCTCTTGTTGCCCAGGCTGGAGTGTTTGTCGATCTCGGCTCGCTGCAACCTCCGCCTCCCAGGTTCAAGTGATTCTCCTGCCTCAGCCTCCCGAATAGCTGGGATTATAGCCGCCTGCCACCATGCCCGGCTAATTTTTATATTTTTAGTGCCGACGGGGTTTCACCATGTTGGCCAGGCTGGTCTCGAACTCCTGACCTCAGGTGATCCACCCACCTCAGCCTCCCAAAGTGCTGGGATTACAGGCGTAAGCCACTGCGCCCGGCCTCTTGTGCTGTTTTATTATGCGGTAGTGATTCTTAAATCTTGCATTCCTGTTTAAGTTTGTATTATTTTGTAATAATTTCAGGAGGAAGATTATATGTCTTACTTCTTTCTATGCCTTCACACCATATAAAGACCATATAGTGTCTTCAATCATATTTTAGATTAATTTATTGAAAGCACAAGTATTAAACAGGTACAAACATAACCATGTATATATTTAAGTGGAATACAATGATCTTGCACTACAATAAAATAATTATTGGCTTGGGCAATTTAAATAGGTTAAATTCTTATAGACTCTCAGATTTATAATTTTACAGGAAATGCCTTGACCATTTTAACCAACCAATCAACCAAGTTATTAAACAAGCAAAAGCAAACAGAAGTTTCTAAGTTTGGCTGATAATGATACCTGGTTTGTTGACTGCACCTGTGCAGATATAGCTTAATTGACTGTAACAAATATACCATTTGAGTGTAGGATGTTGATGGTGGGGGAGGCTGTACCTGTGTGGAGTTAGAAGGTACATGAGAAATCTCTGTACCTTCTTCTTAATTTTGCTGTAAACTTAAAATTGCTCTGAAAAATAAAGTCTATTAAAACAACAACAAAAGGGCGGGCGTGGTGGCTCCTGACTGTAATCCCAACACTTTGGGAGGCCGAGGTGGGTGGATCACCTGAGGTCAGGAGTTTGAGACCAGCCTGACCAACATGGTGAAACCCCATCTCTACTAAAACTACAAAAATTAGCTGGGTGTGGTGGCACGCACCTGTAATTCCAGCTACTCACGAGGCTGAGGCAGGAGAATTGCTTGAACCCGGGAGGTGGAGGTTGCAGTGAGCTGTGATCGCGTCATTGCACTCCAGCCTGGGCAACAGAGCAAGACTCTGTCTCAAAAACAAAATAAAATAAAATAAATAAAATAAAACAACAACAACAAACAAAAAACCTTCTCAGCACTTGTTGTATTGAACCATTTACGTACCACACCAGATTGCTCAGTAGTATCTGATCCCCACCCCCAAACCTCAGTCACTTGACAAGTTTCCACAATCATTGTGATAGAAGAAGGAGTTCCTGTGTAGGGCATGGCCTGACAAAGAGGGACCTTTGTATATTCACATTGTCTGGGATCCCTGGAGGCTGTGCCTTCACCAGAAGCTTCCAGGAGTCATTAGAAATCACAGAAGGGCAAAAGGAGCGGACTTTAATGAGTGAGAGACCAGAGAGACCAGAGACAGAGAGAACCCAACAGATAAATTGTCGTTTGTCCTATCCATGAACTGTTCTGAGATGTGCTGGATTTCTATAACCTCTCTGGACACCAAACTATCAACGGTGTTTTGTTGTGAAGCTGTGTCTCCAGTAAAACCATATACCACTTTTTATTTGCTCTCCTTCCTTTGCGGACTCAATTTCTTTTTCTCTTCTCTCTTAGTGCCCTGGGATTGTACCTCTCTCCAGAATGATGGATATATAACTTCTATTTTCTTTTTTTCTACTTTTTTTTTTTTTGAGACAGAGTTCGCTCTGTTGCCCAGGCTGGAATGCAATGGCGTGGTCTCAGCTCACGGCAACCTCTGCCTCCCAGGTTCAAGTGATTCTCCTGCCTCAGCCTCCCGAGTAGCTGGGATTACAGGCATGCACTACTACACCCTGCTAATTTTGTATTTTTAGTAGAGACAGGATTTCTCCATGTTGGTCAGGCTGGTCTCGAACTCCCGACCTCAGGTGATCTGCCTGCCTCGGCCTCCCAAAGTGCTGGGATTACAGGTGTGAGCCACCACACCCGGCTATAACCTCTATTTTCTAGGAAATGTGAACCACTTTCAAATGCCAAACCCTGTGCTAGGTATTAGGGAAAAGACATCATGTTCTAGTGTTACAAATACTTTTTAAAATATTTTATTTGTTTGCTTTGATGAATTCATATGGTCAAAAAAGCAAAGTCTTGAAAGGATAAACAGTGAAAACCTCCTGTATTAGTCTGTTCTCACAATGCTATAAAGACATACCTGAAATTTGGTAATTTATAAAGAAAGGGGGTTTAATTGACTCACAGTTTTGCATGGCTGGGGAAGCCTCAGGAAACTTACAATCATGGTGGAAGGTGAAAGGGAAGCAAGGTGTGTCTTATACGATGGCAGGAGAGAGAGAGCAAAGGAAGTCACACTTTTAAACCATTAGATCTTGTGAGAACTCACTATCATGAAAACAGCAAGGGGGAAACCACCTCCATGTTCCAATCACCTCCCACGAGGTCCCTCTCTCAACACGTGGGGATTACAATTTGAGATGAGATTTGGGTGGGTACATAGAGCCAAACCATATTACCTCCCTTCCACACATGTGCCCCTGACACTCCATGACTTCTGCCTCCTGTTCCCCTCCCAATAATAGAGCTGGGAAATAATCTCATATCAATACATAAAATAGTTTCACAATATATTTGGCTGCACAGTATTCCAATGTGTGAATGTACCATAATTTATTTACTCATTTCATTATAGATAAACCTTTTTTTTAATTATACTTTAAGTTCTGCAGTACATGTGCACAACGTGCAGGTTTGTTACATATGTATACATGTGCCATGTTGGTGTGCTGCACCCATTAACTCATCATTTACATTAGGTATATCTCCTAATGCCATCCCTCCCCACTCCCCCTACCCCACAACAGGCCCCGGTGTGTGATGTTCCCCTTCTTGTGT
Source organism: Homo sapiens (assembly GCF_000001405.40). NCBI lineage: Eukaryota > Metazoa > Chordata > Mammalia > Primates > Hominidae > Homo > Homo sapiens. The sequence continues at coordinate 96,441,498 of NC_000012.12, read as the reverse complement.
CCAAGTGTTCTCATTGTGCAATTCCCACCTATGAGTGAGAACATGTGGTGTTTGGTTTTTTGTCCTTGCGATAGTTTGCTGAGAATGATGGTTTCCAGCTTCATCCATGTCCCTACAAAGGACATGAACTCATCCTTTTTTATGGCTGCATAGTATTCCGTGGTGTATATGTGCCATATTTTCTTAATCCAGTCTATCATTGATGGACATTTGGGTTGGTTCCAAGTCTTTGCTATTGTGAATAGTGCCACAATAAACATACATGTGCATGTGTCTTTATAGCAGCATGATTTATAATCCTTTGGGTACATACCCAGTAATGGGATGACTGGGTCAAATGGTATTTCTAGTTCTAGATCCTTGATGAATTGCCACAAAAACAAGAAATAGGGAAAGGATTCCCTATTTAATAAATGGTGCTGGGAAAACTTGCTAGCCATATGTAGAAAGCTAAAACTGGATCCCTTCCTTACACCTTATACAAAAATTAATTCAAGATGGATTGAAGACTTAAATGTTAGACCTGAAACCATAAAAACCCTAGAAGAAAACCTAGGCAATACCATTCAGGACATAGGCATGGGCAAGGACTTCATGTCTAAAACACCAAAAGCAATGGCAACAAAAGCCAAAATTGACAAATGGGATCTAATTAAACTAAAGAGCTTCTGCACAGCAAAAGAAACTACCATTAGAGTGAACAGGCAACCTACAGAATGGGAGAAAATTTTTACAATCTACCCATCTGACAAAGGGCTAATATCCAGAATCTACCAAGAACTCAAACGAATTTACAAGAGAAAAACAAGCAACCCCATCAAAAAGTGGGCAAAGGATATGAACAGACACTTCTCAAAAGAAGACATTTATGCAGCCAACAGACACATGAGAAAATGCTCATCATCACTGGCCATCAGAGAAATGCAAATCAAAACCACAATGAGACACCATCCCACACTAGTTAGAATGGCGATCATTAAAAAGTCAGGAAACAACAGGTGCTGGAGAGGATGTGGAGAAATAGGAACACTTTTACACTGTTGGTGGGACTGTAAACTAGTTCAACCATTATTGATAAAACTTTAAGTTGTTTTACTCTGATTCCACTACAAATAATACAGACATGAATAACATAATATGTAAGCTGATTTTCACATATGCCTGCATGTCTATAAGATAAATTTCTAGTCTGGCCTCAGTGGCTCATACCTGCAATTCCAATACTTTGGGCAGCTGAGGAAGGAGGATTGCTTGAGCCCAGGAGTTTGAGAATAGCCTGGACAACACAGCAAAACCTTGTCTCTACAAAAAGTAAAAATAAAAAAATAAAAGGCTGGGTGCAGTGGCTTACACCTATAATCCCAGCACCCTGGGAGGCTGAGGCAGGTGGATCATCTGAGGCCAGGAGTTCGAGGCAAGCCTGGCCAACTTGGTGAATACCTGTCTCTACTAAAAATACAAAAATTAGCTGGGCGTGGTGGTGAGCGCCTGTAATCCCAGCTACTTGGGAAGCTGAGGCAGGAGAATCACTTGAATCTGGGAGGCGGAGGTTGCAGTGAGCTGAGATCACGCCACCGCACTCCAGCCTGGGTGACAAGAGTGAAACTCTGTCTCAAAAAACAAACAAAAAACAAAAAAATAGTGCACCTGTGGTTTCAGCTACTCAGGAGGCTGAGGTGGGAGGACTGCTTGAACTTGGAAGGTCAAGTTTGCAGTAAGCTATGATTATGCTACTGTACTCCAGCCTGGGTGACAGAGCAAAACTCTGTCTCAAAAAAAATATATATATATAGAAGTGATGCTGTTGGGTCAAAGAACATGTAGATTCACAGAAGAGCATGCATTATTACATATCCTCAACAGTACAGCCTGTTAACAAAGTTTTTGCTTTTTGCCTATTTTGTTGGTAAAAAATGGTATCTCAGCATATATTTAAATTGTACTTATCTTATTATGAGTGAGGTTAAATATAATTTCAGATGTTTGTAAGCCATTTGTTTTTCCTTTTTTGAGAACTGCTTGTTTTTGAAGAAATCTTCACCAAGGGAACAATCATTGGAGCATCTGTTTTGTTTTTTTTTTGTTTTTTTTTGTTTTTTTGAGACAGAGTCTCGCTGTCCCCCAGGCTGGAGTCCAGTGACACGATCTCGGCTCACTGCAAGCTCCGCCTCCCGGGTTCATGCCATTCTCCTGCCTCAGCCTCCCAAGTAGCTGGGACTACAGGTGCCCCCCACCACTCCTGGCTAAATTTGGAGCCTCTGTTTCTAAAACCCTGTGCACCACGACTCAAAGAAAAGTAAACTGAGGATTTTAACACACTTCTCACTATCACTGCTTGAGATATTGAAATTTCTGTCATCTCCAAGTTGTAAAGTCTAGTTCACACACTCAGTGAGTTCACAGTCTGGCAATAAAGACAATGGAGAGAAGAGAGCAAATCAGGCTAAAGAGTACCCAGCTGTCCCAATTGTAATGCCAAAAGAGGCATGATGCACTTAGATGATGAGGGCTCATATTGGTACCCAAATACTCCATCTGATGGCCAGGGGCACTGCAGCTGGCACTCTAAGCAGTATCAGGGCTAACAGGGAGATGAAAGGTAGTGCCCTGGTTCTAAGAACTCTCCAGGGTGAGGGTCGACTCTAGCCAAAAGTAGGCAGGGCTAGGACAGGCAGGGACTAAGACATTATAAGCTTTAGAGGAAAGCTATTTCAAACTATTATAGGAATACAGAGAATAGGAAGGGCTGAAATATCCCTAGGAAGCAGGATGGAAGTGAGTTCTAGAAAGGTCTCACACTGAGATGGCTTTTGAACTGGGCCTTGAAGGATAAGACGGAATAACTAGGCAGAGAGGTGGAGATGGCCCCATATGCAAAGGGAATAAAATAAGCAAAGGCATGCAGGTCAGAGATCTTTTTCCTCTGAATGATGATGAATCCAGGGTGGCCAGAGAGCAGGGAGGGCACGTGTGTGTATACACAGGAAAGGGGTATGAAAGATGGGCAGAATGAGAGATGAGGTCACCTTTTAACTAAAAGCTTTTTTCTTTTTAACTAAAAGCTTTTTTCTTTTTAACTAAAAGCTTTTTATTTGCAGTTCTCAACTGAACTTAAATTTTCTTATAAATGTTATTTGGCATACATGAAAATCCCTGGCGTAAACATGGCTTAGGATAATGTATAAACAATCTATTTTAGGGAAAATAGAGGAAGAAGCCCACTGGACCAGAAAGAGTTGGCCCCTATTAGTCACGAGCCCTCTTGTTCCTCTCAAATCAAAAATAAATCTTAGGACCAGGGCTGTGGCACATCTGCAATCCCAGCACTTTGGGAGGCCAAGGTGGCAAGACTGCTTGAGCCTGGGAGTTCAAGATCAGCTCCTGACAACATAGCTGTCTCTACTAAAAATAAAAGAAGTTAGCTGGGCACGGTGGCTCATGCCTGCAGTCCCAGCTATGCCAGAGGCAAGGTGGGAGGATTGCTTGAGGCCAGGAGGATGAGGCTGCAGTGAGGCATGATCACACCACTGCACTCCAGCCTGGATGACAGAGCGAGACCTGTCTCAAATTAAATAAATAAATAGATAAGTCCTAGGACATCGAGGTTAACGGGTATGCTTATAAGGACAGAGCAACACAGCATCGGGGGTGGAATGAAGCAAAAACTTCTTAAAAAATGGACATGTAGACCAGGCACAGTGGCTCATGCCTGTAATCCCAGCACTTTGGGAGGCCGAGGTGGGTGCATCACCTGAAGTCAGGACCAGCCTGGCCAACACGGTGAAACCCATTCTCTACTAAAAATACAAAAAATTAGCCAGGCATAGTGGCAGGCACCTGTAATCCCAGGTACTTGGGAGGCTGAGGCAGGAGAATCACCTGTACCCTGGAGGCAAAGGTTGCAGTGAGCCGAGATCATGCCATTGCACTCCAGCATGGGCAACAAGAGCAAAACTGCGTCTCAAAAAAAAAAAGAAAGAAAGAAAGAAAGAAAAATGGACATGTGTACCCCTTTTATATTTATGATAATTAGAACTATTGGAATAAAGAACTATAAAAGCATAGACGCAAAGAGAGGTCAGTGAATGAAATTAGCTACATTACAGAACACTAATGATACCTACTATCTAAAAGCCCAGTAGATTTTACTAATGAATACTCCAGAGCTGTAACCATTTTAAAAAATCTGCTCAGCTTTAACAAGAAAAATACATGATAATTATTTTTTCAAGGAGACATTGCCAAGGTTTATCCATGCCAAAATGCTGATGGAAATTTTAATGTGAAATGAACCACAGAAAAGAGATGATAATGAGAGAGTCTTACAAAGGCCCTGTCATCTGCAGACACTGGCATTCTCTATTTTTCTTTCAGCTCCTCCTCAAACTGTTCTCCCCTAATCCTTGATGTTTATATTATCCACCCCCATAAAATCCAACACTTGACAGACTCTAGGGATTAAAAGCAAGAGCTAAACTCTCAAATCTGTACATATAAGATAAAACTAGTGACAGAGGTTCAAAAGACCTCACTGATATCTCTCATAGCATCAGTCAGCCTTGCCTTGCGGATCCAAGCAAGGGCCCTCTCTGGGCAATTCTTTTGTAAGGACTACTGTCTACATCTTATAGACTTACCTATGACTTGCGTAAGGATGCAGGACAAATCAAACCAAGAACTTTCCAAAAGAGTAGTAGGGAAGATAGGGGCTGAAGGCAGTGAGGTGGAGCTTCCAAGGGCTAATTGAGAAGTGATTACACAGGACAGGATAAGGTTTTGTACTCACAGTCCATCACAGATACTCTGAATTGCTTACTCCACTGCCATTCCCCTTCTTTCCTGCTAACAGAGCCCCGGTTTTGTTCAGGAAAACATTCCCAGCCCATGGGATGAGTGATGATTGGTCTAAGCCAATCGTAGTGGACTTATTCTCCTTTGCCAGTATTGGTAGGAGACTGGGCACATGGCCCAGACTTAACCAGTGCATTGTCAGAAGTAGTCAATTGAGGGTATGAGGAAAAAATTTATTTCCTGATAAAAGAAACGCTAGGGAAGTGGAAGCCTTTGGCCTCTCTTCCCTCGATTCCAGCTTGAATGCCGTTGTATGAGGGGATCTCAAGGCAAGAGCTTCGCAAAGACAGACATTGCTGACTTACTGAGGAGGCATGGTGGACTCTGCCTTCTTGATTACATTGTTGAATTACCAAACTAACCTTGAGACTGGCCTCTTGTTTAGTGAACAACAAATATTATTATGCTCTTAGGCCACTATTTGTTGGGATTTCTGTTTCTTGTAGCTGAAAGAACATCCTATATGTGTAGACAGCAAACTGATAACTAGGGGTGTAGTGGCAAGGTGAAGTCCAAAGGGCCAGGTAGAACAGTAAGTAGGAAGAGAGGACCAGGAGCATCTCAGTATGCAGTATGGGGAACAGGCTGGGAAAATGTTGAGGAGGTGCTGGGAGCGTGTCAGCTGAGTTCCTGGAGGCCTTCCTCCATGTACTTCCAGCTGTGTGAAACAGGGGTGATACTGACATTTTAAAGAATCACTGTGGGGCTGGGCATGGTGGCTTACGCCTGTAATCCCAGCATTTTTGGGGGCCGAGGTGGGCTGATCACTTGAGGCCAGGAGTTCGAGACCAGCCTAGGCAACATAGCAAAACTCCACCTCTACTAAAAATATAAAAATTAGCTGGGCCTGGTGGCACACGCCTGTAATCCCAGCTACTCGGGAGGCTAAGGCAGGAGAATTGCTTGAACCCGGGAGGCACAGGTTGCAGTGAGCCGAGATCAAGCCAGTGCACTCCAACCTATGTGACAAAGCAAGACTCCATCTCAAAAAAAGAAAAAAAAAGTCTACATTCCTTAGCCTTTCGCCCTACCATCTTGCCACACACAGACATCTCTAGATTTTAGTTCTTTAAGGACAGTTCTATGCCATAACTTTTTGTCTCACGTAGTTCTTAGAATATCTTATATGCAATTTTTTTTTTGTTAGATGGAATCTCTCTCTGTCGCCCAGGCTGGAGTGCAGTGGCGCAATCTCGGCTCACTGCAACCTCCGTCTCCTGGGTTCCAGTGATTCTCCTGCCTCAGCCACCTGAGTAGCTGAGACTATAGGCATGTGCCACCACACCCAGCTAATTTTTGTAATTTTAGTAGAGAGGGTTTCACCATGTTGGCCAGGATGGTCTTGATCTCTTCACTTCGTGATCTTCTTGTCTCGGCCTCCCAAAGTGCTGGGATTACAGGCATGAGCCACCGCACCTGGCCACAATAATTTTTAATAACCCTTTATTCATAGACATGGATACTTTCTATTTTGTCCTTTACCTTGTACCTTATATATTTTAGTCAACTAGTCATGACTAGCATGTTTGTATAATCTTGTAACTTTATGTTGATATTTGTGGTTATAGAAATGACCAGTGCTATAGTTTTTAATAAATTAACAATTTGACCAACTATATTATTTTGAATTTAAGTCTGTATTTGTTATAATTTTGTTTAAGAGACAGGGTCTTATTCTGTTGCCCAGGCTAGAGTGCAGTGGCATGAACACAGCTCACTGCAGCCTCGTCCTCCTGGGCTCAAGAAATCCTCCCACCTCAGCCTCCCAAGTAGCACCACAGGTGCACACCACCACACCAGGCTAATTTTTTAATTTTTTGTAGAGATGGGGTCTTGCCATGTTGTCCAGGCTGGTCTTGAACTCCTGTCCTCAAGTAATCTTCCCACCTCAGCTTCCCAAAGTGCTGGCATTTCAGGAATAAGCCCTCGTGCCCAGGCTATAATTATTTTTGAAACAGTAATTTGTAACTAGCTCCACCTTTATAATTTCACAACCAGATTTTTAAATTGCTAAAACAGAACCAACTTCCTGGTTCATAGCGTTATCATTTTAAGAGACCACTGTATTAATCCTAATTGGCACTCTTGTATTCTTGGCATGTTCTTCATTCCACAACTTTGCTCTTTCCATTTTCTCTATCCATCTCTCTATCTATCAAGAATGCTCTCTTGTCTTCCCTTAACTGACTCTTAAACATTCTTCAAAGTTCAAGTCTCACATGTCACGTGAGGCCCTTCCTGACCACTGTAATCCACTGTGGTTTCCCTTCCTTTCAAGTCTCTACTGCACTTATGATCTGCATCACTCATTACGCATCTTTGGCTTGCACTATTACACTGTTAGTCTTCTTTGTAAGTGTGTCTGTGTAACCGAAATGTTTCCAAGACCTCTGCCCTTCTCTTTAGTGTTTAATAAAATAAATAAAGCCAGCTGGGCACGGCGGCTCATGCCTGTAATCCCAACACTTTTGGAGGCCAAAGAGGGGCGAATCACTTGAGGTCAGGAGTTCAAGACCAGCCTGGGCAACATGGTGAAACCCCGTCTCTACTAAAAATATAAAAATTAGTTGGGCATGGTGGCACGTGCCTGTAATCCCAGCTACTCAGGAAGCTGAGGCAGGAGAATTGCTTGAGTCTGGAAAGTGGAGGTTGCAGTGAGCCCAGATCGCACCACTGCCCTCCAGCCCAGGCAACAAGAGCGAGACTCCATCTTAAAAAATAAATAAATAAATAAAATAAAATAAATGAAGCTACTGCACATAACTTGGTTCTCCTAAGGGAACACTTGAATGTACTGACACTTCCTCCAAACCTCTACTCCCAGTGTAATTATTGATCCTCTTTCACCATCTTGCCTCCTACACTCGCTTTCCTCTTTTTTTTTTTTTTTTTTGAGATGGAGTCTCGCTCTTGTTGCCCAGGCTGGAGTGCAATGGCATAGTCTCAACTCACCGCAACCTCCGCCTCCTGGGTTTAAGCAATTCTCCTGCCTCAGCCTCCCGAGCAGTTGGGATTACAGGCATGTGCCACCATGCCCGGCTAATTTCGTATTTTTAGTGGAGATGGGGTTTCACTCAGGCTGGTCTCTAACTCCTGACCTCAGGTGATTGCCAGCCTTACCCTCCCAAAGTGCTGGGATTACAGGCGTGAGCCACAGTGCCCGGCCTTTTTTTTTTTTTTTTTTTTTTTTTTTTTAAAGACAAAGTCTTGCTCTGTCGCCCAGTCTGGAGTGCAGTGGCACAATCTTGGCTCACTGCAACTTTCGCCTCATGGGTTCAAGCAATTCTGCTTCAGCCTCCCAAGTAGCTGGGATTACAGGCGCCTGCCACCACAACCAGCTAATTTATGTATTTTTTTTTAGTAGAGATGGGGTTTCACCATGTTGGCTAGGCTGGTCTCAAACTCCTGACCTCAAGTGATCCGCCCACCTAGGCCTCCCAAAGTTCTGGGATTACAGGTGTGAGCCACCATGCCCAGCCACTTACCTCAATTCCCCAGATGCCTGAAAGGGTGAGGCAGCATATCTATGGAGGCCACTCCTGCTTTTGGAACCTGACAAGATCTAAATGAAACCTGAAAACCTAAGTGGCCTCATCCTGGGAGATACACACTGTGATGGACTGAAACACATTGTGTTAATTATTAATGCATTATTACTAGTAATAATTGTATTAATAACTATTCATTAACTATTAATGATTGTGTATATTATTTGATGTAAGTGATCCATGGGTGAAAACCAGGGAGTGGCCTGTGGTGTTATGATATATATATAGGTTTTTGTCCACGGTTCCTGGCTCAGAATTCCCACAGCCCTTGTTATAGTCTTTGTTTTTTTTTTTTTTTTTTTTTGAGATGGAGTTTCACTCTTGTTGCCCAGGCTGGAGTGCAGTGGCAAGATCTCAGCTCACTGCAACTGTTACCAGACCAAACTGAGGGCCAGGCTTCTATTTTTCATGGCCCAATAACGAGATGCAGATGAACTGGGGAGGAAGAGAACTTTTACTTCTGTAACTGGTTACAGGGAGAAGGTCTGGAAATTATCGCCAGACCAACTCCAAATTACAAAGTTTTCCAAAGCTTATATACTTTCTAAGCTATATTCATCTAAAGACATAAGTGATGAACTTCTTTTAATCTGTAACTAGGGTCTGAGTCCTGTAGATCTTTTTCTGAAGCCTTAGTAAGTTTACTTAGTCTAAATGGGTCTAGGTGCTGGGGTGATGACCTTTATCTCTCTTTTTTCTTTGAGACAGAGTTTCACTCTTGTCACCCGGGCTGGAGTGCAGTGGCGCAATCTCGGCTCACTGCAACCTCCACCTCCTGGATTCAAGTGATTCTCCTGCCTCAGCCTCCCAAGTAGCTGGGATTACAGGCATGCGCCACCATGCCCGGCTAATTTTTGTATTTTTTTTTTTCCGAGATGGAGTCTTGCCCTGTAGCCCAGGCTGGAATGCAGTGGCACAATCTCGGCTGACTGCAACACTCCCTGTCCTGGGTTCAAGCAATTCTCCTGCCTCAACCTCCTGAGTAGCTGGAATTACAGGCACGCACCACCACGTCCGGCTAATTTTTGTATTCTTAGTAGAGATGGGGTTCCACCATGTTGGCCAGGATGGTCTGGATCTCCTGACCTTGTGATCTGCCTGCCTTGGCCTCCCAAAGTGTTGGGATTACAGGCGTGAGCCACTGTGCCCAGCCAATTGCCCTTATTTGTATCCTGCTAAATCATAAAGGTTTGGGGAGTTCCTTTAGGCCCCAATAAACTTGTTTGTGGAGGCCTGGGGAGTTTCTTCAGACCCCCAATAAAACTTGTTTAATCCTAAAAGGGTCCTGTTAAGAATTGCTTCATTATTTTGTCATGCTTCAAGGCCCAGGAAAAGCTAGCCAAAACTCTTGGTGGGCTTTTGTTACATTCCAGCCTTTGTATAAGGATCCTGGCTCTTTCAGCTTTTAATATTTAACTTAACTACTTAGTCAGTGCTGAAACAGTTGTTACAGAGGTCTGCATCTGTGAGACCAGGCCTACCACACAACCTCTGCCTCCTGGGTTCAAGCGATTCTCCTGCCTCAGCCTCCCGAGTAGCTGGGACTACAGGCATGTGCCACCATACCTGGCTAATTTTGTATTTTTAGTAGAGACAGGGGTTCACCATGTTGGCCAGGCGGATCTCAAACTCTGACCTCAGGTGATCCCCAGTCCTGGGCCTCCCAAAGTGCTGGGATTACAGACAGGAGCCACCGAGCCTAGCCATTACAATCTTTTGGTGTAATGTGGGGTGTGTTAGGCCTCGGGGGCAGGCCTCTGACCTCCTGCCTTCTTCTCCCCTGCTTCAAGGCAGGACTCTAATTCTTCCTGCCCCACCCCCACCTTTCTGACTGTGGGTCTTAGGACTCTTCCCAGAGAGGATCCTGCCCATACCCTGGGGAAAGGAATGCTGACGTCATAAAGGTTCCATAAAAACCCAAAAGGAGGGCCAGGCGTGGTTGCTCATGCCTGTAATCCCAGCACTCTGGTAGGCCAAGGCGGACGGATCACTTGAGGTCAGGAGTTTGAGAGCAGCCTGGCCAACATGGTGAAACCCCATCTCCACTAAAAATACAAAAAATTAGCCAGGCATGGTGGCAGGTGCCTGTAACTCCAGCTACTCTGGAGGCTGAGGCAGGAGAATTGCTTGAACCCTGGAGGCGAAGGTTGCGATGAGTTGAGATTGTACCACTGCACTCCAGTCTGGGCGACAAGAGTGAAACTGTGTCCAAAAACAAAAACAAAAGGACAGAGTTCAGTGAGCTTCCAGATAGCTGAACACGTGGAGGGGTCCTGGTTGGTGGTATACTCATGAAGGGTATGGAAGTTCCATGCACCTTCCTCTATATCTCACCCCATGTGCCTCTGCATCTGCATCCTAAGTCTCTTACTCTGCAGGCAACAAATTAGTTGCCTATTCAATGTTCACTCTATTTCTCTTTCCTTCTTTTTTTTGTGAGACAGGGTCTCACTCTATTGCCCAGGCTAGAGTGCACTGATGCAGTCATAGCTCATTGCAGCCTCAAACTCCTGGGTTCAAGTGACCCTCCTCCCTCAGCCTCCCAAGTAGCTAGGACTACAGGTGCCTGCCACCATGCTCAGCTAATTTTTATTTATTTATTTATTTATTTATTTAGATCTCACTATGTTGCCCAGGCTGGTCTCGAACTCCTGGGCTCAAGCAATCTTTCCATGTTAGCCTCCCAAAGTGCTGAGATTAAGCATGAGCCACTGCACCCAGCATCTCTTTGCTGAACGCTGATTTTATTCAGTATCCCAACCTCTTCCACATCTACTGCTGAGAGCTCCATTCCAATTGTTCTTATTAGTATGTTTGGCAGTGACTGGTTTAGCTATTGGCATGTGGTGCATTCTGGCCAATTAAATGTAAAAAGAAATCTTTCAGGCTGCTTCTGAAAAAGGTTTCCTCCTTTCAAGAGAGATAAACAGAGAGCACCTCTTCCTCTAAAATTGTCCTGTCCAAAGGTTATACATGGAACTGCTGTAGTCTTCTCATAACTAAGGGGGCATTCCTTAAGGACAGAGAAAACAAAACACAGAGTGAAAAAGGCAAAGTTGGGGGAAAAAAAACCTCACCTTTATTGTTGGCCCATCAACATATTTAATCTTGGACATTCCTACCTTTGGACTTTTTGAATATAGTATTATTTATGCCCATTCTGAGTTCAGTTTTCTGTTATTTACAGCAGAAAATATCCTAATGGACACTTTGGCTTCTCTCTCTCCGGTGACTCCCGCCTGTCGCCATTGCAAGGACTTCCTCTCCTTTTAACATCTGTAGCCTTCTTTGAGTCCCAGGATCTCTAAACCTACTTTTTCTGAACATCAGAGAATAACTCCAAAATTCTATTAATTTACTATGGGGAACAATTCCCTTTTGTTTCCATTTCTCCAATCCAGCCTCCAGGGTCCCCTCCTCACCACCTCATTACCAAAAGACCCACTTAATGAGTTTGCTTAAAGAATTCTTTCCCAGAGATTAGACGCTAAAGACCTGGAGTCATACTACCTAAGTGTGAACATCAATTCCACGTCTTGCTAGCTGTGTAAGCTTTGATAAGGCGCTTATTTTTTCTGAGGCTCATCTTCATCTGCCAAATGTCAAATAATTTTTAATTTTTATATAGACAGGGTCTCACTATGTTGACAAGGCTGGTCTTGAACTCCTGGACTCAAGCAATCCTGCTGCCTCAGCCTCTGAAAGTGCCGAGATTACAGGTGTGAGCCAAATAATAATTGAAGAATTGGTGTGAAGCTCAAATGATGTCATCTACACGAAGACCTCATAACAGTGCCTGGCACTCGTAAGCATTCAAGATAAAAATGCTGATTGGAAGTAAAGGAAACCAGATAAAGTAGCAGAAAAGAAACTTTCCACTCTGTGTGCTAGTAGCTTACAGAATGGAAAGCCCAGCACAATAACCAGGCTCAGAAAAGACAAGGACCAGGGTGGCCTTGGGAATCCAAATAGCAAGAAGTAATCTTTTTCAGTCTTTTTGTTTCTCTGCTTGAGATTCAAACTCCTGGGGACAAGCATCTGATTGGTCTGGCTTTGGCTGTGTGTTCACCTCTTATTTGGCTAACGAAGTACCTTGGTTCTTGGAGCACCGGGATCGTCTCCAATAGTGCTCCAAGGCAAACTGGAAATGCTGTCACAAGAAAAAGGAGTAAAGTGAAAAACAAACAACCTAACACCATTGGTTATTCTACATTTGTTATACTATATTTTTAGGACAAGATTATGTATTCTACATATCACATTGCATAACATCCTTTATTTATTTATTTATTTATTTATTTATTTATTTATTTATTTATTTGAGACCGAGTCTTGCTCTGTCGTCCAGGCTGGAGTGCAGTGGTGCAATCTTGGCTCACTGTGACCTCCACTTCCTGGGTTTAAGCGATTCTCCTGCCTCAGGCTGGGATTACAGGCGTGTGCCACCAGGCCCAGCTAATTTTTGTATTTTTGTGGAGACTATCCAAAACACTTCTGCTCTTTTACAATTTGAATAGTCAGTTGATTCTCAATCTGAAGCCAGTTTTTATACTTATGACTCCTGAAGTCATTTTTCCTTCTCCTAATGTCATCCCACTGCATTGATCAAGATCTCCTAATCTAGAAAGGAAAGAGAAGAGGCCCACAAAAGAATAAAGCCAAACACTTTGGTTCCAAAGGCCGCTGGCTAAAAATTACTCTTCGATTTCACTTTTTTGTTTTTTGTTTTTTTGAGGTAGGGTCTCTTTCTGTCAACCAGGCCTAGGCTCAAGCAGTTTGCCCACCTCAGCCTCCCAAGTATCTGGGACCACAGGTACACACCACCACACCTGACCTCAAGTGATCCTCCTGCCTCAACCTCCCAAAGTGTTGGGATTACAGGCATGAGCCACCATGCCTGTTTGGATCATTTGTATTTTCAAAACTCAGTCCAAAGGAAAACACATGTTCTTGTCTCAGTTTTTTTAAGACCGAGAAGCCTGTCAATGATAATTATGGAGGGATATAACAAGGCTGTTATAGCCCTTGAAGGATGGGAGAGGCAGAGTTAAGAGTGAGGCTGTTAACAAAAAAAAATGCCAGTATTAAAGAAAAACATTGGAGGAAAGCATATACAATTGAGGACACAATTATCAGCCTGTCTTATCTATCCTTCTGTCAATTTTGCAGATTCTAGCCCTAGAGAGTGAAGTAAAAAAGGGAAAGGAGAAATGGATAGGAAAGCATCTTAATGGTCTAACTGGGTCTTTTCTTTAATTTTCAGAAGAGAAACCCTTTTGACCTCAAGCATGGTCAAAAAGATTCCATGATGCATTTATAGGCAAAAGCCTTAGAGAAAGCATTAACTTCACTGTTTATCATTTCTTTCATTCCCACATTTTCAACCACCGATTTATGTCCATTTTTTCTTATAAACATGTTTTTTCTTCACATCCATTCCTATTGTCAGAGTCAGCCTGGAGACCAGTCATCTTGTGGCTGTACTGCCATCACAGCTGTCTCCCATGATCTTATTCTAACTGCATTCTTTTCTGTGAAATCACAGCACGAGTCAGCTTCCTCCAGCATCATTTTGGCCTCACGCCTTTCAAATCACACTTAAGCTCCTGATCCAGATGTGAGAGCATTCTGGCTGAGACATTTGCTGCCCCTTTGTTCGTCAGCACTGACTCGGCTGAGCTGACTGAGGAGGCAGATGTCCCCTTCCTTCCTCACTGCTCTCTCTGCGCACCCTGCCCCCCAACCCCCTGGAGCTGCACACATGGAGACACTGGCAAACAAACAGGAAGGGAAGCCATGATCTGGAGCAAAATTGTCTAGGGTAAGAGGGTAGCCGGGAATTGGGACTAAGAACTAGGAAACTCTAACGTTGAGGGGCCAAGTGGTGAGGGCTGAGCCTAAAAGGAGGCAGAAAAATAGATGCTAGGAGGATGGTAGGAGGAAAATCAGAAAAATGTGGTGTTGTGGAAGCCAAGGGAAAAGATGTCTCGAACAGTAAAGAGGCATAAGCAAAATGCGGCCTATACACACAATACAATATTATTTTTTCTCGTTTTCTTTTGCTTTTGAGACAGAGTTTTGCTCTTGTCACCCAGGCTGGAGTGCAGTGGCGCAATCTCAGTTCACTGTAACCTCCACCTCCCAGGTTCAAGTGATTCTCCTGCCTCAGCCTCCCGAGTAGCTGGGATTACAGGCCCCATGCCCGGCTAATTTTTGTATTTATAGTAGAGATGGGGTTTCGCCATGTTAGCCAGGCTGGTCTGGAACTACTGACCTCAGGTGATACACCTGCCTCGGCCTCCCAAAGTGCTGGGATTACAGGCATGAGCCACCACGCCTGGCCACAATACAATATTATTTAGCCTTAAAAAGGAAGGAAATTCTAACACATGCTACAATATGAGATGAGCTTGAAGACATTATGCTAAGTGAAATAAGTCAGTCACAAAAGTGACAAATACTGTATGGTTCCACTTATATAAAGTACCTAGAGTAGGCAAGGTGTGGTGTCTCATGTCTGTAATCCTCTCACTTTGGGAGGCTGAGGTGGATGCATCACCTGAGGTCAGGAGTTCGAGACCAGCCTGGCCAACATGGTGAAACCCCGTCCCTACTGAAAACACAAAAATTAGCCTGGCGTGGTGGCAGATGCCTATAATCCCAGCTACTTGGGACACTGAGGCAGGATAATCGGTTGAACCCAGGAGGCGGAAGTTGCAGTGAACCGAGATGGCTCCATTGTACTCCATCCTGGGCAATAAGAGCGAAACTCTGTCTCAAAAAAATAAATAAATAAAAAATAAAAAAAATAAAGTACCTAGAGTAGTCAAACCCATGGAGACAGAAAGTAAAGGGTGGTTGCCAGAGGCTGGGGGAAGATGGTAAACAGGAGTTATTGTGCAATGGGTATAGAGTTTCAGTCTTGCAAGCTAAAAAGAGCTCTGTGAGCCTGGCACTGTGGTTCCCTAATCCCAGCACTTTGGGAGGGTAAGGTGAGAGAATTGCTTGAGCTCAGGAGTTCGAGATCAACCTGGGCAATAGAGCAAGACCTCACCTCTACTAAATCCCACCCTCCCCATAAAAAAATCCCCAAAACTGGCCAGGCGTGGGGGCATGAACCTGTAGTCCCAGCTACTTGAGAGGCTGCAGCAGGAGGATCGTTTGATCCCAGGAGATCAAGGCTGCAGTGAATTATGATCATGCCACTGCACTCCAACCTGGGGGGCAAAGCAACAGCCTTTCTCAAAAAAGAAAAAAAGGAAAAGAGAAACAAAAGGAGTTTTATGAATGGTGGTGATGATCACACAGCAATGTGAATGCACTTAATGTCATTAAACTGTACTCTTAAAGGTAGTTTTACCACAATTTTTAGAAAAAGTAAAGAGAGGTCAGCAGATTCAGATGCAGCTGAAAGGTCGGGGATAGGGAGGACTGAAAATATCCCTTGTGTTTAGCGTCATAGAGATTGCTGGTGACAAGTGTGAGCAGGATCCTGCCTACATTCTGGGTGACTTCAATCAATATTCACATGCAAATATTTATGCATATTTTCTGGCTCATAACTGACTTTCAGTAAAAGTGAGTCATGACAGATTCAGGCTGTCTGTGGTCCATGGCTAACCTCTTCCTCCTGTCCCTGCCTTCACTTGATGCATTTCATTCTCCCTGGCGTACTCCTGGCTCCTATGCACATTTCAACATTTTCTCCATAAATCTTAACAGGCCTTAAATGTCCTGTTTTCCCTAGTAGGGTGCTGATTCCTCTTTTCTGCCAACCCACCTCTCTCCGTTGCTTCCAAACAGGCACTAAATACTTCCCCCCTCCAAGGCCTTTTCCTAGATTAATTCCATTTGGCTTCAAAAATTCTTACCATTATCTTCATCTCTTTTATCCTAATAATTTTTTTCTCATAAAGATCTTTTTTTTCTTTTGAGATGGAGTCTCACTCTGTCACCCAGGCTGGAATGCAGTGACACGATCCCGGCTCATCGCAACCTCCACCTCCCGTGTTCCAGAGATTCTCCTGTCTTAGCCTCCCGAGTAGCTGGGATTACAGGCACCCGCCACCATGCCCAACTAATTATTTTTTGTATTTTTAGTAGAGACAAGTTTTCACCATGTTGGCCAGGCTGGTCTGGAACTCCTGACCTCAGGTGATCCACTCGCCTCAGCCTCCCAAAGTACTGGGATTACAGGCATGAGCCACCACGCCCAGCCATAAAGATCTTAAAATAGTATTTATCACTCATTCAATAATTACTTAAGGAATTTAACATTCCATAAACATGAATAAAGCCACTACTACATACCAGGTATTGTGACAGTTACTAGAGATACACTTCTTGCCCTCAAACAGCTTATAGTCCAGTAGGGAAAAATGTATCTTCTGTACCTTGTACACAGACATTTTTGTCTTGAGGTTAAATTTAAAAATACAAATGGCAAAGAAAAAATCTCTCTCTAGAGAAAGATTTACAACTATTTCGGGAGACAATATAGCATTACAGTTTCAGTAGGAACTCCTTTTCCTTGCTGATAAATTTAGTATAAACTGGCCAGGCATGGTGGCTCATGCCTGTAATCCCAAAACTTTGGGAGGCTGAGACAGACAGATCACCTAAGGTCAGGAGTTCAAGACCAGCCTGGCCAACATGGCAAATCCTGTCTCTACTAAAAATACAAGAATTAGCCGGGCGTGATGGCAGGCGCCTGTAATCCCAGCTACTAGGGAGGCTGAGGTAGGAGAATTGCTTGAACCCAGGAGGCGGAGGTTACAGTGAGCTGAGATCATGCCATTACACTCCAGCCTGGGTGACGAGAGCAAAACTCCATCTCAAAAACAAAAAAAAAGTATAAACTTACTACTCTGGCCATGTTATATGTCTACAGCATAACTTTTCAACAGAGCTCTTCAGTACTAGTTTTATCAGCTCCCGTAGACATATTCTATGTTCCAGTAAAACTAAATTATGTTCCTATTTCTAAAATGCAACTGATGATTATAAGGCACACCATGAATTAATGAACATTTCAAGGAAAAAATAACACAACCATAGTACGTTCAGATGGTGGTTATAAGACATGTACCAATTACACAAATTTGAAAATGTTAAAATGGAAGGGGGGAGCAGAAGGGTAAAGCGTGCATCTTAAGTTCAAATATATACAGTGTTTGTTGCTCTCAGAAAATGCTTTGCATTTCCTGGGCTCCAGACATTTGCATGTGCTTTTCCTTCCATTTGGAACATCTCTCCTCTCCCTACCTCTACCTACAACCTACCCAGTTTCTAAAGATTTCTTCCTCTCGTCAAACCTGTCCTGATCCTACCAATCAAATGTGATCTTTTGTTTGTTGGTTGGTTCATTCAACAAACATGTATTGAATGCCTACTATGTCTCAGGCACTGTTCCAGGCATCAAGGATAAAATGGTAGATAAGACAGGCATAGTATCCTGTCTTCATGGAGTTTCTACATGGGGAGACATAAAAAGCAAGTGGATCAACAAATAAATGAAATAATTGTAAATTGTAATGAATGCCCTGATGAAACAAACAAGGTGCTGAGACAGAGAACTATATAGGGACGTCTCATCGTGGCAGATGGTCAGGAAAGACCTCTACAGGGAAGCAAAGTAAGCTGAGAGCTAAAGGGAGACGAGGAGTTACATGTGCACTTATGGAGAGAGGCACATTCCAAGCACAGGGAACATGTGCAAAAGCCACGAGGTGGGGTTGAGTTTTACATGTTTGAGAAATCCGACTTTTCATTCCTTTGAACCTCCAGAGTATTTCATATCTTCCTTTGAGGTTAATATTCGTTTGCCTTGATCATAATCCTTGTTACTTTCTTTTTTTTTTTTTTTTTTTTTTTTTTTGAGACAGAGTCTCACTCTGTCCCCCAGGCTGGAGTACAGTGGCGCCATCTCGGCTCACTGCAACCTCCGCCTCCTGGATTCAAGCGATTCTCCTGCCTCAACCTCCTGAGTAGCTGGGACTACAGGCGCTCGCCACCACGCCCGTCTAATTTTTGTATTTTTAGTAGAGACAGGGTTTCACCATGTTGGTCAGGCTGGTTTTGAACTCTTGACCTCGTGATCCACCCACCTCGGCCTCCCAAAGTGCTGGTATTACAGGCATGAGCTACCGTGCCCAGCCATAATCCTTGTTATTTTCTTATCACTGTTTGCATACCTTACTAATTCATAAGTTCTTGAGGGCAATCATTAAGTCTAATTCATCTATGTTTTCCTTACAGCACCTATAATAGTATCTTGCACAAAACAAATGTTCAGCAACTATTTTTTGAATTCTATAATACTGTAAATTGGGACCATATTTACTTAGCCAATTATAGAACATTTTATTGAGCTACATTTTAATAGTATACTTTAAGTTTTTACCAAAGGTTGCTGTCATAGCCATATTCATTAAAATATCTTCTGTAAAATGTTACTGAAAATCTTGTTTAATACATTATTCAATATGTCCTATATGAGCTCTTTTCAGAATTCAGTACTAGCAAAAATTTCACTTCTGAACTGGTTTGCTTTTTCTCCCTTCTGAATCCAACATTTGTATAATGGATTGTGCTTCTCCTTACTGTTACGGTGCTAGAAAACTCAAAGTCAGTTGAACTGTTTAATTTGAACAATTTAAGCCACATGTTTATCCATATGGTTATAATATTTGTATTTTTCTTTTCCCAGATCCTGACTTTTCTTCTTATAATGACTAATAAAAACAGTTTGCCAGGCTCTGTGCCAAGTGCTTTACACGAGTTATCTCATTTAATCTTCACAACAATATTGGGTTCTACAGATGAAAAAAGCTAAGGCTTAGAGTACTTATCAAACAGTAGTAAATATTGGAGCCTGGATTGAACCCAGGCAGTCTGGCTTCCCCACTATGCTGTATTTTAATGTCTTATCATGTGGAGTATTATCTCTTAAAACAATTTCAAGAAAGAGGAGGAGATATATATATATATATATATATATATATATATATATATATATGTATGCTTATCAGTACATAAGTATATTTGTGTAAAATGATTTGAATTGAATTAAAAACAAATTACAGTAGGTGTTGATCACCTATCTCACACATTATATTTGGTTTTTTGTTTGTTTGTTTGTTGAGACAGAGTCTTGCTCTGTTGCCCAGGCTGGAATGCAGTGGTGTGATCTCGGCTGATTGCAACCTCCACCTCCCAGATTCAAGTGATTCTCCTGCCTCAGCCTCCTGAGTAGCTGGGACCACAGGCACACGCCACCACACCCAGCTAATTTTGTGTGTGTGTATTTTTAGTAGAGATGGGGTTTCACCATGTTGGCCAGGCTGGTCTCAAACTCCTGGCCTCAAGTCACACATGATATTTGGTAGTCACTATGAAACCTACAAAGTCCACTAACCCTTTGATTATTTGATATAAACGAGTAGGACATAAATGATAGAGTATTTTTTTTTTTTTGAGACGGAGTCTTGCTCTGTCACCCAGGCTGGAGTGCAGTGGCGCAATCTCAGCTCACTGCAGTCTCTGTCTCCAGGGTTCAAGCGATTCTCCTGCTGCAGCCTCTCAAATAGCTGGGATTATAGGTGCGTGCCACCGCACCCGGCTAATTTTTGTATTTTTTTTAGTAGACACAGGATTTTGAGGCAAGAAAATAGGGTCTGGAGGCAGGGAACATAAGGCCGATTCACACTTCAGCCATGAGAGGAAATATCCTCTCCACAGGGCATACACCGAATAAATGTCTTTATAACTTTACTTCATCCTCTTTCATTTACATAGGGCATACCCCAGGTAGAGGGTATTTAAACTCACAAGAACTCTGTAACAGGGCCTTTGAGCCCCACGCTCAGGCCTGCTTCCACACTGCAGAATGTACTTTCATTTTCAATAACACCCTTCGTTCCTTCCTTGCTTTGTTTGTGCGTTTTGTCCAATTCTTTGTTCAAGATGCCAAGAACCTGGCCATCTTCTACTGGTAACAGTGTCACCATGTTGGCCAGGCTTGTCTTGAACTCCTGACCTCAAGTGATGTGCCCACCTTAGCCTCCCGAAGTGCTGGGATTACAGGCGTGAGCCACTGTGCCCAGCCAAGCATTTTTAAATGCAGTTTTAATACAAATCTAAGATGTAAGCAATTTTATTTAAATTTTCATCGGAATATCAGTCCGGATAAAGAATATGTCAAATTTTCCAATTCAAATTGTGGCCCAGCACACTGCAGTAAATTTCAGAGAGAGAGTTCCCAACTGCACTGCAGTGAAATTTCTTAGATAATACCTGCCATGTTTTAATATAAGATTGGCTCCCAGTTGGGAATTGGATCATGGGTTCCTGGCTCTTTCAGACACTCAAGTTGAGCTCATCGGGAGATTTTTATATCATTTAACACATAAATAACTCTGCATTCTCTGTCAGCCAAGATTGGTTTTACATTTTTATGGAGACAATTTGTAAAGAAAAAGGAATTACTGGAATTTATTCCCAAGACAAATTCAGCTCTTCTCTTTTTCATTTTGAAAGGAATTAATAGAAAAAGCGCACATTGACCGCAGCATATTATCACAATTGTCGGAAATCAAATGAACAAAATTTAGTACAGTTAAGAATAACAGAAAAAATATGCTTTCTAAAGATAAGAAAATGATGGCATAAGATGGTTGCAAAAACAAAAAGAGGCACAGGGTTCCTAAAGATGTGCATGAGTCAACACCATTAAAGGCCTGCACAATTCAGGCATGTGCTTGTCGAAGCAAAGGTTTGCCATGCAGGAATTGCAAGATGGTTTTGTGCATTGTCGAATTCTACGGTGCTGATGGGATAAGGGTGGAGGAAGTAGCTGATTGGCTTTGTCTAAATATTCTCCTGCAGGCCACTTTCAACAGTCTGCTGGGTGTTTAGACTCGGTGCGTCTTTCAGAACCTCATGTGTTGTTTTCATCATTCAGCTGACATCTGCTGGGTGCCCGCTAGTAAATATTGGAGCCTGGCAGTGCTGTGCTGGCAGGATTTCGAGGTGAATAAAACAAGGAACTGAGAAAGGAGGTGGGGCTGGGTATGGTGGCTTATGCCTGTAATCCCAGCACTTTGGGAGGCTGAGGCTGGAGGATCAGTTGAGCCCAGGAGTTCAAGACCAGCCTGGGCAACATAGTGAGACCCTGTCTCTATAGAGTAATAATAATAATGAAAGGGGGAAAAAAAATAAACAGAAAAGGAGGTGGTATGACCAGGTTTCAGAAAAATCGTCTCATACTGCTCAAACCCCAAGAGCTTGTTTTTTGGTTTTGGGGTTTTTTGTTTGTTTTGTTTTGAGACAGGGTCTTGCTCTACTGCCCAAGCTGGAGTGCAGTGCCTCTATCATAGCTCACTGCAGTCTTAAATGTCTGAGCTCAAGTGATCCTCTCACCTTGGCCTCCCAGAGTTCTGAGATTATAAGTGTGAGCCTCCCCACCTGTCCCCAAGAGCCTGTTTGACATGAAAAAGATTCATCAGTTTATACTGGAAAGTTTTAAGAACTTGGATTGTGAATAGAGACTCCATTAGTGATAAACACCCACAAGGGAGCATAAGTCACAGATCACAAGACTCTGGGAACACAGACTTAGAGCAAAGAGAACTATATTTGTTTGAAACATGGTACCTTCTCCAAAGACACTTTTATTGATTTCTCTTTAAATTAATGCCACCCCACCCCAATAGTCCATATTTACCCTTCAGCTAAGAATCCTGCTTCCTTTGCTTATACTTATTTGCTCACCTACATCTCTGATTCCTTCATATTGGTATAGAAATTAAAAACACAGAGTTTGGAGTCAAGGAGACCTAGGTTCAAATTTTGGCTCAGCCTCTAGCTGTGTGACATTGGGTAAACTGCTTATCCTTTCTGAGCCTTAAATTTCTCATCTAGAAAATTGAGGCAATAATAGTAACTGTCTCACAGGTTGTTAAAAGATTAAATAAGACAAACAAACAGCTAGCCCAATTAATTATAGCTAACAGAACTGTATTCTGATAGTATCTGCTCTCATATCTAAGTGGCATACAATGTTTCTGAGGTTGGCGTGTTTCATTTTTTCCAATATTTTGTTTAATTTTGATATGTAATTCATTTTTATTCTAAAAATAATACAATAGCATTATGTTAAAATTGGAAATTAGAGAAAAAGTAGCAATATCTCTTAATTTTGCTATCCTAACACAACCATTAAAAGCATCTTGTCTGGCCAGGCATGGTGGCTCACGCCTGTAATCCCAGCACTTTGGGAGGCTGAGGCGGGTGGATCACCTGAGGTCAGGAGTTCCAGACCAGCCTGGCTAACATGGTGAAACCCCGTCTCTATGAAAAATACAAAAATTAGCCAGGTGTAGTAGCAGGTGCCTGTAATCCAGCTACTTGGTAGGCTGAGGCAGAAGAATCCGCTTGAACTCAGGAGGCGGAAGTTACAGTGAGCTGAGATCACACCACTGTATTCCAGCCTGGGGAATAAGAGAGAAACTCCATCTCAATTAAAACAAACAAAAAAAAGGCATCTTGTTATATTTCCTTCCAAGTTTTTGTTGCAAGCAATTCTTTTTCCATAGTTATATATATGTTACATAGATATAGACAGACAGAAATCTTAACTCCATATCTTAAGCATGTTTCCATGTTTCTTCACTGTTCTAGTGCAGATAGCACATGGTAAGTGTTTAATAAATATTTACTTGAATGAGCCAACACAGTACAGTCAAACCTGTACCTTTGAAAATTGCTTATATAAAGAATTTTTTTTTTTGAGATGGAGTCTCGCTCTTGTTGCCCAGGCTGGAGTGCAATGGCCTGATCTTGGCTCACCACAACCTCCACCTCCCAGGTTCAAGCGATTCTCCTACCTCAGCCTCCCGAGTAGCTGGGACTACAGGAATGTGCCACCATGCCCAGCTAATTTGAACCACACCCAGCCAAGAAAATATTTTTATGTAACAAATTTACTTAATAAGATGCATTTACAGGCTGGGTGCAGTGGCTCACACCTGTAATCCCAATACTTCAGGAGGTCAAGGCGGGCGGATCATTTGAGGTCAGGAGTTTGAGACCAGCCTGACCAATATGGTGAAACCCCATCTCTACTGAAAATACAAAAAAAAATTAGCTGGGTGTGGTGGCAGGTGTATGATCAGGTTTCAGAAAAATTGTCTCATACTGCTCAAACCCCAAGAGGCTGTTTTTTGTTTGTGTTTGGTTTTGGTTTTGTTTTGAGACAGGATCTTGCTCTATTGCCCAGGCTGGAGTGCAGTGCCTCTATCATTGCTCACTGCAGCCTTAAATTTCTGAGCTCAAATGATCCTCTCACCTCAGCCTCCCAAAGTTCTGAATTACAACTGTAAGCCTCCTCATCTGACCCCAAGAGCATGTTTGACATGCTCAGCTACTCAGGAGGCTGAGGCAGGAGAATCGCTTGAACTCGGGAGGCAGAGTTTGCAGTGAGCCGAGATCGCCCCATTGCACTGCAGCCTGGGTGACAGAGGGAGACTCAAAAAAAAAAAAAAAAAAATGGCAGGGTGGTATGGGCAGTTATTATACAGAATAAATAACTATATATCATGATAGTTCAATAGTGCTTTCTTGGTAAGAATTAAAATTATATGTGGCATTATGTTTACAGATAATCTACTTATATTGCATGTAGCTAAAATTGAAAGAGCAAAAAGTGCTTCTAGGCTTAGGTATCCCTTGGTTTGATATGCTTTGCTAGAAGGTTATGAATGTGAAAGCCAGATTGCTTACTGAGCACCTTGATTCTGGCTCATGGCAGCTAGCAGAGAAAGAACTGAAAAAACAAAAACAAAAACACAGTTTTATATTATATTATCCTAAGAATTCATGAGACAGTGTGGTGGTTTTGTTGTTGCTATTGTTGTTTGTTGTTTTGTGAAGAAGATTCAATCTGAAAAGGCTGGAATTTTCCAAAAGCTTGTATTTGCCCTAACACTTCCCATCCTGAAACATCTGACAAGGCTTCTAATTGCATTGCTAGGCACAGGAAGCCACATGTAATGTAAGCCTCGTACTTTTTAAATGGTCAAGTTGAATTATGACTTGGAATAAAGGAATAATAGGGAATTAGCCCCTTTGCCAAATAAAATACTCTATTCTGAATTTACTGACATTTCATCTATTATTCTGAATTAGAACATGGAGTAACTTGCAATTATGCCATTTCTGTTTGGCAAAAAAGTGCCATATCTCAGTTCAGTCATTTTCTAATGCTTATCTGTCATATATGAGTTGAAATTTTTAAAAAGAAATTTTGTTATTCCCTTTTGGAAACCTCAAAGGTTCTGAATTACTTAAAATGGTAGAGAGTTACTTCCTCAAGTAAAAACTCTAATTGCAAACAGAACCTTGAGACTATAGTACACATGCAATGTTTGGCAATGCATCTGGTTTTTCTGCTTTGATGAAGAAAGAAGCTCAACACGTCACTATGTGTCACGGCTTTCTATAGCATCTTGCAAAAGCATTAAAGTCCCTGCCAATAGTCCTGAAAGATGTTTTACCTATAGCTGCAGACGTCATCAATTTCTCCAGATCCCAGGCTTTGACTCATTGGTGTTTAAAGAGATTTTTGTCAAGAAATAAAAGCAGAATACATGAATAAGGTAAGGCTTTTGTTCAGCATAAGATCCTGAGGTTGCCATTTTGGAAACCGACCAGAAAAAAAAAAAAAATCTGTGAGTCCTTTTGGCTAAGTTGCCACTGAGGGAGAGGAGATTGGGAACAGACAAATATGAACAACTTTTCCACGCCGGAGGATATTCTCCTGGCTCTGTTTAAGAGTGATGAAACATGTTGATTTCTCACAAGGTAGAAATCTACAGACTTCCGGAAACACTGCAGAATACCTCTAAAGGTTAAACTGGTTTGACCTTAAAATTGGAATGGTTATTTTAACCATTTTCTTGCTGACATATGCAACATAGATGATGCAGACTTTGCAAAGATGACCAACTTTGTAGATGTGAGGAAATGATGCAACTGCATTAGCTTGAAGGGTCCTAGAGAAATCCAGTGCATCTGGACTTAAACCTATTCATTTGCGACAACATACTTTTGTTAATCTGGGCTTTCTTACATTTGTTGCTATCAAAATTGATAGACTTACCACAAATGACAAGCATATTACCATGTAAGACTATGCTGTAATTTCTTCTCAAGTCAAGTAATGGCAGCCTTTATGTTGAAATTTGCTTTGGGGGAAGAATTTTAATTTTTTTCTTTTGTATTTGCTCACTGAATTTATTTTAGATTACTCCATTTACGTGAATAAACAAGAATGAGAGAAGAAAATTTTTTATAGGATTTTTTTTCTGTGTGAAGAAGTCAATTTCTAATACAATAAGATAAAATATGTGCCAAAATTAGGCGGGATGTTTATGTGCATTTTTGTGAGAAAGTGATTCTTATCTTTGATCAGGTCAAAAGAGGTGAATGACCCTCTCCCACCAATAAACAGGGTTAAGAATTGCTCGTTTAAACACCCACTTTAGGCTGGGCACAATGACTCACACCTATAATCCCAGCACTTTGGGATGCCAAGGCTGGAGGATTGCTTGAGTCCAGGAGTTTGAGACCAGCCTGGGCAAAACAGTGAGACCCCATCTCTACAAAAAATACAAAAATTAGCTGGGCTTGATGGCATGCACCTGTTGTACCAGCTACCTGAGAGGTTAAGAGGATACCTCGAGCCTGGGAGGCAGAGGCTGCAGTGAACTATTATCATGCCATTGCACTCCAGCCTGGGAGACAGATGGAGACCCTGTCTCAATAAATAAATGGCGACTTTATTTTATAGTGAATAAGTGAAGCCCCTGGAACATCAAACATTTGCCTAAGGTGACACAGCTAGTAAGTGTTAGGACTGGAATTTGAATCCAGTTATCTTATGTCTAAGGCGTAAGAGACATGTACTATATGAACTACTATATATGTAGCCATTACATTTCCTCAATGGGGCATCCCATAGTGACATAAGAAAGTTATTTGGAACCAGAACAAATCAAACCAAACCAAACCAAAACAAAACAAAAAAACAACCAATAAAACAAACAACAAAATTATGTGAAAGTGAAGTCTTTTGTTCCAAATGTGTGACTATCAGATTTTCTCAACCTTGACTTCCAACCTGTCCAAACCTGTGCTAACTGCCAGCTGCTTGGAAAATCCATCTGCCACCTACCGCATCTTGTTCCTGCTTGTTTTTCTTCTTTAATGACAGATGTCCCAGTTACAAATCCAATAGCAGATTTAAGCATCTGAAATAACCAACACCAGCCTTTACCTGGGTGTGTCTCTATTCTCAAAACCCAAACTCTGGCTTTTCCTGGTGTGTCACTTTGCCATTGTCTGAACTCTGGATATAATACTTTATACTACAGTTTGGTGAGTTCTTGGGGCTATATGTTGAAATAAACCCATTGCTTTAAAGAGAAAAAGGTACAGGAAGCTAATTTAAAGCTTTTTTAATTTTCAAGTATAAAAAAGTCATACATTTTCACATTTAATTCAATAAAATATCTTTTCATAGCCTGAATTTTTTTTTTTTTTTTGAGTTCAAGAATTTCTTTTTTTCTTTCTTTCTTTTTTTTTTTTTTTGAGATAGAGTCTCACTTTTGTCACCCAGGCTGGAGTGCAATGGTGAAATCTCGGTTCACTGCAACCTCCACCTCCCGGGTTCAAGGGATTCTCCTGCCTCAGCCTCCCGAATAGCTGGGATTACAGGCATGCACCACCATGCCTGGCTAATTTTTTTTGCAGTTTTTGTAGAGATGGGGTTTCACTATGTTGGCCAGGCTGGTTTCGAACTCCTGACCTCAGGTGATCTGCCCGCCTCAGCCTCCCAAAGTGCTGGGATTATAGGTGTGAGCCACCGTGCCCAGCCAAGAATTTCTTTTTAATTGCCGATCAAAACAACAAAAGAGAGTTGAGATTTTGACTCTTGGTATTTCCTGTCTGCCATTTCGAAGATGGGGTAGGCTATTTGAATTACATCTGCTGTTAGTATATGAACAATAAATAACAACATTAGCTATCAATATCAATATGGTGCTGTGATGCTGAGAACTATATAAGCATTGCCTCTGGCCTCCTTACAATCACTTTGCAAAGCAGAAAGTATTATCCCAATCTGCAGATGAGAAAATGGAGATCAAAGAAGTTAAGTGACTTGCTAAGTAGGAATACACGGTTATAAGTGACAGAGTCAGAGTTGGAACCCAGGAGCAAATATTTTTTAAAAATTCATATTAAGCCCAGCATGTGGACAAAAACTTTCTTTTCATGAATGAGTATAATTTAAAGGTAGTCTAGGAAAAACAGGTACCTACTGCTGGGAATCCCAACGGCCTTTGTTAGTTCCCAGTCCAATTTCCCCACTGTAAGCAGGAATCCTTTAGTTTGTAGCAGCAGTGGGTGAAATCAAGGTGGGTGGTTTGGGAGAATAAACTAAAATGGACATCCCATCTGGGAAGTTAATAGTATCCAGGGAAATGGTGGCAGAGGCAGCCATCCCTGTATCTGATTTCTCACAAAAATGCACATAAACACCCCCCCATCCCCAATTTTGGTAAACACTGCATCTTAATGCATTAGAAATTGACTTCCTTCATATAGAAAAAAAATCTTAGAAAAAATTTTCTTCCCTCGTTTTTGTTTATTCACATAAATGGAGTAATCTGAAATAAATCCAATGTGTGCAAACACCAAAGAAAAAAATTAAAACCCTTCATTCAAAGCAGCATGTGCAGACTCCGCTTGCATGAAAACATTGTGGTACCCAGCAATGGAGAAGGGGAATTAAATGATCTATATGGTAGCTGACTGGGCAGGACCCCAAACAAGAGTGGCACCCCTTCACTCCAATGACTCCTAGGCACGTTTTGGGAAAGACTTTGCAGGGAGTTAGGGAAGGTTCACAAAACACAGGTCACAGAGTATTAGGCAGCCAACAAATAGAATAATCATGCAGACTCTATAGCAACAGGAACAAGTATTTACGATAATGACAAATGAAGAACATAATACAAATCTACCTGTATACTATTAAAGCATATATGAATATGAAATAAAGGCTAAAAAGAAATACTCCAAAATGATACAAGTTACTGTGTTGGAGTTGTAAAGTTATGGGCAATTTTCTTTCATTTCTAAATTTTTTTATGATGTTGCTAATGTATGATTTTAAAAGTGTTTACCAAAAAAAGATAAAAGGGGAAGAGATAAATTAATATTTTATATTATATGGGAAAAGTGGAAAGTTCTTAAAAACCTAATGACTTTTTCTTCCATTCTTCCTCTATCATCTTTTCAAAGTCTACTTAAAGCTTCTTCTCATTCCAGTTCATTCTCTGTTTTGAATAAAACTGATCAGTCCCCCTCAGGCTCAATTCCAGCATAGTTTGAGCCTGTTGTATTTTGCTAGCTTGGTGTCACTTGTGTGAACCATACAGACTTGTCTCAATCTGATTTGGAAGTATGTGACCTGCAGGAAAAAGCTGAGATATTCAGTTTGCAAAACAGCAAAAGGCAGGAATCAGATACAAAAAGAAAGGCAGTGTTTCTCAGGTAAGCAAATAAAAAACCTTGCATGTAGTTTTACTGTTAATAAACAATTAACATTTGAAGTAAATATGTCAGAAGCTATAGAACGAATAGAAATAGGTTGACTTCCTTCCAAATTCTGCTTTGTGCTAAGATATTTGGTCAAACTACATATTATGCATTCATTGAGGCCAAGGATTGCCACTTAAGGTACTGCTGCATTCTCTATAGCACTCAATGCTAGATTCCTAATTAGGCACCAGTAAGTGCTCATCAACTTGTCTCTTAAGCAATGTAACCTGCTTTGGTTTCCTACTCCTACCACTTCTCCCAGCTAGAAGTCCCCCTCTTCTACTGAGCAGCATATTCAAACTTTTATCTTAGGCTATTAGCTCTTTTTAAGTTATGGCCAGACCTTCTTCACCCCGATAGACACTAAGCCCTTTGAGGACTGGGACATTGCCTGTGTCATGTTTCCATTATTTACAGTGCCTGGTTCATTGTAGACATGAAATATAAATTGTTTGAAGGAATTCTTGAAGGAAATGGTAGTTGAAAAGTATATATGAGGCCGGGTGCGGTGGCTCATGCCTGTAATCCCAGCACTTGGGGAGGCCAAGCCGGGGGTGGATCACTTGAGGTCAGGAGTTCGAGACCGGCCTCGCCAATATGGTGAAACCCTGTCTGTACTAAAAATACAAAAATTAACTGGGCTTGGTGGCGCACACCTATGGTCTCAGCTACTTGGGAGGCTGAGGCAGGAGAATAGCTTGAACACAGGAGGCGGAGGTTGCAGTGAGCTGAGATTCACCACCGCACTCCAGCCTGGGCAACAGAGCAAGACTCTGTCTCAAAAAAAGTATATATGACAGTTAGATAACTTCTAGTTTCCAATCCTAAAATTGTTTGAGTTCCTCCGATAAAATAAATTTAGATTTATAGCTGTACTTGTAAATACAGGTTATAGAAAGCAGGTAAATAAGAATCTGTGGTTCAGGTGCTTTGGTCCCCTTACAGGAGAATCTTTTCAGATCACAAACGACATGTATTTTGTTCACAGTAGCTATTACTGACCCTTCATATTCCGAATGTTAGGTAATACTTATGATGAATAATACACTAAGAAATAAACATAGATTTTTTTTTTTGGCCTAAATGGGGCTGCAAATCTTCAAGCAAAAAATGTTTCTTTTTCTGCTTTACTTTTTGCTAAATATTGTAGTGCATCTCCATAGAAGACAGATGACTTCTTTTGAGCATTATAAACTCTGCCTTCCTAGATGCATTTTCTTCAAAGTATTTTTTTCCATGACTTTTGCAGTCATGGTGTGCGGGAGTGGAAGGAAGAACACTAACGTTTACTCATTGCCTGTAAAGTGCCAATTATTGGTGGGCACTTTTATATTTGGTGTCATGTTGAATCCTCATGAAAGGCCCTATGAGATACAAACATTTTACATATGAAGGAACTGAAGCTCAGGAAGATTAACTATCTTTCTCAATATCTTACAATTAATGGTGGAGCCCAGATCTAAACCCAGGCTCAGGTTCCTTTCACTATTTTTTTTTTTTTTTTTTAGAGACAGAATCTCACTCTGCTGTCCAGGCTGGAGTGCAGTGACACAATCATAGCTCATGGTAATCTTGAACTCCTGAGCTCAAGTGATCCTCCCGCCTCAATGTCCTGAGTAGCTGGGACTACGGGTGCAAGCCACTGCATCAGGCTAATTTTTTTTCTTTTTTAGAGACCAGGTCTTGGCATGTTACCCAGGGTAGTCTGGAACTTCTGGCCTCAAGCGATCCTACCACCTTGGCCTCCCAAAGTGCTAGGATTACAGGCATGAACCACAACACCTGTCCCACTTTGAATTCTATATTCTGCTGCATCATGCTAAAATTTTTTAGAACATTTATGTGAAATAAAAAAGGCCTGAAATATTTTATTCCATCATGCCTAGCAGTTGATAGAAAGTAGTAAAGGAATAAAGCATGATGCACAGACAGGCACTGACTACCTTATCAGTGGGTTCATTTAAAATGATGTGAATGATCCCAACATGTAAAATAACTTTTTATTTTATTTTATCTTATTTTTTATTTTTTCATTACACACCACGATTCTTCAAAAATCTTTTTAAACAGATTACATTACTAAGTGTTTTTTCTTAACACTATAAGAAAATGATCTTGTAAACAACACAAGTGGTCTTTGGAAATGTCTTTGCATTTGCAGAAGGCATCAGCACTTCTGATGCCTTCCAATCAAACTAGAATTTAAGGATGAGTAATTGTTATGAGCTCAAGAAAACAATTTTAATTGTGATTTATCTAATGACTTTGAGTATCAGGGTGCCCAAAGAAATAAGATATCCTACCTAATGGCAATTTTCTCCCTGCCTAGAAGGAAAGCACCTTTAATTGCACAGATGATCTACAGTTCAGACTAGGAATATAAAAAGAGGCAAATTTACATTAAATACACACATGAGATGGAACAATATCTCAAACTTTTCAGATTATTTCCACATTGAGGAAGTAGAGGGAGAAGGGAACTGACATTTATTGCATATTACAGTCTGCTTTAACAGGATATCCTGGATTTACCAGGTCAATATTTTACATAGAGTTAAGTAGGTTTCAGGCACGCCTCACTCACTGTTGCCCACTGCTACACTCTTGCACTACAGAGATAAAATGTCAAAAAAAATATTTTGGCTGGGCGCGCAGTGGCTCACGCCTATAATTCCAGACTTTGGGAGGCCAAGGCAGGCAGATCACGAGGTCAAGAGATCGAGACCATCCTGGCCAACATGGTGAAACCCCCTCTCTACTAAAAATACAAAAATTAGCTGGGTGTGGTGGCACGTGCCTGTAATCCCAGCTAATTGGGAGGCTGAAGCAGGAGAATCACTTGAACCCCGGAGATGGAGGTTGTGGTGAGCCAAGATCATGCCACTATACTCCAGCCTGGCGACAGAGCAAGACTCCATCTCAAAAAAAAGAAAAAAGAAGTATTTTTAAAGTATACTTATAGCTTATATTAACCTCTTCTTTGACCCTGAGGCTAGAAACCAACTATGGGTTAAGCGATGTGACTTCTATATAGATATACTTACAGAAAGCCCACATTTTTAACAGTGTGTTTTGAAAAATTCAGGCTTGTACAGACAGGTCAGATAATACAGTGGTTTCAAATGGCCATTAAACAGCACAGTGTTTTGGATCCCATTCTCTTTCTGTTTTTAACCGAAAGATTAACATGCAATAAACTGCACATCTTTAAAGTGTCCAGTTTGATAAGTGTACACCCATAAAGCCATCACCACAATGATTTAAAAAAGAGAACACATTTGTCATCCTCCACAAGTGTCATGCGCCTTGGTAATCCTTCCCTTCTTCAGACACAGGCAACCACTGATCTGCTTTTTGTCACTATATTTTGCATTTTCTATAGTTTTATAACAATGTAACCATACAGTGTGTGCTCTTTATTTGGTCTGACTTCTTTCGCTCAGCGTAATTATTTTGGGATTCATCCATGTTGTTGGATGTATCAGTAATTCATTCCTTTTTATTGCTGAGTAGTATCCTACAGTATCAACTTGTTTATCCCTTCACTTGTCCCTTTTTTTGTTTTGCCCTCCTATACTTGTCAAAATTTATACTTTCTCTAATTTTCTTTTTTTCTCTTTTTTTTTTTTGAGACGGAGTCTCGCTTTGCCTCCCATGGTGGAGTGCAGTGGTGTGATCTCAGCTCACTGCAACCTCTGTCTCCCGGGTTCAAGCAATTCTCCTGCCTCAGCCTCCCAAAAAGCTGGGATTACAGGCGCCCACCACCATGCCAGGCTAATTTTTGTATTTTTAGTAGAGACAGGGTTTCACCATGTTGGCCAGGCTGGTTTCGAACTCCTGACCTCAAATGATCTGCCCATCTCAGCCTCCCAAAGTGCTGGGATTACAGGCATGAGCCACTACGCCCGGCCCTCTCTGATTTTCAATTTCTGATTATGCCCTTGGCATTTACCCATGTATAGTGGACACCAGTGGTTTCTGACCGTCGTGCATTCCACCCCACACCTGTTACTTCTGCTAGAAGCACCCTCCACTCCTTTGGACAACTGCGTCTTCCCCATTCCATGTAGTCTGGTGGGACCCTTCTGATTAGTATGATGCAGGCCAATCAGAGTCTTTCCTTGGAATTTTCTAAATGGACCTCCTTCCCCTTGGATTAGGAACTGTGAAGGTGTGATCTCAGAGCTGTCAGTGAACTTATAAAGAATGAGGTTGGCACATAGACAGAAGCCCAGATGAAAGACAATCTTCCTGAATCTGGCTAGTGATAAAGCCCACTCATCCCTGGCTTCCTGCATTTTAATTAAGTGGGTGCCCCGCATCCACCACCCTAGTTATGGTAAAAGCACCTGTTTCTTGTTTTGGGAGGACCGCCCTTCCCATACTCTCAGCACATGTGATTCAGCTGAGGCAGACTCCACCCTGTCTTTGGGGTTAAGCATATGTCCAGGCCCTAGCCAATCACTCATCTGCCTTGGCCACAGTGACAGTCAGTGATTTAAGCTGAGCTAAATAAAGCTAATATTTGTGCTACTAAAGATGTTACTCCCTTTTTCCTTTGGGACTTGAACCTAGAAGCTTAGAGCTATAAATATTACAGACATCTTTTGACCTAATGGGTGGAGAGCCAAGGCCACCAAAAGCAGAACTGAAAGGAGAGGAACCAGGTTCTGATGACATCGGGACAGCTGTTGGCTAAGATGACCTTAAAGTCTGCGCCATCCCTAGTCTTTTTTTTTTTTTCTTGAGACAGAGTCTTGCTCTGTCACCTGTGCTGGAGTACAGTGGCGTGATCTCAGCTCACTGCAACCTCCACCTCCCAGGTTCAAGCAATTCTCCTGTCTCAGCCTCCTGAGTAGCTGGGACTACTGGCGCATGCCACCATGCCCAGCTAATGTTTGTATTTTTAGTAGAGAAGGGGTTTCACCATATTGGTCAGGCTGGTCTCGAACTCCTGACCTCAGGTAATCCACCCACCTCGGCTTCCCAAGGTGCTGGGAAT
The DNA here is from genome assembly GCF_000001405.40 of Homo sapiens. NCBI lineage: Eukaryota > Metazoa > Chordata > Mammalia > Primates > Hominidae > Homo > Homo sapiens. The sequence goes on along the minus strand of NC_000012.12, from coordinate 96,407,433 downwards.
TACAGGCGTGAGCCACCACACCCGGCCCCTAGTCTTTTCAATCACACAACAACAAAATCCCCTTTCTGTATTGTTTGAGTTGTTATTCATGTCACTTACAACAGAAAAACTTGAGATACAATGCATTACATTCATTATCTTATTTAATCCTTACAACCTGGCAAGTAAACTGTTAACCCAATTTTACATATGGAGAAACTTTTAGTTAAGTAATTTAGCAAAATCTCATGGTGACAAAATTAGGACTCCCATCCAATCCAACTGATTGCAAAGCCCTATTACTATGCAATGTTCCTTCAGGGCTAGAACCCTGACCTGCTTAATTTATGCTTTTCTACTCTTTCTTTCTATTACATGAAGCTTAACACTAACAACATCTGCAGCTTTCTTATTGCTGAAATAAAACTTGTATAAGACTTAATTCTCCCTTTTCCCTGCTTCTTACCTTTTTTGTCTTCTTTCCCCTCTTCCTCGTTTTTTATTTTTCCATTTTTCCAATATCTATATTCCAAATATTTGCTCTAGTCTTCTTCACAGATCATATCAATTCTAGGATGGTCCTGGGAGTCATGTAGGCTAGGGCAAGGCAAAGTTAGTTTACTGAAATTTGCACTTCTGAACTACTAATACTAGAAGACTACAAATCAGTCCTATCAGCTTACCTAAAAGCATATCACTGGGCCAGATTTCAAAGATGACAAACCATCCCTCCCTTCTCCCATTAAAAGGATGAAAAGGTGCCGGGCACAGTGGCTCACACCTGTGATCCCAGCACTTTGGGAGGCCGAGGCGGGTGGATCACCTGAGGTCAGGAGTTCGAGACCAGCCTGACCAACATGGAGAAACCCCCGTCTCTACTAAAAATACAAAAATTAGCCGGGCATGGTGGTGGGCACCTGTAATCTCAGCTACTCTGGAGGCTGAGGCAGGAGAATCTCTTGAACCCGGAAGGTGGGGGTTGTAGTGAGCCAAGATCACGCCATTGCATTCCAGCCTGGGCAACAAAAGCAAAATTACATCTCAAAAAAAGGAAAAAAAAAAAGGATGAAAAGGCCAGGCGCGGTGGCTCACGCCTGTAATCCCAGCAGATTGGTTGGCCAAGGCGGGTGGATCACCTGAGGTCTGGAGTTTGAGACCAGCCTGACCAACATGAAGAAACCCCATCTCTACTAAAAATACAAAATTAGCTGAGCGTGGTGATGCATGCCTGTAATCCCAGCTACTTGAGAGGCTGAGGCAGGAGAACTGCTTGAACCTGGGAGGCAGAGGTTGTGGTGAGCCGAGATTGCACCATTGCACTCCAGCCTGGGCAACAAGAGTGAAACTCTGTCTCAAAAAAAAAAAAAAAAAAAAAAAAAAAAGGATGAAAAAGGCCAGGCGAGGGGGCTCACGCCAGTAATCCCAGCAATTTGGGATGCAGAGGTGGGCAGATCATTTGAGGTCAGAAGTTTGAGACCAGCCTGGCCAACATACTGAAATCCTGCCTCTACCAAAAATTAGCTGTGTGTGGTGGCAGTCACCTGCAATCCCAGCTATTTGGGAGGCTGATGCAGGAGAATCACTAGAACCCAGGTGGCGGAGCTTGAAGTGAGCCGAGATCACACCACTGCTCTCCAACCTGGGTGACAGAGGGAGACTCCGTCTCAAAAGAAACAAAAGATGAAAAGATGAAAAAAGATAGTGATAATTCCCACAAGCTCCTGGGGAAATGGCCAGTTGCCACATTCTTCTTCTTCTCAACCTGCTTAAGAAGGGAAAACCTATACTGCCCCAGTTCCCACTTTCCAACTTTTTTTTTTTTTAAGCAAGACATTTGTTAAAGCTTAAAGATGACTTCATCACACCTGTAATCCCAGCACTTTGGGAGGCCGAGGCAGGTGGATCACTAGAGGTCAGGAGTTCGAGACCAGCCTGGCCAACATGGTGAAACTCCGTCTCTATTAAAATACAAAAATTAGCCAGGCGTGGTGGCGGGCACCTGTAGTCCCAGCTACTCTTGAGGCTGAGGCAGGAGAATTGCTTGAACCTGGAAGGTGGAGGTTGCAGTGAGTCGAGATTGTGACACTGCACTCCAGCCTGGGTAACAGAGCGAGACTCCATCTCAAAATCTCAAAACAAAACAAAACAAAACAAAAACAAAAACAAAAAACAATGGCTTCATGTTATGCTTCATTTTTTTTTAAAAAGCTCAAATAAACTTTAAATGTATTGTATTTGATTAAGACCCACATCTGGTTTTTCTCAGAGGCAGAACATCAATCTAGTTAAGAGGTATTGATATTACATTTAAAAAAGAAATGAAGAAAAAACTAGTTAATCCCATCTTAATCTCATAATAGAGACGTGTATGCAGTCTTACTGGAAGCCTGGAAACTAACTCTCCCTAAGCATTTTGTCAGCAACTAGAGAAAACTTTCATTTCAAAATAAAATGTTTGAAAATTTTGTCCCCCTTAACTGCCAAGATTCAGTTTGGTTCCTGGATTCATTTCCCTTGTAAGGACACATGACATCACTCTGCTGAAAGCTTTTTATAACGCTCCCTGGACGAGACCAAATGTCTCAGATGTTATTCATCCTCTAGGGTTAAATCTGGTACACCAAATTTGAAATTTTACATGTAAATAGGGAAGAAATTTTCCCTCCCCAAATTTGTAACTTGTAAATCTATGGAGGTATTCTGATAATATCAAATAGATCTGCTCTGTAAAATCTCTACCATTAAGCTTTAAGTGACAGGGTACAACTGTATCATTATGCAATGGTATATAGCTGTTTTGCAGGTGTTGGGATGGTACAAAATATTAAAAATAAATGTTAAGGCCTGGCTAGATGTTTCATTTTTGAAGCAGGTTTTAAAAAGCCTTTGACAAAACTCCTTTCTTGCCTACAGCTTCATTTTTGCCAAATGTAAAATTATTTTGCTATTGGGGGAAAATTGTTGATTGCTGTCCTTAGCTTAATTTGCTTTATTCTTCTTGCAAAACAAGCAAACAAACACACAGACTTCCTATATGATTCAGCCTAGTAAAACAGGGAATGAACCCAGACAAAAAGTGTTTTTTCTATTTGGTCAGTAATCTAATTTCTTTGAGAATTTTTAAGGAATATGAAATAATTAGAAATAGTCCAGAAATTCAGACATATGGAAAATTGTTTTGTAAACAAAGCTATGTATTGATGTTGTATAGAGCAGTGATTCTCAAACTTTATTGTTCAGCAGAATCTTAGAAAATCTCTGTAAACAGTTTGCTGGGCCCCACACTAGAGTTTCTGATTCAGTTGGTCTGGAGCGGGAACTGAGAATTTGCATTTCTAAGAAATTCCCAGGTAACACTGCTGAGAACCACTGATGTAGAGCAATTGAAAACCAGCTTAAGTGTTTCTTGTTTGTATCTTACCTGAAAGTTTCATATTTGTTTCCCAGACAGTGTCATTTTCAGAATGTGAATCCCAGCAAAGATTTTCTGGACTTACCACATTTAACTCTCTTTGTCCAAAGTTCAATGACCTTCAAAATTTTCTCCCCTCAATATTTTTATATATGTCACATGATATAGCTATTCTATGGTGAAAACATTTTGGGATATACTTGTTTCACTGGAAAGAAGATTATTTTTCAATCTCAGAACTTCTAAGAGCCTTAAATACGTAAATGTATATTGTGAATTTCCAAAAGGGAGATAAAGTATGTGGCATTCCTCAAGTGGATTTGATCTTGGAATTCTTCCTCAATCTTTCTCCTCCACTAAGCACTATGGAATATCTATTAATGACAGTTAGGGAAATATTCTAAGTAATTTTATAATTTAACATAGTTTTACAAGGTAAAAAAAAAAGCCTATATTACAACCTACGGAAAAAACAACTAACATGCTCACAATATTACATATAATTTTTTTTTTTTTTTTTCAGACAGAGTCTTGCTCTGTCACCCAAGCTGGAGTGCAGTGGTGTGATCTCAGCTCACTACAACCTCCACTTCCTGGGTTCAAGCGATTCTCCTGCCTCAGCCTCCTGGGTAGCTAGGATTACAGGCTCCTGCCACCACGCCTGGGTAATTTTTGTATTTTTAGTAGAGATGGGGTTTTGTTATTTTGGCCAACCTGGTCTCGAACTCATGAGCTCAAGTGATCCACCTGCCTCGATCTCCCAAAGTGCTGGGATTACCGGTGTGAGCTACCGCGCCTGGCCAAATTTTAAATCGGTTTAGAAAAGTAATTAAATAGGCCATGGGGCTGGGTGCTGTGGCTCACCCAGCACTTTGGATCACTAGAGCTCATGAGTTCGAGACCAGCCTGGCCAACATGTCCAAACCCCGCCTCTACTAAAAATACAAAAATTAGCCGGGCGTGGTGATGGGCACCTGTAATCTCAGCTATTCAAGAGGCTGAGGCAGGAGAATTGCTTGAACCCAGGAGATGGAGATTGCAGTGAGTTGAGATGATGCCACTGCACTCCAGCCTGGGTGACAGAGCAAGACTCCCTCTAAAAATAAATAAATAAACAGATAAATAAATAGGCCAGGGGTGGTGGCTCCTGTTTGTAGTCTCAGCACTTTGGGAGGCCGAGGTTGGAGGATTGCTTGATGTCAGGAGTTAATACCAGCCTGGGCTGTCGGCATAGTGAGACTCCATCTCATTTAAATAAATAAATAAATAAATAAATATGAAAAGTAATGAAATAAATATTGTGCAATCTGTAATTTTTTTTTTCATTGAAAGAACAAATCCTCCAGGCACGGTGGCTCACGCCTGTAATCCCAGCATTTTGGGAGGCCGAGGAGGGTGAATCATCTGAGGTCAGGAGTTTGAGACCAGCCTGGCCAACAGGGTGAAACCCTGTCTGTACTAAAAATGCAAAAAATTAGCCGGGCGTGGTGGCGGATGCCTGTAATCCCAGCTACTTGGGAGGCTGAGGCAGGAGAATCGCTTGAACCTGGGAGGCGGATGTTGTAGTCAGCTGAGACCACGCAACTGCACTCCAGCCTGGGCAACAAGAGCAAAATTCTGTCTTAAAAAAAAAAAAGAAATAACAAACCAATCAATCAAATAATCACCTAAGTTTTCATTATGAATTCGTCTTTTTTTTTTCTTTTTGAGACGGTGTCTCACTCTGTCACCCAGGTTGGCGTGCAGTGGCAGAATCTCAGCTCACCGCAAACTCCGCCTCCCAGGCTTAATGGATCCTCCCACCTCAGCCTCCCAATTACGAATTCTTTGTTATGCTAATGAAAGATGTAGAAAGAGGAGAGGGTGCTTTGGATGAGACAGAATAATCTTTTTATTTCTCATGGAGTAATGTTAATCTAATGATATGAAGGTATAAGTATTAATGCTGAAACTCAGAATGCCATTTCATAGACTCCCTTTTTTGGTGATTTTTTGATATTTACTAAAGTACTAATTTAGATGAGGCAAGTATATGAAAATCCTTTCATATAAATAGGCCTTGTATAAATATCAGTGTTTCTCTTTAACTTAAAAAGAACTCTGAAAATGATGCTACATCTTGCTATATTATAAAGTTCCAAGTTTGACTTGGACAAATCTAAAAAGCCTCATTAACAGTGCTTTTAAACAAAGCGCACTTGTTCTAACGGAAAGCTTGTTATGTATATTTGCATTCTTGGTTGGTAAACAAGTGTTAAATACGCGTAGAGCATAATTGTTGCTAATTTACGGGTCCTGGTAATTTTAGAGGCATGGGAAAAGCCTGATTGACACGTACGATCGTTGGATATAACTGTAGATGCATTTAACTTTGCCAAACAAAATAAGAGAAAGATGTCAGCATGCAGCATTTTTAAGGGGGAAAGGATTCATCCCTAAATCCAAAAAGATAATTCCCCGAAGTTCTTAGCACATAATGTGATTTGAAACTTCAAAGCAGCTTCTACTTCCGGGTGTTAACATGGGAAAAAAAATTTATCTCACTTCACAGGACTTTTATGTGGGTTTTTTTTTCTTGTTTATGTTGTCTACATCCGGTCCCTACTCTCTTCTTTCAATCCTCTCATTATCTCCCTCTAGGGGTTTAAGTTTGTTTTAACTTTATGCTTTTATCCTTATTAGTGGAAAAAAGTGGGTCAGTATTACTTTAGTTTGTCTTCACTGCCACTCTGCTGTTCATTCCTGAACTAGCTTTTAGCCTCTGGGAAAGGAGAAAGTAAAAACAGTTGCAGAAACTGGGCCAACCTCTCGCGGCCCGCCTCCCCCAAGAAAACAAAACCTAACCCGTGCAACAGTAGTCCTTTCTGTTTTCATAGCACCTTGTATTTCTCCGCTCATAACGTTCAGATTTTTATGATAGTTATTGATCATCTTTCATCCCAGCTAGACTCTCCGTCCTTAGAGGACTCAGCATATTGCCGGGCACATGATAATATATACAAAACACTGTACTGTAGTTTAAATGAATAGATGCCGTGTGTGTGAGAGACTGCGGCACTAGTACCCACGTACCCACACACAACAAAGGAGAAAAGTTGCAGCCATCAACATCTTTCAGTGTGGGTCCTTTGACATGGACTCTCTAGAAAGTCAGTGGAGAACTGTGGCATGGACACCTTGTACAGTAATTACTTGTATAACTGAAGCACGAGTTTTGGTTTGGTAGCGGGAAGTTGAGGGGCAGGGGGATGTTGGAGGGGCTGAATTATTCACATAATTTCTCCCCCAGTCGCTGCGGACAGGCACTCATTCCGGTGGGGTCCCCTGGCCCCCTCCGCCGCTCCCCCGACGCCCGCATTTCGGAGCGGGCAGTTTCCCGGGGACACCCGCCCCGCCCTGCAGGCCCCGCCCCCGGCCGCCGGCCCCGCCCCCGCCTCCGCCGCCGCCGGCAGGGGTCGCGCTGCCCCCGGCGAGCCGCTCAGGCGGGGGTGGGGTAAGCTCCCGCGGCCGGTCGCTTTTCTCCGCCGCCGCTGGTTGGATCGTTTCAATAAAAGTGTTTTTTCTCTTGCACTCGCTCTCCTCCGGGGAACAGGCGGAGGCGTCAATCCGCAGCCGCCGAGTGTGAAAGCGACGCACACGCAAGGAGCGAACGCGGCCGCCCGCAGTCTCCTGAGCTCCCCGCGGGCCGCCGCAGAGCCGCGGAGAAGGAGCCAGCGCCCGGCCAGACAGTCTCAGCCCGCCGTCGGCGCCCGCCGCGCTCGCGCCCGGCTGCTCCGAGGGGATTAGTGGGCCGTCCGCGCGGCTCGTCGGCGCGGGAGCCATGTTGACCGAGGGACTTGGCAACGCGTGAGACACCCGCGGCCCCTCCCGAGGCTCCGGACCCGCGGCGAGAGCCGGAAGGCGGCTGTGGCGGCGGAGGCCTGCGCTCGGAAGCGCCTCACGTCTGCCGGCCGCTGAGACCCGGACTTGCATCCGGTCGCCGCGGGCGTCCGCGGAGCAGCTTCCCCCCGCGCCTCTCTTCGCCTCGCCTCGGGACCCGCGGTCCCCGCTCTTGCTGGTGAGTTGGCGGCTGGCGTCCGCGCCGCGCTTTCCCCTGGTGTCGGGTCGGCCGCGGGGCCGGGAGGCTGCGTGGGACAGAGGCGGGGGCGGGGGCTACTGGGGGCGCGGGTGGCTCAGGCCCGGTCGGGAAGTTGAGCGAGGAGGCGCGGCGCGGGGGGCTAGCGTGCGCCTGTCACCTCTCCGGTCCAGCGAGGACCTTGGGTCGCCCGGGGATTTCCGGGGCTCGGGTGGGGTGTGAGTGTCTGCGAGCTGCTTCCCAGGAGGCGCCGACAGATATAGACGCCGCCGCCTCCGGTGCTCGCTGCCGCTTTGGTCTGCGGGGGAGGCCGGTCTCCTCGCGAGGCGGAGGAGGGGAAAGAGGCAGAAAGTCCCCCGAGACACAAAGGTCCCCTCGGCGGGGGTGGAGCTGGAGGCGCAGGCGACGCTGCCCGGGAGGGGAAGGAAGGGGCGCGGGTCCGCGGGAGGTGGGCGAGGAGGCGGCGGTCGCGGCGCCTGCAGCTCCTTGGAGACGCTGGCGCTGTGCGCGGGTGGGGAGCGCGGAGGAGGAGGAGGAGCCCGCGCGTGGGAGCGGGTAGAGACAAAGATCAGGGCAGCCTCCTGCTGGCGGGTCACACCCCGGAGTGTTGGTCAAGAGCGGAGGTAGAGGGAAGGTGGGAAACCCAGCAAACCGATGGGGAGGGGAAAATGGGGGGAGGAGGGTGCCTAGTGCTGTCTCCGTCGCAGTTGCTTTTCTCAGCATTTTTGTGCCCGATGCTATGCCCGATGCTTTTGCTCCCCAACTCAGCTGGATAGCTCCAGATTCCCTCCCTCCTGTCACCCCCACACTGCCACATTGACTCTCCTGTGGTTTTTCCCTCGTTCTCCCCCTACTTTTCACCCACTCCTTTTCGGGTAAGCAGTATTTTGCTTTCAGCTTGGGGAACATTTGTTAATGACAGGATGTCTGAGCTTGTTCTGACCCTGAACTGCCTTGAACTTCTCTCTCTTCCTCCCACCCTTTCCTTTTCTGGGATCTATAATGTCACATGGCCGTTAACAATTAGCTTTTCTTTTGCAAAAGTGGCAAAAAGCGTTTAGCTGAAATCTGTGGCTCTCGCCTCCTTTACATGAATATGTCCACCAAAGACACCTCGTTGGTCATGTTCTATCACCTCTTCGTCAAATTGACATCAGGTCCTAACAGGTCACTTTCAAGATACAGAAGAGGCAAATTTTGTTTTGAGACTTGGCCATTCCTAGGGTCAGCAAAGTGTATTCCTGGCAGCCAGACCTTCAGTCACTTATCAGGAAATGCTTGACCTAAAGACAGACAATTCTTTCCCCAAACTTTGCTGTTTCTTTTTTGAGTCTTTGTTGAAAGATTTCTTTTAAAAGGCGTTCGTGTGAGAAGATCACAGCAACAAATCTGGCTTGTTCTGTTTTAGACTTACTTTCTTAACTCTTGGGCAGAAGAAAATGAATGAGATTTGAAGACCTTTGATACCTTGGGTAGACAAAGCTTGCCTTGAAACTAGAAATAAGACGAAACTAGATTTTAAGGGGAAAAAATTTGCTAGTGGTAATATAATTGGTTTTGTTTCATTTTTTTATGAGTCTGAGGAGTTGACATTAAACGTTGGGATGTTGCTTTGTTAATGAAGTCATTTCAATTTTTGCAACTCTTAACATCTGCATGCTTCCATAAACAGTGGGTTGGAACAAAAGAAAATGTGACTAAGGGATATTCCTTAAATTCTTTTTTATGTTATGAGAGAGAATATTGGAATATAAAGAATGTTACTTTATCTGGTAAACCATCTCATAGGCCAGAAGCACTAACAGTTTGAATGGTTGGCTTAAAAAAAAACGGGAGTCTTTGAATTTAAGCTTATGTAAAATTACTATGCAAATATAGGTTATTATTTATTTTTACAGTGAAAATAAAACACTATTGAAGTATAAATGGAAAGAAAATAAAAGCAAAGCCTGTTTAATATAGAGACATTAATGTTGATATCACTGTACGAACAGTCATAGCTTGCTGCTCACTGCCGTTAAAGGGTTGACATACAAACATTGTGGAAGAGATTTCAGTTTGAGGGCTAGTGTCTGAATTATGGACTCCTTACCCTACTCCACCACTTAAAACATTTTAGAGACTTTTGTGAAATTAACAGGTCATATAATTAATAATTGTTGTTTTATGTACATTTATTGAAAGGCCATATTGAGGCTCCATTGATTTTTTTTCCTGCATATTTATCAGTATCGAATTAGAAAATTGAACCTTCAGTGTTACTAGATGGAAATCTACCAAAAAGTAGCAAGGTTTACGAATGGTGGGATTTATTGGTGATTAAACATTTTTTTCCTGTATTTTATAAGTTTCACATTACATTTACAATGAGAAAAAAATGTAAATGTAGAATTAAAGTCTTGTTAATATCGTAATTTGCCTATTGCTGTACTAAAAGAAGCTTCTATAAAATGTATCATTCTCATCCTTAGATTCAGGCCAGAAAGTAACTTTCAGTGTTAGGTATTTGAAATAATGCAGCCTGTCATATGTACTCTGGTTACCAGAATGAAAAAACAAAAAGAGATACATACATAGTAAGGAAACATGAAATTGGAGGAATTGATCCCCATGTGTATTGCAGCTTCATATACCAGTAGTCTCTAATAAGTCATTGCTTTAATAAAAAAAAAAATAGAAAATTTAAATTTTATTTGCCCGGTAGCACAGGGATAGCTATGTTGACTAAGCGCAGATTTTAACGTATATGTTTGTTGATATATTTAGTTTTCAGATACCAGTTCAGTCCTACAATTATGGCGAAACTAGATGGCATATAAAATCATTTTGTTGCTTTGTTGAGGCTTGTTTTTTTCCTTATTTTCAGCAATATTTTCCTTCTTTCCTTTCACTGAAAAACAATGCAACTATTTTATTTTGAACAATGGAAGCTGTAATGGCAACTGGGGTAGCTATTCAAAAGTGGAGATGACGATGTCCCTTAATATTATAACAGTTATCTGTGAACACAAAAATTTTTACCCTATGATTTTCTTTGTTATTGTCTACTAATGCTGAATATTTATAAGACATTACATTTTGAATCTTTATTGATGTTTCCTAGTCTTTAGAAAATTTTACCGTCATGGGCTAGCATTCTTTTACATGGCATTTAGATTTCCAGGATGTTCTTTGTATTTTTTGTTTGTTTGTTTGTTTTGTTTGTTTTAGACTTTCAGGATGGATAATTACTTTATTGCTATATTGTAAAAATTATATTCTCTAGGGAATTTTACCTGTTTAAAAAATTGTCTCAGTTTTCATACATGGGAAGGATGAATAGTTTTAGGTTCTTTTGAATTTTGAATGGATAATTTTTGCCTAAACTTTTAAACAGGAAATCGGTATTTAAAGTATATTTCATAAAGTGATAATGGCATTTTGCATTTTAAATGCAGAAGATAAACAATAGGTTTATGGCATTTAAAAATGTGCTTTATGTAGCATTTTTGAAGTTAAAAAAACTGCCTGTAATAGCGAACCTAGTGTAGTTCACTAGCATTCAATCTACAATGTTGGCAATTTCTTTGAACTGATGGGGAGAGGACCAGTTAGACTGGCTTTTAAGAATTTTTATTGTCATCAGTGGATTCTTTGTCATTATTTTGCTTCCAATATAGTTAGTTGGTGGTTACTTTTGATATCTGCAAAATATTGACCTGGCAAGAGGAATTGCCAAGGGCCAGAGAAGTGTATTGAATATACCTCAGTGTAGTTTATTGTTCCCAGCCTGTCTGCCTCTCCCTGTTGGCCAACATGGAAAATCAATAGACATCTACCAGTAAATCTAATAAGTAATGTTACCGTGTTCTGCAGTAACCTGCAATACTGAATACTGTTTGAGGATGTAGATTTACAGATCTATGGCATATTGGGATGAGGTGAAAATTATCTTGCTCTCCAAAGTCTCCTTTTGAAAATATTTTTTGATATCACCTTATTTTACTTGGGGTACTATAACAAAATACCATACATTGAGGTGGCTTAAAACACAGACGTATTTTCTCACAGGTCCGGGGCTGGAAGTCTGAAATCAGCTAAGCACCTGCCCTCTCAGCTGTCTTCTCCCTGGGCACTCTTAAGTCCTTTCCTCCCTGTCTGCAGGTGAAGTGGGAGGGAGGGGAGGGAGAGGTGAGGATGTCTTTTTCTTTTCTACTTAAAAGGGCACAAATCCCGTCATGAGAGGGTCTCACTCTTAGGACCTAATCTAAACCTAATTACTTCCCAAAGGTCCACCTCTAATAGCCATCACACTGGGAGGTTTGGACTTCAACATGTGAATTTTGGGGGTACACAGATCTTCAGTCCATAACATAAACTTTGTGAAAGAAATTAACGTTAATTATTTACCTCCTCTACTAGGCACTATGCTAAGTATTATTTTGTGAAATCCTCACAATAAGCGCTTCATATAGGTATTCTGCCTGTTTTCAAATGAAGAAACAAAGACCTTAGGTTAAGTCATTGTTTCCAGGGACCGACCTCTGTGGTAACATTGACATTCCAGTTTAGGCATTCAAACCACTACTCTACACTGTCTCCATGAGGATGAGATGTTAAAAAGTCAATGTTACTGTCTGCACTCTATAAACAATGAGTGAGATATTAGAAAAGCTCATCAAAATGCGATTTAAAGTACATTGAACTGGTTTTACTACATTAAAAGATTGCAGTATATAAAATATGTAAGGTAGGACATGTTGCTCAAAATGAATTAAAAATCAAGATGCTAAAAAAATTTAAAACATTTATATGGGCGAGGCATGGTGGCTCACGCCTGTAATCCCAGCACTTTGAGAGGCTGAGCCGGGCAGATCACAAGGTCAAGAGTTCCAGTCCGGCCTGGCCAACATGGTGAAACCCGGTCTCTACTAAGAATACAAAAATTAGCTGGGCACGGTGGTGCATGCCTGTAATCCCAGCTACTCGGGAGGCTGAGGCAGGAGAATTGCTTGAACTTGGGAGGCAGAGGTTGCAGTGAGCCAAGATCGCACCATTGCACTCTAGCCTGGCGACAGAGCAAGACTCTGTCTCGGGGGAAAAAAATTATAGATTTTTTGAATAAATAATAAATAAAAATAAAATAATAAATATTTTTTGTCTACCTTTTTTTTTTCTTTTTTTTTTTTTGAGACGGAGTCTCTCCCTCAGTTGGCCCAGGCTGGAGTGCAGTGTTGCAGTTGCGTGATCTCAAGCTATTCTCGTGCCTCAGCCTCCGGAGTAGCTGGGACCACAGGTGGTGTGAGCTTCCACGTCCAACTAAATTTTGTATTTTTAGTAGAGATGGGTTTTCACCATGTTGGCCAGGCTGGTCTCGAACTCCTGACCTCAGGTGATCTGTGCACCTCGGTCTCCCAAAGTGCTGGGATTACACGTATGAGACACCGTACCCGTGCTTCTCTACCTTTTAATAACACATTTTTGTTTCTTTTTATGCATTTGTTAGTGTAAATATGTTCAAGAATACTCTACATTTTGTGTACATGTTTGTAAACAAGGGAAAAGGACCCAAAGATAATTTCTCTTTCATTGTATTCTAGTTCAGTTACTAACTTTGGCCTTCTCAAGTCATATTAATCTACTATTCTTATAATTGATGGGTAATGTTTGTTATTAGTATGTGTTAATATTCAATAATGTAAACAACGTTGGTAAATACTTGTGAGAAATTTTTTTTTTTTTTGAGATGGAGTCTCACTCTGTTGCCCAGGCTGGAGTGCAGTGGCGTGATCTTGGCTCACTGCAACCTCCGCCTCCCGGGTTCAAGTGATTCTCCTGCCTCAGCCTCCCGAGTAGCTGGGATTACAGGCGTGCACCACCATGTCCAGCTAATTTTTGTATTTTTAGTAGAGATAGGGTTTCACCATGTTGGCCAGGCTGGTCTTGAGCTCCTGACCTCATGATCTGCCTGCCTTGGCCTCCCAAAGTGCTGGGATTACAGGTGTGAGCCACTGCACCTGGTCTATACTTGTGAGAAACTATCAAGTAACAGCATTGAAGCCCTTATCACTCCAAATTTAGACTTGCTCTTCTTTAAATTAGTTAATATGTGTTTTTTAGTATTATTTTAGAATAAACATTTTTTGAAGTATAACAACTTAGATTTTAGTATTTTATATTATTGACTTGTAATGTTATTTCTGGTGGAAAAAGAAGCTTTTCATTGAGTATGTGTGTGTGTGTTTGTGTTTGTTAAGATACAGGGTCTCACTCTGCCACCCAGGTTGATTGCAGTGGTGTGATCACTGCTTCTTGTAGCCTTGATCTCTGGGGCTCCAGTGATCCTCCCACCTCAGCCTCCCAAATAGCTGGGACTACAGGTTCAGCGCCACCAGTCTTGGCTAAGTTTTGTGTTTTTAGTAGAGATGGGGTTTTGCCATATTGCCCAAGCTGTTCTTGAACTCCTGAGCTCAAGCAATCTGCCTGCCTCAGCCTCCCAAAGTGCTGGAATTACAGGTGTGAGCCACTGTGCCCAGATTTTTTACTGATTCTGAAGTAAAATTGGATTCCTTAGACTTAAGCACCTTGAGTCTGACCTATTAAATTAGCTTTTTTTTTTTTTTTTTTTTTTTTTGAGGCGGAGCCTCACAGGCTGGAGTACAATGGCACAATCTTGGCTCACTGCAACCTCCACCTCCCGGGTTCAAGCGATTCTCCCTGCCTCAGCCTCTCGAGTAGGTGGAATTACAGGTGTCTGCCACTATGCCCTGCTAATTTTTGTAGTTTTTAGTAGAGATGAGGTTTCACTATCTTGGCCAGGCTGGTGTTGAACTCCTGACCTCGTGATCCACCCGCCTCAGCTTCCCAAAGTGCTGGGATTACAGGTGTGAGCCACTGTGCCTGGCCTTAAATTGGTTTTAAGAAGTGGTCCTTTATGTCTCAATTTGAGTTAATAAATTTAATTTTTCAATTAACTCAGGTTTGCAGTTGGTATTTTTAAAGCATTTGTTACGTCCTCAATATTGTATTAGCCGTTATCTGTGTTGTAACAATATAATTTAATGTGGCAATATTGTAACATATAAGATAACAGCAATGTTGGTTGTCTGAGTATTCTGTCCACAGCCTTCTTTCCAGGTTTTATGTGTTCCTGGCAATCTGGTCTATATTTAGGGCTTTGTTCTCATCACCCATATGCAATAATCTCCACCTCTTTATTTCTAATCTAGACCTCTTTTTCTGAGTTGCATTCCAGCTTCCTACTCGATATTGCCTTAGTGCTCCCTTACCTAAACTGAACTCGAATCCCCTATTTCTGTTCCCAATTTCAGTGAATGGTACCACTGTCAGCCTAGTCACGTAAGCCAAAAACTTTGGCAGCTTCTTTCTTACGCTTTTCTGTTATGCTCATTTCCCCTTAGTCCAGTTAGTCACACCAAGTCCTGTTAATTTTAATTCCTAAATATCTTTTAAATTTATTTTTTCCTGTGTCACTTTCTTACGTAAGGGTTTTGGAATGTCTTATCTGATTTACTGGCTCCAGTTTTGTCCCATTTTAATCTAACCATATTCTTTCTTTATGTTTATATATGTATCTTATTTTATCCTTTTTTCCGTACTGCCGTCCATTCATCCATCCATGTCTGAAGTACCTGCCTACTCTGTACTAGACACTATGGTAGGGGCTAGGATACAAAGATGAAGAAACTGGTATGTTGATATTACAATGCTATGACACTTGTAGAGAAATTCTCATTTTTAAGCCCAAACGTCTCTTTCTCCAACGTGATCTTTGTTCCATTCTGACAGTTATGGTGGTTCTGCTATATAGTATTTATGTATACTGTAGTACTTAATATGTTATGTTGTAATTAATTATTTTCAGGTCTCTCCCTCTTTTGGCTGGCGTTGTGCTCCAGAGAGGCCGTGTTTTTTTTCATTTCTGTATTTCTTCCCGTATTATCATACTCTTAAATTGAATAAAGTGATGGAATTAGGAGGAACAACACCGAGTTGGTAAATTAAGGTCAGAGTAGGCTTAGAAGCAATCAAGAATACATTTTGATATAGTAGATAATAAAAAGTGTAAAAGGTTTCAAATATTGGAGCTATACAGTTTTGGTGGTATTTGTGTGAGAGCAATCTAGAGCAGTTTGTAGGCCAACTTGGAGGGACAGTAACTTGGCATTATTGAGACTGTTTAATTGCATGTGAGCTGTACTAACTTGTTAGTGAAAATGGAGAGAAAAGGGGTGTGGCCTTCAAAGATTGTTGTCTTTTAGACAAAATGGAAATATAAAATTATAATGTTAATATGTAAAGAAAGTACTCATTTCTGAAGGTCTAAAAATATTGGTCAGTGTATCAGGAGTAAAATTTGGTTTAACCGAAAAAAACTGGCCTGCCGCGGTGGCTCACGCCTGTAATCCCAGCACTTTGGGAGGCCAAGGCGGTCAGATCACTTGAGGTCAGGGGTTCGAGACCAGCCTGGGCAACATGGCGAAACCCCATCTCTACTAAAAATACAAAAAATTAGCCGGGCGTGGTGGCTCAGGCCTGTAATTCCAGCTACCTGGGAGGCTGAGGCATGAGAATTGCTTGAACCCGGGAGGTGAAAGTTGTAGTGAGCTGAGATCACACCACTGCACTCCAACCTGAGTGACAGAGTGAGACTCTGTTTCAAAAAAAAAAAGAAAAAAAAAATCAAAAACAAAACAACCCCCCGCCCCAAAATCGTCCTTAATGAAATCTAGCTATTTAACTGTGTAGTATTGGCTTAAATGCGCTTACTGCAGTGCAGAATTGTACTCAAAGGATCAAACAGTGCATTTAATGTTATTCATTCTGCTGTGGTAGTTTATGTATACAGTTGACTAGAAGCTTTGTTTTTCTTTTTTTTTTTGAGATGGAGTCTCCCTCTGTCGTTTAGGTTGGAGTGCAGTGGTGCAATCTCAGCTCACTACAACCTCCACCTCCCGGGTTCAGTAAATTCTCCTGTCTCAGCCTCCCGAGTAGCTGGGATTATAGGCGTGTGCCACCATGCCTGGCTAATTTTTGTATTTTTAGTAGTGTTGGCCAGGCTGGTCTCTAACTCCTGAGCTCAGGTAATCCACCCACCTTGGCCACCCAAAGTGTTGGGATTACAGGTTTGAGCCGCCACACCCAGCCTTGTTTTTAAATGGAATTACAGTAATTAAATAAAAACTGTTCCATGGTCTACTTTTAAACTTGAAGGATTTTTTTTCTTTTTCTTTTCTGTCTTTTTTTTTTTTTTTTTTTTGAGATGGAGTCTCACCCCATCGTCCAGGCTGGAGTGCAGTGGTGCGATCTCTGCTAACTGCAATCTCCACCTCCCAGGTTCAGGCGATTCTCCTGCCTCACCCTCCTGAGCAGCTGGGACTACAGGTGCACGCCATTGTGTCTGGCTAATCTTTGTATTTTTAGTGGAGACCATGTTTCACCATGTTGGGCAGGCTGGTCTTGAACTCCTGAGCTCAGGTGATCCACCCACCTAGGCCTCCCAAAGTGCTGGGATTAAAGGCGTGAGCCACCGCACCTGGCCAAGGCTTTTTTAAAATGCCTGTAATCCCAGCACTTTGGGAGGCCTAGGTGGGTGGATCGCCTGAGCTCAGGAGTTCGAGACCACCCTGGTCAACATGATGAAACCCGTCTCTACTAAAAAATACAAAAAAATTAGCCGGGCGTGTTGGCACGTGCCTGAAGGGAGGAGAATCACTCGAACCTGGGAGGTGGAGGTTGCAGTAAGCTGACATCGCCACACTGCACTCCAGCCTGGGCGACAGAGCAAGACTCCATCTCAAAAAAAAAAAAAAAATTGAGTTTTAAATTATACCTCTTTTCAGCCGGGCGCGCTGTCTCACACTTGTAATCCCAGCACTTTGGGAGGCTGAGGCAGGCGGATTATGAGGTCAGGATATCAAGACCATCCTGGCCCACATGGTGAAACCCCGTCTCTACTAAAAATACAGAAATTTGCTGGGTGTGGTGGTGCATGCCTGTAATTCCAGCTACTCAGGAGGCTGAGGCAGGAGAATCTCTTGAACCTGGGAGGTGGAAATTGCAGTGAGCCAAGATCACACCGCTGCACTCCAGCCTGGTGACAGAGTGAGACTTCCTCTCAAAAAAAAAAAAACAAAAAACAAACAAACAAAAAAACCCTCTTCTATAGTAGGTGTGTTATAAGTAATAAATTTATTTTAAATATTAGTTCGAGATTATGGCTTGGTAACGTCTTGTTTGAAGTGTGACATTTAAAATGAATTTTCATAATTTGTGGGAGTCAGTGCCTTTTTAAATTCCTCAGCTTACACAGTCTTCTTAAAACACTTTTTGTATTGAGCTTTTGAGATCATGGTTTATTAACCAACATTTATCATTTCAGAAACAGTGGGGTATTGTGTGTTGCAATAATTTTTGCCCATAAGTTGGTGAGCATGGATTTTTTTGTTGATCCCTCCCTTCTCCAGATATCATTTCCATTTCCATTTTGCTCTCATCCCCTTTCTTCCTAAGAAGCTATAAAATGGTTGAAACATTTATTTCAGGTACAATTTTTTGGAAAAGATCTGCAACTTAGGTTTCTATTGTATAAAGTTTAGAATTGGTTATATGTTTTCAATTTTCTTTTCATAAAGCCTACTTCAGTAATAACTTATAATAACCATATTACTATAAGCTCGTTATTTTAACTCTTGGCTGGGCAAGGTGGCTCATGCCTGTAATCCCAGCATTTAGGGAGGCAGACTGAGGAGGATCACTGGAGCCTAGGAGTTTGAGGCCAGCCTGGGCAACATAGGGAGACCCCATGCCTACAAAAAAATTAAAAAAAAAAAAAAATTAGTTGAGCATGAGATGGCACATGCCTGTAGTTCCAGCTACCCAGGAGGCTGAGGCAGAAGGCTCTCTTGAGCCTGTCTCAAAAAATAATAATAATAATAATAAAAAAAAGTGAGGCCTGGTGGGAGGTATTTGGATCATGGGGCAGATCCCTCATGAATGGCTTAGCACCATCCCCTTGGTGATGAGTGAGTTCATGTGAGATCGGTTGTTTTAAAGTTTGTAGCTTCTTCTCTGTTCTCTCTTGTTCCTGCTCTCGCCATGTGACATGCCTGTTCCCACTTGGTTTTGCACCATGAGTAAAAGCTTCCCGAGGCCTCCCCAGTTGCCAAGCAGATGTTGGCATTATGCTTGTACAGCTTGCAGAACCATGAGGCAATTAAACCTCTTTTCTTTATAAATTACCCAGTCTCAGGGATTCCTTTATAGCAATGTAAGAACAGCCCAACACAGCATGTAAAACATTGATTGTTTTTGCTATAACTCTTTATAAAATAAGAACTATTGGTAGTGGTAATAAAATTGTTTAATCCATTGCTTCACATTGAAGGAATGTCTAAATCAGTGATTCACAAGGACAATTGAATGAAAATCGTCTCTGGCTTTTTGAACTTTGCATATTTCCCAGATTTTCTAATATGCCTCTACTCCCACCAGATTTGAGCGTAACTGTAGCAGTGAGTTCAAGTTATTAATGGGTGTGTGTTGCATCCTTCTTGTATGTTTGGGGGTGGAGGTGGCACATATAGACATACCAGTAGACTAAATAGTCTAAGATGTGCATTGTTGTTTCTAATCTAATGACCATTAGGAATAAATAGGTCATAATCTTTTGTAAGCATATCTGTAAGCTTTCCTTAGGGCCAACCAAATATTTCTTTGAACCATTTTCCCTGTTCTGTTCCACTTGTTTAGGCCTGTGCTTTATCATTTACTTGACATCTTAATAGTCTAGACAGTATTTGCTTTCCTTGTTTATGACTCTTGTATGTGACTCTAGAGTTTTTCTTTTCTTTTTTTTTTATGTACAGATGAGATGTCACTATGTTGCCCAGGCTGGTTTCCAACTCCTGAGCTCAAGTAATCCTCCCACCTTGGCCTCCCAAACTGCTAGGGTTACAGGCGTGAGCTGCCACACCTGGCTGATTGTTTTTCTTTTTCTCTTTTATTTTATTATTATTTTTTTTTAGAGAAAAGGTCTTACTCTGTTGCCCAGGCTGGAGCACATCAGTGCAGTCCCAGCTCGTTGCATCCTCAACCTACTGGGCTCAAGCAATCCTCCCACCTCAGCTTCCTGAGCAGCTGGGACCACAGGTGCACACCACCATGCCCGGCTGATTTTTTACTTTTTTGATAGAGACAGGGTCTCACTATGTTGCCCAGGCTAGTCTTGAACTCCTGGACACAAGTGATTCTCGAGCCTCGGCCTCCCGAAGCGCTGGGATTACAGGTGTGAGCCACCATGCCCTGCCTCACGTTTTTCTGAAATCAAAATAGAGTAACTGGTTATAAAGTTTACCCATCAAAAGAAGAAACTGACTTTGCATTTTATTCTTTGTCATAAAATCTGCCTGGATGCTTAGTATTATATTATTGTTTACTATTATATATTATTCCAGAGTAATGGCTTTAACCTCAACTTCAGAATCATTCTTGTTGACTAAAATAAGAAAAAATCTAAAGGCATGCTTGTAACTGTGTAATCTCAAACTCTGTTTCTGAATGAGAATCTCTGGGTTTGGGTTTTTAATGTTTCAGACAATTCTTGATAGATCCTGGAGTTTTAGAAACACTGTTCTAGGGTTTAGCACAGTGTTAAGGGAAGGAACCACTCATACATTAAATTTAAAGTAGATTCATACTTCTAGTGGGTTGGTCGGTCCTTGGTTGCTGGATGCTGTGTGCTATTGGACCCAAGGAATGACGGCACTGCTAGGATGAAGCTCATGAGATTTTTGATGAAATGGTTCATGAAACTGTAACCTTGAATTGAAAAGTGGAACACAGGTCTATGGAACAGTCACAGGTGTGGATGTCACCGTGATACACATCTTAAAGCGTGAAAATGACCCTGAAGACAGAGAACCTGTACAGTTGGAAACACAAATTTGAGGAAGTAACATTAGATATTTTACTCTACCAGACAGTTTACCTCTGGATACACTACTTGTGGATGTTGAGCCTAAAGTAAAAACCTAAGAAAAGGGAAGCTGTTTGTTGCAGGAAGAGGCCAATGCAGAAGAAGAGGTAGAGGAAGAGTACATGGCCATGGCAGAGGGAGAGGGGGTCCTGGTGGTAATGTCTCTTAAGATTACTGTTTCAAGGTAATATGTGATTTGAGATATTTTCTGTATAGGTTTTCTTCGCTTATGTCAATTTTTATTTTTAAATTTTTTTCTATCAAAAAATTTACCATTATGCAGTATGTCCATGTAATATGTCAGTTTTTTTGTTGTTGTTTTGTTTTTCATTTTGAGACAAGGCCTCTTTCTGTCTCCCAGGCTGGAATGCAGTGGCGTGATCTCAGCTCACTGCAACCTCCGCCTCATGGACTCGAGAGATCCTCCCACTTAAGCCTCCTGAGTAGCTGGGACTTACAGGTGCCGCCGCCATGCTTGGCTAATTTTTTAAAGATTTTTGTGGAGAGTAGAGATGAGGTTTCACTATATTTTGCAGGCTGGTCTCAAACTTCTGGGCTCAAGTGATCCTCCCACCTTGGCCTCCCAAAGTGCCGAGATTGCAGGCATGTGCCTCTGTGTCTGGCCAGTATGTCAGTTTTTAACGAACATAAATGTGGAAATTTTTTGAAGTGAAGGCAAAGTGATTAAAACTTTCTACCTGGGTGCAGTGGCTCACGTCTGTAATCCCAGCACTTTGGGAGGCTGAGGTGGGCAGATCACCTGAGCCCAGGTGTTTAAGACAAGCCTGGGCAACATGGCAAAATGCCATCTCTTTAAAAAGTGTTTTAAAAAATTGGCCAGCTGTGGTGGCACATGCCTGTAGTCCTGGCTACTCCTCTGGAAGGTAAAGTCTGCAGTGAGCTGTGATTGTGCCGCTGCTCCCCAGCCAGCGTGACAGAGTTAGAGACCCTATCTCAAAACAAAGCAAAAACCAAGAAACCTTCCTGTCGTTCCATCTTATTTTTCCCTCCCTTTTTTTTTGTTCTACTTGGAGCGTTTTAGTTTTACCGGGAGTTGGCAGTTTTCTTAATTTTATGTATAATTGTCTTTTGTTTCAATTATTTTATGTTTTTTCCTTTAGTGGATGTTTTTGTCTGACTCTTTTAGCTTGTTTCTTATCAGTGATACTGTTTCCTATCTGTATGGTCTCAGTTATTAGTTTTAGAAAATTATTTTTAAAATGTGAGAATGTATAATCATATAAAAAATGTACAATGTACGTTCTCTAACACAGTGGTTACTATTTTCAAATATTATCTTGGCTTTTCTCCAATATGTTTTGTATTTTTGTTTAAGATCCTTTTTATGTTTTTTTTAAGGTACCAAATAATTGTGGCTGTTACTTTTAGTGTTTGCAAAAGATGCTTAACCATTTCATGTTGTTTGATAATTATTACTTCTCATTTTTCATTATTTTGTTTTAAAAATAATTTCAACTTTTATTTTTGATTCAGGGCATACAAGTGCAGGTTCGTTACATGGGTATATTGCGTGATGCTGAGGTCTGGGGTATGGATGAGCCTGTCACTCTGGTAGTGAGCATAGTATGTGATAGGTAGTTTTTCAGCCCATGCCCCCATTTGCCAACCCCTTCTAGTCATCTCCAGTGTCTGTTGTTAACATCTTTTTTTGTTTTTTGAGACAGAGTCTCACTCTGTCGCCCAGGCTGGAGTGCAGTGGCGCAATCTTGGCCCACTGCAACCTCTCCGCCTCCCGGGTTCAAGCAACTCTCCTGCCTCAGCCTCCTGAGTAGCTGGGACTACAGGTGCCCACCACCACGCCTGGCTAATTTTTGTATTTTTAGTAGAGACGGGGTTTTGCCATGTTGGCCAGGCTGGTCTTCAACTCCTGACCTTATGATCTGCCCGCCTAGGCCTCCCAAAGTTATGGCATTACAGGTGTGAGCCACTGCACCTGGCTTTTTTTTTTTTTTTTTTTTCCCTTGAGAAAGGGTCTTGCTTTCACCCTGACTGGAAGGCAGTGGCATGATCATGGCTCACTGCAGCCTTGACCTTCTGGGCTCAAGTGATTTTCCCACCTCAGCCTTCCACGTAGCTGGGACCATGGGCATGTACCACCACACCTGGCTAACTTTGATTTTTTGTAGATACAAGGTCTATGTTGCCCAGGCTGGTCTTGAACTCCTGGGCTCAAGCAGTCCTCTTGCCTCAGCCTCCCAAGTGCTGGCATTACAGGCATTAGCCACCCTGCTCAGCTGTTCCTATCTTACGTCCATGTGTGCTCAATGTTTAGCTCCCAAATATAAGTGAGAACGTACAGTATTTGGTTTTCTGTTCTTGCAGTAATTCACTGAGGATAATGGTCTCCAGCTGCATCCATGTTGCTGCAAAGAACAAGGTCTCATTCTTTTTTTATGGCTATACAGTACTCCATGGTGTGTATATACCATGTTTTCTTTATCCAGTTCACCATCAGTGGGCACCTAGGTTGATTCCATGTCTTTGCTATTGTGAATAGTGCCGCCATAAACCTATGAATACATGAGTCTTTTTGATAAAATGATTTGTTTTCCTTTGGGTATATACCCAGTAATGGGATTATTGAATTGAATGGTAGTTCAGTTTTTAGCTCTTTGAGAAATCTCCAACTGCTTTCCACAGTGGCTAACCTAACTTAACTTATATTCCTACCAGCAATGTGTAAGCTTTCCCTTTTCTCTGCAGTCTTGCCAACATCTGTTATTTTTTGACTTTTTAATAATAGCCATTCTGACTGGTGTGAGATGGTATTTTGTTGTGGTTTTCATTGCTTTTATCTCATGATTAGTAATGTTGAACATTTTTTTCATGTGTTTGTTGGCTGCTTATATGTCTTCTTTTGAGAAATGTCTGTTCATGTCCTTTGTCTACTTCTTAATGGGATTTTTTTTTTCTTGTGGATTTAAGTTCCGTATGGATTCTGAATATTAGTCCTTTGTTGGATGCATAGTTTGCAAATCTTTTCTCCCATTCTGAAGGCTGTCTGTATACTCTTGATAATTTCTTTTGCCATGCAGAAGCTCTTTAGTTTCATTACGTCCTGCTTGTCAATTTTTGTTTTCTTTGCAATTGTTTTTGGGGACTTAGCCATAAATTCTTTGCCAATGCTGATGTCTGGAAGAGTGTTTCCTGGGTTTTCTTCTAGGATTTTATAGTCTAATGTCTTTAATTCATCTTGAGTTAATTTTTGTATAGGACAAAAAGTAGGGGCCCACTTTCATTCTTCTGTGTATGCCTATCCAGTTATCCCAACATGATTTATTGAATAGAGAGTCCTTCTCCCGTTGTTTATTTTTGGCAACTTTGTTGATCAGACGATCAGACGGTTGTGGTTGTGCAACTTTATTTCTAGATTCTCCATTCTGTTCCATTGGTCTGTGTGTCTGTTTTTGTATCAGTACCATGCTGTGTTGCTTACTTTAGCCCTACAGTTTAGTTTTAAGTCGGGTAGTATGATTCCTCTGGCTTTGTTCTTTCTGCTTAGGGTTGCTTTGGCTATTTGGGCTTTTTGGTTCTGTATGAATCTTAGAAGAGTTTTTTTTTTTTTTCTTCTAATTTTGTGAAGAATTACATTGATAGTTTGATAGGAATAGCATTGAATCCGTATATTGCTTTTGGCACTATGGATATTTTAATGATATTGATTCTTCTAATTAATGACCATGGAATGTTTTTACATTTGTTTGTGTCATCACTGATTTCTTTCAGCAGTGTTTTGTAGTTGTTATTCTAGAGATCTTTCACCTTCTTGGTTAGATGTAATACTAGGCACTTCATTTTTTGGGGGGCTATTGTAAATAAGATTGTGTTTTTAATTTTGCTCTCAGCTAGAATGTTGTAATATAGAAATGCTACTGATTTTTATTCATTGATTTTGTATCCTGAACCTTTACTGAAGTCGTTTACAGTTCTAGGAGCCTTTTGGCAGAGTCTTTAGAGTTTTCTAGATACATAATTGTATCTGCAGAGAGATAATTTGATGTCTTCTTTCTCTATTCAGATGCCTTTGATTTTTTTTTCTTGCCTGATTGCTCTGGCTAGGACTTTCAAGTACTATGTTGAATAGGAGTGGTGAGAGTGGGCATCTTTGTCTTGTTCCAGTTCTCAAGGGAATTGTTGCAACTTTTGCCCATTCATGAAGGGATGCTGGGTTTTATCGAAAGCTTTTTCTCTGTCTGTTGAGAAGATGATATGCTTTTTGTTTTTAATTCTGTTTTAGTGGTGAATCACATTTATTGTTTTCATGTGTTGAAGCAACCTTGCACCCCAGGAACAAAGCTTACTTAATTATGGTGAATTAACATTTTGATGTGCTGCTGGATTCCATTTGCTAGTATTTTGTTGAGGATTTTTGTGTCTATGTTCATCGGGGATATTGTTCTGAAGTTTTCTTTTTTCATTGTATCTCTGCCAGATTTTGGTATCAGGCTGATGCTGGCTCCCTAGAATGAGTTAGGGAGGAAACCCTCCTTGATATTTTGGAATAGTTTCAGTAGGATTGGTACCAATTTTTCTTTATACGTTTGGTAGAATTCGGCTGTGAATCCATCTGGTCCTGGACTTTTTTTGGTTGGTAGGATTTTTTTTTTTTTTTTTAATTACTGATTCAGTTTTGGAACTTGTTATTTGTCTGTTCAGGTTTTCACTTCCTTCCTGGTTTAATCTTGGGAGGTTGTGTGTTTCCAGGAATTTATCCTTTTCTTCTAGATTTTCTAATTTGTGTGCATAGAGGTGTTGATAGTAGGCTGAATATCTTTTGTATTTATGTTTTCACTATTTTAAATCGGTGCTGTGACAAACTTGAACATGCGATATCCCTTTCCCACCCGCCCACACCATTTTGCATTTCCTTAGGGTAGATAGATGTCTAGAAGTGGAATTCCCAAACCAAAGTCTGTGAACCCTTTTCTGATATCTCTGTTGTACCAGTACCACGAATAATGTGCCACATCTGTTTTTAGTGATATAATTATCTAAAATGTTTGCTTTTGATCATTGGTTTTAGAAAAATATAATTATATTTGCATTTCTTTGATTTCTGGGATGTTGGTCCTCCTCCCACCCCCATTATCCCCACGGATTGCTAAGGAGGAGACTTTGACTGCTCCCTGAATCCTGGCATCTTCTTTTTTTAATTTTTTCTGATATTTGGTTTTTATCAAGTTGTTATATAATAAAAAAAACTAGATAAGTTGTTTTGGTGATCCATCTCTTTTTATATTCATTCCAGCTTATTTTTCAATGCTTTGTAATATATTTTAATATCTAGTGTGGCAAAACACTTAATTTTTTTCTAATAATTTTGATATTCTTATATATGTATTTTTAATTCTACTTTAGTAAATGGCAGGCAAAAAAATGTAGATCTATGGACAGTAGTAGAGTTTATGGGAGGAAAATTGCGGATGATCCTTTCAGCTCACTAGAAGTCTCTATTTTTTTCTTCAAAACTGGTCTCCCTGCTATAAAATTTGAACTGTAGGTATGTCAGTATATCTATAAGAGTTGCCTCCGTAATTGAAATAGACTTCCTGTTACCCGTTGTCTAGGTTGTACACTGTAAAGAGCATCTTTTTTTTTTTTTTTTGTAGGAAAAAATGGTTTTGTACATGGGATGAAACAATGTAAACTCAAAACTTACAGATAAGGGTTAGTTGTATCACTCATCTCTTTGAAAAGTTTATATGAATATCCAGTCAAAACCAACAAGGTATCGCCCTTGAAATGTTATCTATATGGATTTCCAAGGAGACCATAGGACTGTATACTGTCTTGGAATGTCCTCAGAAGGCTTAGAGAGCATCTTGATAAAAGGTTATGTGGTTTATGATAGAGTGTATTAGTTTATTTGTGTTATTACCAAAGATGAACTTATGGTTAAAGATGAATTTAGGATTAACATGACGAGGAAAGAGTGACATTTAGCTGAGGGTATTAAGTAGATGTCTCAGATGAACTGACACTAAAGGTAATTAGCTTTACAAATAGAGAGATGAGAGAAGAGAACCACTTCCTAGGTAGGATAAAAGAACATGTAAAAAAGGGATATGAAAAAAATTTATATTCCTTTAAAAATGTTATTCTCTACCAGCCTAATGAGTATTTCCATGTGATAGAAATAGAGATAAAGGTTGCTCATAGAGGTAGTGGCAGGAAATGAGGTCAAAGAGGGAGATATTCCAGTAAGGAGGCTGTTGAACACTTTTTAGGCAGAATATCATTGTTTTCTATAGTGAAGCCATTGGGAAAGTTGTGTACAATTACAGATGAACTTCTGCAAGTTAAATGGACAACCTTTTGTGATGTTGGTGCTTCAGAAGTACTCTCAAAGGGTTGCTTTACAATATTGAAAATGCTAAAAAATGGCCGGGCACAGTGTCTCACGCCTGTAATCCCAGCACTTTAGGAGGCTGAGGCGGGTGGATCACGAGGTCAGGAGTTCAAGACCAGTCTGGCCAAGATGGCGAAACCCCGTCTCTCTACTAAAAATACAAAAATTAGCCGGGCGTGGTGGTGGATGCTTGGGCGCCTGTAATCCCAGCTACTCGGGAGGCTGAGGCAGAGAATTATATGAACCCAGGAGGCGGAGGTTGCAGTGAGCTGAGATCGCACCATTGCACTCTAGCCTGGGCAACAGGGAAGACTTTGTCTCAAAAAAAAAAAAAAAAACCAGCTAAAAAGAGCTACTTGTGCCTTTTTTGGGTAATTTTTTGGTTCACCTCAGAGACATGAGAATTACTGGTTTTTCTTTTTTGGGTTTTTTTTTTGTTTTTTTTTTGGTCGGGGGACAGAGTCTGCCTCTGTCTCTCAGGCTAGGGTGCATTGGTGCTATCATGGCTCACTGCAGGCTCAACCTCCTGGGTTCAGGTGATCCTCCCACCTCAGCCTCCATAGTAGCTGGGACTACAGGTGTGTGCCACCATGCACAGCTAATTTTTGTATTTTTTGTAGAGATGGGGTCTCACTGTGTTGCCCAGGCTGGTTTCAAACTCCTTGGCTCAAGCGATCCTCCTGCCTTGGCCTTTCAAAGTGCTGGGATTAAAGATGTTAGCTACAGCGCCCAGGGAGAATTGTTTTACTGTCTCTTAGGAGCACTTGGAAATGTGTGTTTAATTTAGAAACTCTGCCATTTTTATCTTCCGATGAGGAAATGTTTCGATATGTTAGAAATTGGTTTCACCATTTTGTTTGGGGAAATAAGAGATATAAATAGTAGATTTACTTCTGGACACGGTGGCTGATGGCTGTAATTCCTGCAAATTTGGGAAGCCAAGGTGAAAGGATTGCTTGAGCCCAGGAGTTTGAGACCAGCCTGGGCAACATAGTGAGATCCCCGTCTCTACAAAAAATGTTTAAGAAATTAGCCAGGCATAGTAATGTGTGCCTGCAGTCCTAGTTACTCAAGAAGCTCAACCTGTGGAAGGATTGCTTAATCCCAGGAATTTGAGGTTGCAGTGAGCTATGATGGCACTGCACTCCAGCCTGGGGGACAGACTTGAGACCCTGTCTCAAAAAAAAAAATTAGATTTAAAAAATATAGAAATGATAGATGCTTTTGTTTAACTATAAATATCAGCATATCTTATAATCAAGAATATAAACATTAATTGTTTCTATAAATTGTTCTGCATTTCTTTAGCCTTTATCTCCCTGCTAATATAGGTGATCATAAATCACTTTCCATTTAACAGTAATTCAGTAAACTTACATACAGGTTCTGATAATATGTTAATTTTAGCAGCTGTACTGCATTTCAGCACTTTAAATTCAACTGAGTTTGACTTGAAATACCTCCATTTTACTAAATTTAGATTTTTTTGGTACATAATTGTCCCTAGGTTTGAGCTACTCTGTCTCATAGTATGTATTTATGCTTCAGAAATTAATATCTTTTTCTTTCTTAGTATTTGAACCTTCAGATTCTTCCACTATTATAACCATTTTAAGTTCTTTTTAAAATTAAACTTATTTTTTTGGGATAGATAAAACTCAAGTATGTAGAAAGATGTACACGAAGTCTTATTTCTTCCTTTGCTTGCTACTTTATTTTCCTTCCACACTTTTTGGTATCCTGTTTATCCTTCCAGTGTTTTCCTTTTGTAGTTACAAACAAATGTGTATTTTATTCTGGAGATCTTTCCATATCTAGATAAAGATCTTTATTTTTAATAGCTTCATAGTATTTTCTTATGTAGATGTACCGTAGTTTAGTCACTCAATCCTTTGTGGCTATTTGGGTTGTTTTCTATTTTTTGCTGTTACAATGCCAAATGAATAACAATATACATGTAACATTTTCTATTTGAACAAGCAATTGTAGATCTTTAGGTCAAGTATTTTCTTCCACTGTCAGCTGAGAGAACCTAGAAGCAACAATATCCCTGTAGCAGTGAGCACACCTGGTGCCCAGATCTTGGTTTCTAACACCATTCTCCAGTAAAAGGAACCAGGCCTTTGTGGAGAAATGGCTGATTCTAGGACTGGGGCAGCTAATAAAACTGTAAGATCAACCTGGAGTATCTTGTAGTGCTGGAAAGGAAGGAACTATTCAAACAAAAACACGAATGAGTTATGTCAAAGGGACACAGCCAACTGAAAGAGTTCCCAGTAGCCAATACTGGAATAATTTGAGCAACAAAAAAGTAATATTGAATTATAACCCAAAGTATAAAATAATATCCATGAGTTCATGCTGATAGAAGTAAATGACTGACTAAATAAATAAATGGGGGAAGAATAGACAAATCTGTGCATAATTAGATACACAGCCCTCAAGGAAGTATAATACAACTCCCCACCTTTCAAGTGTGAGCTACATGAGGTGACTTCCTGCCAATAAGTACCATACTAATGTAAGATCTTACTAGCGGAAACTGAGTGTGTGGTTTAAGGGAACTCTTTACTATTTTTCTGTAAATCTAAAACGATACTAAAAGTTCACTTTTAAAAAACTGCTTCTGGGCCGGGCGCAGTGGCTCACGCCTGTAATCCCAGCACTTTGGGAGGCCAAGGTGGGCGGATCACGAGGTCAGGAGATCAAGACCATCCTGGCTAACACGGTGAAACCCTGTCTCTACTAAAAATACAAAAAATTAGCTGGGCGTAGTGGCGGGCGCCTGTAGTCTCAGCTACTTGGGAGGCTGAGGCAGGAGAATGGCGTGAACCCGGGAGGGGGAGCTTGCAGTGAGCCGAGATCGCACCACTGCACTCCAGCCTGGGCGACAGAGCGAGACTCCATCTCAAAAAAAAAAAAAAAACGAAAAAAAAAAACTGCTTCTGTAATTCTGATGCTGCCAGATTGCCATTTTGTACTACCACCTAAATGTGCAACAGGCCTGTTTCCCATAACCTCAGCAACTGAATGTGTTGTCAGACTTTTTGAGTTTTGCATTTGATAGATGAGAACTGGTTTAACTCAGGTTATTGTATTTTTCTCATTATCAATGACATTGGACATTTTTTCATATGTTTAAGGGGCATTTTACGTTTTTTCCCTTCTTTGAATTCTCATGTCCTTTATTTTTCTCTTAGGTCATTGGTCTTTGTTTTCAGGAATTTTCTGTTGGGAGATTAGCCCTTTATTTGTGATGTGGGTTGCAAATATGTATATTTTAGATTATGTTTTTTCATGCATAACTTTCGACTTTTATATGGTGAAGTAATTTTTTCTTTTATGTTTTTGGATTTTGAAATATATTTAGAAAAGTCTTCACCATTCCAAGGTTATAAGGAAGTTCATCCACATTTTCTTCTAATACTTGTGGTTGTGTTTTTCACATTTGGATTTTAAAATTTGGATCCTTCAGTTCCTCTCAATCTTTGAGGCATTTTAAATGCTTACCCCTTGCTTTCTGGTTATACCTGCATCAGCATGGTTGTGGCCATATAGGTGATTCAGATGACTTATAGTAAAAGAAATACTTAGGCATTTACTCTCAGTAAGAAGTCTCAACTTTCTGATTACTGATCATGATTATTATAGTAAATGGAAACTCCTTTAGAGTTTCTTTTCACTGTTAAATTGTATATTTTGTAGTATTTTTTCTACTGATTATCAGTATTGTGGATTATTCATGTATCAATTGGTTTTTTCCTTATCCTGTTTCTTATAGGATTCCTTTTTAGATTATTAAACCTGTCTGTGATCTGTTTCTCATCTTCCTTAGAACTCCTACTGGTTTTATGGTCCTCTGATTACTAAACTCTATTTTATAATCTTCAGAAGTTTAATTAGTAGGCCAGTTTGCTGTTTTAACTCATTAAGAAACTGGCCAGTAGTGTCAGTGGATACTGCCTAATATAGGGTGATGATTTATCTTAACCTTTTATAACAGTATTAATATTTTCCCCACATTGCTTGTGATGAGACTAGTGTCACTGAACTGAGCTTGTAACAGACATTTGGGAAGCTGTCTGGTGGTACTGCGGAATTTTGGCTGCTGGAAAATACCACCAAAAATTATCTGTTGAGTATATTGCTTATAAGCATTTGTAGGGGGCCATGTGGGTGTTGATAAGAATGGCAAACCAGAAAGGAACATCAAAGTTGGAGTGTTTATTATTGATGTTTTGGAGTCTGGTTTAAGTATTTCAAAGCTTTATTAGAATTAGGTGAGGATCATGATATAATAGTTTGATTGGACAGACATACCAAGGTAAGAGTTTTGAGGTAAGCTTTTTCAGTGTCTTAGAAAGTGAACAATCATTTGCTACTATTTATTGAAAAATTGAATAGTCTGATGTTGGTTTATATGGGTTTTTTGGGAAGTTCCTGAAATGAACAATGAAGTTTTTTGTAGCTCTTATCTGCCTGAGCAGGAGTTTCCTGGAATAGCAAAGTCATGTTGTTGAAGACAGCTGTATAATGATAGTTAATATAGATTGTAAACTTGGTGTAGACAGTTTCAGTTCTCAGTGTCCATTTAGAACCACAAGAAACTTGAACATGTATTTATAAAAAGTCTGATTCTTAGGCTCATTTGCAAAGACAATGCATTCTCTTGGTGAATAGTTTGACTTTCAATTTTTCCCCTGGGGAATGAGGCCTGACTTTAACAATTAGGTGTCAGACATGCCCAAGTAGGCAGTTGGATAGGTGAGTCTGCAGCTTAATAAAGAGGTCAGGATCACTGTAATACCAGCAGTTTGGGAGGCCAAGGCAGGTGGATCACCTGAGGTCAGGAGTTTGAGACCAGCCGGGCCAACATCGTGAAACCCCATCTCTACTAAAAATACAAAAAATTACCCAGGCGTGGTGGTGGGTGCCTGTAATCCCAGCTACTCAGGAGGCTGAGGCAGGAGAATCACTTGAACCCAGGATGCGGAGGTTGCAGTGAGCTGAGCCCAGGATGCGGAGGTTGCAGTGAGCTGAGATCGCGCCATTGTACTCCAGCCTAGGCAACAAGAGCAAAACTCTGTCTCAAAAAAAAAAAAAAAAAAAAAGGTTAGGATCAGAGATGGAAATTTGGGAGTCACTGTGTGTAGATGTTGTCCACCCAGAATGAGCTTGCCTAAGGAGGAAACATAGAAGAAAAATGCTTGTGCCAGGACTTAGGCCACACTGGTGTGTGTGTATGTGTGGCTGAGGGTGGGGTAAAGGGGTGGAATAAATCTGCAGAGGAGTGGCCAGAGAGGTTGGAAGAAAACCAAGATATTGTTATAGAGAAGCCAAGGAAAATGTGTTTAGGATAATGAAGGACTGGTCAAACTCCTATAATTATAGGCAAGGAGCAGTGAAGATAACTGGTGTAGGTTAGTTCAGGAAATTTCTACCTGAAAGCTCTATGTTTAACTCATTTTTGTGTACATATGTATACACACAGGCACACTGTATGGGTTAGGGAAAGGGTCATCATATAATTGTGGATGGTGGAGATGGTTTGAAGTAGACATTGGGGAGAGTAGGAGACCAAGTGCAGCAGAGAAATATAGTAAGATTATTGGCCAGTGTTGAGGCCCATTTAGGTTCGCTGATCAAACTGTTCTGTTGTGTGACTGTTCAGCAGTGCTGAGATGAACTGGTGCTGATGTGGAGAAAGTCTTAGGTGGATTAGGATTGGGATGGACAAGAATATATTTGTGCATTACAGTAGATCCAAGTATATGTACCTTTCTGCCTTTGGAGTGGCTGTAGCATTGTGTTGTTTCATTTATTTCTGATGGGCTCTTCTCATGACCTCACTTGCTTGAAAGCTTACTGCTTGACTGGTATTCAGCCCATCTGAACTTACTTTACTTCTGTGGAGAAGTAAATTAGTTCCCCCCTTTTCCTGGTTTCCACAGAGTCTTGAGATCTCTGATGTTGCTTCTTAGGAAGAAGGGGCATTTGACTAAATTTATAAAGGAAGTATAAGAATTTGCCAAGAGGTCAGAGAATGGGATGAAGGGGAAGGGGTTAATTGTTCCTGGTAGAGGGATATGCTTGTGCAAAGTTAAGAGGCCTGAGCAAAACACCTTAAGGGAATAGAAGCTACAAATAATTTCTTTGAGGCAATGAAGCACTCACTGTGTATCTCTGGAGATGGAGCTGAAAAGTAGTGGGGTCAGAACACAAAGTTCTTGTAAGGCTAGGTGAAGAATGACCTGTTGGCCCCAGAGATTAATTTTTACTTAACAATTTTTCTACGCATGTACAAAATAACGGCTGTTCACAGAACTATTCAGTTCATGACATTCTTCACCTAAGAATTGCCTAGTGGGAAAATGTGTTTGCAGATTAGTTATCTGAATTTGATAATATTTTCATAGAAATAATTTTACCAATTTGGCTGCCGTGTTGCTCCATGAAAGTTACTTAATTTCTCATTTTGGCTGTTAATGGGGAAAGAGGGTTAGTGATATGTAGCTTGCAATTTTATATACAGAACATAAATCAGATGTTCATAATTTGGGAGTATACAGTGGCAAAAATAGTATATGTTAAATGCTTACTGTGTGCTAGGTACAATACATGCATTCTGATTTAGATCTCACATCCTTTTGGAGTAATTGTTTTTTGTTTTTTTGAGACGGAGTCTTGCTCTGTCGCCCAGGGTGGAGTGGTCTTCGCTCTGTCGCCCAGGGTGGAGTGCAATGGCGCGATCTTGGCTCACTGCCACCTCCACCTCTCAGGTTCAAGCGATTCTCCTGCCCCAGCCTCCTAAGTAGCTGGGACTACAGGGGCACACCACCACGCCCAGCTAATTTTTGTATTTTTAGTAGAGACAGGGTTTCACCATCTTGGTCAGGCTGGTTTTGATCTCCTGACCTTGTGATCTGTCCGCCTTGGCCTCCCAAAGTGCTGGGATTACAGGCGTGAGTCACTGTGCCCAGCCATTGAGGTAATTGTTAATTCTTTTCTCTCTCTCTCTTTTCTTCTGAGATGGAGTTTTGCTCTTGTCACCTAGGCTGGGGTGCAATGGCGCAATCTCGGCTCACTGCAACCTCTGCCTCCCAGGTTCAAAGTGATTCCCCTGCCTCAGCCTCCCTAGTAGCTGCAATTACAGGTGCCTGCCACCACGCCCGGCTAATTTTTTGTATTTTTAGTAGAGACGGGGTTTCGCCATGTTGGCCAGGCTGATATCCAACTCTTGACCTCAGGTTATCCGCCTGCCTAGGCCTCCCAAAGTGCTGGGATTACAGGCACTTTGGGAGCCACCGCAGCTGGCCTGTTAATTGCCTTCTCTGAAGAGAAAACTAAATGCAGTTTTCTCAGTGTCATACTTCTCACTGTCTCTCTAGTGTTTAAATGAAGGAATCAGGATTTGAACCTAGGTTAGGCTTACCCTAGGACTTATTCTCAGTTTCTCTTAAAGAAAGTGAACTTCCTATGTGCTATAAACTCTTTATCACTAGTGCCAAAGTTGTGTGTACCATAATTAACATTTCACTGTAGGTGTTAATTAAATGTAGTGATGTGTTAACCTCTAAGCTTTTGAGAAGACTGAATAGGTAGTAAGCAATAATGAAGCAAAGAGAGAATCTAGGCTCATAAAGCCATCCTTTGGTTAACTAGAATCCATTTAATTCACCTAATGGAAAATTCAGATAGCCCAAACAATATTCTGTTTGTCAGAATTCTGGTTAATTCAAATATTACTGTTTTAAAATGCTTTTCTATATCCTCATAGGAAATCTTTCAACATTTTTTAAAGGCTATCATTTGTAATGTATATGCATATTTTACCCTCTTTTTCTTCACTTTGTGTTAATTTCTTTATTTTTTCTATTTATAATATACTGAGGTTTCCTAAATAAGTAAAATTAGAAGAATAGAGAGTTCTGCAAATAAAAATGAAAACCTCTGAAAAAAAGTGGCTGTGGAGTATTTTTTTTCAGTTGATTATTCAGGTACACCTTTTCTTACTGTTTTGGTGAAAATCTACAATTTGGCCTTTACCTTAGATCTTATAAAGATGATAGAGTATGCTTGGAAATTGGCTCATTGTTATGCTCCCTTCCTGTTAGGATTGGTATGTGAACAATTTCTAATTTTCCACTTAGCAAGTAATGTGATGGAGGATTAGAGTGCCTCCCACCCCTCACCAAATCACAAAAAAAGCTTTTCTGAAGATAATGGTAGTTTTATAGTTTTGAGATCAATTGATTCGGCCCTAGGAAGACTCTATTTTGAGGCCTTTTCAATATCTTTGAAATTAACTGGCCATATAAGAGGGAGATTTTTTTCCTTCACAGCTCTTCTTCCCCCAAAGAAAACCTTTACCAGAAGATTGAAGAATGCTGGCATTTTTAATATGTTGCCAAGTCTTCTACTGTTGCCATGGAAAGTTGGCCACTACTTAGTAGAATTTGTCTTATAAAGGCTTTAATAGTGTTAGTTTTTAAAAGATGTTATAACTATTATTGTCATAAATTACAGAATGACAAAATAGCATTTGTCCAGTTCAGATGCCTCTTGGAGAGAAAGACTAGAAAGTTGTACACACACACACACACACACACAAACACACACTCACTCACACACTGTCTCTCTCTCTCCGTCCCCCCTCTTTTTAACATGATAAGCAAATTCATATTTACCTTGTGCCAAGTATGCTAAGAACATTCTTAATGAAACCTACATGAATATTTAGAAAGTAGGTGATTTTGTGAGATTTGCAGTTTAAAAACATAAGAGGCAATACATAATACTATTTGATCATGATTGAAAAATATGTCATGTAATAATTCAGTTATTTTTGAAGGGAAATGAAATTTCATTCTTTTTCTTTTTATTTTTTTTGAGATGGAGTTTCACTCTTGTTGCCTAGGCTGGAGTGCAATGGCCTGATCTCGGCTCACCACAGTCTCCGCCCCCTGGGTTCAAGTGATTCTGCTGCCTCAGCCTCCTGAGTAGCTGAGATTATGTTGGTCAGGCTGGCCTCCAACTCCTGACCTCAGGTGATCCGCCCACCTCAGCCTCCCAAAGTGTTGGGATTACAGGCTTGAGCCACTGTGCCCTGCTGAAATTTCATTCTTACAGTAGCTGTCAAATGTGGCCTTTTAAATATTTAAATATATATTTAGTTCTTCCTATTAAAATGATGCCCCTTAAAATGCTGTTTTAATTTTTTATTGTTGGAGTTAGGAGGTGGTTAAAGGGTGAACAATTAGCTGGGCTTCACGGGATATCTTTACGTCAGTGGGTCATGATATGTCACCATGTGGTGAAGTCTGATCTTTTCAGCTTTGTTCTGTGACATTCCTCTTCAGTTCATTTTGAGATAATCTGGTATTGTAGAATCTCTTATGCTAATTAGAGGATAAAGTATAATGTTAATTTAGAAATACACAATGAGAAATAATCTGGCTTGATACAACAGTGTTTTAAGGGGGGGATATGAGTGATGCAGTGGGGGCAGGGAGGGACACAAAGATTTTAAAAATATGTTTCTTTCCTTAAGGAGTTTATAATACGATGAAACCCAGGAAGTTTTTATTTACATAGCCCACTTGATCCTGGTAAGTAAACCAATTTAGAAGATCTGATTTCAGATCTGAGGGTTGGTTGAGAATAGCTTTAGGGTAGTGAGTTTTCAACCTTTTTGGTCTCAGGACCTGTTTATACTCTTAAACGTTTCAGAAATGATACGAAAACAGAAACCTTAGGTTACAAAAAATTGTAATTTACTTAAAAATAACAAACATTACGAAGTTAACAAATCTTAAAAAAACTATTTTCAAAAATATGAGAATAGCATTGTTTTACATATTTGCAAGTCTCTTTAATTTCAAGCTAAATAGAAAACAGCCGGATTCACACATCTGCTTTTGCCTTTTAGTTTATTACAATATTCAGTGTAGTCTCTGGAAAACTCCATTGTACACCGGTGAGAGAAGTGTAAAAAAGGCAAATAACTTAGTATTTTATAAAAATAGTTTTTACCTCAGGATGCTCCCATAAAGGTTCCCCAGACCACACATACTTGGAGAATCTCTGCTTTAGAGCAAAATGAAGTGGGTTGCTTATCCTACTTTTGATCTTGCTCTGAATTGCATATTCTTACAGGCTGTTTCTGTCAAGCTGTAGTAACTCATTAAATTCCATTGTGGAAGTTACTCGCAGGTAACTTCTACTATAAATAGTTGGAGCCATAGGCTTTGATTGGAAAAGGCAAGGCTTGCTAGCTGTATCATTTCAGGAAAATGTATTCACATTTTGGAATGTTTCCTCTTTTGTAAAATGGGTAGAGTAATACCAACTCATAAGACTTCGGTGTGAACCAAATAAATTAAAGCAATATACAGTTGCTAATCAAATCTTGCTGTTAGTAGGAGTTTTGGAAGAAAACATTGCCTGACACATGTTCCAATTTTCTCACATACATTTTGGTTAAATTTGCAGAATATCCTAAACACCTGATAAGATTTGTGTCTTCCTTGTTACTCTGCAGTGACTTTTTTTATTTTTAAAATGCCCTCCGTTCTTTCCTTCTGTCCAGCTCTTACACTCGCGGCTTCTTAGAGCCAGTTCCTTCACAAATAAATGGGGATTTTAAAACAAAAATAGCAAAATATCCTTCCCTGGGGTGTTCATAATCTTGTGCTTAAACTAAAGAAACAGTTAAGGAGTTTCACCATATTGGTCAGGCTGGTCTTGAACTCCTGACCTCGTGATCCGCCCACCTCAGCCTCTCAAAGTGCTGGGATTACAGGCGTGAGCCACCGCGCCAGACCTATTTTATTTATTTATTTATTTATTTTTGAGACAGAGTCTCGCCCAGGCTGGAGCCCAGTGGCCCCATCTTGGCTCACTGCAACCTCCACCTCCCGGGTTCAAACGATTCTCATGCCTCAGCCACCAAGTGTAGCTAGGACTACAGGCATGCACCATCACGCCTGGATAATTTTTGTGTTTTTAGTAGAGACCAGGTTTCTCCGTGTTGTCCAGGCTAGTCTCAAACTTTAGACCTCAAGTGATCTGCTCACCTTGGCTTCCCAGAGTGCTGGGATTATAGGCATGAGCCACTGTGCCCAGCCAACATTTTTTTAAAAAGAAATCCTCACCACATATACATGAGATGTATCTATGACATTATTAATAACTGGATGGGCTGATAGATTGCTCAACACAATTTTCATTTATAAGAAATACTTAATTTGTTTTTTTCCTTTTTCTTAGTGTTGTCAAGTTTTTTCTTTACTTTTAAAGAAATCAACCAGAAATGGTAGAGACTGTGTTGGTTTATGTAAAGAATTCCTTTCATGAATACAGGCCTTCATCTCACAGCAAAAAATCAGTGCATTTGAGTGTTTTAAGTTAACATGTTTAAGGTACATAATTGTAAAGATATGTATATAGATATATACTTTTTTTTTCTTTTTTGTGATTGTTTGAATTACCAATTTGATTAGTGGACTGGTCCTGAGTTAGTTGATTCACCAGATTCTTGTTTTTTAGTGAATACACCTATCACAGGCCTACTTTTTGAATTCTAACTTGAAAGTCAGTAGTGGGACTGAAGCCCTTTTTCAAACTTTAACATGGATTTTGTAGTAAAATTGGAATAATACAGCAATTTCATAGTACCACTTGTAGCTTCCAGCAACTATCATGACATTTTATATTCAAACTGTTTCTTTAAAGAAGACTTTGTAGTTACCTAGGGTTTGGGACTCTGTTGTGCTCCTTTCCAGCCTTATTCATTGTGCCCCCCCCCCCCCCCCCCGTCTTAGAGTAGCTTCTTTCTAAATTTCCTCTTCCAAGGAATCAGCTGATGCTTCTAAGGCAGACTCTGGAGCCAGTATTATGGTTTCATATCAAAGTGTCAAAATACTTCATTTTCTAGTGAATATTAGACGAAAATGTGGAACACTTCAACAATTGGAATATTAAAAGG
Source organism: Homo sapiens (assembly GCF_000001405.40). Taxonomy (NCBI): domain Eukaryota; kingdom Metazoa; phylum Chordata; class Mammalia; order Primates; family Hominidae; genus Homo; species Homo sapiens. The sequence continues at coordinate 96,368,635 of NC_000012.12, read as the reverse complement.
AGGATATTTCCTACTTAGATTTATTTTACTTATTAGGGAACTGAAAATGCCGTCTAAGAATGAGGGGCAACAAGATTGGCCTGTGCTCAAATTTTAGGAGGCACGGTGCCCAGAGAGGGCTCCAGAGCTCTTTTGCTGGCTGCCTCTTCTGGAGCAGCTGACTGGCCAGCTGCAGAGCACATTGATCTGGTCATGATTGCTTTCATCCTGGAGTAGAGCAAGTTCACACAATTTAAATCAAGAGCCACATTAGAAGCTCCTGACCTCAGGATAACCTCTCATTTCCTACCTTTGAAAGAGGGAACAAGAGGGAACAGTTCAGTCACTTCCTAACATCTAGCCACAAAAATACATGGGAAGATATAGCCACATCTAAAGATTGTGATCTCCTGATTTTCTTTATAACTTAGGTAGATTCAGAATACCATCTTCCAGTTTTCCCTTGGAATACAAGGAACATTAGTCTTAATCTACTGTTCTGTGTTGAATAGAGAAATAATTCCTTCCCTTCCACACACTCTTTTTTTTTTCCTATTGAACTTTTCCTAGGCCATTCATATAGATGCAGCCTAGATGAAATAGACTTGGACTGTTCGTAAACTCACCCTTTTCTTGAAATATCATACTGCAGTGTGACATTTCTTACCTGTGTTATATGGCAGACCAGTGTTTTTTGATGTATACGTTTTTAAATGCATGCTTTCTTTTGGTAAATTTAGGCCTCCCATTATTCTCTGAATATCCCTACCAGTCACTATAAGGGATTTTTTTTTTTTTTTTTAAGTAGAGATGAGGACTTGCTGTGTTGTCCAGGCTGGTCTTGAACTCTGGGCTCAAGTGATCCTCCTGCTTTGGCCTCCCAAAGTGCTGGGATTATAGGAATGAGCCACTGTGCCCAGCTCATTAATATAAAAGTTTTACTGAAGTTTATTTTCTAGAGATTTCAACTTTGCTTCTGCTGTGACTCACATGCCAGGATAGGTAATCTCACATATGGAACACTGTAAGTTACTGGATTGATAAGAGGGACTGAGAATTGTGAGCAGTTCTCACTTCTTAAGTTGTAATTGTACTCTTTTCTCCCATTCATAACTGAGAGTAATATTAAATAATAGTTCTGAATCTGCTCTAGTTCATTAAGTATAATTCACATTTTCTTATTTCGACTGTTAGTAACAAATTCTAATGCTCAGAATGTGAGCACTAAATAGTAATTGAAGAAATTAACCTCAGACTTGAGAACTATTTTACTTTATAAGATTTCTTTTTTTTTTTTTTTTTTTTTTTTTTTGAGGTGGAGTCTCATTCTGTCACCCAGGCTGAAGTGCAGTGGTACAATCTCGGCTCACTGCAACCTCCACCTCCTAGGCTCAAGTGATTCTCCCGCCTCAGCCTGCCGAGTAGCTGGGACTACAGGCACGCGCCACCACACCCAGCTAATTTTTTTGTATTTTTAGTACAGACGAGGTTTCACCATATTGGCCAGGCTGGTCTTGAACTCCTCACCTCATGATCCGCCCGCCTCGGCCTCCCAAAGTGCTGGGATTACAGACGTGAGCCATCGCACATGGCCATAAGATTTCTTAATAAGAAAGGGAACTACTACTTTGCTAGAAGTCTCCGTGCTTGACTTGGAGGACATACTGAGTTACAGTGAAATAAGTAAGAGCAAAGGTCTTTAGTTAGAAATGTCATGAAATGAGGAAAGAAAAGGAAATAAGGAGGTTAAAATATGCGTAGGTGTTTTATAACTATTAAAATTTTACTGACTTGTGTAGTTGATATCTTTCTACTCAGAAAAAAGAGAAAAAGATCCAGATATTTAGGAGAAGTCACATATGTTTGTGTACCTTCCTGATAATTGATGGTATTGAGCTATCTATAATCTTGGTTAAATCCTTATAAGACCACTGATAACATATTAATATTTACTACCTCTGATTGTCCAGAGTTATGGGTATATTATGTCACTGGTTGAAAATCTGACTGATTTATAAAAAAGGATCAAACTGTGGGTGTTAGCCTTAGTCAAACAATTTAAACAAGCATGAGGTACTACGAACTGATTTTTTAAAAAATTTGGGACAGTGCTGTTTAAGCTGCTTATAATTTCACTTGTTTTTCAGAGATAATTTTTACTTGATGTCTGTTTGTCCTAGATACTGTGATACACTAGATATAGTAATGTATGAGATATATGATAGCGGCTGTGATTTATTATACCTAGAACTAAGAGTGGTTTTCAGATGGATATTTTACTTTCCCTTATATGAGGGACTGGGTCATACTGCTTACAAAAGAAGTGACTAAAATGGCCTGCTGTGTAGGAAGGGTAACATCTGTGTTCATACAATAAATGGATGTAGCCTAGTTCTCTGGTGGAATGTCTAACACTTGCCAGTACTGTTCTCAAAAAGAGTTTGTTAATAATTTTAAATAACTTGATATCATTTAAAAATACATGGCCAGTCTAGGAAAGGTGGATAGCAATGGAAGGTATTTGCTAGAGGCTTTTTGGCCTTCCCGGTGTCTGAAATCTCTTCTCAGAAGTGTTGAAATGTAACCAGCAGTAGAAAAATTTTCCTTACTAATTGTGGAATTGAGTCTGGAATTTGTCTTTTGATTCTGCCAAAGGAGAGAGATTCACAGGCCTACCAAAGGAGGAAGGAGGAATGCTTATAGGTCTCCTGTAGAAGTACTATTTATAGTATTATCTGCTCATATAAACCTAGTTTTTAAAAATAAAAACTTTTTTTTAATTGAGACAGGGTCTTGCTATGCTGTCCAGCTGGTCTTGAACTCCTAGGCTCAAACAGTCTCCCCACCTCAGCCCCCCAAGTAGCTGGGATGATAGGTGCATGGCACCATGCCCAGCTTCTATAAACCTAGTTTAAAAATACGTAAGAGAAAAATCAGATAAGTTGACCTCATTAGGAAATAATTTGTCAAACACATTTTGGTAGCATAGTAAGTGAAATTTGTTAACTTTCATATAATTTGATATTGCTAAAATTGCTTTTAGGTGTAGTTTTTCTTTTGAAACAGATTATCAAGAGGGTTCTGACTATTCAAGAATATTGCTTAATTTCACAAAAATTGAAAGGAAAGGCATTTTGTGTTTCCCTCATAATCTACACATCAACCAGCTTATTTGTGTGAGGTTAGTGAAGGAACACACAGGATTTGCATTTTGTCTTATCAGGGTTTACTAAATAGTGACTCTTGGGTGAGTCTTAAGTTTTGAGCTTTTGTTTTCTCCTTTATATAATAGGAATGGTAAATTTATCTTTTTTACTTCATAGAATTGTTTTAAGAGTCAAATAAAATGATGGATGTAAAGACTCTGTAAACTCCATAAAGCTAGGTATATAGTGATGTTATTCATGTTATTTTTAAATTGATGAATGAATTATCAACTTTGTGGAATAATTATTTTAATGATTGGCATAGGGAAGATAATGTACCATTATCAAATATCTCATCTTTGAGAAAAAAGCAATTTTATTTTTATTTAACATTGAATATATATTTAAGGACAATTTAAAACTCTTTAATTTTTATGGATAAATGTACAGAAAATATTAATATAATGTATAGACATTCAGAAATTATTAGATTGGCAAACCTATTTGTGATATATATAAACAGACAAAACTTCAGTGTCTGAAAATTTCCTGGTAACCAAGTAATGCTTTTGCCAAGTTCTGCACCTTTTTTATATACCTTGATCCTGTCTCATATTTGTGAGGTCTTCCTGAGTCCTTGAATATACTTTATTGCTTTTCCATGGTGCTTGATGAAACTAAAGGTAGGACCAAATTCCCAGCCCAGTAATTTTGTTTTCAAGGAAATTGTTGAAGTTCATTTGTGAAACATAGAGAAAAATATTTTCTGTTTTTAGGGACTCAAGTAAAGAGCAAGCCTATGGAAGTGATTTCCTGTAGTATGTGCCGTATTTCTTGATGGTACTCAGCTGAGAGTGGTTGTTGTAAGGAGGATATATTTAAAGCACAAAGGAGAAAACGATGGGAAAAGAACAGAGCAGCCAAAAACCAAACAGAACACAGCCAAATGATTGAACATAAGTATGATTGGAGTCCTCAATGAAATGGATAGGGGGAAGGACATGAAAAGATGATTGGCGACATTAGTCACCAGGAATATGCAAATTAGAATTATGGTGATATACTGTTCATCAGAGTGGCTAAAATTTAAAAGGTAATACCTGTGTTTTTGAAGATCTGGATTGCTGGAACACATTGCTGGTGGGAATACAAAATGGTGTGGCCATTTTGGAAAACCAGGAATTCTTTAGAAAGTTAAACATACATCTGCCATGTGACTCAGCAGTTTTACTCAGGTATTTTACCCAACAGAAAGGAAGACATTTGTCCATAAAATGATTATACAAGAATGTTCATAGCAAATTTAATTACAGTATTGAAAAACTGAAAACAACCCAATGTTTGTTAACAAGCAAATGAGAATGTGTCATATCCATATAGTGGTGGAATACTCTTAGGCAATAAAAATAAAGAAACCACTGATACACAGAACAACATAGATTAATCTCAGAATTCTTATGCCAAGTAAAGAAGTTACGTGTATAAGAGTACATATCCTTATGTGATCCAGTTTATGTGAAATTCTAAAGAGGATTATGCTGTAAGGGACTGAAAGACAGAAGTTGCTAATGGGGCTACTTGGTTGCCTTCTCGCACTGTGAACCTCTAGCATTTTGAGATGTGTAAAGTTCAAAAAACAGTATTTATGTGTTTGTTTGTTTTGAGACAGAGTCTCGTTCTGTCGCCCATGCTGGAGTGCAGTGGCATGTCTCAGCTCGCAGCAACCTCCACCTCCCAGGTTCAGGCAGTTCTCCTGCCTCAGCCTCTAGAGTAGCTGGGACTACAGGCACATGCCACCATACCCAGCTAATTTTTTGTATTTTTTTTAGTACAGACAGGCTTTCACTGTGTTAGCTAGGATGGTCTTGATCTCCTGACCTCATGATCTGCCCGCCTTGACCTCCCAAAGTGCTGGGATTACAGGCATGAGCCACCACACCTGGCCCAACAATATTTATTTTTTAAAGTCACAATCTCTTGAAAAAGTAGCACTTCATAGAATACTAGAGTTCTGTGGAACCCCTGCACAGGGGGCTCTAATTTTTTTTTTTTTTTTTTTTTGAGACGAAGTCTTGCTCTGTTGCCCAGGCTGGAGTGCAGTGGCCCATCTCGGCTCACTGCAACCTCTGCCTCCTGGGTTCAAGCAATTCTCCTGCCTCAGCCTCCCAGTTAGCTGGGATTACAGGCGCCCACCACCATGCCCAGCTAATTTTTGTATTTTTAGTAGAGACGGGGTTTCACCATTTTGGTCAGGCTGGTCTTGAACTCCTGACCTCAGGTGACCCTCCCGTCTCGGCCTCCCAAAGTGCTGGGATTACAGGCATGAGCCAGCATGCCTGGCCAGGGGGTTCTAATTTTAAAATGCTAATTGATGACTTGTTTTCTTACTTTCGTAACTGGAAGTGGTATGAACTTTGATTAGATATATAGAGTGTATATCTGTGAGTCATTTCTGTAATTATCTTTGTCCCTTCAAGTATTTTTTTAAGGTCAAAGAGCTCATGAATTCTTAATAAATGTGTGAGGTCTTTCTTCTTTCATCACTGTACCTTGGATGCTGAGAAGACACATCTAGAACATCTGATTTATGGTGTAGAAATCATTTTAGTCAGTATTGAACCCTCCATCCCCCTAACTCCACCAGCAGAATGATAGGTGAAATACATTCCTCCAAGACCAAAACTGCTTTGATGTTTGGTGTCCTCTCATTAATACCATCATTGCTGTGGGCTACATTTGGACTGCTTGCTTTCCAAAATAAAAAAATTGTATGTGGTTAGAGCCAAGGGCCAAAGATACATCTCTAGAGCTAAGAATTGCTTTACATTTTTGAAGGTTGCTTAAAAGTATTTAGCAGAGACTGTATATAGCCCACAAAGCCTAAAATATTTACTGTTGGGTGATTTACAGATGAAGTTTTACAGATAGGATATTAGAGAATCCTCTAATATAGTTATTTTCAAAACCAAGATTTTATAAAAATCAAAGTGGAGGCTGGGCATGGTGGCTCATACCTGTAATCCTAGCTTTTTGGGAGGCTGAGGCGGGCATGTCAGTTGAGGCCAGGAGTTTGAGACCAGCCTGGCCAATGTGGTAAAACTCCGTCTCTACTAAAAATAGAAAAATTAGCCAGGCATGGTGGTGTATGCCTGTAATACCAGCTACTCAGGAGGCTGAGGCAGGAGAATTACTTGAACCCAGGAGGCAGAGGTTGCAGTGAGCCGATGTGGGGCCACTGCACTCCAGCCTGAGTGACAGTGATACTCTGTCTCAAAAAAAGAAAAAAAAAATCAAAGTGTGCTGTAACTATCTTATGTTCTTATCATCTTATTAGTTATTTGACTAAGTTTTAAAAAGTCCATGAAAGGACACATGAAGTCATAGTTTAATTTCCAGCATTTTTTCTTTCGTTTATTCAGTAATGCTATATTCTATAGATTTGGTGAAATGTGGCCTGTTTGTTTCAAGATAAATATTAATAAAAAGTCAACTATTACAGAGAAAGACTAAGTACATCTCAGGCAATAAAAATATCAAAATCAGTTACTAGAAGAAGATTTGGTCTAAAGAAAAAAGCTATTTATATTTGAAAGTAATGAAATAGCATTCATCTAAAATTTTAGCAATTCAGTCCTTTCACTAATCCACATTAATCTTCTCTTCTGATGATTTTTGAATAAGTGAGAGTTTCAAGTTTTCACATAAATGCCAATTTTCCATCTAGGTATGCATGGATGTGGGAAAAATTTTTTTCCCCCAATTCTTAAGGTCTTGATTCCGTTTTGTAAGATTTGTATATTGCCTTTATTATAGAGGACAGAAGGGTCATTCTTTCAAAGTTTGGTGTATTAAAATAGATACCGTTATTTTGGTATTGATTATTTAATTTCCTCATAAGTCATGAGAAAACTCAAACAGCCTAGTTTAACTAGATTTTGTAACTCTAAATATTTGCAAAATATTACCTTAAATATTTAAAATGGAGAAATAAAATCATACAGGTATTAAGCTATTTTCCTTCAGCTTCAGACTTACCCATTGAAACTGCTTTGCGAGGTTGGAGCTGAGATCCTACAGACTATATTTCTCTTTTGTAACTAGTTTCCTGTTAGATTTTGCCAATAGATGGTACCAATGGAGATAGGAAAGTAAAAGAGGAGGGACAAAGGACTTTTCTCCTTTTTGTTTGCTTCTTCTTCCTGTTCATGTCTCCACAGCAACAAAGCTTCACCCTGGTAGGAAAAGGAGTGGCAAATGGTTCCAGTTTGCAGTTTTTCCACACTCATAAAACCATCTTCATCACATCCCCTCAGAGATGCCAGCATCAACTAGCCATTTCCTCCCTCTGAAAAATCTGGGTTCCAGCTTTGCAGGGTTCCCCGCTCCAAGCTCTTGACACGTAGTTTTCTTTTCGGAGGTCTGGATCCCAGTTTCATAGGGTTTCTCCTTCAAGCCTCTGAGTTTTCATAGTTCCTACGACTTCCCTTTGTTCCTCTCAGCTCTGGTATTGACAGTTGCTTTTTGCATTTACTATGTCTGTGATACATGTCTGTCCTCCTTTTTGCCTTTTCAGTTCTCCAATTTTCCTGGTTAGCAACTTTTATTAAATTGTCTGTTAAAATTACAGGTGTAGTTTCTGTCTCTTGACTGAACCCTGCCTAATACACTGGTCAGAATACTAGGCCTTTGCCAGCCAAAGTCCAGGAGATCACATTAATAGCTACTGAGCCTCTGCAATGTGCAGAGCCTTTCCCTGTTCTTGGTATCCTGTTGGATGTCTTCTGTGGTCCCAGAGCTGCCTGGGTATACGTCATTATCACACTGCATTGTTGTCTGCTTTTCTGTAGTGTTTCTCATCTTGAGGCCAGTGCTGATGTCTTTTGTCTCTCTGTCCTTAGTTCCTAACACAGGATTCATATAAACTAGGTGAGTCATGATAAAATTACCTGATGAAGGGAGGGATCTTATTTTGATAATTTTTGGCATCTAAAATTCTTCAGAAAATGAGATGTTTAAACCAAATCTTAACCTGGTATCAAAGATTATGTGATACCCTCCAGAAGTCACCTACCTGAGGCTTGATTAGGTTTTTCTAGTTCAGTTGTTAATGAGATTGAATATGCCTCATTCTCACTGGCATATCTTACCAGCTCTTGTAAAACTGTTCCAGGGAAGAATGTAAATCCATCTATCAAGATACCTTTCAAATGATCAGGCCTCTTCCCGTCAACCCTTCCACCTCCATTACGCTTGTAGAGTGAACCCTGTTTCCTTCAATGTACTTTCTTCGTTAGTACCTAAACGTATGCTGGATACAGGGTCATGCTGAGAGTTTCCAAGACTTCTAGATATTTTGATTGCAGTATGCTTTCCTCTCCATTATTTAGTGGGGTCACCTTGGCCTGTATAAATCCCACTTCCAGATCCCTTCCCCCATCATAGTGCATGTTATAGGCTCTTGTGTCATTTCTGTCTTAATACCTTTTAGTGTAGGTTACCTTCCCCTAAGTATAATTAAACAAATCTATAATTACTATGTCTGTTCCTGCTTTATTTCCTTTATAGTGGAGATTTGTTGACTATAGATAGCTTGAATGTCTCGGTTTACTTTATAGGGATTTTTAGAGGAAAAAGTAAATATTTCTTTGAAATTTCTATGTACTTATCAAGGGATATAGATAATTTGTTTTCTGTCTTTCAGAATTTTGATGGGGATTTGGTTTAAACTTTATCTGCTCTTTGAGTTTTATAGTATAAATCTTTTTAAGAAATTGTGTTTATTTTTGTTTACTCTTGAATTTTAATACATCATAGTATGCTAATTAATATAGTGTTTGTCTCCAAATGCCAAAATGTTATGAAATTGTGAAAATTGTTTAGCTATATTCTTTTTCTTGGGAATATGATAGGAATTGCTACCTACTTGAAATTAGGCATGGCCATGTGACCTGATTTAGCCAATGAAATCTGAGCAAAAGTAATGTGTAATACCCCAGATGGACACTTTGAGTGAGTTTGTATAGACAGTACTTTGCCACTGTTTATCCTCTTGCCATAGTAGCAGCTCCTTCAGCCTAGATCCTTGAAGACTTGGAGCAGAGCCTCCAGTCAGTGCTCAGTGGATGTATAACATGAAAGAGAATAAAATCTTTGTTATTATAACCTAGTCAAATCTGACTGCTACAGTTGGTATTAATTAATGTCTTCTTTAAAGGAACATTTATCAAATAAACACATCTCAGATAAAAACAGTTGTTCTCCCATGGTGTATGTATCTTCATGTTTGTCCTTAGTGGTTATAATAATCTGTATAAATTATGAAGAGAATCTGCTGGAATGATTAGTAAGGTGCTTTATTTGTGGGCCAAATAGTAGCAGGTATTAGATACGTTGGTGGGCCAAGAAATGAAGGGAAGCCAAGAATGGAGTGATACATCTTACAAAAGAGACCAAATTTCATACCCGATGACATCAAATTTTATACCTAATGATGTCAAATATAGGCCATTTGTTTCAGGAAAAAAAAAAAAAAGCCATCTGACCAGTCAGTTTTGGAAAGTCATCTGTTGAGAATATACGGTTACCTAGTGGCAGGTCTGGGAAAAAGAAATTCACTCTTTTGACTCTAGCCATATATCCCTTTTTTGGGGTGGGGTGGGGTGGGGTGGGGTGGGGGCGGGCACGGAGGCCGAGTCTCAACTCTTGTCACCCAGGCAGGAGTGCAGTGGCTTGATCTCAGCTCACTGCAGCCTTCGCCTCCTGGGCTCAAGCAATTCTCCTGCCTCAGCCTCCTGAGTAGCTGGGATTACAGGTGTGTGCCACAACACCTGGCTACCTTTTTTTGTATTTTTACTAGAGATGGGGTTTCACCATGTTGGCCAGGCTGGTCTCGAACTCCTGACCTCAGGTGATCCACCTGCCTCAGCCTTCCAAAGTGCTGAGATTACAGATGTGAGCCATGTGCCCGGCCCCTGTATCCTTTTTATTATTAAAATATTTGACCTTGCACACTTACTAAGAAACAGGTAAATAAATATATGTATACATTTTACTGTCTTAAAATCTACTTTTACTTTTTAATTATGCTATTGTTTTTATTCTTTTTTCCCTAAACTTTTTTTTTTTTTTTTTTTTTTTTTTACAAGTTTGCACAGAGTTCTGGGCTTATGACAAGATCCTCACTGGTCCCTGCATAATCTGCATATCTGTGTGTGTATGTAGTTATACAGCAATAAAATAATTAATATCTGTTAACCCAACTTCTTATTGTCAGTAACTTAACTTTTTATGTGCTTTTCTCCTTGCCTCTCCCTAATTTGTAACTGTCATCATAAACTTTATTTTAATCCTTTGTATTTTTAAAAAGCATTATATATAGTTTACCTAAACAGTAAATATATTGTGTGTTTTTATTTTTATAAAAAATACTAAATGTAGTCTTCTGGGACTTCTTTTTGTTAAAGATCACATTACTAATATTTGTCCTTGTTGCATGTGGTTGTAGTTCATTCATTTTTACTGCTGTATAATAACATTCTATTCTATGAATTACCGTAATTTGTTACCTATTATCTGGTCTGTAATAGACATTTAGGTTGTTTCTAGTATTATGCTATTACGGACATGTTGCTGTGACTATTTCTGTTCATATTTTTGGGTAAATGTGTTACAGTTTCTCTTGGATATGTACCCAGGATTAAAATCTCAGGATACCTTTCTCAGGAAGAATTTGAATTTACTGGCCTAATATTATTACTAGTTAACATTTCACCAGATAAAATAAGCTGGATTGCTCTCACAGAGAAGGTAGGGCATGTACAACCCAGAGGTGTAACCTCTCAGTGCTTGCTTTATCAGTTAAAAAGGTTGGTTTTCAAATGGCTAGGTAGGGTAATTTGAATCTCAGAATTATCAGTAGTCTACTATAACCTTTCTGTAGTTGTACTTTGAGAGACGCATTACTTATATGCACACTCACGACCGAGAGTGTTCATCACATAACTGAGATGTAAAATAATTGCCTTCTCGTCTCTCCTGTTTTCGTTTGTTTGTTTTTTGAGACAGGGTCTCACTTTGTCTCCCAGGTTGGAGTGCAGTCACAGCTCACTGCAGCCTTAAACTCCTGGGCTCAAGCGATTCTCCTGCCTCAGCTTCCTAAGTAGCTAGGACTACAGGCACATGACACCACATCTGGCTATTTTTAAATTTTTTTTGTAGAATTGAGGGTCTCACTGTGTTGCCTAGGCTAGTCTCAAACTCCTGGCCTCGAGATGCTCCTGCCTCAGCCTCCCAAAGTGCTGGAATTATAGCCATGAGCCACAGTGCCTGGCCTGAGCTTCCTTTTAATGGGCTTTTTCCCCTTTTGTATATAACCATTTGTATATCAAAATGAGGCACTATCTCAAGTGGTTACAGTTGCTCTCTTGGTTCTATTCTGAGTAAGACCATTATTATCAAAAGCATCAGATGACATTTCTAATAGATCACTATCTGAATTCTCTGAAACTGAACAGCTGTTTAAAACAAATGCCCTTTCTGTGGGGATTTATCATCTGCAAATCAATTTATTATTCATGATGGAAGTATCTACATTCCGAGTGACATTTAAATCAGATTTTATATTTTGAATTTTAATTTATTGCCCAGCAGACAATGTATACAAAAATATGTTTAAAGAAAATAATGAAAATAAGTTTCAGTTGAAAAATATTATCTTGTGAAAGTCAGAGGGATCTGGGGGATTATTTATACAAATGATGGTGTTGAGAAACAACCTTAATAAACCTGTTTGAAGCTTCTCAGCTACTGGTTATTTTTGTCTAAGTTCTTACTGAACTCAGGAGGTAATGGCTGGTATCATTTCATGTAGGGGTTCCAATATAGTGAACTATAATGTCTTGATCTCTACAAGCTTAATAAAGGCAGCCAATTAAATTTTAAGACTTAGCACAGTGGCTCATGCCTGTAATCTTAGCACTTTAGGAGGCCCAGGTGGGAGGATTGCTTGAGTTCAGGAGTTCAAAACTCCATCTCTACAAAAACAAATATTAGCTAGGTGTGATGGTGCATACCTGTAAGTCCCAGCGACTTGGGGGGCTGAGGCAAAAGGATTGCTTGAGCCTGGGCAACAGAGGCTTCAGTGAGCCATGATCCCGTTACTGCACTCCAGCCTGGGTGACAAAGTGAGATCCTGTCTCAAAATAAATAAATTTTATATATGTTGTCACATGGCTCAAACAGTTTTCATGTAAAGTTCACTTTGAGTATGTGGGCTATTATTTGAATTTTTGGCCTTTGAAATAATTATGAAAACATTCATCGTTATTATCCTGGAGTTTCACTCATTTGCAGAATAACTTCATTCTGAAAATGATATAACACCTCCCAAGACTAAGTAATATTAACAGAGTTAATATTTTATCTTTTTGCCCTTAATGCCTCCTATATTGCTGGGGACATGATAGGGCCTGTGTGTGAATGTTTGTTGAAATGAATGAATAATACTTTTTAATATATAGGAGAAAACCTAAGCACAGCAGTTTGTGTGAGACAGTGATCAGAAACTTTGCCAGTTAATAGATTGACTTCAATCAGGGAGACAGAGCCTAAGTCAAAAAAATGACTAATCTCTAGTACTATGTTAGTATTTGCTATCATTCCTTCATTCTGTAGGTATTTATGAGCACCTGTTGAGTGTCAGGATTTGTTCTAAATGCTGAGGATACAATAATGAGCAAAATATATTAATTCCCTGTTCTTAAGGAGACCACATTCTAGTGGAGGGAATCGACAATAGACCAATATATGCCGGGCACGTTGGCTCACGCCTGTAATCCCAGCACTTTGGGAGGCTGAGGTGGGCGGATCACAAGGTCAAGAGGCGGAGACCATCCTCGCCAACATGGTGAAACCCTGTCTCTACTAAAAATACAGAAAAAATTAGGTGGACATGGTAGCGCGTGCCTGTAGTCCCAGCTACTCTGGAGGCTGAGGCAGGAGAATCGCTTGAACCCGGGAGGCAGGGGCTGCAGTGAGCTGAGATCGTGCCATTACACTCCAGACTGCACAACAGAGTGAGACTCCATCTCCAAAAAAAAAAAAAAAAAAAAAAACCCAATGTAGAATGTTAGACAGCAAGACTGTGGAGAAAATTAAAGCAGTTAAGGGGAATAGAGTGTTAGCTGCGTGTAGAGTTCTCACTGTTTTGTACAAGGTGACCAGGGAAGTGATATTTGAGTAGAACCTAAAAGGAAATAAGGAAATGAGCCATTAACATCTGGAGAAAATGCATTCCAAGCAGAGGAAGGGCAAGTGCAAAAAAAGAGACAGCTGCTATAGTGGAATGGGTAGGAGCAGAATGGCAGAAAACGAGGTTAAAAAGGAGATGGGCAGGCCATTTATGAGGCTTATCAGGACCTCATAAACCATTTAAGAACTTTGAGTTTAACAGTTTAGTAAGTGCCAGTCATTGTAGGGTTTTGAAGAAGAGTGATTATGTTATTTATGATTTAATATGTTTGCTCTGGCTGCTGTATAGAAATACACTATGGGCAGTGGGGCAGGGAGGGCAGAGGTGTTGCGGTGGGAGCAGTAAGACGAGTTAGGATGCTCGAAATTTTTTTCTTAAGAGTTGGGGTCTCACTCTGATTCCCAGGCTGGAGTGCAGTGATGAGATCACAGCTCATTGCAGTCTCAAACTTCTGGGCTCAAGTAATCCTCCTGTCTCAGCCTCCTGAGTAGCTGGAACTTCAGACATGTGCCACCCTGCCTGGCTAATTTTTAATTTTTTTTCCTAAGAGGAGGGGTCTCACTATGTTGCCAAGGCTGGTCTTGGAACTCTTGGCCTCAAACAGCTCTCCCGCCTCAGCCTCTCGAGTCACTGGGATTACAGATGTGAGCCACCATGCCCAGTTGGATGCTCTAAACATTAAATTCTAAGCAAAGAGATGATGAGGCTGGGCTTGGATCAGGATTTGAGCAGTTCATGTGATCAGACTTGATACATTTTGAAGGCTTTGGTGATGCATTGATTGTGGAATGTGAGAAAAGGAAAGACAGAGCAAATGTTAGACTATAGTTACCATCCATTTACTGCCATGGTGAAGACTGCAAGAGGAGCAGAGTTTGAAGGAGTAGAGATACACGTGCTATTTTCTTGCTGAAATCTGTCTCATGCTAGATTTTAATTCTTCAGTAGTTAGCAGGTAAGAGAGTTGCTTCCTAACTCTGGAAATTTGCTACTGTGGAAAGAAAATTGAGTTGGGATCCCTAAGGTGAAATTTTAAGACCTGACTCTCTCACTTTCAGAGACTTGGCCAGATCACTTCACTTTTTTGAGCCTCTTCAGGCTCTGTTTCTTTAATCATAAAATAAATTGCTTGGCCCAGGTTGTCTCTAATGTTTCTTCACTTGTCAGAATTGATGTCTCTATCCATTCTGTTTGGAACTGGGTTGATTACACTTTGCCCTTGTCTACTTGTTAACTTTAAGTATTCGTCAAGTTTCTGACCTTCCCTCTTATTACACATACCCTTTCTGGCTTCAGTTGGTTTTATATAAGTGCAGCTCTCAGACTCACACTTTAAACATTGACTTTTTTTCTGAGTTCTAGATTAAATTTGTTCCAATAGGTTCAATCCTTAATTTACTTTTTTCCCCCAAACTTACTTCCTGTGCTCAGCAATTAGTAATTTTGATTATGGTTACTATTATTACTAGTTATTACCTTTCTTATTGAATTATTAATGTTCTGTTTGCTAAGATAGGTTAATTGAAATTCAGCTTGGGAAACTAACCTAGCAAATCTCACAGTGTGATTTGTGATCCTGAGACCCTTTCAGAAAGCCCACAAGGTCAAAACTTAATTTTTCATAATACTAAAATATTTGTACCCGCGCCCCCCCCCGCCACCTTTTAAACTCTGTTGACATTTGCTCTGGTGGTACATATGCAGTGTGTGTAAAACTTCTGGCTCCTTATTTCAAAATAATGGCAGTGGCATTCTTTACTTCACACATACAGGGAAAGAAACAGAAACAGTTTCACTTAAGAATGTTCTTGATGAAGAAGTAAAATGTATTAATTTTATTAAATCTCACCATGTCTGTCTTAATGTCTGTGTGATGAAACCCAAAGCATAAGACATTTCTGCTACATAGTATAGCCATACAATGGAATAGTAAACATCCATTTAGAAAGATGACGTATAGCTACATTTATTTATATAAATGGATCTCCATGAAATAGTTGAGGGGAAGTAGCTGAAATGTAATACTTCATGGGAAAACAGCCTATGAAACAGCATGTATGGCCTGATGGAATTCATGTGAATGTATTTATATATGTTTTTTGGAACATTAGGTTTTGTAAAGTGTTAAAAGTGTCATTGATATTACATGGCCAAATATATTTGGAGTGTCAGTAATACTTATTAGTATATGAAGTCTCTGCAAAATTTTATAGTTTTTCTACTTTATTTGATTTAGCTTTCCAGATTTGACCAAACTATTAATAGTAGTGGGACAGGTGGTTTCTATGTTGTATGAATTCTGTACACCACTTTTAATACCTTTATATGGAAAAACAAACAGTATTTATTACCAAAAACCTGTGTCTGATCCAATTAAACTATTTCATAAACTCTAATACTTTAAAAAATTGTCATCTATTTGAGTAGCAAAATAGCCATAATTTGAAATGTTGTCACTGAAAGACTTCATATTACATCTTTGCTCTTGATTATGGGTCACATTTTTCTGTTTCTTGGTCTCTGATTTTTTATTTGCTGTCAGACATTGTGAAAAAGGACAGTACAGACTGAAGTATTCTGTCAGGTCACTAGTGTTAGGGGCTGAGTCAGTTCAGTTTGGGATGGGACCTTGTTGCAGTTTTAGTTGTCTTTAGTTTACCACTGGTATCAGATGTTGTGAAGGCAGGATGAGGACACTCCCTTTATTAGAGTTTGCCATCTGAGTACCTGTGAGATTCAGGCAATCTCGCCATCCTTTATAGCCCACCCCAGCCTTTATAGCCCAGTTTGTTGTACTGTGGGAGATCCCTCTCTGTTTCACAGCACAGCTGTTGGCATTTGGAGCAGCTGGGACATGTTTTTTTTTTTTCTCTCTCTCTAGCCCCACTTCTGGCTTCGGTCCTTACCTCTGGAGAGAGCACTGAACTAATACCCTGCCACCTTCCTTTGGCCACCTTACACTTAGTGTGCCACTTGAACAGGGGTTTCTCTCAGCTCTTCTGCCTTGTCCTCAGCATTCTGTGGTCCCATCGCCTCACCTTCCCTTATTCAGCTTCAATACTTGGAAGGGATCCTATTGGGAAAGTGCAGATTTGCTTTGTGAATGAGATTTCTGAGATTTTAATCTATCTTGCCCCCGTGTTCCCCTTGAAAAGTCTGTTAAAAGTTGGCTGGTTTCCCCCTCCTATTGCAGGTTCACTTCTCCTTTCACCATGATCCCAGCCCTGTTTTCTTTTCCAGAAAGGGCTTGTTCCTCTAGAATTTAGTTGATTTATTTTCTTTGCATCCTCAGCTTTCTGAGTTTAAAAAACTATGATTTTATAGTTTGTCTGGCTCATTCTTACTGTTAAGCTGGGAGCAACAACAGTCTTTTGTGAGCGTCTATATCATAACCATAAAGCGCTAATCCTGATATATTCTGTTGTGTTCAGCATAATTGGTATAGGTCATATTGAAATTATTTAGCCAATTATTTCAGTAAAGCTCCACTCAAATGAAATATTGACCATATTTAGGCTTGATGGAAAACTGATATAAATGCCTGCTAACACGACAGTTAAAATGTTTTTATTGTGATAAAATATACAAAACAAAATTTGCCATTTTAGTTATTTTTAAGCATAAAGTTCAACGACAATTAAGATTGAAATTTTGTGTAACCATCACAACTATTTCTAGAGCTTTTTCATGTAAGTAGAATCATATAATATTTGTCCTTTTGTGTCTGACTTAGTTCCCTTAGCATAATGTTCTCAAGGCTCATCTGTGTTGTAGCATATGTCAGAACTTCATTTGTTTTTATGGCATCGTATGTATATGCCACATTTTGTTTATCCGTTGATTGGCAGTTTGTTTTCACCTTTTGGCTGTTGTGAATAATGCTGCCATTAACATTGGTGTACAAGTATCTGTTTGAGTCCCTGTTTTCAGTTTTTTTTTTTTTGGTATATCCCTAGGAGTAGAGTTGCTGGGTCATATGATTATTCTGTGTTTAGTTTTTTGAGGAACTACCAGTTTTTCACAATGGCTACACCATTTTACAGTTGCATCAGTGTTCCAGTTTGTCCACATCCTCACTGACACTGCTTTCTGTTTGATAGTAGCCATCCTAGTGGGTATGAGGTGGTATCTCATAGTGGTTTTGGTTTGCATTTCTCCAATGAGTAATAATGTTGAGCATCTTTTTATGTGCTTATAGGCCATTGGTATATCTTTGGTGCGATGTACATTCAAGACCTTTACCCATTTTTAAATTGGGTGTTTGTTTTTTGCTGTTGAGTTGTAGCAGTTCTTTCTGGATATTAAACTCTTGTCAGATATATGATTTGCAAGTATTTTAACCCATTCTGTGGGTTGTTTCACTCTCTTTACTATCATTTTAAATTTAAAGTCCAATATGTCTGTTTTTGGGGGTCTTTTTTGTTGTTGCCTGTGCCTTTGGTGTCATATTTAAGAAATCATTGTGAAATCCAATATCAGGAATATTTCTTCTAAGAGTTTTACAGTTTTAACTCTTATATTTAGGCCTTTGATTCATTTTCAGTTAACTCTTGTATATGGTGTAAGGTAATGGTCCAGTTTCACTCTTTTGCATGAAAACATCCAGTTTTCCCAGCACCATTTGCTAAATAAACTGCTCCCTCCCTATTGAATGGTCCTGGTACCTTTGTCAAAAATCAGGTGTGAGAGTCTGTGTTTGGGTTCTCAATTCTATTCTGTTGGTCTATATATATCTATTCTTATGTCAATACCATAATGTTTTGATTATTGTAGCTTTTTATCTTTTTATTAGGTCTTGAAATGGGGACACATAAGACCTCCACCTTTGTTCTTCTAGTTCAAAACTATTCAAGGTTCCTTGGAATTCCATATAAATTTTAAGATATCGTCGTTGTCTTGCTTTTTTTTTTTTTTTAAATTTGAGACAGGATCCCACTATCACCCAGGCTGGAGTGCAGTGGCATAATCATAGCTCACTGTAAACCGGAACAAATTTTAGACCATGTTCTTTTTCTGCAAAAGAGCACCATTGAAATTTTGATAGAGATTGCATTAAACCTGTAGATCATTTGGATAATGTTGACATCATATTAAGTCTTCCAATCCATGACTATGGGATATACTTTCATTTATTTAGGTTTCTTTAATTTTATTCAACAATATTTTGTAATTTTCAGCATATAAGTCTATCACTGCATTGGTTAAATTTATTCCTAAGTATTTTACTGTTTTTGATGCTATTCTAAATGGATTCTTTTTAAAATTTCCCTTTCATATAGTTCATTGCTAACCTATAGAAATACAACTGATTTCATCATGGCAGTTTTCTTTCTACATCTTAAGGAAATTAGTTTATTAGCTCTAATGGGGTTTTATTTGTGGATTCTTTAAGGTTTTCTTCATATAAGATCATGTCATCTCTAAATAGGGATAGTTTTATTTTTTCATTTCCTATTTGGCTGCCTTATATTTCTTTTTCTTGCCTAATTGTTCTGACTAGAACTTCCAGCACGGTATTGAATAGAAGTGGTGAAAGCAGGCATCTTTGTCTTGTTTTTTATCTTAAGAGAAAAGCTTTCAGTCTTTCACCATTGAATACGATATTAGCTGTGAGTTTTTATATATGGCCTTTTCATGTTGAGGAAATTCCTTTCTCTTTTGTTTATTGAGTGATTTTATCATGAAAGGGTGTTGAATTTTGTAAAATCCTTTTTTTTTTTTTTTTTGCTAAATCAATTGAGAAGTTCATGTGGTTTATCTTCATTTTGCTAATGTGATGTATTACATTAGTTGATTTTCTTTTTTTTTGAGACAGGGTTTTGCTCTTGTTGCCCAGACTGGAGTGCAATGGCCCAATCTCGGCTCATTGCAACCTCCCCCTCCTGGGTTTAAGCGATTCTCCCGCCTCAACCTCCTAAGTAGCTGGGATTACAGGCATGCGCCACCATGCCCGGCTAATTTTGTATTTTTAGTAGAGACGGGGTTTCACCATGTTGTCCAGGCTGGTCTCCAACGCCTGACCTCAGGTGATCTACCTGCCTTAGCCTCCCAAAGTTCTGAGATTATGGGCGTGAGCCACTGCGCCTGGCTACATTAATTGATTTTCTTATGTTGAACCACCGTCGCATTCTTGAGACAAATCCTGGTTCATTATATACCCATTTGGTATAATCTTTTTAATAAGCTGCCGAATTCAATTTGTTAGTATTTTCTTAAGGATTTTTGCATCTATATTTATAAAGGATACTGACTTGTAAAATTTTCTTTTCTTACGATGTCTTTGTTTGGCTTTGGTGTCAGGGTAATGTTGGCCTTATAGAAGTCAAGAAGTGTTACCCCCTCTTCAGTTGTTTAGGAATAGGTTGTTAATTCATCTTTAAATGTTTGGTAGACTTTACCAGTAAAGTCATCTGGTCCTGGGCTTTTTTGGTTGGAAGTGTTTTATACTGATTGTCAGCTCACTTCTTAGGTATATTTTGGTTGTCTCTTTCTTCTTGTGAGTTTTGCTGGTTTGTGTGTTTGTAAGAGTTTGTCTATTTCATTAAGCTATCCAATTTGTTAGCATATAATTGTTCATAGCATTCTTTTATAATCCGTTTTATTTCTGTATAATTGGTAGTGATGTTTCCACTTTCTGATTTTAGTCATTTGAGTGTAATCTCTTCTTGTTAGTCAGTCTAGCTAAAAATTTATTTTGTTGATTTTTTTTTTCTTTTTTGTTTTTTTTTTTTTTTTTTTGAGACAGAGTCTCGCTGTGTTGCCCAGGCTGCAGTGCAGTGGCACGACCTCGGCTCGCTGCAACCTCCACCTCCCAGGTTGAAGCAGTTCTCCTGCCTCAGCCTCCCAAGTAGCTGAGATTACAGGTACTTGCCTTGACGTCCAGCTAATTTTTGTATTTTAGTAGAGATGGGGTTTCACCATGTTGGCTAGGCTGGTCTCAAACTCCTGACCTCAGGTGGTCCACCCACGTCAGCCTCCCTGTGCCCAGCCTATTTTGTTGATCTTTTAAAGAACCAACTTTCTGTTTTGTTTTTTCTCTATTCTTTTTCTATTCTCTATTTTGTTTATCTCCAATTTGGACTTTATTATTTTCTTCTTTCTGCTAGCTTTGAGTTTTGTTTGATGTTCTTTTTCTAATTCTATAAAGTGTACCGTTAGGTTATTGAGCTCTTTTAATGTAAGCTTTTATAGCTATAAACATCCTCTTTACACTTCTTTAGCTACATCTCATATGCTTATGTATGTTGTGTTTTTGTTTTCATTTGCATGAGGGTCTTTTTTATATCTCTTGTGGTTTCTTCTTTGATCAGTTGCTTGTTTGAGAATATGTTGCTTAATTTCCACATATGCACAAATTTTCCGGTTTTCCTTCTGTTTCTGATTTTTAGTTTCATTCCATTTTGATTGGAAAAGAGCTTTTTATGATTTTAGTTTTTTAAAGTTTATTAAGACTTGTTTTATGGCCTGCCTTATGGCCTGTCCTGGAGAATGTTCCATATGCGCTTGAAGAGTGTGTATTCTGCTTGTTAGGTGGAGTGTACTATGTATATCTGATAGGTCTAATACAATAGGTATATAGTGCTGTTCAAGTCCTATATTTCTTTCCTCCCCTTCCCCTCCCCTCCCCTCCCCTCCCTTCCCCTCCCTTCCCCTCCCTTCCCCTCCCTTCCCCTCCCCTCCCCTCCCTTCCCTTCCCCTTTCTGTGAGACAGAGTCTCACTCTGTCGTCCAGGCTGGAGTGTGATCCTGGCTCACTTCAACTCTGCCTCCCAACTTCAAGCAATTCTCCTGTCTCAGCTTCCTGAGTAGCTGGGATTACCGGCATGCACCACCACACCTGGCTAGCTTCTTTTGTATTTTTAGTAAAGACGAGTTCTCACCATGTTGGCCAGGCTGGTTTGAAACTCCTGACCTCAGGTGATCTGCCCGCCTCTGCCTCCTAAAGTGTTGGGATTACAGGCATGAGCCACCACACCCAGCCACGTCCTGTATTTCTTTATAAATCTGTCTGGTTCTTCTGTCCAGTACTTAAAATAGGATATTGAAGTCTCCATCTATTATTGTAGAGTTGTCTGTTTCTCCTTTCAATTCTGTTTTTGCTTAATATATTTTTAGTCTCTGTTTTTAGGTGTGTAAACGTTTATAATTGATATAGCTTAATGTATCGAACCCCTTATAATATATGATGGCCTTCGTGTCTTGTTATCATACTCTGTTTTGTCTGACAAAAACATAGCTACACTTGCTCTTTTTTGGTTACTATTTGCATGGAATATTTTTTCCTATCCTTTCACTTTCAGTTTCTTAGTGTCTTTGTATCCAAAGTGCTTCTCTCTCTTTTTTTTTTTTGAGACAGAGTCTCCCTCCCTCACCAGGCTGGAGTGCGGTGGTGTGATCTCGGCTCACTGCAACCTCTGCCTCTTGGGTTCAAGTGATTCTTCTGCTTCAGCCTCCTGAGTAGCTGGGACTACAGGCACCTGCCACCATGCCCAGCTAATTTTTGTATATTTAGTAGAGATGGAGTTTCACCATGTTGGCCAGGATGGTCTTGATCTCTTGATCTCATGATCCACTTGTGTTGCCCTCCAAAAGTGCTAGGATTACAGGCGTGAGCCACCATGCCCGGCCTTTTTTTTAGTGGAGTTTTGCTCTTGTTGCCCAGGCTGGAGTGCAGTGGTGGAATCTTGGCTCACTGCAAGCTGCGCTTCTCGGATTCAAGCAGTTTTCCTGCCTCAGCCTCCTGAATAGCTGGGATTATAGGTGCACGCCACTACGCCTGGCTAATTTTATTTATTTATTTATTTATTTTTTGAGATAGAGTCTCACTCTGTCACCCAGGCTGGAGTGCAGTGGCATGATCTCAGCTTACTGCAACCTCCACCTCCCAGGTTCAAGTGATTCTCCTGCCTCGGCCTCCCGAGTAGCTGGGACTACAGGCGTGTGCCACCATGCCCGGCTGTTTTTTAGTATTTTTAGTAGAGATGGGGTTTCACCATGTTGGCCAGGCTGGTCTTGATCTCCTGACCTTGTGATCTGCCCGCCTCCGCCTTCCAAAGTGCTGGGATTACAGGCGTGAGCCACTGCACCTGGCCAATTTTTGTGTTTTTAGTAGAAATGGGATTTCACCATGTTGGCCAGGCTGGTCTTGAACTCCTGACCTCACACGATCCACCCACTTCCCAAAGTCCTGGGATTACAGGTATGAGCCACTGCACCCGGTCTCTTATAGACAGCATTTAGGTGGATTGGGTTTTTAAAAAATCCAGTCTGACAATCTCTGCCTTTTAATTGAAGAGTTTAATTCATTTACATTTAAAATACTGATAAGGAAGAACTAATTTTTCTAGTTAGCTATTGTTTTCTGTATGTCTTATTTGTTTCTAACTCCTTAATTTTTTTATTTTTGCCCTTTTATTGCACTTTGCTAATTTTTAAAATAGCATACCATTCTAATTCCTTTGTTTTTTTTCTTTTCTGTAATATTTTATAGTTAGTTTTTTAGTGGTTACCTTGAGGATTATAGTTAACATCTTAAAATGATAGTAACCTCATTTGAATAATACCAACTTAGTAGTATATAAATAGTCTGCTCCTGTATATCTCTGTCTCTTCCCTTTTATATTGTTATTGTCACAGATTACCTTTTTATATTTTATGTGCCCAGCAGCAGATTTATAATTTTTTTTACCTTTTAAGATAAATGCAAATCAAAATCACAATGAGATAACATCTCACACCAGTCGAATGGCGATTACTAAAATGTCAAGAAACAACAGATACTGGCAAGGTTGCGGAGAAATAGGGATGCTTTTACACTGTTGGTGGGAATGTAAATTAGTTCAACCATTGTGGAAGACAGTGTGGCGATTCCTCAAAGATTTAGAACCAGAAATACCATTTGACCAGCAATCCCATTACTGGGTATATACCCAAAGGAATATAAATCATTCTGTTACAAAGATACATGCATGTGTATGTTCATTGCAGCACTATTCACAACAGCAAAGACATGGAATCAACCCAAATGCCCATCATTGATAGACTGGATAAAGAAGATGTGGTACATGGACACCATGGAATACTATTCAGCCACAAAAAGGAATGAGATCATGTCCTTTGCAGGGACATGGTTAAGGCTGGAAACCATTATGCTCAGCAAACTAACACAGAAACAGAAAACCAAACACCTCATGTTCTGACTTATAAGTGGGAGGTGAACAGTGAGAACATATGGAAACAGGGAGGGAAACAACACTTAACTGAGGCCTGTCGGAGGAGGGCAGGGGTAGGGAGAGCATTAGGGAAAAGAGCTAATGCATGTTGGCCTTAATACCTAGGTGATGGGTTAAGTGCAGCACACCACCATGGCACATGTTTACCTATGTAACAAGCCTGCTCATCTTGCACATATACCCCAGAACTTCAAAAACAACAACAATAAAATAATTAAAAAAACAAGAAAAGCAAAAAGTTAAAAACCAAAAGT
The DNA here is from genome assembly GCF_000001405.40 of Homo sapiens. Taxonomy (NCBI): domain Eukaryota; kingdom Metazoa; phylum Chordata; class Mammalia; order Primates; family Hominidae; genus Homo; species Homo sapiens. The sequence continues at coordinate 96,344,776 of NC_000012.12, read as the reverse complement.
GCGTTAATACTCTCTTTTATAATTACCTGTGTAATTACCTTTACCAGTGTTATGTCTTACGTCCTTTCATTATAGCCTGAAGGTTTCCCTTTATCTTTCTTGTAGAGTAGGTCTACTGGTAACATACTTCCTTGGCTTTTATCTGGAAATTTCTCCTTCATTCTTAAAGGATAGTTTTGCTGAATATAAAATTCTTGGTTGACTTTTTGTTTTCTCTCTGGATTTAAAATATGCCGTTCCTATTGCTGCCTGGTCATCACAGTTTATGATGACACATCAGCTGTTAATCTTACTGAAGAGCCCATGTATATGTCTAGTTGCTTTTCTCTTGCTGCTTTCAAGATACTTTATTTGTCTTTGGGTTTCTACACTTTGGATATAATGTGTCTGAATATTGTATCTCCTTTGAATTTATTCTTGGATTTATTTGAAATTTTTGGATGTATGTATTCATGTCTTTCATCAGCTTTGAGAAGCTTTTCACCGTTATTTCTTCAAATATTTCCCCCTTTCTTTTATCTTTGGGGGCTCCTATGCTGTGTAGGTGGGTACACTTGATAGTGTCCCTGTCCGGTAGGTTCATCAGGCTCTATTCATTTTTCTTCATTCTTTTTTCTTTGTATCCCTAAGACTGGATAATTTTAATTGCCTTGTCTTCAAATTTGCTAATCATTTTTTCTGCCTGTTCAAATCTGTTGAACCACTCTAGTGAATTTTTAAATTGTAGTTATTGTAATTTTTAGCTTTGGAATTTTTGTTTGATTCCATTTTATAATTTCAGTCTCTTTACTGATATTCTTGTTTTGCTCATACATTGTTTTCCTGATTTCCTTCAGCTCTTTGAGTATATTTAGGACAGTTGATTTAACATTTTTGACTAGCAATTCCAAATTCTGTGCTGCTTCAGGTTTCTGTCAAATGCTTTTTTTCTTAATGGGCCATGCTTTCCTGTTTGTGTGCTTTGTGGTTATTTGTTGAGACCTAGCCACTGTAGTACAATGTGGTAACTGTGGTTATCAGATTCTCCCACTCATCAGGCCTTTCTTGGCTAGTTGAAGGCTGTTGTCATCCCTTTGTGACTTTCCAAAACCATTTTTGCAAACTGTGTATTTCTTGTGTGTATAGTCACTGAAGTTTCTATTACATTATCTCTGTAGTAAGTCAGTGACCTGACAATGATATAACAATATCTGGTTTAAAGAAGAAGGTGCTGTCTTATTAGATCTTCCAGTAGATGCAGGTGCGCCTCCCCTGCCCGGTAGCCCCAGAGGGCCTAAATAAAGGCAAGCATCTGCCTCTGTGCCTGTCTCTCAGTGATCTGCCAAACTGACCAAAATATTCAAACTTGAATTTTTGGAGGACAAAATTCTCCCACTGCCTGCTATGGCACTAATAAGTCGCTCCAGAGATGGGGGCTGCTATTCCTTACTGTTGTGGCAAAGCTGAGAAATGGGGAATGGTAGCTACTGGTTTGCCCATGTGAGTCAAGATCAGCAGCCTCTGCATGAAGCACTTTCCTGGTTGTTTTTAGTGTCTAATTAGGTTCCATACTTGGAAGATAGTTGATTCTTGTTGTTTTTCCAGTTTACTGGTTGTTTTTGGTACAAGAACCAAGCTCTAGAGCATTCTTCTCTGACATTTTACACCTCAAGTGTCATAATAAACTAATATTGTCTTTCTTATGGTATTTTTGAATGGAGGAAAATCTTTGGTACATTTCTTTTTTTCTAGTTTGTGTGTTTCACTATTCATACTATCAAAAGAAAAGAATCAGCCTCAGATTTGAACACATCAAGGATTAATTTTTTTTTTTAAGACAGAGTTTCTCTCTTGTTGGCCCAGGCTGGAGTGCAATGGCACAATCTTGGCTCACTGCAGTCTCTGCCTCCTGGGTTCAAGCGATTCTCCTGCGGCAGCCTCCCGAGTAGCTGGGATTACAGCATGCACCACCACACCCAGCTAATTTTATATTTTTAGTAGAGACGGGGTTTCTCCATGTTGATCAGGCGGTCTTGAACTCCCAACCTCAGGTGATCCGCCTGCCTTGGCCTCCCAAATTGCTGAGATTACAGTCGTGAGCCACCACACTTGGCCAAGGATTAAAAATTTTAAGTGTTTGTATAAAAAACCTATAGCATGATTGAAATTTTAATTCAGTGCTCTGTCAGTGTTTTGTACAATCACTTCATGGTTTTGTTTGTTTGTTTGTTTGTTTGACATGGCATCTTGCTCTGTCACCTGGGCTGGAGTGCAGTGGCATGATCTTAGCTCATTGCAACCTCCACCTCCCAGGTTCAAGCGATTCTTCTGCCTCAGCCTCCCAAGTAGCTGGGATTACAGGTGCACACCACCACGCCTGGCTAATTTTTGTATTTTACTTTGTGTTTTATGCAAATAACAACATTGTCTCTAATGAAAAAAGTTTAAGTTTTAAACACTGGTTATTCCTCATTCTGTATGATTAGCTTACATGTCCTAGAGTGTGTTGGGTATTTGTCATGGCTTAATTATTGTGGGGAAAATAACAGAATATTTGCTTACATGCCACTTAATGAGTTCACTTTTTTTACAGTAGTTTTTATTTATAGTCATCGTTGCTGAAAATGTTATGAAGAAATAAATCTGTCTTTATCTCTGTTTGATATTTCAGAAAGACTGACAAAAGCAACATTACGTGGAATAATCTTAGTTTCCCAATAAATCCTAGATTTTATTCTTCACAATACTTGATTTGTTCTACGTGTATGTTTTGCTTATTTACCTAAAGGAAAGTCATTTAGTCATTTAAAAACAATATTTAGCCTTTTCTTTAATATTTTGCAATTATTAACAAAAAATTGTTTTAAGAATATTTCAAAAACATAAACAGTGGATTGCCACTCTAATAAGTCCTTTTATATTAGAGTAGCTTGACTATAAGGTGAAATTGTATGCAAAGAGTTTCTTACTGCAAGTGCTGAGAAAACCACACTATAACACCATTTTTACAAGTAAAGACTCATACTAGAACATCTAGTTTGGGAGTATTTTTAGCTGTTATCTTCTTTTAAAACAGTGTATGGTATGCATATTTTTCTATTCCTAAGGCCCAAACTGAGTTGGCATTCTAGAATCATTATCTATATTCCTTAAGTAAATAGAATTCTTACCTTTCCTTAATTGTATAGCAGATAATCCAAGAACAAGTTTAGCCCAAGGCGAAGTAAGATAATTCATTATATTTGCATGTTCCTTTTATGTACTTATTGTTGATAACTGATTTTTGAACATTTTCAACTGTCTTTAAATGGAGAGTTATATGCTGTCATTCTGTAACCCTTTACTGCCCTTTTACCGTTTTAAATTTGATCTAAGTATTACAAAAAGCTAGAAGTGTTTTTGACATCTAGAAAAACATTAGTTTTGCAGTACACACACGTACATATATGAGACGTGTGTGTGTGTGTGTGTGTGTGTGTATGTATATGATAAGTGCTATGAGTAAAAACTAAGGATAGAGGAATAGAGTCAGAAAAGGGCCCTCTGAAGAATGACATTTACACTGAAATGTGAATATTTAGTCATTTACCATTAAGTCACACTGTTTAATCTATCTTAATATTCATAGAAACAATAGCGTAGGATGATGGCCTCCAGATTCATCCATTTATTCTAAGCAAACTAATGTAGGAACAGAAAACCAAATACTACATGTTCTCACTCATAAGTGGGAGCTAAGCAATGAGAACGCATGGACACAAAGAGGGGATCAACAGACACCGGGGCCTACTTGAGGGTGAAGATTGGAGGAGGGAGAGGATAAAAAAACTACCTATTGGGTACTATACGTACTACTTTGGTGACAGAATAATCTGCACAGCAAACCCCCATATATGCAGTTTACCTCTATAACAAACATGTTCATGTACTCCTGAGCATAAAAGTTAAAAAAAGAAATGATAGTGTAAAGATCTTCATAATCTCAAAAATTTTTATTAAACTGATAAAATATTTTAACCAAACTCTTGAGTGTTCCAATTTTAGATAATCAGTAATTTAGCACTGCCCTATTATAGTAAATATTAAAGATTAACCTTAAAGCCAGTGTAAGTAGTAGTTTTTATGTCACAAAAGGTGTTTTTAGTTTAGCATATGTGCCTTTGTTCTCAGCTAACGAAAAAAGTTGATATGCACAGTTCTACTTAAAGATAATTAGAAATGTCAGGGAACCTATTTCATTTGGGAATATTTTTTCTTTAATAATGATCTAGGCTGTGGTAATGAAATTCTTTATTATCTGTGTTTACAAATCATTGTAACTTAATTAAAATTTTACAATTATACCACAGATTAAAAATAGGAACAATTTGAAGATGTGATTTTATTTGAAAATTTTATAGTAAGGTTTAGCTTTATAAGTATTTTTCTCTTGCTTTTATGAATTAGAAATATCTTTCTTACTCCTGACAGAATATAAAATAAGTATAGTTAAAATTACTTTATAGACCAGGATTTTCTTCACTCTTTGATGATGAAATAAGTGCCATGCGTATTATTCTGAGTTAGAAGCGCATAGAATGTCCCCTGATACATTGTTCAAATGCACTATATGAAGAAAAGGTTAAGGTTTATGTGATTCTATTTTTTTCTCTTAGACTCTCTTAAAACCATGCTGACATAGAGCATATAAAATGCTCTATGTCAGCATTGTCCAGTAGAAATGTAATGTGCACCCCATATGTAATTTTTAAGATTTTTGTAGGCATATTTTTTGAAAACTTTTTAAAAGGCAGAGTTAATTTTGGTGATTTTTTTACTTAAACATCTAAAATATTTTTCAACATTATTTTATTTTATTTTATTGATTGATTGATTGAGACAGAGTCTCTGTCACCCAGGCTGGAGTGCAGTGACACGATCCTAGCTCACTGCAACCTCTGCCCCCTGGGATCAAGTGATTCTTATGCCTCAGCCCAAGTAGCTAGGATTACAGGCGTGCACCACCATGCCTGGCTAATTTTTATATTTTTAGTAGAGACAGAGTTTTGCCATGTTGACCAGGCTGATCTTGAACTCCCGGCCTCAAGTGATCCGCTCACCTCGGCCTCTCAAAGTGCTGGGATTACAGGCATGAGACACTGCGCTTGGCCCTCAACATGTTATTAATATAATAGTTATTAACTTTTTTTTGGTGAGGGATAATAAATGTTATTGTCTGAAGCCACTAAGGTTTTTTTTTTTAATTTTTAAAAAAGTTGTAAAATACACATAGCAAAATTCACTATCTTTACCATTTTTAAGTGCAGTTCAGTGGTATTTATTTCATATTGTTCTGCATCTATCACCATTTTCCATCTCCAGAATTCATTTCATCTTGCAAGATGTAAACTCTGTACCCATTAAAGAATAACTTCCCATTCCTGTCCTTCCCCCAGCCCCTGGCAACCAAAGTCCACTGTGTATTTTACAGCTGCAGCACAACTCAGTTTGGACTACGTACTTTTCAAGTGCTTATTAGCCTGCTGTTGGCTACAGTTTTGGATAGCTCAGTTCTGTGCTGTAATAGATACTGAATCCATTTATAGTTACTCTGTGTTACAGAATGTTACTGTTATATGAATTAATTCTGTAATAACATTTCTATAATACTTTGTTATTTTTGTCCTTATTTGTCATCCAGAACAATAGGCAGGTCCCGTGGTCAGCAAAATAGCAAAAGGGTCATTCAAAAATGGTGTGGCAAGATTCTGAAGTGGTGATGTCTGTATAGTCGGATAATGCAACTGTAAAATACACAGTGGACTTTGGTTGCCAGGGGCTGGGGGAAGGACAGGAATGGGAATTTATTCTTTAATGGGTACAGAGTTTACATCTTGCAAGATGAAATGAATTCTGGAGATGGAAAATGGTGGTAGATGCAGAACAATATGAAATAAATACCACTGAAACTGCACTTAAAAATGGTAAAGATAGTGAATTTTGTTATGTGTATTTTACAACTTTTTTAAAAATTAAAAAAAAAAAAACCTTAGTGGCTTCAGACAATAACATTTATTATCGCTCACCAAAAAAAAAGTTAATAACTATTATATTAATAACATGTTGAGGGCCAAGCGCAGTGTCTCATGCCTGTAATCCCAGCACTTTGAGAGGCCGAGGTGAGCGGATCACTTGAGGCCGGGAGTTCAAGATCAGCCTGGTCAACATGGCAAAACTCCATCTCTACTAAAAATACAAAAATTAGTGACTAGATGCCTGTGTTTGAAAAAGTTGGAGTCCGAAATGTTGGTAGTTATGAGCTACCATCTCTTAGGACTTTTTGCTGGGGCACGTAGATTTCTTGGAGTGTGCGTTGGGAATCCCCAAGACCAACCCATCATGCTTGATGATTTGCTCGAAGGACTCATAGAACTTAAGAGAAAAGCTGTTAAACTCATGGTTATGATTTGTTATGGCTAAAAGATGCAGATGAAAATCAACAAAGGGAAAAGGTATGTAGCTTGAAGTCCAAGAGGATCCAGATGTGAGCTTTCATTTGCCTTCTTCCAGTGGAGTTGCATGGGCTATGACAACATGCAAAGAGCTTCAACCAGGGAAGTTCACCTGAGTCTTGTTGTGCAAGAAAATTACTGTGGATCTATTAGATAGGCATGGAGTGCTCATATGACTGACTTTAGTTACTCAGTCTCCAGCCTCTCCTGCAGGTCCTTCCTCACCTAAGAAATCAAACTGATATAGTGTGGGCCAGAGCCCCAGGCATACAAAAACAAGCATTAACCATAATTCATATTGTTTATATAGATTACCTGATATGATCCAAGGTGTCAGTTATGTAGAGACACTCTTATCAGGCAGGATATTCCAAGGGCTCGGAGGTTATCTCCCAGGAGCCTCTCACAGACTAGTGCTTTTTTCAGAATGTGCAGAGTTAGAGTACCCCAAGCCTCCCTAGTTATTTCTTGACTGCACAGGATGATTTGGGAGCCTAACAAAGGAAGATGTCTCTAGTGTAAAGTAGTGTAAAGTCTTACAGAAACAAAGGGTAGATGAGAGTGGCAATAGCTCAGTACAACTTAAATATCTAGTGTGTTTAAACAAATGGCATGAGTTACTGACTGTCAAGGTAGAGCTATAAAGGTTGACTATCAGAAGTAAAGAATAGCATTTAGAGTAACCCTACAATTAACAGGTTTCTTAATTGGAATGAACTTCATGGTTTACTTTCTCCTTTGCTTGGGAAGTGCATATATTATCTCATCTAATCCACATCAAAACCTCCATTTCTGCCTATGATGGAGTAACTTGTAACAGACTAAAACTGCTGAAAACTAGAAATGCTAGGGGAAAAAATCATTTTGAAGGCATTGTAAAGCTTCTCAGTGAATCAACACTTGAAGAGTCAAGATTCAGGAGAGAAGGGAGACAGACACACTCTGTGCTGGTTTTCCTCTTGATCCATTTTCCAGCTCTTAAGCTATTGGGGGTAAGAAGATAAAAGCTGAGCAAGGCATAAGAGATGAGCAAAAAACGACTGAGGAAGTTGAATGGAGCTTTCAATAGTTTGTTGTGGTGGTGTTCTGGCCCTAGTGAAGAGCCACACCATAGAGTGAGGACAAATCAGAGGCCTACCTATCTTTGTAGTGTCTGAAACTCAGTCTCAAGTCAGCTCAGTCCCAATTGGATTGCATCAGTCTGCTCCTACAGAGACTGTTAAAAAAAATAAAAATTAAATCCTTTCTGGAGGAAGGTAACATCATCTGGAGGCTCTACGTTTTTTCCGTATACATATGCATATGATAACTCACAATGTCTTACATACAATAAAAAATTACTAAGCATACAAAAAGATCAAGAGAAGAAAATTGACAAGAGAAACAGATTGATAGATTGTTCAGACTTTGGAGTTAAAAGCAGGGGCTTTAAAATACTGTATTCGGTTCATGAAAATAGATGCTGAGGTGGAGAATTTCACTAGAGAACTGGCATCTGCAGGAAGGAGTCAAATGGAAATTCTAGAGCTGAAAAATATAGTAACTAAAACTAAGAGCACAACAGATGGGTTTAACTGCAGATTAGACACAGCTGAAAAGAGGATTTGTGAACTGGAGGATACGTTAGTAGAAAACATTAGGCATAAACTCGACTTTAAACTGAGCTAAGGAATAGAAACTTTTCAATATCTCACCAAAGTATGTCTCTTATTTTAGAGCATGTGGGTGAAAAGAGTCCTTATTAAAGTGCAGTCGCAACTCTTGCTATTTTAATGTGTATTTAGTATTTTTTGGTATTTTTATTTTAGTGGATTTTTAAAAAATTATTAAAAAACATTATTTAAGAGAGCATCTTATTCTGTCACTCAGGCTGGAGTGCAGTGGCACATTTGTAGCTCACTGCAGCCTCAAATTCATGGGCTCAAAGTGATCCTCCCACCCCAGTCTCCTGAGTAGCTGGGCATACAGGCAGATGCCACCATGCCTGGCTAATTTTCTTTGTTTTTTTCAGTAGAGACAAATTCTCGCTGTTTTCCAGGCTGGTCTTAACCTCCTGACCCCAAGAGATCCTCCTGCCTTGGCCTCCCAATATGCCAGGATTACAAGCATGAGCTACTATGCCCAGCTGGTTTCTATTTTAAAATATAATATGAAAGTAGTAAAATATAAAATTATTACTTATGTTTATTTGTGATACCTCCCCCCCCAGCTTTTAAGCAAAAATAAATTATTCTGTAACTAATATGCATAGATTACCTGTTCAGTAAACTCAGTTACTTAGAATAAATCCTTAGAATGAGAAAATAAGCAAAACATTTACAGCTATAAAATAGATATCTGGAGCTGGATGGTAAAACCCCTGTACTTTAATATAGAGGAGTTGTACGGCCCTTACTCTTGGTTGGTTGGGATAATGGTTATAGTGTGCATGGCAATCTGGTAAGCCAGCTCATCATAGAAATACCAAGTTAGAAAGGAAATTGTGGGTCAAGAATTTGGGTTTGGCATAAGTACCTTGTTTCATCATATCCAAGACTCTACTATGAATTATACCATTAATTTATGTACCTGTAAGAAAAAATACTGTCAGTTACATTTTGACATCACATTAATTGTGAGATACATTCTGATTTCAAAGATGTTAAAGTGTGAAGGAAAAAGTAAATGGTAATTCTGGTTTTAAATCTCAGTTCTGTCATTTATTTGTTTGACATGAGTCAGGGAACTTCTTTGAGCACGTTTCCTCATGTGTGAAAATGGGATAGTATACTTTACCTTTCAGAATTAGGAAGACACAATTAGAGATATGAAAGTGTCTGCTGTGTGGCAGGCATTCAGTACCCGCTAATTTGGCTTTCGTTTCTTCCTTCTAAAGCTTGGTTCTCTTAGGATGAAAGAGACACTTGAAAGCCTAACAAGTAAAAACAAAACCAAACTCTAATGTACTGGCTGTGTAAGAGCGTAAAAAGGAAAATTTCTTGTTGGAGCTGTTTAATTGTCAAACATTGTTCTTTGTCTTCCTCCATTACCTCACCCGCCTCCCTGTTATATCTGAAGATATCACTGGCTGGTTCCAATATAATGATTGATATTTATGTTATGGAACCTAAGCATCAAAATAATATTGATATTTTACTATAATGGTTTTTAAAATACACATTTTAAGAAAATTTCCAATCCTTCTAAACTTATTTGTGATGCTTAAAGTCCCACTCTTTAGTTACATGGAATTCCTGCTCTTCTGATGATGCCAAATAAATACAGCATTATTCGGAGTAGGTGAATCTTTTTAAAAAAGGGGTTGGATTTGGTGATGTTTGGCAGAAGTGAGAATTCCTCATTATATTCCTATTTTAAAGATTTCCAGTAAACCCAGGCGGTATTTTTCTTCAGTGGTAAAATATTTATAGCTTTAGTTTTGTGTTTATTCTTTTCTTTCAGGATTTTTCAAGCCACATTCAATTGATAGGATGAAAAAATTTAAGAGAAGGCTATCCCTCACACTCCGAGGAAGTCAGACTATTGATGAATCATTGTCTGAATTGGCTGAACAAATGACTATTGAAGAAAACAGCAGCAAGGATAATGGTAAATATTTGGCATAGGGGGAGATGCTTCCTCCTTTTAATTACTTTATGAATAGAATGTAAATTTACTTTTTAGATAAGTTCATAATAGCTTCCCTTTGTTTATTTCTGTCTCATTCCATGGTTTCTTAGGAAATTGAAGACTATATAACTTTTGTTTGGTTACTAACTGGAATATTTCCCTCTCACTCCAACATTACGATACCTGGTCTCAAACCCTGATGAATTGTTCTATTCCACATATCCTTCCATTTTTCACTAGTTCTTAAAGAAGAATGCATTTTATAATATTATCTTGATTGTTAAATAACTATTAATTTTTTTTATTCTTATAACCCAAGTTAATACAGCTTAAAAGTGCATAGGAAGTCTGTGAAATTTCTGTTTGTGGCTTCATCAGTTTCATAATGTTTCATGCATTTGACAGTGCTTTTTACAACATAAAGTAGTAGTATCCAGATGTTAAAATAAAAAGAGCTTGTTAAGTGTGTTAAATACAAAATCCTGGTGAAATTTCTAGAGGAAGGCTACATATTCAAATCTGAAATAGCCCTAGGGATGTCATAGTAGTAACTGGGAAGGAACTTACGTGACTGGCTTTCAGTGTGTCATGATGTGCAGAGTATCTGGCAGATCTTCCTTACCTGTGCCTGAAATTCTGCTGTTAGAGATTTGTGGCAGTGGCTGGAAAGCATGGACACCCTTACCCCTTCCACTAGAATGCACATACTTATGTTTTGAGAGAGGAAAAGGTATAGTGGAGTGGGCTCTGGACTTTTTAAAGTCATAGGTTTGGATTTTGGATACACTTAAACACTTCCTAGTTGATGACTGGCTAAGCCGTTTATTCTACCCAGGCTTCAGTTTTCTTATTTCCTTTACTCAGAAGGGTCATTATTTGCTCAAGGTTACCCAGCTCCAGAACCAGTACTTTAGAACCCAGGTTTCTTCACTTCAGAGTCTATAACAATGCTACTGTTCTGCAAGGACCCTTTCATTCATTTGTTAAGGTTTTCCTTGATAACATCTACCTTTTTTTTTTTTTTTTGAGACAGTCTCGCTCTGCTGCCCAGGCTGGAGTGCAGTGGCACAATGTTGGCTCACTGCAACCTCCACCTCCTGGGTTCAAGTGATTCTCCTGCCTCAGCCTCCTGAGCAGCTGGGATTACAGGCATGGGCCACCATGCCCAGCTAAGTTTTTTATTATTTTTAGTAGGGATGGGGTTGGGGTTTCACCATGTTGACCAGGCTAGTCTTGAACTCCTGACCTCAAGTGATCTGCCTGCCTCGACCTCCCAAAGTGCTGGGATTACAGGTGTGAGCCACCACGCCTGGCCTTGTTTTGTTTTTGTCATGGTGGGGAGGAGAGAGGGATGGGCTCAGTAGGAAATTTAATATAATAATTTGGATAGAATTATATGTAGGAGGGGAAAATTGTACATTTGGGTCAAATCTCAAACATCATGATTTTACTGTTGTTCCTCTTGCCAGAGGACCTATTCTAGATACACAGAGCAAAATCCTTAATTCTCTTTTAGACCCCCTCATTGAATTTTTGGTGGGACCCCCCCCCATTGAATTTTTGGTGGGAAGCGCAGTGTGCCTACTCTTAGGATAGAAGGGTCTTGCCAATGTGTTTGCCAATGATGATCAGGAATAAAATAAACACAGTATATATCTTAGTGGTTGGTTTCTGGGACATATTTTTAGTATTTGACTACAAGACAATCCTCTTTTCCTAAAGAAAAGATATGAGTCAAAGAAAATGAACGTATGTTTTAGCTAATATTTTAGACCAATTGCATATTTTCTAGAATATTTTGGTATTAACTATCATAAAACATGCTTTGTTTTTAACAAATGGTGAAAGATTAAAAATATTTGTTTTCTCAAGTTGTATATGTTTTTTAAAACTTATTTTATTACAGTAGTAACTTTTAATAGGTAGTAAATAAGGGCAAATAGGCGATCTATTGAGTTTCTCCTTGACCTTGAAGTAATACTTCAAGACGTCATAAGAGACATTGATTCCTCTTGGGTTACAAAGATTGCTAGTAGCATAGGCTACCATAATCTACTATGCTTATTTTCTCTCTGTAATAGCACATGGATTTCACCAACAGCTTTCACAGAGATTCTACACCTTTTTGGTCACCTGTCAGTGCCTGATAGCTGATTCCAACACATTCTTTTCTTGTGGAACATATTTTAGAGTATAAAAGCTGTTAGACAGGTCACATACACAGACACAGTCCATGCCAGAATACAGAGAATATAGCATAATGAATGACACGTATATACTTTTAAAGTTATCTTCTCACATACAATGTAAGCAGTTTATGAAGCAAAAGTGAGCTTTAATGCCAAATAGTAGCATAATGCTAGCTGAAGGAGTAGGAGGAATATACAGTCATGCATTGCTTAACAGTGGGGATGCATTCTGAGAGATACGTTATTAGGCCATTTCATCATTGTGCAAACATCAGAGTATATCAAAACTAGGTAGTATAGCTTACTACACACCTAGCCTACATGGTACAACCTGTTACTTATAGGCTACAAACCTGTACAGTGTATTATGGTACTGAATACTGTAGGTAGTTGTAACACAATGTTGTTTGTGTATCTAAGTGTATCTAAACATAGAAAAGGAAATGCATTGTGCTACTATGTTACAGCGGGTGTGGCATCACTGGCATCACTAGGCTATAGGAGTTTTTCAGGTCCATTATAATCTTATGAGACCACTGTTGTATATGATGTCTGTCATTGTCTGAAACGTCACATGGCACATAACAGTAGTTTATAATTTCCCTGAATAAACTGCCTTTGGACCAATTTTTGATCACTTGTCTCTTGATTAGTCACAGGCATGATCACAGTCCTATTACTCTTGCATATCTAGGCACATGGCTCTCATGCATACTCTAGATCCAGAACACATTAATTGGGGGTAATACTATAAACATGTTGGAGAAATTATGGGTATGATGCGTTTGGTTATACTTATACCCATAATCTCACTCATGCATGCTCTACCTCTATCCAAATACAATAGAATATCCCAAATGAGATATTATCTCTCTTATTTTGATAACTGAGTCATATATGAAGGTTTTTAACTCAGTTATAAATCTATAAATCAAATTACTTTGTCTATTTATAGAAACTAGTATGTTTGCACATTGACAGGTGGGTTGAACCCAAGGAATGATGAATCCTGAATTTGTATTCAGTATGCTAAAAAAAAAAAAGTTGAAAGTTTGCAAATTTGGTTCATTTAAGGATTCTGGCCTTAACTCAATACACCTTTCCCTAAATATGAAATAAAATTTTTGCAGAAAAATTTCCAAACTGAAATGTACAAAATATTTTTTTCTGTAGTGCCTGGAAGAAAAAGAATTTTGAGCCCATCAGTTTTCTTTTTACTAACTGAGAAGTGTTTAATGTTCAGTTTTTAAAAACCTGTCAAGGCCAAGCATGGTACCAGGCTTATGCCTGTAATCCCAGCACTTTGGGGAGGCCGAGGTGGGCAGATCACTGGAGGTAAGGAGTTCTAGACTAGCCTGGCCAACACGGTGAAACCCCGTCTCTACTAAAAATACAAAAATTAATGGAATGTGGTGGCGCACGCCTGTAGTCCCCCACCTGCTCAGGAGGCAGGAGAATTGCTTGAACCCAGGAGGCGGAGGTTGCAGTGAGCCGAGATGGCACCCCTGCATTCCAGCCTGGGTAACAGAGCTAGACTGCATCTCAAAAACAAACAAACAAACACACCTGTCAAAAATTAATTTACCTCAGTTCTTCAAAAAGTTAAACATAGACTTACTATATGACCCAACAATTCTGTTCCTAGGAATATACCCCAAATAATTGAAACAGGTAATCAAAGTCTTGTACACAAATATTTATATTTGTAGCAGCACTATTCACAACAGCTAAGGTGTAAACAACCCAGATGCCCATCAACAGATGAATGGATAAACAGAATGTGGTCTGTCCATAGAATGGAATATTATTCAATACATAAATGAATGAAGAGCTATGTGCTGTAGCATAGATGAACTTTGAAAACTGAAAGGAGCCAGACCCAAAATACTCTATGATTCCATTTATATGAAGTATCCAGAATAGGTAAATCCATAGAGACAAAAAGTAGATGAGTGGTTCCCAGAGGCTGATAGGGAGAAAAGACTGAGGAGTGACTGGTTATTGTGTATGGGATCTCCTTTAGCAATATGAAAATGTTTTGGAACACAGGGAGGTGATGGTTGTACCACATTGTAAGTATATGAAATGCCACTGAATTGTATACTTTAAAATGGTTAATGTTATAAGAATTTCATCTCAATAAAAAATTCAGTTCATCTGAGCTTCAGCTTTCCCTCATAAACACTCAATGTATTTGATGTCTTTTTTTTTTTTGCTGTCACTGCAGCAGAACAGATGTTTGATAAGTCTTAATTCTATTTTAAGACTTATCACAGAAAGTTATATTTCAGAATCTTGTGTTTACATAGCCTTGAACTTATTTTTTCTTGTAATGGGACGATATATTGAGATTATTGAATTTGATGAGAATAGGTGACAATTTAAATGTGAGGAAGAGAATAAATCACAGTTGTAGAAAGGTAAAATTATGTTTTATTGCACATATACTACTTGAGACTTCTTGACCAACTGAAATTCTTCAGCTAATGTACATGTTCCCAAGAAGTGTAGTCAGATAAACCTAACAGAATGTCACTTATCATGATTATTTAGCATTAGAAGTAACACCAAAAAGCAAAGATTAAAATGACCTGGTTTTCCTGATATTCCAAATTCTCATTCTTAACAGCTCCGTTTGTACACTGGAGCAATTTGTCAAGTTTGGAGTCAACAAATTCCAGTTTTATGGATATTGTGAGCCTCTGTCTTTCACCTAGGTCTCTTTATCTTGCTGATCTCTTACATGTTAGCTGTGACAGTTTGTCTTCGACAGTTTGTGGTTACATCATAACAGTAATTGTTTTTTACAACAGTGGATAACATAGGGAGTTTAAGGAGGACTAACTCCAACAAATAGCACAAGTTCCTTGAAAGGTTGACGCTGAAGGCATAAACTCCATTGGATATATGTAGGATCTAGAATGGGATCAGGCTAGTAATAATGTTTGAAAGAGCAGGTTTGGGAGGAGGGAATGGCTTAGGCTACAAGTTGGGCTATGAAATTGCATGTTCCTGATCATAGTTCACGTAATGAAAAGATCTAGATAAATAAGATGCCAAATAACGTTTCTTAGTGGAATCATAATGATTATCATGTTGTGGTGGTAAAAATCATTGGAAATCCTTACTTGGAACTAATTATAGAGTATAAAAGATCTGCAATTTTTCATATAGATTTCTATTACTTTTTAAAAGTTATGGTAAAATATATATAATACAAAGTTTAACATTTTATAGTATACAGTTCAGCAGCATTAAATACGTGTCTATTTACATTGCGTAACCATCACTGCTACCCATGTCTATAACTTTTTCATCATCCCAAACTGAAACTCTGTACCCATTAAACAATACCTCCACATTCCCTCCTCTCCCCAGCCCCTGGTAACCACCATTCTACTGTCTATGAATTTGCCTATTCTAGGTACCTCATATGAGTGGAACCATATAATATTTGTCCTTTTGTGTCTGACTTATTTCCCTTAGCATATTGTCGCCAAGGTTTCCATTACTTTTTAAAATACAGAGTGTTATTATCTTATTGAATTGGCCAGCTAATTAGTTTCAAGTTCTGGAAGTGTTAGAATATTTTATTGTATTTTATTGTGGCTCTCTCATGGGCCGCAATCTCTTCTCTGTCTATACCCTCTCCTTGGGTGACCTCCTCCAACCCTACAATTTCAACTACCATATATATGTTGACTACTCCTAAGTCTGAATCTCCAGTTAGGATCTTCATCTGGATCTCTAGATTCATATTTAAATGCCTTCTTGTCTTCTCCACATGGATGTGTAATGGGAATCTTAGACTTCACATGACCAAATCAGAATTCTTGATTTCCTTTCTCCAAAATCTGCCTCTACTCAAACTTTGCTCACTTAACCAGTTACTAAAACTAAAAATCTAGGCATTGTCCCCAATTCTTTTCTCTCCTTTACTTTACTGTTGTCTCCTCCCTGCCCCCAACCCCCACCATTGTAGCTTCCTATTTTTTACCACATAAATAACTTAGAAACTCATGATTATGATAGTCATCTGTATCAGTGGTCCCCAACCTTTCTGGCATCAGGGACCAGTTTTGTGGAAGACAGTTTTTTCACAGACTGAGGTTGGGGGAATGGTTTCAGGATGATTCAAGCATAGTATATTTATTTTGCCTTTTATTTCTATTATTATTATATTGTAATATATAATGAAATAATTACATAACTCACCATAATGTACAATCAGTAAGAGCCCTGCCCTTGTCTTCCTACAACTAGATGGTCCCATCTGAAGGTGATGGGAGACAGTGACAGATTATCAGGCGTTAGATTATCATAAGGAGCATGCAACCTAGATCCCTCGCATGCACAGTTCACAACAGCGTTAGTACTCCTATGAGAATCAGTGCCACCACTGATCTGACAGGAGGTGGAGCTCAAGCAGTAATGTGAGCAATGGGGAGTGGCTGTAAATACAGATGAAGCTTTGCTCACTTGCCAACTGCTCACCTCTTGGCCTGGTTCCTAACAGGCCATGGACCAGTACTGGTCTGTGACCCAGGAGTTGGGGACCCCTGATCAATGTGACTGATACACAATTCCAGTTATAGTCCATTAACACATCATATTTCATATATGTTTAACAGTTGATCTGGTAAAGATTTAAAAATATTTTGGGGCTAGGCATGGTGGCTCATTGTAATCCCAGTGCTTTGGGAGGCTGAGGTGAGGAGGATCACTTGAGCCCAGGAGTTTGAGACTAGCTGGGAAACATAGCAAAACCCCATCTCTACCAAAAAGACACAAATTAGCCAGGTGTGATGGTGTGTGCCTGTAGTCCCAGCTATGGTGGGGAGGATGAAGTGGGAGGACCACATGAGCCCAGGTGGTTGAGGCTGCAGTGAGCTGTGACTGCACCACTGCACTTCAGCCTGTGCAACAGAGCAAGACCCTGCCTGGAAAAAAAGAAAAAAAAAATATTTGAATAGATGTTTTTACTATAAATGCTGACTAAAAGCTGGGTGGTAGGAGTGTGTGTGAAACTAATTTAGCAGTCGTGTCTGCTGGCCTGTTGCTTCTGCCTTTGTAATATGTCCTAAATCTGCCTGCTTCCCTCCATCTTCAGTACAGCCACCCTAGTCTAAGCCACCAACATTTGTTACTTAGGGTACTGTAGTAATCTCCTCCTTTTGCTGTTGATTCCCTATTGCCTGTTTTTCAAACAGCAACCAAGATGATATCTTAAAAAATTGTTTTCAGTAATTACAAATATAAAGGAAGTTACAAAGATTATATAGAAAGGACCCATACTTGTACCCTTCTCCCAATCCCCCCACCATTGGTTCCATCTTATGTAACTATAGAACCCAGGAAACAGATACTGGAATAAAGTCTAAATATAGTTCTGTGTCATGTCCTCACCTGTGTTGATTCGTATAACCACTGCAATCAAGATTAAGAACTGTTTCATCATGACAATAGATCTCTCGTGTTACCTTTTGTAGTCTTCCCTACCCCCTTACCTCCTACTATCTTTAACCCTTCACAGTGATATTTTTGAAACATGAATCAGATCATATCACTCTCCTGCTTCAAAGCTACCGTAACTGCTTCCAATCTGAGAATAAAATTCAAACTTTTATGGTGAAGTATAAAGTGTTGAATGACTTGTTCCCTCCTTACCTCTGTGGTCTCACCTGGTACCACTGTTGCCCGCACGGTTAGGTACTATAGCTACACTTGCCTTCTTTCTAGTCCTCTAACACAGTGGTTCTCAAAGTGTGATCCCTGGACCAGCAATGTCAGCAGGACCTGGGAATTTGTTAGAAACACATATTTTTAGATTCCACACCAGACCTACTGAACCAGGAAGTCTGTGGGTGAGACCGAGCAATCTCATGTTTTACAGATCCTTGATGATTCTGAAGCATGTTAAAGTTTGAGGACCACTGTTCTAACAAGTCGAACTCTGCCATATGTCGGCTTTTCATTAGCTTTTTTCTCTATCTGGAATATCCTGTTATCCACAACTTAACCATCTTCCCTGACTGGCTCTTTCTTGCATTTAAATTTCTGTTAAAAATATCTCAGCAGAGAGAACTTTCCTCAATATACAGTGTAAAATAACTAGCTACTCATTTCCACATCCCTCTATTTTAGTCTTTTGCATATCGCCTGTCATTACCTGACTTCGTGTGTGTGTCTTTTCCCTGTTAGGTTTTATGCACTCTGAGATCAGTACTTTGTTTTGTTCACCAGTTGATGCCCAGTGCCTAGAATAGTGTTTATCAAATAGTATGTCCTTATGATCCCCATTTTTTTTCTATATTCTCCAGAACAATCAAGCTGTATTCTCCAGGACAGCTTTACAGAGCAACTAAAATGTTGTCTGTAGGCAAAAGATTTGCATAATTTGTTTTTAATATTTGAATGTTGTGATATTTCACATGTGAAATAACCTAGAAAGAGAAAAAAATCTTCATTTTTCTTTTCTCTTTCTTGAGACAGGGTATTACTTTGCCACCCAGGCTGGAATGCAGTGGCATTATCTTAGCTCACTGCAGCCGCAAACTCCTGGGCACAAGTGATCCTCCCACTCTAGCCTCCTGAGTAGCTGGGACTACAGGTGCATGCCATCATGCTTGGCTGAGAAAAATCTTATTGTATGCTGTAGCCTGTATTATCCCACATTGTTTGTAATTATTTATGCATTTATATCAGATAGCCCCTCTTCATTCATTATTAAATCATTGATTATTTTGCTTCACTTAAGATCCCCAAATTCTTTATCAGTTAGGTACTGCCAGGGAATGTACAGATCACAGGAAACTTTAGACACATGTTCTGTATTACTAGGTAGGCATTTGCCCCTACCTCCAGTCTGTCTTTGACCCAGATTAGATAGCTTGGACCTTGGGTGAGCCTTTGGGCCCTTATGCCCCATCCTTCTTATACCCTTTTAGGCAACCAGTATTCGTAGAGGCTCAGGCCACATGGCCTTCTTGGCCCATTTCTCTGGAGCCCATACCCTGGTCCTGTTCTGCGGATCCTAAGATTTTCTTGTGAGAGAAGCCTTTCACTTTAAGGCTTGTAGCCAACTCCTGTCAACCTGTCCTTAGTTGAGAAACCTTAGTTGAGAAACAGGTAGAGGAATCCCCTGATCAGGAGGTATCCTTATGCCTGATTGTTAACTGCAGAAGAATAGTTGGCTTCATTTTAAAAAGGAATCCCCTGATCAGGAGGTATCCTTATGCCTGATTGTTAGCTACAGAAGAATAGTTGGCTTCATTTTAAAAAGAAGGTATTCAGAGCAGCCCAGTTCTTTTTAAAACTCCTTGGCTGCTATCAGTAAAAACAAAATTCTAATATAGAAGACTAATTGTGTATCACAAGACTTGTATCTTTAACCTGTATCAGAGCTCTTCTTTGGAGGTGGAAAGGAGTCAAGAGATTCCTGATAAACATTACAAAACAGTTTCTCCCCCATGCATAATTAAATAGCTTTTAAGTATTATATTTTTTTAATGTTTCTGCTTGGTTATGGGTCTGTGATTGTTTAAAAACTCTTTATATTAATCCCAAATTCAGGGGAATAAACTTGGAGCCTCTGTATTGATATGTATTTAGGTACTTCGGTTTTATTCACTAATTGACATACCATTTTGAATGTCCAGCAAACAGGGATGTAAATTCCTTTAGGCCGGGACCATGTCTTTTATATTCTAAAGCATGCTTAATTTCTTTTTTTTTTTCTTTTTGAGACGGAGTCTTGCTCTGTCGCTTAGGATGGAGTGCAGTGGCGTGATCTTGGCTCACTGCAACCTCTGCAACCCGGGTTCAAGCAGTTCTCCTGTCTCAGCCTCTTGAGTAGCTGGGACTACAGGCGCATGCCACCATGCCCAGCTAGTTTTTGTGTTTTTAGTAGAGATGGAGTTTCACCATATTGATCAGACTGGTCTCAAACTCCTGACCTCAGGTGATCCGCCTGCCTCGGCCTCCCAAAGTGCTGGGATTACAGGTGTGAGCCATGCACCCAGCCAAGCATGCTTAAAATAAGGCACACAGGTAGTCAATAAATGGAGGAGTGGTATGGAAACAATCTTGAGATACACTAAAATAAACAAATGGATGAAAATTTGGTTGGGTATATTAGTAGTTTTGTGGTTCTTAGCCACTTTTGATTATATAAGAAATAGATGGTTATTAGACCAACTTAAAATATTCAAGTATTTTCTTAAGTATTTTTTCAGAGAAACTATTTTAATTTTAATACTGTGTATAGTTAAGCAAAGCAATGAGGCTAAATGTACTAATCTCTGTTACAACTTTTTGTTTTGCTTTCTGAATCCTTCTCATGTGATCCTGGATCTTGGACTGATGATGGAATGATTTTCGAATTCTATGAACCACAGAGCCTATTGTGAAGAATGGCAGGCCTCCAACGTCTCACAGTATGCATTCCTTCCTCCACCAGTACACAGGATCTTTCAAGAAGCCCCCATTGCGGAGACCACACAGTGTTATTGGAGGGAGCCTTGGCTCCTTCATGGCAATGCCCAGAAATGGAAGCAGATTAGGTAATTTGATTACTTGTCTGTTGTGTTTACCTTTCTGATTATACGTCATGCACATAGTTAAGTTTTAATTAAGCAACTTTTATTATCTCGTTTCTTCTGTCAGATAAAAATCAAGTTGAGATCAAGAGGAATAGCAGAAGGATGGAAAGTTCTAGAGAGGTAGTAGTGCTGACAATACAGGGAAGTAATATTTGAAAAACCTGTCCATCAGGAGGGAAATGAAACCCATAATAAATGGATGCAGTATTTCAAGATGAATGGCAGTTTGGGATGGTGTTTATTTTAGGGTAATGCCTCAGTAACTTTTCAGATCATCACCATATAAAGCCTATTATAATGAATAGTATATGTGGTTATCACCTGAATTGTTTCTTCTTCTGTCATTATGTCTTTAAATATCCAAGAAAAAAGAATTGCAAGTTTCTGTTTATTCCTCTGGCCTTTTTTGATGATGCCTTATGTTTTTATTTTTATTTTTATTTTTTTTGAGACAGTGTCTCACTCTGTCACCCAGGCTGGAGGGGAATGCAGTGGTGCTATTGAAGCTCACTGCAGCCCTGACCTCCCAGGCTCAAATGATCCTCCCACCTCAGCCTCCTGAGTAGCTGGAACTACCTGTGCATGCCGCTACGCCTGGCTAATTTGTTTGTTTGTTTGTTTTTGTTTTTTTTTTTTTTTTAGAAGACGGGGTCTCACTGTGTTGCCCAGGCTGGTCTTGAACTCCTGGACTCAAGTGATCCACTTGCCTCAGCCTCCCAGAGGGCTGGGATTACAGGCATGAGCCACCACACCTGGCCTATTATGTTTTGATTTTTAAAATCACTTCAAGTACAACTATTTTATAGTCTTCTTAGATAATTATATTTACTGAAGCTCCTTGGGGTTTTATTCTACTGCTCGTTTTATGTGCTTACTCTTGGAATAGTATATTATTTCCAAATGTGTTTCTTTAATTTTGGGAGTATGAGCTTATCTACAGTGAGATTTTTTCTGTGAGAACTGCATATAGCCTTTATCTCTGTAGGTGTGTCTCTACAGAATGGTATGCTGGAGTTGGCTCACACTAGTTCATAAGAGATGATTGTTAAAGTTTCAGGAACTTTGCAAACTGGTTGTTAAACATAGCTATTAAATTTTAAATTATATAAGTTTACAAATAGGTAAACTAAATTAAAAACAAAGGTAATGAATATGCAAAAGTCATTGCTTCCTAATTTTTTACCACTTTTAACTATTATCTATGCCACCGGCGTTATTTTTTTCTGTTCTAGTTATAGTCAAAAACACTATATAATGGTATGCTACTGCACATTTCTTCCCAACCATATGTTCAGTGTTGTCATGTTGGTAGCCTGAAGTTGTCCATGGAGAGAGAAGTCAGAAAACACTACAGATCAGGCCCTGGCTTATTGTTTTCTTGTTTGTCTAGACCAGGGTTTGTTTTTTTTTTTTTTGTAAGGGGGCAGTTAGTAATAAATATTTTAGGTTTTATGGGCATACAGTCTCCATTGCATATTCTTCTCTGTTTAATAATCCTTTAAAAATACAAAAAACATTTTTAGCTCATGGGCCATATAAAAAGAAGCCACACTTGTTCTAGACCCTTGTTCTAGAACTAAGACAGTGTATTGAAAATGTTAGTAACGCAGATTAAATTTAAAGGGTATTGTGCTGGAGGAGAAAAGTATGTTGTATCTGCCGCTGTTACATTACCTGATCAGCAGAGAGATATCCCTCTTCCCCCCTTGACAGATGAGTAAAGTTCTGACAAGCCATCATTGTTTCACGTTTGTCTTGATGGAAATGAAAATACCGACTGGTAGTCATGTCAGAACTACACTTGTTTGTTAATGACGTGAGTAATTTCTTGTTTGGGTCAGATGGTACTCAAGTATTTATTCATAGTCTGAGATTAGTAAGCTTTCTTTGTCGTCCAATTCCTTGTGCAACAGGACAGATTTTTTTTTAAGTGTGAATTTTTTTTTTTTATTATACTTTAAGTTTTAGGGTACATGTGCACATTGTGCAGGTTAGTTACATATGTATACATGTGCCATGCTGGTGCGCTGCACCCACTAACTCGTCATCTAGCCTTAGGTATATCTCCCAATGCTATCCCTCCCCCCTCCCCCCACCCCACCACAGTCCCCAGAGTGTGATATTCCCCTTCATGTGTCCATGTGATCTCATTGTTCAATTCCCACCTATGAGTGAGAATATGCGGTGTTTGGTTTTTTGTTCTTGCGATAGTTTACTGAGAATGATGATTTCCAATTTCATCCATGTCCCTACAAAGGACATGAACTCATCAATTTTTATGGCTGCATAGTATTCCATGGTGTATATGTGCCACATTTTCTTAATCCAGTCTATCATTGTTGGACATTTGGGTTGGTTCCAAGTCTTTGCTATTGTGAATAATGCCGCAATAAACATACGTGTGCATGTGTCTTTATAGCAGCATGATTTATAGTCATTTGGGTATATACCCAGTAATGGGATGGCTGGGTCAAATGGTATTTCTAGTTCTAGATCCCTGAGGAATCGCCACACTGACTTCCACAATGGTTGAACTAGTTTACAGTCCCACCAACAGTGTAAAAGTGTTCCTATTTCTCCACATCCTCTCCAGCACCTGTTGTTTCCTGACTTTTTAATGATTGCCATTCTAACTGGTGTGAGATGATATCTCATAGTGGTTTTGATTTGCATTTCTCTGATGGCCAGTGATGATGAGCATTTTTTCATGTGTTTTTTGGCTGCATAAATGTCTTCTTTTGAGAAGTGTCTGTTCATGTCCTTCGCCCACTTTTTGATGGGGTTGTTTGTTTTTTTCTTGTAAATTTGTTTGAGTTCATTGTAGATTCTGGATATTAGCCCTTTGTCAGATGAGTAGGTTGCGAAAATTTTCTCCCATGTTGTAGGTTGCCTGTTCACTCTGATGGTAGTTTCTTTTGCTGTGCAGAAGCTCTTTAGTTTAATTAGATCCCATTTGTCAATTTTGGCTTTTGTTGCCATTGCTTTTGGTGTTTTGGACATGAAGTCCTTGCCCATGCCTATGTCCTGAATGGTAATGCCTAGGTTTTCTTCTAGGGTTTTTATGGTTTTAGGTCTAACGTTTAAATCTTTAATCCATCTTGAATTGATTTTTGTATAAGGTGTAAGGAAGGGATCCAGTTTCAGCTTTCTCCATATGGCTAGCCAGTTTTCCCAGCACCATTTATTAAATAGGGAATCCTTTCCCCATTGCTTGTTTTTCTCAGGTTTGTCAAAGATCAGATAGTTGTAGGTATGCGGTGTTATTTCTGAAGGCTCTGTTCTGTTCCATTGATCTATATCTCTGTTTTGGTACCAGTACCATGCTGTTTTGGTTACTGTAGCCTTGTAGTATAGTTTGAAGTCAGGTAGCGTGATGCCTCCAGCTTTGTTCTTTTGGCTTAGGATTGACTTGGCGATGCGGGCTCTTTTTTGGTTCCATATGAACTTTAAAGTAGTTTTTCCCAATTCTGTGAAGAAAGTCATTGGTAGCTTGATGGGGATGGCATTGAATCTGTAAATTACCTTGGGCAGTATGGCCATTTTCACGATATTGATTCTTCCTACCCATGAGCATGGAATGTTCTTCCATTTGTTTGTATCCTCTTTTATTTCCTTGAGCAGTGGTTTGTAGTTCTCCTTGAAGAGGTCCTTCACATCCCTTGTAAGTTGGATTCCTAGGTATTTTATTCTCTTTGAAGCAATTGTGAATGGGAGTTCACTCATGATTTGGCTCTCTGTTTGTCTGTTGTTGGTGTATAAGAATGCTTGTACAATGTATAAGATTTTTGTACATTGATTTTGTATCCTGAGACTTTGCTGAAGTTGCTTATCAGCTTAAGGAGATTTTGGGCTGAGACGATGGGGTTTTCTAGATAATCATGTCGTCTGCAAACAGGGACAATTTGACTTCCTCTTTTCCTAATTGAATACCCTTTATTTCCTTCTCCTGCCTGATTGCCCTGGCCAGAACTTCCAACACTATGTTGAATAGGAGCGGTGAGAGAAGGCATCCCTGTCTTGTGCCAGTTTTCAAAGGGAATGCTTCCAGTTTTTGCCCATTCAGTATGATATTGGCTGTGGGTTTGTCATAGATAGCTCTTATTATTTTGAAATACGTCCCATCAATACCTAATTTATTGAGAGTTTTTAGCATGAAGGGTTGTTGAATTTTGTCAAAGGCTTTTTCTGCATCTATTGAGATAATCATGTGGTTTTTGTCTTTGGCTCTGTTTATATGCTGGATTACATTTGTTGATTTGCGTATATTGAACCAGCCTTGCATCCCAGGGATGAAGCCCACTTGATCATGGTGGATAAGCTTTTTGATGTGCTGCTGGATTCCGTTTGCCAGTATTTTATTGAGGATTTTTGCATCAATGTTCATCAAGGATATTGGTCTAAAATTCTCTTTTTTGGTTGTGTCTCTGCCCAGCTTTGGTATCAGAATGATGCTGGCCTCATAAAATGAGTTAGGGAGGATTCCCTCTTTTTCTATTGATTGGAATAGTTTCAGAAGGAATGGTACCAGTTCCTCCTTGTACCTCTGGTAGAATTCGGCTGTGAATCCATCTGGTCCTGGACTCTTTTTGGTTGGTAAACTATTGATTATTGCCACAATTTCAGCTCCTGTTATTGGTCTATTCAGAGATTCAACTTCTTCCTGGTTTAGTCTTGGGAGAGTGTATGTGTTGAGGAATGTATCCATTTCTTCTAGATTTTCTAGTTTATTTGCGTACAGGTGTTTGTAGTATTCTCTGATGGTAGTTTGTATTTCTGTGGGATCAGTGGTGATATCCCCTTTATCATTTTTTATTGTGTCTATTTGATTCTTCTCTCTTTTTTTCTTTATTAGTCTTGCTAGCGGTCTATCAATTTTGTTGATCCTTTCAAAAAACCAGCTCCTGGATTCATTGATTTTTGAAGGGTTTTTTGTGTCTCTATTTCCTTCAGTTCTGCTCTGATTTTAGTTATTTCTTGCCTTCTGCTAGCTTTTGAATGTGTTTGCTCTTGCTTTTCTAGTTCTTTTAATTGTGATGTTAGGGTGTCAATTTTGGATCTTTCCTGCTTTCTCTTGTGGGCATTTAGTGCTATAAATTTCCCTCTACACACTGCTTTGAATGCGTCCCAGAGATTCTGGTATGTTGTGTCTTTGTTCTCGTTGGTCTCAAAGAACATCTTTATTTCTGCCTTCATTTCGTTATGTACCCAGTAGTCATTCAGGAGCAGGTTGTTCAGTTTCCATGTAGTTGAGCGGTTTTGAGTGAGATTCTTAATCCTGAGTTCTAGTTTGATTGCACTGTGGTCTGAGAGATAGTTTGTTAAAATTTCTGTTCTTTTACATTTGCTGAGGAGAGCTTTACTTCCAACTATGTGGTCAATTTTGGAATAGGTGTGGTGTGGTGCTGAAAAAAATGTATATTCTGTTGATTTGGGGTGGAGAGTTCTGTAGATGTCTATTAGGTCCGCTTGGTGCAGAGCTGAGTTCAATTCCTGGGTATCCTTGTTGACTTTCTGTCTCGTTGATCTGTCTAATGTTGACAGTGGGGTGTTAAAGTCTCCCATTATTAATGTGTGGGAGTCTAAGTCTCTTTGTAGGTCACTCAGGACTTGCTTGATGAATCTGGGTGCTCCTGTATTGGGTGCATATATATTTAGGATAGTTAGCTCCTCCTGTTGAATTGATCCCTTTACCATTATGTAATGGCCTTCTTTGTCTCTTTTGATCTTTGTTGGTTTAAAGTCTGTTTTATCAGAGACTAGGATTGCAACCCCTGCTTTTTTTTGTTTTCCATTTGCTTGGTAGATCTTCCTCCATCCTTTTATTTTGAGCCTATGTGTGTGTCTGCATGTGAGATGGGTTTCCTGAATACAGCACACTGATGAGTCTTGACTCTTTATCCAACTTGCCAGTCTGTGTCTTTTAATTGGAGAATTTAGTCCATTTACATTTAAAGTTAATATTGTTATGTGTGAATTTGATCCTGTCATTATGATGTTAGGTGGTGATTTTGCTCATTAGTTGATGCAGTTTCTTCCTAGTCTCGATGGTCTTTACATTTTGGCATGATTTTGCAGCGGCTGGTACCAGTTGTTCCTTTCCATGTTTAGCACTTCCTTCAGGAGCTCTTTTAGGGCAGGCCTGGTGGTGACAAAATCTCTCAGCATTTGCTTGTCTGTAAAGTATTTTATTTCTCCTTCACTTATGAAGCTTAGTTTGGCTGGATGTGAAATTCTGGGTTGAAAATTCTTTTCTTTAAGAATGTTGAATATTGGCCCCCACTCTCTTCTGGCTTGTAGGGTTTCTGCCGAGAGATCCACTGTTAGTCTGATGGGCTTCCCTTTGAGGGTAACCCGACCTTTCTCTCTGGCTGCCCTTAACATTTTTTCCTTCATTTCAACTTTGGTGAATCTGACAATTATGTGTCTTGGAGTTGCTCTTCTCGAGGAGTATCTTTGTGGCATTCTCTGTATTTCCTGAATCTGAACGTTGGCCTGCCTTGCTAGATTGGGGAAGTTCTCCTGGATAATATCCTGCAGAGTGTTTTCCAACTTGGTTCCATTCTCCGCATCACTTTCAGGTACACCAATCAGACGTAGATTTGGTCTTTTCACATAGTCCCATATTTCTTGGAGGCTTTGCTCATTTCTTTTTATTCTTTTTTCTCTAAACTTCCCTTCTCACTTCATTTCATCTTCGATCGCTGATACCCTTTCTTCCAGTTGATCGCATCGGCTCCTGAGGCTTCTGCATTCTTCATGTAGTTCTCGAGCCTTGGTTTTCAGCTCCATCAGCTCCTTTAAGCACTTCTCTGTATTGGTTATTCTAGTTATACATTCTTCTAAATTTTTTTCAAAGTTTTCAACTTCTTTGCCTTTGGTTTGAATGTCCTCCCGTAGCTCAGAGTAATTTGATCGTCTGAAGCCTTCTTCTCTCAGCTCGTCAAAGTCATTCTCCATCCAGCTTTGTTCCGTTGCTGGTGAGGAACTGTGTTCCTTTGGAGGAGGAGAGGCACTCTGCGTTTTAGAGTTTCCAGTTTTTCTGTTCTGTTTTTTCCCCATCTTTGTGGTTTTATCTACTTTTGGTCTTTGATGATGGTGATGTACAGATGGGTTTTCGGTGTGGATGTCCTTTCTGTTTGTTAGTTTTCCTTCTAACAGACAGGACCCTCAGCTGCAGGTCTGTTGGAATACCCTGCCGTGTGAGGTGTCAGTGTGCCCCTGCTGGGGGGTGCCTCACAGTTAGGCTGCTCGGGGGTCAGGGGGTCAGGGACCCACTTGAGGAGGCAGTCTGCCCGTTCTCAGATCTCCAGCTGCGTGCTGGGAGAACCACTGCTCTCTTCAAAGCTGTCAGACAGGGACATTTAAGTCTGCAGAGGTTCCTGCTGTCTTTTTGTTTGTCTGTGCCCTGCCCCCAGAGGTGGAGCCTACAAAGGCAGGCAGGCCTCCTTGAGCTGTGGTGGGCTCCACCCAGTTCGAGCTTCGTGGCTGCTTTGTTTACCTAAGCAAGCCTGGGCAATGGCGGGCGCCCCTCCCCCAGCCTCGCTGCCGCCTTGCGGTTTGATCTCAGACTGCTGTGCTAGCAATCAGCAAGACTCCGTGGGCGTAGGACCCTCCGAGCCAGGTGTGGTATATAGTCTCGTGGTGCGCCGTTTTTTAAGCCGGTCTGACAAGCGCAATATTCGGGTGGGAGTGACCCGATTTTCCAGGTGCGTCCGTCACCCCTTTCTTTGACTCGGAAAGAGAACTCCCTGACCCCTTGCGCTTCCCAGGTGAGGCAATGCCTCGCCCTGCTTCGGCTAGTGCACGGTGCGCACACACACTGGCCTGCGCCCACTGTCTGGCACTCCCTAATGAGATGAACCCGGTACCTCAGATGGAAATGCAGAAATCACCCGTCTTCTGCGTCGCTCACGCTGGGAGCTGTAGACCGGAGCTGTTCCTATTCGGCCATCTTGGCTCCTCCCTCTGATTTTTTTTTTAAATGTACCCTGTAAGTCTCAAAAGTGTAGCACTTTGGGAGTTGAGCCTTTCTGTGGGAAGGTCTCACTTGTAACTCAGAAACCCAGGGCTTCATTTTTTATCCCAATGTGGAAGGTAAACCCAGGGACCTTCTCATCAACATCAGCAGCCTCTCCTAAGACACTGATAGAGTCAATTTATGTATAACAGCTTTGGGTTTTCAGTCCTCTCTTTGTTTTTGCTTCCTAGGTATTACCAATACATTCTTGCACATTTAGCTGTGCATTTTAAAATATTGTATTTTAGTCAACATTTTCTTGAGGAAAGGGAGATTTTCATATCTCACTAGAAATGGAAGCCATGATTAAATTATTTTTAACATTTTGAAGGTGTGACAGAAATGAATACAGGACCTTAGATGTGTTATATACCAAATTTTAAGAGGTTAGGAATCAATCACCAATACATTACTTTTGCTGCCAAATTAATTTTTTGTTCACATATCACCATAAAATTTCTATGGAAATCTCAACATAACTGAAGTGTATTCTTAGATTACATATTGAGCTATTAAAAATCCATTACCATTTGCAACTGCTTATGAATATTAATTGGAGTTTTCTTAATATTGAGTTAACCAAGACAAAAATACAGACATAAAGTGAGTTTTAAGATAGAGTTGATATAAGACCCTTGAGTTCAAATTTCTCCTTAATCTAAGCAGTCCTCATGATTTTATATGTAAATATTATTAAAAGTTAACATTTATACTTATAAAATACAATTGTCTCACACATTGATATTTTATATAACTTTATTTGAAAAAGAGATCTAGTTATCTAGGCCATTCCTTGATTGTTAGTTAATATGCAGTTCCCTTGAATACTTGTTAAGCACCTTCTGAGTGCCAGACAGTTGGTTAAGTTCTGGAAATAGAAAAGTGAACAAGCTAAATCCCATCCCCAAGGATCTTATAAAATCACATGCACCAAAAAATGTTCTTCAGTGCAGTGGGTGGGGGCACAGTAGTCAACTGTGTCTGAGATTAGAAAAGACTTCACTGAGTGATGACACATGAGCATAGTTTGAAGACTAAGCCTGATCTCACAAAGTTGATAAAATAGGAAAAGGCATCTTTTAAAAACGAGAAAAAAAGTGTGTTAAAGCACTGCAGCATGAAACAACATGCTTCTTTCTGGAAAATGAATACGTGTATAGAAAGTAATAGTGGCAAGAGAGGAGTTCTAGAGATCCAGCATTTGTTTCCTAGTACACTCTTCTTGCTGGGTTATTAGATAATGACTGACAAATGCAGGTATATGAGTATACAACTTGGCCAGATGTGGTGGCTCATGCCTGTAATCCCATCACTTTGAGAGGCCAAGGTGGGTGGATTCCTGAAGTTGCAGTTTTTTGAATTTTTGCAATCAGACCTTGGTGATGACCTTGAGCAGTAGGATATAAGTAGCTCCCACATGCTTAGCTTCCAATAATGGAACACTAGGCATAAATGGCTACAAGTTCAAGATGAGCCTGAACAACAAGGCAAAACCTTGTCTCTACAAAAAAAATAAAATAAAATAAAACAAAACAAAACACCAGATGTGATGGGTGCCTGTACTCCCAGCTACTTGGGAGGCAGGAGGATTGCTTGAGCCTGGGAAGTAGAGGCTGCAGTGAGCCATGGTTGTGTCACTGCACTCCAGCTTGGCCAACAGAGCAAGACCTTGTCTCAAAAACAAAACAGTATATGTCTGTTTTTAATATTTTCAAATGGAATTTATCTTCCTCCCCCTACTTCCATTTAACTTTTATCTCTATTAAGCATGCCATAACCCACCTTTTTTGTAGTATGTTTTTGCTCTGAACAGATTTTTGAGTATTTGAAGATCATAAACTTGTTTTTGTAGTTCTGGTACAAAATAGATATTCAGTGAATAATTTTTTATTGTTTTATTTTTAACATTGGGGGTGCAGGGAGGAGAAACTGCATTAGAAGCTTTTAAGAGGTGTTTTAAAGAATATTCCAAGAATTAGCTCCATTTAACCATAGACCCAGTGACACATTATTTAATTGAAAGAATACTAAATAAGAGGCAGATGACCAGGTGTCTATTCCAGCTCTGCATCTAAGCTTTGTGAACTTTTGAAAGTCATTTAACCTTTCAAGTCTCAGTTCCCAGATCTAGAAAATGAAAGAACTGGCTCATTCTCAGAGATATTATTTCCAGTTTATAATTTTATTACTCAACCCTTGATAATAACTTGAATGTTAATTTTTTTCATAATTTGAAAGTGTAAAAAGATTTCATACTATTTTAAGACATTTGAGTCATGTTTTCATCTATTAACTGCATACCTGTGGCACCCAGAATGTAAATGACTTTTTATGCTGTGATTTTTACTCGTTGGCCTTCTATATTTTACCCATAGTGATAATAAATTATATATTAGAATATAATGTATCTCTTTTAATGTCTCATTTTTTGATATAGATATTGTTCATGAAAATCTAAAAATGGGATCAGATGGTGAGAGTGACCAAGCTTCTGGGACATCATCTGATGAAGTCCAGTCACCTACAGGTGTTTGTCTCAGAAATCGTATACATAGACGGATCTCAATGGAGGTAATCATTTAAAAAATACAAATATACTTGTGAATATGTGTGTTGGTATATGTTAATACACATACATATCAAGTGGAGTAAATGCCCATTTAAAAATTTTCATGAAGACACGTGACACTTGTAAGAAAGTTACTTCTTTGCATTCATAAATTGCAGTCTGTGAATATTTCCTCTTTTTTAATTTTTATCCCAATGTAGATATGTAATATAGTTGTTCGCATTCTGTGAAACATTTTATTTTAATTTTTTGCGAAACGTTATTTTAGGTTATCCATTAAGGAGAAGTGAATTTTCAAAAATTCTGGAAATACAGAATGATACATTAGCAATGTCTTCTTTTTAGAAAATACGATTTTAATGATATTTTTGAGATTCATCTGGATAATTAGCATTTTATTTTCTCTGTTTCAAATTTTAAGAGGTATAAATAAACAGCTTTTTTTTCTTGCATTATATTATAAAAGTGGGTGTCCTTTCCTTTGTGGTTCACTGTACCTACTGATCTCTGAAGCACATTTATTTCTCCGTGTAAAAGGATGAAGAATTCATTTTCTTTTCTTTGTAAGTGTTGTGGTATAACCTTGAGGACATAAGTTGATCGTGACTGTTATTTCAGTACGTACTGTAAACTAAAATAGGTTTCTGCAAAAAAAAATTGAACATGTTTTGAAATGAAAGTATTGTTGCTTTTTTGGTGCTGTTGAGATGATGATTAAGGTATCTCTCCTATTGGTTGATTATATTTTCATTATAAAAGGATTCTTCTTAATCAGTTAAGGAAATCTTATCAGTTTTCTAAATGATAAATTAACATTTTCACTTGTTGAAATCAACGATATATTTATGTGACACAATACTAATGAAAATATTTCTTATTTTTCTTCACCTTATAGATGATTTTTTAAAATCATTTGTTTTATTTAGTATTAGGGTCTGTATCTGGAGTTTCTCATTCTTCGTTGAGCTATAATTTGTTTCCCCACCACCAAGGAGGCATGCTCTAGATTATATTCTTTTTATAGTATATATTTTTTTCTGGTTTATGAGACAGGGCCTCACTCTGTCACCCAGACTGGAGTACAGTGGTGGGATCTCAGCTCACCACAGCCTCAACCTCCTGGGCTCAAGTGATCCTCCTGCCTTAGCCCCAAGTAGCTGGGACTACAGGCACACACCACCATGCCCGGCTAATTTTTTTGTATTTTTTGTAGAGACAGGGTTTCACCATATTGGCTTCCCAAAGTGCTAGGATTACAGGCTTGAGCCACTGCGCCTGACCTGTAGTATATTTTAATATCTGGAAAGACTTCTTTCTGTATCCCTCCCCCATATACACATATACTCTTTCTTATTTTAGAATGTTTTTGGATTTTTTCTGTTTATTCTATTGATACATTTTAGGCATTTTATTTTGTTCTAAGAATAAGCTTATTGTGATTTCTTAGTGGTTATATAACTTATAAAATTAATATAGGGAGGACCAGTATCTTCTCCTTACTTATTCTTACCATTTGGTGGCATTGTATGTTTTTATACTTAAGTCTTATATTTCTCAGTAAATATTTATGCAGTTCCTATACCTCTCCATTCCGTTTCATGGTTTGGCTGCTGTTATGAATGGGAGGAATTTCTTTTTATAGGGCTTAAATTTCTTGATACAATGATATAGGCAAGATTCTTTTCAAGTTTATCCCAGCTCACATTGTATAATTAAATAAAGTAGAAATGCCATTAACATGGCAGTAATAAATACAATTCTCTTTCCCCATGTTGCATACAAGATCATATAATGTCTACTTGGTTAGTTATTTAAACTGATCACAGAGTTTGTGGTAGTGTTTGCCTAATGTTACTATATGGTATAATAAATTTAAAGTAAATTTCAAGTTGAATTTACCAGTGAAAGGACTCAAAAATTACTGAGGTTGCAAAATTTCATTTCTGTAACACTTCGCTGTATACTTTTGCTTACAGTAAATGTTTTTGCCATGAGTATATTACATATAATCAATGTAGGTAACTTTGCAACTGCAATAAAACTTTACAATTACTTATCACTAAGAAATAATATGTTAGAGCCTGTGAATACAAAAGCCAAATGCCTTGCCTTTACTATTTTGGATTACCTTTTTTTTTTTTTAAGGATTTAAATAAGCGGTTATCACTGCCTGCAGACATCAGAATACCTGATGGATATCTTGAAAAGTTGCAGATAAACAGTCCACCATTTGACCAACCAATGAGTCGAAGGTCTCGTAGAGCTTCCTTAGTAAGTTTTTGGTCTCCTATACCTCCACCATCAATCAGATCTGCTTGTTTGCTGCTTCTGGGTGTAAACATTTTAAATTAATTTTTATACTTGACTTTAGAATAGCTAAATTTTATTATATTGCCTTCTCGATTTTTATTATTTTCCATTCTTAAAGGTTTATTGGAGTCCTTAAGATGCATTCAATAGGATGCATATTGGAATAGGATTTAAGGTATATTTTATTTTTGGTAAATGTTATTAATACATGCTAGGTAGATAAATACATACTAGATATATAGATACACTAGATATGTGCTGGATAAATAAACATGTATTAATATATACTAGATATACAGAGAAGTACACAAACCATAATTGTACAGCTCAACGAACCTTTGAAATGTTAATATACCTGTGTAACCAGTACCTGGATCAGTAAAAGAAAATTTCAGAAATCCCAGAAACCCCCTTCTGTTCCCTTTCTCTTTACTTAGTATTCCTCACTTCCTCAACTGTAGCCATACTCTCTGCCTTCTGATGCTAAAGATTAGTTTTACCCATATGTGTGACATTGTTCTGATCATACTGTTTTTATAGTATGTTTTGGTATCTGGATCTTCTAAAATCCCATTCACATATATTCTTATTTGTTTTTTAAATGTGTAATATTCTCTTTCTGATTATCCTTATTAAAACGTCTGAGCTTTGTGTAATTATGAATATGTAATTATATTAAAATATATTTTATGTAGATATACAGAATTATATACTTATACAAAGTTTGTATATATATATTGCACAATATGTATCCCAGTATGTATGGAAGTTATACAGTATGTATTATTTTTGTTGTTAGCTTCTTTTGTTCAGTGTTATGTTTGTGAGTTTCAGCCCTATTTTTGCATGTAATTATAGATAATTCGTTTTCATTGTTGCATGGTATTCCATTTATGAGTGTACTGTACTTCATCCATTCTCCTATCGATGGGCATTCTGGTTGTTTTCGGTTTTTGGCTATTACCAAATAATGCTTCTATCACCATTCCTGTGCATGTTTTTTGGTTAACATGTAAGCATTTCTGTTGAGTGCTTACCTAGGAGTGGAATTGTTGCATTATATTCTGCTTCCCTAGATACTGTCAACAGCTTTCCAGAGTGGTTGTACCAACTTATACGTATATCACTAGCATATAATAGTTCTGGTTGTTCTCCTTGCCAACTTTTGATAATGTCTTTTAAAAATTATTATTTTAAGTTTTCTAGCAAGTTGATAGTGGTCTCTTGGTTTTATTTTGCATTTCTCTGATGACTAAGTTGAACACCTTTCTGTGTGTTTATTATTCATCGTATGTTTATTGTATGTTTATATTTAGATACTCTCTTTTGTGAATTAACTACCCAAGTCTGTTTTTCTTCTTTTTTCTATTGGGTTTTCTGTCTTTTTTATTGGTTTATACGAATTTTTAAGTATACTTTATATACAGGACCTTTGTCAGTTACATGTCTTACAAATATATTTTCTTAATATTTAGTAATTAACCCAGCACCATTTATTCAAAGGATAACTTTTCTTATTGCAGTATCACTTTAATGTAAATTCAGGTGATTGTTTATGTGAGAATCTCTTTTGGATGACTATAGTCCTGTAGTAGAGATACATATAAAGTGCTTTGGGACAACAAAAGAGGCAGCAAGTAAAATGCCTTGGCAAATCACAAGCTTACAGAGATAGCACTTGAGCTGGTCCTAGAAGGATGGGCAGAAATTTGTCAGTCAAAAACGGCCTATGAATGAAGGGTGTTGTAAGAAGAGGAAACTTCATGTACTAAAACTAAAACCCAGAGGTTTGGGTGTAGATGTCATGTTTGGGAAATCAGAACTGATATGAAGGGTAATATGGAATAATATAAAAGCTATGGCTTGAACGGACAGGACAGATCCA
Source organism: Homo sapiens (assembly GCF_000001405.40). Taxonomy (NCBI): domain Eukaryota; kingdom Metazoa; phylum Chordata; class Mammalia; order Primates; family Hominidae; genus Homo; species Homo sapiens. The sequence continues at coordinate 96,309,127 of NC_000012.12, read as the reverse complement.
GAATGAAAAGCCTTAGAGGTCAGGCCAAGAAGTCTGGACTTCTTCCCATGTAATGAGAAGACATCAAAGGTATTTATTTAAACAAAGGCTGACATGGTCACATTTTTGTTTCATAGCAATAGCTTTAGGAAAAGTACAAACAATGAATTAGAGAGAAAGACTAGAGGCAGGGAGAATTAGGAATGTATTCAAAATTAAGGATGATGTGGCAATCAGATGGAAATAGAAAGCAGAACATAAATCCTAGGGACCAGGAAGGGATAAAATACCACCTAATACCCACTTGGACTTTGCACCTGAAGGAAGAGAAATTGATGATGACTCTTGGATTGCTAGCAGTTGTTGTATCTCCTTTTTTACATTATTATTATTATTATTATTATTATTATTATTATTTTTGGAGACGGAGTCCTGCTCTGTCACCCAAGCTGGAGTGTAGTGGTGCAATTTTGGCTCACTGCAGTCTGCCTCCCCGGGTTCAAGCGATTCTCTGGCCTCAGCCTCCCGAGTAGCTGGGATTATAGGTATGCGCCACCATGTCCTGCTAATTTTTGTATTTTTAGTAGAGATGTGATTTCACCATGTTGGCCAGGCTGGTCTTGAATGCCTGACCTCAGGTGATCCACCCGCCTCGGCCTCCCAACGTGCTGGGATTACAGGGGTGAGCCACTGCATCCAGCCTTTACATATTATTATATAATGGAACTATTTTCTTTAGAGACAAGGTCTCACTCTGTCACCTAGGCTGGAATGCAGTAGCACGATCATAGCTCACTGTAATCTTGAACTCCTGGGCCCAAGCAATCCTCACATGTCAGGCTCCTGAGTAGCTAAGACTGCAGGTGTACACCATCACACCCAGCTAATTAAAAAACTTTTTTTTTTTTTTTTTTTTTTTAGAGATGGCATCTCACTGTGTTGCCCATGCTGGTTTCAAATGCCTGGGCTCAAGCGGTCCTTCTGCATTGGTTTCCCGAAGTGCTAGGATTATAGGTGTGAGCCGCCCATAGCATCTGGCCCCTGTGGGCCAGATTAGATATTCTAGTTAGATAGTCTACAAAATATTTTGGTGACATACTCTAAAAAATAAAATCACTTTATGCTGTATATACCATGAGCACATTGTTATTTGACATTCACCAGTATATAAATATGGTAAAAAGTATAACACAAACTTGATTTTGGTATAAGCATATGATTATCATAATTTAGCATCACTGCTTAAGACATTTTTTGTGTGTGTGTGTGTCTGTGTGTGTGAGACAGAGTGTCACTTTGTCGTCCAGGCAGGAGTACAATGGCGCGATCTCGGCTCGTTGCAACCTCTGCCTCTGGTTCAAGTGATTCTCATGCCTCAGCCTCCTTAGTAGCTGAGATTACAGGCATGTGCCACCATGCCTGGCTAATTTTTGCATTTTTAGTAGAGATGGGGTTTTGCCGTGTTGGCCAAGCTGGTCTTGAATTCCTGACCTCAAGTGATCCACCTGCCTCAGCCTCCCACAGTGTTGGGATTACAGGCATAAGCCACTGTGCCTGGCCAAGACATTTTTATTGGGATGATTTTGCCATTTGATTGTCAAGTCAAAAGTTTTCTTCGGCTATCAGTTTTTATCAAAGATTGGTACTTAGGATAAATTTTGAGGTTGTATTTGTTCCAATTGGGAGTAAAAATGTGATTTAATCACCATGTAATTTTTTTAAGCTATCATTTAGGAGCTATCTTTTACAGTCTACATGATATTAAGAAAAACAGTGCCCTCTAATGAATGCTAAGTGATTAAAGTTTTTATTTATGGTTAAGTGTTCCTACCTACCTCCCCCGCTTTTTTTTTGAGACAGAGTTTCACTTTTGTTGCCCAGGCTGGAGTGCAATGGCATGATCTCGGGTCACCGCAACCTTCGCCTCCCGGGTTCAAGCGATTCTCCTGCTTCAGCCTCCCGAGTAGCTGGGATTACAGGCATGCGCCACCACACCCGGCTAATTTTGTATTTTTAGTAGAGATGGGGTTTCTCCATGTTGGTCAGGCTGGTCTTGAACTCCCCATCTCAGGTGATCCTCCTGCCACAGCCTCCCAAAGTGCTGGGATTACAGGCGTGAGCCCCTGCGCCTGGCCTGCCTACTTCCCTTTTCAGAAAATTCTGAAATGGCTTATAGATTTCAGATAAATCATGCCAGCTATGTTTTGGATTTTACTGATGCATCCATTTCATTATTCATCTACCTTAGTAAAGCATACTTTTTGGAAATACATTAAAAATTATTCTTCAAAATGAAAATCTCTACCCTAGGTTTATATTTGAACATAGTCAGTGAAGGGAGGGCATGTGAAAGTTAGGGATGGATGGAAAAGGAGTGGGAAAAAGAAACTCATTTTTTTATATGTATTAGAATTTGTGTATCTGTGGATAATATATTCTTTATATACCTAAAAAGTAAAAGTTTTTTCAAAGAGATCAGTTCTTCAGCATAGAAGTCTGGACCCTTGGTTTATGTGTAAAGGAGATGGGTAAAGATTAGGGATGGATAGAAAGGAGGTAGGAAAAGAAAAATATTCTTCACATGTACTAGACTTCATTTTTCCATGGATAATATACCCTTAATCTAAAAAATAAAATATTTTTTAAGGTAAAATGTAAAATTTAGCCTTGTCTTCTAAAAGTTTTAAACTTTCAATGTGTTGTTCTCATATATATATATAATTTTTTTTTTTGTACAAATTATTTGTAGAGACAGGGTCATACTATATTATCCAGGCTTGTCTTGAACTCCTGGCCTCAAGCAGTCCTCCCGCTTTGGCCTCCAAAATCACTGACATTACAGGTGTAAGCTACCTCTCCTGGCCTATTTTCATATTTTCTAATGGCAATATATAATGAGTAGTAAAAATAACATAAAACCTTTGCTTGAGTAGGAATTAAGAAACAATTCATTTTTCCTGGAGAAAGTTATACAGTAGGGCTGAATGGGTCTAATATAAATTTATGGTCATCAATCTCGCATAGATCCCCAGTGTTGTCTGGCTATCCCACTGTCTTTCTCTGATTAACTCTTCCTCTCTTACTGTAAGCAGATGATCTCTCTTCCTATATCATAAAAAAGAGAGAGGGCCAGATGTTGTGGCTCATGCCTGTAATCCCACCACTTTGAGAGGCTGAGGCAGGAGGTTTGCTTGAGCCCAGGAGTCCAAGACCAGCCTGGGCAACATAGTGAGACCTCCATCTTTACAAAAAATTAACAAAACTAGCCAGGCGTGGTGGCACACCTTTGTAGTCCCAGCTACTCAGTAGGTAGGAGGTGAGAAGATCACTTGAGCCCAAGAGGATGAGGTTGTGGTGAGCCATGATTGCACCACTGCACTCCAGCCTTGTCGACAGAGCAAGAGACCCTGTCTCAAAAAAAAAGGGGGTGGCCATTAACCGAAAACTCCCTCCTTTTCTGTATAACAAACTTGCAAATCTACCTATGCATATACCCATTCTGTTCTTTTTTGTTTTTAATCTTGAGAAGTTGTCCCCCTTACTATCCCATCTTTTCAGGATGCTTAAGACTATCTGTTATCCCTATAAACTGATGTGTGTTCAGTCTCCCATTTCTTACCTTAATCCTTTCCAGTGACTTTTTATTTACATAAACATAATTTTAGTTTTAGATTTACAGAAAAAATTACAAAAATTATATAGTTCTTCTATACCACATACCCAGTTACCATATTATTAACATTTTATATTACTTTAATACATTTGTCACAACTAAGGAACCAACATTGGTACATTACTAGTAACAAAACTCCATACTTTATTCAGATTTCACTAATTTTTTGTCAGTGTTGTTTTTCTGTCCCGATACTCCCTCCAGGATACCACATTACATTTAGTGATCATATGTCATGTTAAAAATATTGGCTATTGGATGGTGACGTGCTATTTAGTAGTCCTTTATGATTGATAAGAAATAAAACATTGTCAACATATTTAGTTAAATATTAGAATAGTGGCAAAGCCTATATGTAGATAGTCAGGATTCATCAGAGCTTCCTTGCCCTTACGATAATGGTATACCCAGTGGAAGTTTTGTGAGACTGAGTGCAGCTTCAATTATAATGGAGGTCATCCATATATAAAAATTTGTCTTATTGTATTCAAATTATAGGTTTATACATTTTAAGAGCATATGCCTTCCTAAACAATGAATGTTTGGATTCTTCATTCCTGGTTTTACCAATAGACTATATAGACCTTTCTTAATTCTCAGAGCAGGTGAGAAAATACAATCAAGTCCTTACATCTCTCAGCAATTAGAAATATAAGATGGAATGTGGGAGTGAGGTTCAAAGTCCCACAGAATTTACCTTTAGCATATTATGTACAGGAGTACAGGATTAAGGTGGTATTGTGGTGATGATAATAGCAATTTTTGTAAGACAAAGTGACTGAGTAGAATAGAGATTCTCAGTCTTTCCCCCTGCCCACCAAGTCTAAGGGATAAAACACATTTCTTTCGTTAACAGTAACTCGGTAATTCCCACAGAGAGGGAAATGAATGTTTGAAAAAGCCTCCCTCTTCCCCTGCTGTTTCTTTTTTGTTGTTTTTTGAGACAGAGTCTTGCTCTGTCGCCAGGCTGGAGTGCAGTGGCACGATCTTGGCTCACTGCAATCTCCGCCTCCTGGGTTCAAGCGATTCTTCTGCCTCAGCCTCCCGAGTAGCTGGGATTATAGGTATGCACCACCACACCCAGCTAATTTTTGTATTTTTAGTAGAGACAGGGTTTCACTATGTTGGCCAGGATGGTCTTGATCTCCTGACCTCATGATCCGCCCTTCTCGGCCTCCGAAAGTGCTGGGATTACAGGCATGAGCCACCGTGCCCGGCCCCGTTTCTTATGTATTAATATATACTCACTCTTAAAATGTCATCTATGGATCCTCTGTACATACAGAAGCTTCCCCCTTTATCTGTGGTTTCATTTTCCACAATTTCAGTTATGTGAGGTCAAACATAGTCTGAGGATAGGTGAATACAATGCCAGTATGATTATTTTGAGAGCAAGAGATAGAGACTGCATTCACGTAACTTTTATTACAGTGTATTATTATGGTTATTTGTTTTATTAGTTGATCTCTTACTCTGCAAAATTTATAAATTAAACTTTATCTTAGGAGTGTATTTAATATGTATAGGGAAAAACCTAGTACATACAGGTTTCAGTGCTGTCTGCTGTTTCAGGCATCCACTGGTGTTCTTAGAAGTATCCCCTGTGGATAAGGGGGACCTCTGGTGCTTCATTTGTTTTGAAGCTCAGCTAGAACAGCATCTCCAGCCTGTGATAGAGTAATTATGTTGCTAGATCCAAAGTAAACAAAAAGTTTCCCATAAGGCTTGGTATTGCTTACAAGTTACAGTGAATTCTAGGAAGACTATTATAAATTATAATTTAATTTATATATATATTTAGAATTTTCATGTGTTTATACTCTAAGAGCCATCTGAATAGGAATTTGCTTGGGGCTGTCAAAAAGTGAAGTATTTTCTTGGAACAGTGAAATATCAGAAAAAATTATCTTCATTTGTCTGGAAAGCAGCATTAAGGGGGCTCTTATATTACATGAAAATATAAGCTTTGAGCAGTGATAGTATCATACCCGAGGTTTATCCAAGGCACAGTTATTGCTAATTGAAAATTTTTCCCAAATACCCCCACCATGACAACTTGTGATTATAGTTGGCATTGGCAATTTTTGAGTTTCTGCAGAGACTGGAACAACAACATACACATTATAAAGCTTATTGTGCTATTTCTTTAGCTATTATTTCTGTTTCTGTGAAACTTTTAAAATATTCTAAAATAATCTAGGATGGAACTCAGGCTAGATTGTGAACTCATGAAAGTGGGAATCATGTCTGTCTTCTCTAGCACCTAACATTGTGCTGGGTAAATGTTGAATAAATGAGCTTTGTCCTCTGTCCTCTGAATAATTTCTGTAGGAGAGCACGTCAACAAGCTAGTCATTATATCTATTGTTAATCTTGTTGTGTTCAGCAAATAAAAATGCAAGCAAAATTTTCTAAAAATTTTATTTAAAGATTCAGTAAGTACTGTTTTGATGTAATCATTAAATCCTAAGTTGGAAATTACTAAATTGGGGGCTAAGCTTTTACTTTTTGAATTAGGATCTGACAGACAATTCACTAGTGTAATTGTGCCTTTGTCTGAATTCTCTGCCTGCCTGCCTGCCTGCATGGGTGGAATTCAGTAGTGTTGTTTATTTTATAGACTGATTATTCAAATTTAAACTTAACCTCTTACATATTTGTCTTTACAGTCTAATTTGTAGTCCATTTACATAGTCTTTAAAGCAAACCTCGACATTTTGTCATAGTAACCATTGGACCCTAGTGTATTTGATGTTTTAAGAACATAGTAGTATTCATTCATTTAAGATAAAAGGATTAATAAGAAAATTTCTCTACTCCTGAGAAGAAAAAATGCCTAGCTTACAGTCTTATTTCCCGTGTGCTTCTCATTGTTATAATGACATTTTAAATATTTTTTTCAGGAACATTCATTCTTTTGTTCATACTAGTTTGCATTTATTCTCAATATAGTGTTTTTTCCCCCATAAAAGATGACACAAAACTTAAAATTCATGGCAAAAATGCGGTAGTTCCATATTCATGAATTTAAGCACCTAAATTCCAGAGATAAGTATCAGAATAAAGATATTTTATTAGTTTCTGTGATCTTGGCAAGTAGCCTTTTTTATGGAGTAAAGTATTTAAGATCATATATAAATAGGCTATATAAAACATATATAAATTAAAAGATTATTCGTAATCAGACTGTCATGTACCAGATAGTGGGCTATTTGCCATGTTTTTCATACTGATTTTAAAAACTTCACTTGTATTTTAAAAATGTTATCTATTGTAGTTTTACTTCTTTATTTTGCATAGTTATTGATACTAGAAAGCGAAGGACTTAATACTGAGTCATGTTCAAGACAATACATGGATGAATAGTGTATGATGGTCGTAAAACTTCATTTTTAAAATTTAATGTTTTATGAAAAACGTCATAGGAAAATGTCATAGAATGCAAAAATAATTTTTCATTCATTCAATAATACCTGTGACCAAAGTTTTAATTAGTTTACTAAAATTGAATTAAGTACTATTGGACGTGCAGTTTTCCACATGGCTTTTAATATGATACATATCATTGTAACAAAAAGATAAAAACAGTTATTTTGAGGGGCCTCTGCTACTTTTGGCCATTCAGCTTTGGATAATTTATCCTATTGTCTGAAATGGTAAGTGATGCAAGTCTAATTACCAAGGATTATTTTAATTTTATTCCACAGTTCCAAGGAAAATTGCGTATTTAGACCTCTAGAGTTTGACTAAATCACAACGTTTAATCATCTGGCATAATTTATACACCTTTGAGAACTGAGATTATGTATTAAAAAACATTATTTCCTTTAACTGGCTTTTTATTTAAGGGCATTAGCACCATTCTAAGCAAGTGGATCTTTCTTTAGATTATCATTACCTTTTCCATTATCTATAAAGGGGTACTAGAAAGCAACTTTAAGAAAATTCTTTTCCCATTCTGTTTTACTTTTTAAAATATTTCTGCTCTCTCAGTCCCTAGTTTTCAATCTATCTAAAAACAAATTTTCCTAAATTTTGTGTTAAGGTTTTTTCTTTTTCATTTTAAATATTGTGTTTGTATTACATATTTAGGTATATTTCATGTACCCTGTTTATCATCTCCATACACAATAGTCAGGCGAGCTCAAGTTTTAAAAGCAAGGCTTTTAAGAACTCACTTTTAAAGCATTTTCTCTTGTTGTTGTGGGTTTGTTTGTTTTTTTTTTTTTTTTTTGGCCGAGTGTTGAGGGGGGGTGTAGCCAGAATTAGACTTACATTGCTGCTTCTATGTTTGCCACTTCCTGATCCATAGAAGAGCATGATTTTCAGTTGTCTTTTTCATTGTATTTTGATTGGAAAGCCTGAAACAAATAGTATTTTGTTGTTTGCAGGACTTCCTTGGGAATTCAGATTGGTGAGGGAGAAAATACATAGGAAAATTATTTATTTTGCAATTTTGTTAAAAAGAAAATCCCAAGTAGTTATCCTTGATAAGATTCTTTAGTATCTTAAAATGCCTGTGGTATCTTAGAATAAAACCAAATATTTTTCATGACAGAATGTTAACTGTGTATATATAAAGGTTGGGTTGACAATTTTGATTGTGAACTTTGATATTTTTGAACCTTTGAATGTTCCAACATTGGGTTTATTTTAAAACTTGATAGATATTCAACCATTTGATTATAATCAGATTTTTCTATTCTTAGTCATTCTTTAGAGTGGGAAAGTTTCAGAAGTTGAGGAAGAGATGAATTGAAACTTTAAGAATATATACAAGGCTGGGCGCGGTGGCTTACGCCTGTAATCCCAGCACTTTGGAAGGCCAAGGCAGGCAGATCACTTGAGGTCAGGAGTTCGAGAACAGCCTGGCCAATGTGTTGAAACCCTGTCTCTGCTAAAAATGCAAAAATTTGCCGGGCTTGGTGCTGCGTGCCTGTAATCCCAGCTGCTCCGGAGGCTGAGGCAGGAGAATCACTTGAACCCGCGAGGTGGAGGTTGCAGTAAGCCAAGATTGTGCCGCTGCACTCCAGCCTGGGCAACAGAGTGAGACGATGCTGTCTCAAAAAAAAAAAAAAAAAGTAAATACTACATTTTTCATTGTTTACTTTTCAGTCAGAAATTGGCTTTGGAAAAATGGAAACCTACATCAAATTGGAAAAGCTTGGAGAGGTAAGTAAATATCTCAAAAATGTAAGACACATTTTTTTCTTATTCGTCATTCAAACTCTGTTACTCCACGGTTTTTGTTAACCTGGAAAAAACGTAAGTACTGATGTCTACAAGATTATATACTTGTTCTGGAAAGGTAACAGAGTTTCTAGGAGTTAGAGTCTTCAATTCTTGAAATTATCCCATCAGTTTGAGAGGAAATGAATTTTTTTTATAGCTTTGAAATTTTTATTGAAGCAGAAAGTATTATGTTTTCTTAATAACAAAGTAGGCATTTGTCACTTAGTCTACTGCCAGTCTACTGTCTGTGCCACCATGGGAAATTGCATGAGTTCAGACCTGTGAAAAATCAGAATAAAGATAAAAACACATTTTTTGAAGGTTACGGAAATTCTTAAGATCTTGGTTTTCTTGAACTTACTACTAGTACTACTGATTTAGAAATGGCCTACCTCCTATAGTAGGAAAGGGCAAAGAAAACAATAGTTAATAGGGAAGGCTTAAAGGAGCTTGAGGGCTGTCCTGGCAATAATAGAAGAGATCCTTGTTTTTTAAAGGAGAGTTAATGTACAAAGATTCTGAAAAGTCTAGAAACATGGGTAAAATTTTTATGATTGCCGGGCGCGGTGGCTCACGCCTGTAATCCCAGCATTTTGGGAGGCCAAGGCGGGTGAATCACGAGGTCAGGAGTTCGAGACCAGCCTGGCCAACATGGTGAAACCCCGTCTGTACTGAAAACACAAAAATTAGCTGGGCGTGGTGGCGGGCGCCTGTAATCCCAGCTACTCGGGAGGCTGAGTCAGGAGAATCGCTTGGAACCGGAAGGTGGAGGTTACAGCAAGCCAAGATTGTGCCACTGCACTCTAGCCTGGGCGAAAGAATGAAACTCCATCTCAAAAAAAAAAAAAAAAAAAATTTATCATTTAACAATATGTACATTATGTTTTCATTTTTCAATTAATATGTTCAATTAGTGTCCATCAGTCTCCATATACCATTGCAGGTAAAGCACCTTTGATTTTAAAGCTATTGATCTAATTGTTAATCTAAAATAAGGTACAAAAAGTAAATATTCTGTCTATGTTTTTATACTCTTGAGGCACTCTGTAGTGTTACAGAAGTATGGAAGCTGTGCATATGAACTGAAAGTCCTGTTTACTGTAAGAAAAGCCATGGCTGATCATTGTGTGTTTTTCTTTGCAAGATGGAACTTAACAATGCTTAGAAACTAGAAATTCAGGTAGAGCTCTTTATTATAAGATGGTATTAAATAGACTCTTATGATACTTTTGATGCGTCCTTTAAAAATATATTTTATAGGGTACATATGCAACAGTATATAAAGGAAGAAGTAAATTGACAGAGAATTTGGTGGCATTAAAAGAGATCCGATTGGAACATGAAGAAGGTGCACCCTGCACAGCTATAAGAGAAGGTATAATAATTATACAGAACATTTTAAAATCAAAGTGGTGGAATAAGTGTCTATTTTTTATAAGTAAAAAGAGCTCAGATATACAAGTAATAAATGACTGGAAGATGTAATTAAACCTTTAAAAAGCAAATTTCTAAAACAAATACTCAAAGGGATTAATTATATTAGTGTATAACTTATAATGAAATCTGAATTCATTAAAAATCACTATCATAGACAACTATTTGTCATAGGGAAATGTTATACATTGGTACATGAGGAACATGGTAACTATAAATTAACCAGATAAACTAAATAAATTAAAAAACAGTGTGTAAACATATTTATATCATAGTACCATTTTATAAAGAAGATTATTCAGAAAATGGCTTGAGGCAACTGATTAGTAATGTGGAGGGGAAAAATGGTTCCTTGTAATTTATATCTAAATTAATGCCAGAAGTTTCAAAAGTTAACATTTAGGAAAAATACAGAAGATGATATGGAGAATGTTATAATATTGGGGACAATTTTAAGTATTATAATATCAAACCCAGTAGTATAAAAGAAAAAATTGATTTCCATGAACTTTTTTTTTTTTTTGAGAGGGAGTCTGGCTCTGTTGCCCAGGCTGGAGTGCAGTGGCGAGATCTTGGCTCACTGCAAGCTCCGCCTCCTGGGTTCACGCCATTCTCCTGCCTTAGCCTCCCGAGTAGCTGGAACTACAGGCGTCCGCCATCACGCCCGGCTAACTTTTTTTTGTATTTTTTAGTAGAGACGGGGTTTCACCATGTTAGCCAGGCGATCTCCTGACCTCACGATCCGCCCGCCTTGGCCTTCCAAAGTGCTGGGATTACAGGCATGAGCCACCGTGCCCAGCCTCCATGAACATTTTTACAACCAATCCCCTTGGTAAATTATTGCTTTAAACTTAAGAGAATCTTTTTTTTTTTTTTTTAAATAGCATTGTTGCCCAGGCTGGTCTTGAACTCCTGGGCTCAAGTGATCCGCCTGCCTCGGTCTCTCAAAAGTGCTGGGATTATAGGGGTGAGCCACCGCCCAAGACCTAAACTTAAGAGAATCTTTTAATCAGTTCGTATGTTCAACTTACTTCAGGTTTTTATAAAGACTGCCACAGACTAAACAATTTTCTTTTTCTGTTTTGCAGTTTCACTATTAAAGGATTTAAAACATGCAAATATAGTAACCTTACATGACATTGTTCACACAGATAAATCCTTGACTTTGGTGTTTGAGTATCTGGTAAGCATCTCATAAAAATTCAGTATTTAACTTTACTTTAGAAAAACATAGTAAATTGGACTTTTAGTTTGTTTTTTATTTTTCTTTAAACTGCAGCTGTGCTTAGCTAAATTGGACTTTTTAACAGCCCAAGAGACTTTATTATTTAGTTATCAGTTTTTCATTAAATTATGTGTATGGTGCATCCAGTATCTTTTCTTGAAAAACAACTAATTTTGAAAAACACTATTAAGTGAACCAGTCACAACATTCTGAAAATGGTGTATCACATAGCAGAGTGCTGTGTTTTTCCAGGATAAAGACCTGAAACAGTACATGGATGACTGTGGAAACATCATGAGTATGCACAACGTAAAGGTATGTTTTCTTGCGTGTGTAATTTTTAAATTTTGTTTAAAGCATAGGTGAACCATTATATAATGAAATGTACCAGCCTCATAACTCTTCTTCAGGGTTTTCTGTTTGGCCTTTTAAATAGGTTATTGTCCTCTGAACGTGCAATATTTACCCAGAACTTCTGTTTACTACACTATAGCTTTCTTAGGATCAGACCTTTTTGTAGAACCACTTCATTCTTTTGACATTTCACATTACAACTGATTGTCCTAATATAGAATATATGTACAGGTGTATTCTGCTTTAAAAAAAAAATTCAAAATAAACACGAATGATGGGTGCATTCTGTGAAAGGCCTTCTTTAAATAGTGAACTCCCCAAATAAATGGTATTTAATTGTAAAACAACAACTTTTCAGAACTAATGAATAAGGCCAGAACATGCAGGTTTTATGAACACTATGCTGGAAATACCAATCTGTACTGTCAGGAAGAAGAGTAAGATAATTGGTGTGTTTTCTTACAACAACATATTTAAAAATTTAATGCTAAAAATGTTTGCCATAAAATCAGTGCCAGATGATACCCAAAAGTTATTAACTGAGTAACAGCATCCAGCATAGTTTGTATTCTTACAGTAGGTTTCTTTGACCTGAGTAGTGTATCCAAATTTAGCAAAGATTTATTTATCCAAACTTAGTCAACAATATGTAAGAACCTATTCTGAAAATAGGCTGTCGCAGCTGTGTGCTTCAGACATTTCTAATTCTGTAGGTAGTAATTTTAAACTTACATTTTAAAAAAATATTAAGTTTGGTGGTTATAAAGGAGAGCCAGTTTCTGTTACTAAAAGACAGCTCAGAACATATGGATAACACATTGCTAAGGATTTTTAAAAAGGGCTTTAAATGTACTTCCATATATATTCTGTCAGGGTTGTTTTCATCTTATTTTACATCTTTTGTTTGCAAAGTGTTATAACTGTCATTTTGTATTTTTTTGGTTTTAATTTTGTTTTTCCTGCTTTTTTTATTGGCAATAATTTGAAAATAAAACAAGGTCCTTGATGATAATTTCACAAATGTTGAGACGTTTATTTCTTTAATGCCAGGTTTACATGATTAGCTTAAGTTGGAAAGCGTTTTATTATTTATTTGTTTAAATGGCCTTTATACTTTCAAAATACAAAGTGTAACAAGAATTCATTTAAATAGTAATTTTAGAGTTTTAAAAACATAATTATGTAGACTGGAGAGACTCTGGCACAGAGAATTCATTCAGGCATACCGTTGACCTGCTGCCTTGGCTGCCTCAGTGTTCGGATGCCCTGTTTTTCACCTACAGATGAACTGAGGGGAAACTCTTGAATCCTCTGTACTTGAGGTTCTTTTTGTTAACCCCAGAGAATCAAAGGTCTTATGTGTTCCGTAACCCTCTTTCTACCAAAATGTACAGCAAAAACTCTACCATTAGCCTTATAGGAATTACTTTTTTCAGAGTCATTCAGAACACTACGGTGCTAATGCCCCTTTGTGAATCACAGTAGATTTTGAAGGCTAAGTAGGAGGTGCTGAAAGTAAAGTACCCAAGAGATGGGTGATAGAAGCTGGTTTAGGTTAGTTTTATAGTAAGTAATTTGCCAGAGCTATGCAGCAGCTTTCTCTTTGATACCTCAGACTTTTCATAAAATCGCCAATTCCAGTGCCTTATTTTAAAGACACTGCCCCAGATCAGAGTTTTTGTTTTTGTTTTTTTTCAAGGAGAGATGGGTGGGAGGGGGGTTGGTTGGTTGTTTTGCCAGAATTTTATAATTAAACTATGTAAACCTTAGTAGGCCTGTAAGTTTATGAGGATATGTTTTTTTTTTTAAGTCATTTTCCACAGTAAATCAACTGTTACTGCTAGGAGGAAGTTACTTTTTAAAAAATATTTCCATAGATACTGTTAGACTAAAAGAAATAGGTAGATGCTTCAAATAGAATAATAAACTATTAAATTCAGAAAGCCACTATATATAAAAGGAAAAAGACATTGTACTTAAGTATGCAATTACTTTCTTTTTCCTGTTACAATGTTCTAGGCCAGCTGCTTTTCTGCTTACCATCATTTATGCTTATACTAAAGCATGTCTCATCTTTAAGACTAATTTTTATTTATTTGTTTCTGTAGCTGTTTCTGTACCAAATTCTACGTGGTTTGGCATATTGCCATAGAAGAAAGGTATTGCATCGAGACTTGAAACCACAGAACCTCCTCATTAATGAGAAAGGAGAATTAAAGCTAGCAGATTTTGGTATGGAATGTATGAGATATTTATTAGTACTTCCAGGTTCTAAAGTGTAATGGTTAAAAGATCAACCACTGTCATAATGTGCCATTGCTTTTATGTGGGTTTGGAAATTTTCTCGGTAGCCCACAGAATAAGATATTTGACAGAACTTTGGTTGGTGATTTATGTTGGTTATTAGCAGCAAATTCTAAAATGCACAGGCTGTTCTTGGGTGTGGACAAAGACCCCTAGGGCTCCTGAGACCCTTGTAGGAGGCCTCTAAATGTAAATATATTACCAAAATTGTACCATCTGTTATTTGCCTATTTCACTGTGTTAATATTTGCAATGATGGTCCCAAAATAATAATGCATAAAACTATACATCAAAGTAGTGGCACCAAAATATATCTTTTTTTTTTTTTTTTTTTTTTTTTTTGAAGACAGCATTTTGCTGTTAAAGCCCAGGCTGGAGTGCAGTGGTGTGATCTTGACTCACTGCAACCTCTGCCTCCCAGGTTCAAGTGACTCTCCTGCCTCAGCCTCCCAAGTAGCTGGGATTACAGGCATGCGCCACCATGCCTGGCTAATTTTGTATTTTTAGCGTGACCACCATGTTGGTCAGGCTGATCTCGAACTCCTGACCTCAGGTGGTCCACTCGCCTCGGCCTCCCAAAGTGCTGAGATTACAGGCATGAGCCACCATGCCCAGGCCGTCATTGTATTCTTTACCACTACACTTACGTAAAGGGAAAACTGTCAGTTACACTTACATGATGAAGCAATAAAATTTATTAATTATATTTAATTTCCATCCTTGACTACATTTCTTTTTAATATTTTATGTGATAAAATGGGAAGTGTACATAAAACTCATTTGCTGCACACAGAAATAATGTGGTTACTTCTCAGGGAAAAGTGCTCATGTGATTATTTGAGTGCACATTGAACTAGCCCTGTTATTTGAGGGGACACCATTTTTACTTAAATGACTGACAGACAAACTGTGGTTATTCAGACTTAGGTGTTTGGCAGACATTTTCCTGAAAGTGAATGAAGGAAGCCTATCATTTCAAGGAAAAGAACTGTCAGTATTTCTTGCCAATAATAAAATTCAAGTTTTCAAGCAAAAATTAGAGTTTGGAAATTTGGATCTGCTTTGAGTTTGATGGCTTTTCAATACTTAGAGACTTTTCTGATGAGATCGATGTTGATGTTAACAAACACGATTTTTCAATATGCTGAAAAAGTGTATAAACATTTGGAATGTATAACCCAGGGATCCACTGTTTTCCAAATGGCTAATGCATGATATTACAGAATCATGCATGGATAAAAGACCCATTTAAAGTACAAGGTCAATGAATTTTAGTGCAACAAAAGCATGAGAAGTTCATCGTTATAGGTTTTGTTAACACATAGCTTTTAAGAGACCACTTACTTTCTAGTTCTGATGTAGTGTCAAATAAGACTATTCACATTTATCAGAAAAGGCTATTAAAATGCCCCTCCTCTTTCAACCTCATATCTGTGTGAGATTTGATTTCCTTCATATATGTATGTTGTGATATGTATATTTGATCTATTTTGATACATATTGTGATATGTATCAAAGCAACATATCACGACACACAGAATGCAAAAACAGATGTGGAATCCAGTTGTCTTCTATTGAAATAGACTTTAGGCCAGACACAGTGGCTCAGGGGTGTAATCCCAGCACTTATGAGGCTGAGGTGAGAGGATCACTTGAAGCCGGGAGTTTAAGACCAGCCTGGGCAACATAGCAAGACCCCATCTCTACAAAAACAAGACTTAAAAGAGATTTACAAAAATGTGAAAGAAGGCCATTCTTCTTACTGTTTTGTTTTTATAAAAAAAATGTTTTTCATAAAAATGTCATACATGCTGCATATAAAGGGTGGTGTTTTTAAAGAGAAAATAATATTTTAAAATTTGCTAAGTTTTAATTTCTAATGTGGCAAATATCAGTAAATATATCCACAAAAATAAAAGCTCTTTAGGTCTTTGATAATTTTCAAGAGTATAAAATGGGTCTTGAGAACAATGAGTTTAGAAGCAACTACTGAAAGGCGTTCCCTTAATATACCTGCCACCATTACTCTGTATTTATTATATGCTCAGTAATTTAATTGTAGCTATTTATCTATTTTTTTTTTAGCTAATCTGGTTTTAAGGGAATTGAAAGTAAAATTAAATGCTCTTTTTGCTTCTAGAAAGTAAACTTTTTCATATTGAAGGAACTTTGTAGAGCAGCTTTGAATTTTTTGTATTCCGCATTCTGAGAGTTTGAATACTCTTAGAGAACTTAGTTTTTAAAAACCCATGCAGTTTTCCATAACTAAATTCATAATTTTTTTTCATAAATGATTATGGTAGTTTTTTGGTTGTTTGTTTTGAGACAGGGTCTTGCTCTGTCACCCTGGCTGAAGTCTAGTGGTGCAATCTCAGCTCACTACAACCTTCGCCTTCTGGGTTCAAGCGATTCTGGTGCCTCAGCCTCCCAAATAGCTGCAATTACAGGGGTGCCCACCACGCCCAGCTAATTTTTGTATTTTTAGTAGAGATGGGGTTTCACCATGTTGTTCAGGCTGGTCTCGAACTCCTGGC
Organism: Homo sapiens; assembly: GCF_000001405.40. Lineage (NCBI taxonomy): Eukaryota > Metazoa > Chordata > Mammalia > Primates > Hominidae > Homo > Homo sapiens. Next base: position 96,292,392 of record NC_000012.12, on the reverse strand, counting down.
CTCAAGCAATCTGCCTGCCTTGGCCTCCCAAAATGCTGGGATTACAGGTGTGAGCCATCACACCTGGCTTTGATTATGGTAGTTTTATGTTTGGAGTATTTCATTAAATTTAATAAATATGAGTGTTTCAAGTATTACTCTTCACTGTCATTAAATGGTGAGTTTATTCTGGAAATTCCTATACTTTTGCTCGTTTAATACTTTGCCATTTGAAGAGTAAATTACTTTTTGCATTTCCTTCCTTAAAAAGGAAATGTGTGGGTTACCTGTGTTTGAATAACAAATTATATGCTATTTACATATGCTTTCATAAAGTCTCTTCTTGGGCATAGTTTATGTTGTTATTTCCCTTATAATAATTGTTACTCTCTCTCTCTTTTTTCTTTCTCTTTCCTTCCCCCAGCCACTATTTCCTTTTCACTCTTTTTCCTTCTCCTTCTCTTTGTTTGCTAACCTGCATGTAATGCTCTTTATTCCCAATCCCAAAATGAATGGCAGTGAAGAGAAATACTTCAGGATGCTAAGGCGGGTGGATCAGATGAGGTCAGGAGTTCAAAACCAGCCTGACCAACATGGTGAAACCCTGTCTCTACTCAAAATAGAAAAGTTAGCTGGGCATTGTGGCGGACACCTGTAATCCCAGCTATTTGGGAAGTTTAGGCAGGAGAATTGCTTGAACCCGGGAGGCGGAGGTTGCAGTGAGCCAAGATCATGCCACTGCATGACAGAGCGAGACTTCATCTCAAAAAAAAAAAAAAAAAAAAGCAAAAGGAATGTCAAGGACTATAAAAAATTTACCTTTGGCTGGGTGCGGTTGCTGACACCTGTAATCCCAGCACTTTGGAAGGCCCAGCAGGCAGATTGCTTGAGCTCAGGAGTTCAAGACCAGTCTGGGCAATATGGCAAAAACCTGCCTCTATAAAAAATTTCAAAATTAGCCAGGTGTGGCGGTGTGCACCTCTAGTCCCAGCCAGTTGGGAGGCTGAGATGGTAGGATCAGTTGTGCCCGGGAGGTTGAGGCTTCAGCGAGTCATGATCAAGCCATTTCATTCTAGCCTGGTTGACAGAACAAGACCCTGTCTCAAAAAGAGGAAGAAAAAAACAACAACTACTTTTATCAGGGAATACTCTGAGTGCTTTAAATTTTGCTTCCAACCTCTACAATGCAAGCCAGGCAAATTTTACCCACAAGGCAACAAGAAATTCTGATTATTCCATGAGATAGTATATTCAATTCTGTCTCTATTTCTTCCTTTTTTTTTTTTTTTTTGGTTGCATAGTAAATATGACTTCTTGTGAAGGAGGGTCATATAACTTTGAGTATTTATACTATAAGTTGTTCTCTGTCCCTCTGAAAATTCTACCCTTTTCCCACGATCAGTGAAAATCAGAAGTCTAGGAACTAGTGATATAGACAGATATTTTCACTAATGATAGAAAATGGCTTATATAATAATACCATATCACATTTAATTAATTTTGTTTAGGAGAGATTGTTTCATTTCATTCCAACCAGTATTGAAATTCTAATTGTGAACTAGAAGGCCATGTACACAAACACCATAGTTCGGAATCCTCTCAGGAGTGGGAGAGTAGGATACTGAGGAAACTATAACTGGTAATTTGCCTTGATATGGTATGTTACAGGATAAGCACGTTTGCAGCCCTGTCCTTTGCCTTCCTATAACCCACTTTTAATATCAAGAAGAGAGGTCAGAAAGCTACCTCCATCTTGTTAATTAATTACCAAAATTGGTATGAAAATAATTTGTTGGACTTACTTCACCAAGTTGAGATGCTAGAGTAAAACTTGTAATTAAATGAAGGAATGTCAACATTGTTCCAGTTATAACCTTTCACCATTATACTGAACTGAAATAGTATATGAGTCCTGCCTAATTAAATTTCTGACATTGTTTCTGTAACCTTATTCAGTAAAATTGATTTTTTCTTTTGTGACATTTTTCTTTAATATTTTAATCAGATATACCAAGTTATATATAACAGCAATCTCAGCCTAAAAAATAAATTCTTCCTTGTTTTGGCAAAATAAATTTGTAATTTTCCAGATATTTTTTAAAGTTGCTTCTTCAGATCATAATTTAGAGGCTTCGAGGTAATAGCGACTCTCTCACACTAGTGACTCAAGAGATAAAGTTGTAAACTCTAGCCTTTATTTCTGGATTATCAATAGATTCCATATTAAATTAGCAAAGGAATGGCAAATGTTTTATATCACTTACAGCAAGCTTGTCCAACCCATGGCCCATGGGCCATATATGGCCCAGGATGGCTTTGAATGCAGCCCAACACAAATTCGTAAACTTTCTTAAAACATTATGAGATTTTTTTGCGATTTTTTTTTTTAAAGGTCATGGCTGTTGTTAGTGTTAGTGTATTTTATGTGTGGCTTAAGACAGTTCTTCCATTGTAGCCCAGGGAAGCTAAAAGATTGGACACCCCTGACGTAAACAGCAATTAATAATATCCAAGGACAATGAAGTCTGTCTTACTCCAGAATGATCCATGTAACTTACAACCTAAAAAGGGAGTACAGAACAGCACTGTAATTTTATTCCAAGGAAATTGTCTCTAAGTCGATTTGTCAGTAAATCTCAATGAGATTATGGACCAATAACTTTACAGTTTTTGATAAAAAATGGTATAGCAAATGAAAGTTGGAATCAGGTTAAAAGGTGACAAAAGCTCATAGCCGTTAGAAGTAAAATTGTGTATCTCAATGTCATTGGCCTATTATGGATTAATTTAATTGCAGCTGAGAAATAATTTTGTCATCATGATTCATGGACAGAAGGAAAACATCTTAAGTTTAGATTCACCCAGAATACTTCACCAGGTGTATTCAAACATAAAAGTAAGCACAGTCTCTGGTTGTGGAATTCTTGTTTAGTTCAACTATGTAAGGATTTGCTTACTTAGGGCCACATGCACTCAACGAATTCATAAAGTTAATAGTGGTGAAGCCTCAAGAAGCTACGAATTAACCATTTCAGGCATCCCTTTGAATGGAGTCATGGTGAGAATAGGGTCTGAGAGATCCATTAAAGCTTTTTCTTAACCCTTTGTTTTATTTTCCCTATGAAGGACTAGCCCGAGCCAAGTCAGTTCCCACAAAGACCTACTCAAATGAAGTTGTCACACTATGGTACCGGCCACCTGATGTGCTTCTTGGTTCCTCGGAGTACTCAACACAGATTGACATGTGGTAAATATATACAGATGTCACTGACATTTATAATTTTGAAAGAATGTAACTGTTAATGCAAGATGTATTGATAAGTATATACTTTTAAGGAGATATTATTTTAAAGAGCCATAATGTAACAGTGATTAATGAGTTCTGGCATGGGAATTAGATTACCTAGGTTTAAATACCAATTCTGCCATTTAGAACTATGTGTTAACTTTATTCAAATTACTGGCCTTTGCCTCAGTTTCCTCATTTAAGGAAATGGGAATAGTAACAATAACTACTTTGAAGTGTTGTAGGTGATGTTAAGATTAAATGAACACTCAGAAGAGTGCTTTATGAGACACTCAAGAGTATCTGATACATAGTAATTTAAAACAAAATTATCATTTTATCATCATTTAATATTCACCAAAATCTTTCTGCTTTAACTTGAACTAAAAGTAATAATCAAAATATTGTAGTCATCTTTCTCACACACCGCTTCGATCCTGACACTCTTCTACTCAGACACCGTTATTGCCACCCCCTTCATTACCTATAGAATAAGGTACAATTAATTCCTCAATCTGATACTTAAGGATTTCCATAAGATGTCTCTAAACTACCTTTTCCAACTTATTTCAGACTGTTTCTCAACACAAATGTTCCCTTTTAGCAAAATGGCATACTCACTATATCTCAGGAATAATGTGGACTTTCCTACCTTTGCTCTTGGTGTTCATACCAGTCCACCCATCTGGAATGCCCACTCCGGTGCTCTAACTTGGGCTCATTCCTAGTAACGTTCAAAATACAGCTTTTCATAAATCCTTTCCTGAATATACTCTAGCCTCTGTTGGCAGTTCCTTCCTCTGAACTGTGGTTGCATTTATTTTCTATGTTCTTCATGTGGTAATAAGTCATATACCGATTTCTGTTGCTGTCTTGAACAGTTTATGTAAAATGTCTCGTATAACTTTTTAAAATTAATTTTTAATATTGTAAAATACTCATAAAATTTATCATTTTAACCAATTTAAGTGTACAGTTGTGAGACATTAAGTACATTTATATTGTTATGCAACCATCACCACTATCTATCTACCTCCAGAATCTTTTTCATCTTGCAAAACCAAAACTCTGTACCCACTTAACAATTTCTTCCTATTCCCCTCCCCCACCATCAGTTTCTGGTAACCACTGTTCTATAATACTTTCTGTCTCCATAAATTTGACTGTTCTAAGTACCACTTATGAGTAGAATCATGCAGTGTGTGTCTTTTCATGACTGGCTTACTTCATTTGGCATAATGTCTTTAAGGTTCATTCACGTTGTAGTGTATGCCAGAATTTCCTTCCTTTTTAAGGCTAAAAATACTCCATTAAATATATATTCCACATTCTGTTACCCATTTATCCATTGATGGACATTTGGTTTGCTTCCACCTTTTGACTATTGTAAATAATGCTGTTGTGCACATGGGTATACAAATACCTTTTCAGGACCCTGCTTTCAATTATCTCTCTCTCCTTCTCTTTTTCTTTTTAAGAGACATTGTCTCACCATGTTGTCCAGGCTGGTCTTAGACTCCTGGGCTCAAGCAGTCCTCCTGCATTGGCCTGATTTCAGTTCTTTTAGATATATACCTAGGAGTAGAATTGCTGGATCATATAGTAATTCTACTTTTAATTTTTTGAGGAACCACCATACTATTTTCCATAGCAACTATATCATTTTACTTTCTATATAACACTTAATATGTAAAATTAACTTTTATATATAGTTGCTAGATTACGAGCCCTTTAATGGAAGGATTATGTCTTAAACTGTGTGTGTACATACAGTTCCTAGATGACTGTTCTAAGAACCACCATTCTATTCTCTGAACCACCATCCTTTTCTTTTCCTTCACTTACACACACCGCCTTGTACCAACATGTTCTACCTCTGCTTCCTGCATCAAAACGTCTTGAATCATTTGTTTCTCTCCATTTCTCCTGCCTAGCTTCACTCACTGTCATCTCCTAGATTACCATAATATCTCTTCAGTTGTTTTTCCCCACTCCTGTCTTTGCTGTTCAATCCATGGTCTACACTATTGCTAATACAAGGATTCAGTGAGATAATTGGTGCACTTAAAAAACATTTCTAACACATAGTAAATCTTCAGTCACTGTTAGCTGTTGTTAGTGTTATTCTTCAAGGATTATGCAAAGGAGAGTTGGACATTTTAAGTGGGAAAAATGGATATAGCAATATAGAAATTGAGACAAATAGGGTAAATGCGAACAAATTAGTTAGATCTAAAATATCCCTTCAAGAGGTTTTCCGACAGGCTAGTGCAAAATTCTGCAGAGAGGCAACCTTAAGGAAAAGATTCTTGTGCTTCATAATATGTAAATGAATTGCTAAATTATTTTCATGATCTATTTTAAAGGGGTGTTGGTTGCATTTTCTTTGAAATGGCTTCTGGAAGACCTTTATTTCCAGGATCAACCGTGGAAGATGAACTGCACTTAATTTTCCGACTGCTAGGTAACAGAAGAAATCTTTTCCCAGTGATTTTGCACCCATAATTGACTAGCTGGATAAGACTGTATCTCTAAAATACATATTTTAAAATTAGATACTGAGACTAACATAAACAGCTGTTAGTTAGAATAATTAGAATGGACACTATGAAGATAGATCCTTCTAGGTAACTTCATCTGCTAAGTTTTATCTTTGCAATAAAGATTTTATGGAAAAACAGAACATAATTAGTATGGAAAATTGGATGTCACCATATTATTAAGGAATATTGCTAACTTTTTTGGTATCAACTGGATAGAAAAAGGACCAGGCATCCTTTTTACAGTATCATTGCAAAGTCCAAACAAAAAGTCCATGTACGTTTATTTCTGTCATTTCAATTGCAGTTGAAATAGTTAAGTCATCTGGTAAATGTAAATTATTCTCTAAGACACTTTGTTATATATATGTGTATATAATTTTTATATATAAATTTTATATATATTTATAAATATATTTAATTTTTTTTTTTAATTCAGGAACTCCATCTCAGGAAACTTGGCCAGGTATTTCTTCAAATGAGGAGTTCAAGAACTACAACTTTCCAAAATATAAACCACAGCCTCTAATTAACCACGCACCCAGGTATTTTTTTTTCTTATGTGAAAGGGGGGAAAACACATGATTCTTTTCAATCTTTTGAAGGATTAGCCACAGTAAGGATTCAGGAAAAAATACATAATACACATAACCCTTACGTATTTTAGGATCTTATTTAATTTTGAACTGTATATGTTTTAGAATTCTAGAGTTTATGTAGTTACTTTTCCCAGAAAGAAGACATTGATTAATGCCTTATTCCGTACCACAGAGATTATGATGAAATTCCTGTTTTGCTTTCTACAGAATTATTCTGTATTTACTTAACAAAAACCTAAGAAAGGGTTATGTAAGTAAAATCTTGACTCTATAACACAAGGTAACCTATCAGTATTTTGACCAGTGTTAATGATGTAATTCATATTTGAAGAATATAAACTCTGTCCAATTCCTTAGCAAAATGTAACATCTAAATGTCAGCCATTCATTTAAGTTTCTTCTTAGACCTACCCCAAGATCAATCCAAGGCTCCCAATAAAATTTGAGTCAGAACATTTTTACTTGTAGAATGTATTACATTTTCAGGAGATAACATAGAATAACCCCTTTGACTGCATTTTCCATCTCCCTGCCCCCAACCCCCCCAAATTTTGAAAGTCACCAAGATACCAAATAAGGACATCATTTATTTTAACCCAAAGCCATTCACATTGCTCACAACATAACACACTTGTTATGCTTCCTTTTATTTTCAAGCTAAGGAAGGAAGAGCAAAACAGTTATGACACCAAAAATATTTTTAAAGTATTTATGTGAGTTGGTACTCTTATTGTTACTATAGCAACTAATACCATTCTAACTAGATTTTCTTAGGAAGAATAATAATACTTGCTGGGCTTTTTTTGCATGTCTCTCCCAAGTAGCATAAATTCTATTTTTGTCCTTTAATTATTTTTTGGTAATGTTCAGTGTAGAAGGTTGAAGCTTTTCTTTGAAGCAGAGTCTCCATGACTTAGTGCCTAGTTTGTGCCCAGGGAACTCTGGATATGTGCTAGAATGGCAAACTACATAGAATGTCTAGACTGCAGCATCCACAGGACCCACTTGAGAGCACTTGGAAAAAAACGTTACCTTATTCATAATTGTACTTCTACCAGTGAAAGGCAGTGTAAGATAGAACCTGTTATTTCTGATCAAGAGATTATTCCATTAAGATAATCCCAGGCCGGGCACGGTGATTCACGCCTGTAATCCCAGCACTTTAGGGGGGCCAAGGCAGGCGGATCACCTGAGGTTGGGAGTTTGAGACCAGCCTGACCAACATGGAGAAACCCTGTCTACTAAAAATACAAAAAATTAGCCGGACGTGGTGGTGCATGCCTGTAATCCTAGCTACTCGGGAGGCTGAGGCAGGAGAATCACGTGAACCCAGGAGGTAGAGAGGTTGCAGTGAGCCGGGATCGCACCTTTGCACTCCAGCCTAGGCAACAAGAGCGAAACACCATCTCAAAAAAAAAAAAAAGATAATCCCTAACCCTACTACCCCTAGTTATACTAATTTCATCTTTATTATGTCATTAGTTTTATATCCCTTATTGATGAATTTTTTTTTTTTTTTTTTTTTTGGGAGACAGAGTCTCGCTCTTCCGCCCAGGCCAGACTGCAGTGGTGCTATCTCAGGTCACTGCAAGCCCCACCTCCCGGGTTCACGCCATTCTCCTGCCTCAGCCTCCCGAGTAGCTGGGACTACAGGCGCCTGCCCCTGCGCCTGGCTAATTTTTAGTAGAGACGGGGTTTCACTATGTTAGCCAGGATGGTCTCGATCTCCTGACCTCGTGATCCACCCGCCTCGGCCTCCCAAAGTGCTGGGATTACAGGCGTGAGCCACTGCACCTGGCCACCATTGATGAAGTTTTATGAAGTTATTGTAGCATATTTAAATTGAACTCAATACCTTCTAGTACCCGGTGCTAAGCAGACAACTCTAAAAATTTGCTGAATAGCTCATTTCTGTGTTTGTCTTGAACAACAGTGATACATTTTGGGGTCACTTGTCTCTGTTTTCACCTATATAATAGGAAAATGATGCTCTTATATACTTGCGTTTAGTGAAAGACTGCGAAAAGTGATACAATATGTAAGCTTTCTTAATATTGAAGTTTCTTTGTTTTGAGACAGCATGGTGATTTTTAAAATTCTTTAATTTGTTCTTGGATATTGAAAATTCAAATTGAAGCCAAGTTATTTATGGCTTATCCTTAAACAAATAGCAAGGCCAGTCTTTTAAGACTAAAACAGATTTGTGTCTATTTGAAGACAACAAGAGTGACTATTTTAGGGCATTTAAATTTAGCAGATTAAAACACTTAGAAAATAGTTTTATCTGAAAAGTTTTATCAGCTAAGAGAGCATAAATTTTTACTTGTTCTTTGTTGTTTCTAGGTTAGACTCTGAAGGAATTGAGTTGATAACAAAATTTCTTCAGGTAAGTCAGTTCTTACAGTAATTGTTAAATAGGTTGTTAAGCCTCAGCTTCTTCATGTGTAGAATGGGCTCAGTAGTACTTCCTCGGTATTGTTAATGACAAATAAAATTATCTATGCTTAAGGCACATGTTTAAGTTAAAAAAAAAAAAAAAAACATGGTTTCTCCTAATGTGTCTGGGTCTCTTGTCACCTACAACAGTCTGAGGTAGTTGGTTACTGGCATTGATCAGCTGTGTCAAGGCCACATTCTCTGCAATTGATGCTCTCTATGCTCTCTTATGTTCTCTTTTCCTTATACGTACAGCCTTTGGAGGATGCTCTGCCTCCAAATGCCATTCATATTTCCCTCCAAAGCAGGAATAAGGGGGGACGATAAGGGTAGTACCAGCCACATTAGTCCTCTTGAAACTTGGAAGCAAAAGCTTTACAGAAACCCCTACAAGGTTTCTTTCCAAGTCTTATTGGCCAGAACATTAATTGTAGGAAAGACTGGGAATTGGGGAGCAGAATTGTCATAATTAGCCAAAATTTAAAACAGTTATGATTCATGATTCATCTATCAGAGTTGATGGACACCTTGAACAAACCTAGGTTGTATCATCAAAAAAAAAAGGGAAATGAGTATTGGATAGGTCGTTAAGAATGACTGCCATAAAAATACTGGGTATATGTCCACCAGTCCTTTGGTGTTCATGAAGAGAAGTAACTACACAGGTCAAATATTTTAATTTTTCTTTGCTTCAGAAAATACAAGCAATGTAAATTCTTGTTTAAGATCCAGCCTTATCTTAGAAATGTGGAACTGAGATGTTATTACACAATCTCAGCAGCGACTCAAATTAGAGTATAACTGGAGTATTCCAAATTGTTGATTGAAAAATAGTCATCATATTAAATAATCAAGATTTTTTTTAAGTAGCTCTAAATGCTAATTTGCCCATCTCCTACTTTTTGCAGTAATTAGAGAAAAAGCTAATGAAGCAGTTCTTTGCTTTTTCACAGTATGAATCTAAGAAAAGGGTTTCAGCTGAAGAGGCCATGAAACATGTGTACTTTCGAAGTCTGGGACCAAGAATACATGCTTTACCAGAAAGTAAGAGAAATCCTAAAGTGTTTTCCCTGCTTTATTTTTATTTGTCCAAGGTTAGGGTCTGGGGTGATTGGGGAGATGGCTATTGATTTTTAAGCCTAAGATTCTAGTCTTCTCTATAGTTAGATTAGAATTTCTTGAAGGGAGGTGTGTGTCTTATTTCCCTATGATTCAGTTATTTCTTGTAACACTGAGCACATTGTCACTCCTCTGTAGGAAACCAATAGTACTTAGGCAAGGATCATTAATCTTATTGGACTTTAGTTGAAACATGCCATCTGATGACAGGCATTGTCCCTAGGCCCAATCTAGCTTCGATTTAGCGTTGTTAAAAGTGAATTTCAAACAAAAACTAATGAAGCATAACCGAAACATAAATTGTTTTCTTGTGAAAATACATTTTTTCTTAAGATACAAAGATGATTTTCCTTTATTGTGGTCACACTGACTTTACTATCCCCATGACAGCAGTGAGCATATTGTCAAAGTCACTGTAATAGCAGATTTCCCATGCCTGAATAACATTGATTTTACTCTTAACATTCTATTTTTAGATTACCACAGTATTTTACTTTAAAATAGAGTAAGGTGAGTGGGGAATTAGAAGAATGTTTGGGAACTAAGCTGCCAAAAGCTTTCATTAATTTCCTATTCTCATTTATTAGACAATATTGATTCATCAAAGCTTGTGTAGCAGTCAGTGACAAAGCTAATTGGAATAAAAAATCCTTAATACTTTTCACTTCAACTTTACTGGATATATTTAAATGAAAGAATACCTCTCTGACAGAGATTGGAAATGAAAAAGATAAATTACAAGTTTTCTTTTAAAGATATTTGTATTTCACTGGGCGCGATGGCTCATGCCTGTAATCCCAGCACTTTGGGAGGCCAAGGCGGGCGGATCACGAGGTCAGGAGTTCGAGACCAGGCTGACCAACATGGGGAAACCCCGTCTCTACTAAAAATACAAAAATTAGCTGGGCGTGGTGGCGCGTACCTGTAATCCCAGCTACTCAGGAGACTGAGGCAGGAGAACTGCTTGAACCTGGGAGGCGGAGGTTGCAGTGAGCCAAGATCATGCCACTGCACTCTAGCCTGGGTGAGAGAGTGAGACTCCGTCTCAAAAAGAAAAAGGTATTTGTGTTTCATTATTAATACCAAGTTTTACTTTGAGGTAGGCAGTTATGGTTATACAAACCTTTTCCTTGTTTTTCGCTAAAATTCCAAAGATAGCTTGAGGGCCTGGTACCTTCATGTCATTGTAAGGAGACAGAGAAAGGACAGAGAGAATTAACACCTAGTATAATAATATATTTTGACTGGGTCTCCCAACCCCAGAAAGTCCTGGAACAGACAGTGTATATTCTCCTCAGAGAAACACTTGCCCACAGCCTGCTCTGACACAGAGTTGGAAGAAGAAAGGTTCTAAAGGTGGATTGCTTCATTCATTTAGTTTTCTCCTCAACACACTGGGACAAAAAGGAAAAATTTCAGCAGGGCTATCACCTTGTAAAATGGTTTCATATTGAATCAGTATATGCTTTATAAACATTTGTTGATAGTAGGGTTGTGTTTGTTTTAATGTTAGACCTTCACCTAATAATTTTTGTCTATGCATTTTAGGTGTATCAATATTCAGTTTGAAAGAGATTCAGTTGCAAAAGGACCCGGGTTTTCGAAATTCTTCTTATCCAGAGACAGGTGTGTTTGTCATAAACCATTTCACGTGTCGATCATGAATTTTTGCGTGGAACCAAGCTTTTGGTTTATAAATTGATCAGTAAAATTATTGATGTAAAAACCAATGTACAGTGCATTCCACAACTGTTTATGTTTAGCATTGCACGTACTCACTTTTCTGTATGATGTGGGCAGCTCAGTAAATCTTCAGAGAAAAATCTGACTCAGTCAAGTCAGGGATCCTGAAAGCTGCAGATGGCACAAAGACCTTTTACAAGTGACCTGGCTTGATCACTGCACACGCCATCCCTGGTACCTGAGGCAGAAGACACATCTTGTGCTTCCCTAGTCATCAGGTTCATCACTTCGAAGCATAGAAGCTGTAGACTGACCCCGTCAACAGAAGGGTCATTTAAGACAGTGCTGATCACTCTTACCATGGAATATTAGCTTTTGCTGGTGGGAACATTAGCTTCCTAGTCACCAAATAACTGTATGTGGGATAAAACTGAACCTTGAACTGCCTCATAAAATGACTTTATATTTTAGGACATGGGAAGAACAGAAGACAGAGCATGCTCTTTTAAGTCTGATAACATGGTTTCAAGCCCAGCCCCCAGCCTTTCTTACCAATCAAGGACTCAGAACTGAAGGCAATTATTTCTTTTGGTGGACTTGGAATCTCCGTTTGTCTACACTGTCCTCTTCACAGTGGAGTCTTTTTATTTCAGACCTACAGATTGTTTTTATATTTGTTGTCACAGTGTGACAATTTTTTGTACAGTCGGTTTTAAGGTCTTCTCTGCCATTAGAGCCAGTAGGTTACAGCTATTGATGTAACTATAGCTGCAATTTTTGTGCAGGACTGAGAAACACAGTGCATTATTTATTGCGGAATCATTGCTGCTAAATAACTACTGTCTGTTTATTTAACACAACAATTGAATGCCTGAAGAAGTTGCAGTGGCTTTATTATATGTGAATGCATCTGTTTCTCCTCACGAATTGTTTTACTGCTGCATTTTTTGTTTTTAAAATTAAACTGCAGTGTTTCCTGGAATGTAAATTTAGCTTTGCTTAATAGTAAAATAAGTGAGCCATCTTGAACACTTTAAGTTTATACTATATAATTTCTTAATGAACATTGGCAAATAGAGTAGCTAAGAGATTGACAAGCACATTACGTTTAGATAAGCATGTGATGCAGAAGTTGATTCAAGCAAGTGAATCCCTGACATTTTGAGGATCTCACATTAGACACCAACAAATTAAAGCTCCAAAATTATTTATTTTTTATGTGTTCCTCACTTTAGAAACGTCTACTGCATATTACTGGATATTTGTATACTAATACACTTACCTATTTTACATTGTGTTTTAAATTTAGTTAAAACTTAACCGTAGAAGTCTGTTCAAACGCGAAAGGTCTTGCTTTGTTTGTTTTAAATACATTTATTTTATTAGAAAGGATGATATTTCATTGGGGAATAGTTTCTTTCATTTGGGGGCTATGTGTTTCAATAACATTCACTTGGAATCAGCTGAAAGCTGTAATATGTCTTTGAAATGAGCCATGATAAATTACAAACAAGAGAAATGAGAACTTACAGGATTGCTTGAAATTATTGTGGGTATTATCTGTTTACCAGAGATACTAAATATTAGTTTTAATTATGCATCTCTTTGAACATCATAAACACACTTTGGTGTTGGTAACAGTATTTTAAGCATTTTTGTTCACTTTTAAGGACTATTTGTTTAGTGCATCTTACAAACTATAAATCTTAATTGGTATATTTTGAAATGGTCGTGTAAATTTTTGCCTTATATATCATGAAAATAGTCATAACTTAATTTCTTTTCCTGAAATTCACTGTAAAACATTCAGGGGTCCTACCATTTCTGTTCAGGAAATCTTGTAGTTTATTGTTGTTATTTAACAGTATTAAGTGGATTTTTGTATATTTCATTTTAACTTTATTTGTGAATAGTGATTGTGGCATGTTTGGGGTGTTATTTTAATATTTCACGATACTAAAATTTTAATTTTAAAAAATTCTGGAAGAAACAGATTCATGTGTAATGGTGAATATTGGACCACTACTGCTTTTCACATTTGTAAATTGGTTTTATGTTAAACCTTGTAGCCTAACAAACTGCTGTTCTTTCTAACTGACAGACATGTATTAATATTGTACTTTGAAGGTTATAAATATGTGGAAATTCCTTCATTTTGTTTTGAAATTTATAATAACAAAATCTCCATGTTGTTAAAATGTGGTTTTATTGAGTCACAGTTCTTTCTTGGGGATGAAGGCTGTGCCGAGTGGGGTCCTTTTCTTTTATGGGTCGTTCTTAAGATAATGAAGTCTCACTGTGCTAGAGGTGTTATTGTTTTCTGTTTGTGCCAATCATTTGCTTAGTAATTTCTGCTGGGTTTTTTTTATAGCACTCTCAATTATAAAGTATCAAATTTGTCACTTCATAGAATGTATATTTGATTTGTTGCAAATTTGACATTATAGCTTTTCATAGGCTTAATTCTTGCGTATAAAAGATGAAAATATATATCCATTTGTTACATAAAGTGTTTCTTCCTAGGAATTCCTAGGGGTATTTCTTCATTTTATTAAGGAATTTGACAAGCAAACAAGTGTTTGTTTTTTTGTTTTATTTTTGATACTCGAGCACCATTCAGATCCTGAAAACACTGCAGTGAAGGGAATTGAAACTCCGAAACTTGGAACTTTGAATACCTGTGATTCCTCTTAAACTGGTAAGATTCTTAAAGGTAAGAGAAGATGCCTTTTATATTTTCTTTCCAAGTGGTACTGTGAACACACATTGGATGTGTCATTCTAGGTGTATAGAGTGGCTGCATTCTGTCTGAGGCTTTATCAACTTTCATTTGAAAGGCTATTTGTTAACATGTTATAATCTGTCTTTTGGACTCGGGACAATTTATGTAGGTTCTTTTTATCTTTTAAAAATTGTGTTGAGACATATATATATATATATATATATATATATATATATATATATATATATCATAAAATTTGGCATTGTAATTATTTGTATGTGTACAGTTCAGTGGCATAATTATAGCCACAAAGTTGTATAACAGTTACCACTGTCTACTTCTAAAATGTTTCATTACTCCAAACAGAAACTCTGAACCATTTTACCCTTCCCCGCAGCCCCTGGTAACCGCTAATCTACTTTCTGTCTCTGTGAATTTGCCCATTCTAGGTATTTCAAATAAGTGGAGTCATACCATATTTGTCGTTTTGGGTCTGGCTTATTTCATTCAGCATAATGTTCACAGTTCATCCATGTTTAGCATGTATCAGAACTTCATTTCTTATCATGACTGAATAATATTCTATTATGATTATACACATTTTGTTTATCGATTTATCTGTTGATGGACACTAGGATATCCCATCTTTTGGCTTTTGTGAATAATGCTGTGTGAACATTGGGGTATAAGCATCTGTTTGAGTCCTTGTTTTTAATTATTTGGGGAATACATACACCTAGGAGTGGAATTGCTGGGTCATATAATTCTGTGTTTGACTGTTTGAGGAACTGCCAAAATGTTTTCCACAGTGGCTGTACTATTTGATATTTGCAGTAGTAATGCATGAGAGTTCCAGTTTCTCCTCATCCTTGCTAATTCTTTTTTTCCTCCTTTTTATTACATTTATTCTAATAAGTTGAAGTGGTATTTCATTGTAGTTTTTATTTGCATTTACCTAATGCTTAGTGATGTGGAACATCTTTTCATACTTTTTTGGCTATTTGTTTATTTGCTTTGGATAAACCTTTATCCAAAGGTTTATTCAAGTACTTTGTCCATTTTAAAAATAGGGTTGCTTGTCTTTTTGTCATCGAGTTTAAAAATTCTTTATGTATTTTGGCTGTTACACCTTTATGAGGTATTTGATTTGTAATTATTTTCTCCTGTTCTTTGGGTTCTCTTTCACTTTCTTTGGTGTCCTTTTGTTGCACAAAAGTTTTATTTTATTTTATTTTTATTGTTATTATTTTCTGAGACGGAGCCTTGCTCTGTTGTCCACACTGGAGTGCAGTGGTGCAATCTCGGCTCACTGCTACCTCTGCCTCCTGGGTTCAAGCGATTCTCCTGACTCAGCCTCCCAAGTAGCTGGGATTATAGGCATGTGCCACCATGCCCAGCTAATTTTTACGTTTTTAGTAGAGATGGGGTTTCACCATGTTGGCCAGGCTGGTCTCGAACTCCTGACCTTGTGATCCGCCCATTTCAGCCTCCCAAAGTGCTGGGATTACAGGTGTGAGCCACCACGCACAGCCAAAAGTTTTTAATTTAACGACATCTATTTTATCTCGTTTGTTGCCTGTGCTTTTGGTGATTTAAGAAAGTATTGTCACGTTTCAAAGGTCATAAATATTTGCTCTTATATTTTCCTTTAAGAGTTTATTATATTTTTAGCTGTCAGATTTAGAGCTTTGATCCATTTAAATTTTTATGTGTGATACAAAGTAAGGGTCCGACTTTATTTTGCATATGAATATCAATTTTTTTTTCCAGCACCATTTGTTGAAAAGACTGTCCTTTCCCCATTAAGTGGTCTTGGTGCCCTTCTCAGAAATCAGTTGACCATAGATGTGAGGTTTATTTCTGGGCTGTCAGGTCTGTTCCATTAGTCTATATGTCTGTCCATAAGGGTTTGTAGCACAATGTTTTGATTACTGTCTTTAGAACGTTTTAAATCAGAAAATGTGAGTCTTCCAACTTTGTTCTCTTTCTCAAGATTGTTGTAGCTATTCAGAGTCTCTTGAAATTCAATATGAATTTTAAGATGGGATTTTCTATTTCTGCAACAACAACAAAACACCATTGGAATTATGATAGGGTTTGCATTAAATTAGAATCTATAGATCACTTTGGGTAGTATTACAATTTTAATAATATTAAATCTTCCAGTCCATGAACACAAGATTTCTTTCCATTTAGTTAGGTCATCTATAATTTCAGCAACATTTTGTAGTTTTCAGCATACAAGTCTTTTGCCTTCTTAAATTTATTCCTAAGCATCTTATTCTTATTGATGTTATTGTAGATGGAGTTGTTTTCTTAATTTCTTTTTGGATTTTTTCATTGCTAGTGTATAGAAATACAAGTAATTTTTGTGTGTTCCTTTTGTATCCTGCAGCTTTGCTAAATTTGATTATTAGCACTAACAGGGTTTCTGTAGAGTCTTTAGGGTTTTCTATACATATGATCTTGTTACCTGCAAGGAATGATAGTTTTACTTCCTCCTTTATAATTTGGATGCTGTTTATTTCTTTCTCTTGCCTAATTGCTCTGTCTAGGACTTCCAGTACTATGTTGAAGTGATGAAGGAACATATCCTTGTCTTGTTTTGATCTTAGGGACAAAGCTTTCAGTCTCTCACCATTGAGTATGCTATTAGCTGTGTCTTTCTATGTATGGTCTTTAACGTGTTAAAGAAGTTCCCTTCTATCCCTAGTTTATTGAGTATTTTTATCTTGAGAATATTGGATTTTCTTCAAATGCTTTTTCTCCATCAATTAAGATGATCATATTGTTTTCTATATTTTTTTGATGTGTATTACATTGATTTTCATATGTGAAACCACTCTTGCATTCCTTGGATAAATCCTACTTGGTTATGGTATGTAATTCTAATAGGCTGCTGAATTTAGTTTGCTAAATTTTTTTTAGTATTTTTGCCTATATTCATAAGGTATTTGGCCTGTAGTTACTTTTCTTATAGTGTTTTTGTCTGGATTTGGTATCAGGGTAATGCTGGCTTAATAGAATGAGTTAGGAAGTGTTCTCTCCTCTTCAGTTTTTTGGAATAGTTTGAGGATTGGTGTTAATTCTTCCTTAAATATTTGGTAGAATTCAGCAGTGAGGTGACCTGGTCCTGGCTTTTCTTTGTTCAGAGGTTTTGATTAATGATACAGTCTCTTTGTTATATATAATTTTATTCAGAGTTTTTATTTCTTGTTAGTTTTGGTAGTTTGTGTGTTTCTAGGAATTTGTCCATTTAATCTCTTATAACCAGTTTGCTGACATAAACTTTTTCATAGTAGTCTCTTATAATCCTTTTTATTTCTGTTATTGATTTCTAGTTTCATTCCATTGTGGTTAGAGAAGATAGTTTGTATGATTTCAGTTTTTAAAAATGTATTAAGAGTTGTTTTGTGGCCTAACATATGGTCTGTTCTGGAGAATGCTTCATGTATGCTTGAGAAAGTATGTGTCATTCTATGAAAAATATTGTTGGGTAGAGTGTTTGGTATGTGTCTGTTAGGTCTAATTGGTTCACAGTGTTCAGTTCCTCTCTTTCTTTACTGATCTGACTCTTTTGTACATTATTGAAGTGGGAGCATTGACATCTCCAACTGTTATTGCAGGATTGTCATATTTCTCCTTTCAGTTCTGTGAGTGCATGCTTCATATATTTGGGGGCCCTGTTACTGGCTGCATATGTGTTTATAATTGTTACCTATCTTCTTGGTGGATTGAACCTTTTAGCAATATATAATGTCCTTTGTCTCCTGTAACTTTTTTTTGATACTTTAGTCTATTTTATCTGACAAAAATATGGCCACCCCATACCTCTTTTGGTTACTATTTGTATGGAATATTTTTTCCATTCTTTTATTTTCAGCCTCTTCAAAGTAAAAATACAGTGTCTGTGTTTTTAAAGTGAGTCTCTTGTAGATAGCATATTGATGGATCATTTTTTAAATCCATCCTGCCCATCTCTGCCCATTAATTGGAGACTTTACAACATTTACATTTAAAATAATTACTGATAAGGAAGGACTTCTGCCATTTAGCTGTTTTCTGTATGTCTTATGTGCTTTTTGTTCTTCAGTTTCTACATACTGCCTTGTATTTGATTTTTTTTTTTTTGGTAATGTACCATTTTTATTTTCTTCTTTCTTTGCCTGTATATTTTTAGTTATTTTCAGTTCCTATCATTTTAAAATATTTATCCCCAAATGTAATCCCTTCGAGTTTATTATTTATAATGTCAGTGGTTTTATTTTTTAAATATTCTAGATTCTTACATTGATTCTTTCTGATTGACAAATTCATCCATATCAGAATTTTAAGTGTTAACACAAGCCCTCAAGCAAGGCTGCTGAAGAATTTGCATACTTTTCTATGTTCCAAACTTGAAATTTCCAAAGTTTTTAATGCATTACTTTAGACCCAAGAGAAAGGTACAACATTTTCCCCTCTTGCTCAGTGTAAAGCTGAAACTATTTAAAAAAAATTTTTTTTTGAGATGGAGTTATGCTCTGTCACCCAGGCTGGAGTACAGTGGTGCAATCTCAGCTCATTGCAACCTCCGCCTCTCAGGTTCAAGCAATTCTCCTGCCTCAGCTTCCTGAGTAGCTGGGATTATAGGTACATGCCACCATACCTGGCTGATTTTTCTATATTTAGTAGAGACGAGGTTTCACTATGTTGGCTAGGCTGGTCTTGAACTCCTGACCTCAGGTGATCCACCTGCCTCGGCCCCCCAAAGTGCTGGGATTACAGACGTGAGCCACCATGCCTGGCCTGAAACTATTTTCTAATCTTAAATTCAGATTCTGGGCTTAGTCAGATAGGAGTTTCCCTGAGCTGTCATCATTCCCGGCTGAAGTTATTACAATAATCAGTTTCCATCACTGACCCAGAAAATCACTGAAGTTACCAATTTTCTGTTAGACTCAAACAGAAAGAAGGTGACCAAGCCACTGATTATAAAGCTACTTTGATTAGAGGAGAATATAAAATTTCAATCTGTGATGATGGGGAGGATTTTTCATTGGTGGGTTCCCCCTAAGAGAAGTGGGAAAATTCCACTAATTTGAAAACCCATTTTTCAAAGATTACCATTTCAAAGACTGTAAACTAAACCTCTGTTGAGTAGAGTGGGTGTGGGGGCTAGATGTGCAGGTGTGCATCTGTGAGAGGGGGACAGGGAGAGAAAGACTGAAGCTGGAATAGGAATCCTGATGGCTGTTCTTGCTACTCTCTCCCACCTTAACGCTGCTGCAGTAGTGATGCAGAGATACCTGGGCTGGATCATAAAGATGTGAAGATGTAGCTGGTGACCCTCTGGATAATATGCAGCACCTTTCAGAGGGTAAGGGAAACTTAGCGTCTGCCAACAGTCTTGTATGTTTACCAAAGGATGGCTCCACTGGGCTCTGATTGACCTATGGAATTTTAGTGAATAGACTTGGGACTTAACGCAAGACTCCCTTGGGACTCTTTTGAGTCTTTCCTAGAACAGTGCTAGTTGAAACAGTGCCACTCTCCAGCCGTTTCTCCAGCTATATTGACAATAGTTCCACATTCTAACAGTCAAAATAGTCTTAAGGATCATCTTTATCTTGTTATTTTCTTCCTCATGTATGTATGCAGCTGAGGTTGTCAAGTGATGAATGGGTGACGTGGTGCTGTTACAGGCTGTGTAGCTCATCTCTGGATGATGATGATGGACTGTTATTCCAGAAACACTGAAAAAGTTTATTTTTGAGGGCCCCATCCTGCCATCTTGCTCTTCCACAGAATCGTAGCTAATCACTGTGTCATTTACTCCTCAGGGATCTAGAAGCGTTCCTCCTTCCTCCCTTTTCAATTTCGACTCTGTTGCTACTGGTATCTACATTACTATCCCATATGATGATGAGATAGGCTTTGTTCTCTGTGAGGGTAAATCCAGCCATATTGATCTTTTGAGTTCCTCACACCTCACCTCATTGTGAAACATCCCCTTTCCTCTGCTTGTTCATCTATGCCTCTTCTCTTTGTTACCCTTACTCATTCTCAATGTAATTTTTTCTTCCAGAAAGCCTTCTCTGCCCCACCTACCCTACCACAGACTGGGTTATGTGCTCTGCTGCTTAACTGCCTTCCTTCCCAATAGCATCCTTATACTTCACTCTGCAACAACACTTAATCACACGTCATTTCTTCTCACTAATCCACAAGCTCCATGAAGGAGAGGATTGCATTTTGCTCTTCTTTATCCTAGTACCTGATACATTTTAGGGGAACAGTAGTATTTGCTGATCAAATTAAGGCACACATGCATGATGAAATTCTGAGTAATTCTAAAAAATCTTTTGTCAGTTATGTAATATCAACTTGGATTCGTCCCCTCTCTGAGTCAACCAAAGACAAATGTCGCTGTCAAAAATTGGTGATAGAAACTTTCTTCCTAGCTGGCTAAAACATGTGAGTCTTTAAAATCTTAAGAACTAACCTATGATCAAGCTGTTCTCAACACACACACACACACACACGCACACACACACACAGATATGCAGGTACACACGCGCCACTGGGGAGTGGGTCTAGGAATAAAGTCAATACTAGAGAAATCTAGGTAGGGCCAGCTTCTTGATGACAGAAAATTTGCCTGCCCTCCCAGGAAACACTGATATAGCAAACATGTCTGAAAGGTTTATGTGCACCAGGTACTGTTCTATGTGAAGATGTAAATTGCTAATTTACATTCGTTGGAAGTCCTATAGATTAAGACCATGGCCTCTCAATCAAAATGCTGTTTGAAATCTGGCCAATTCTGTGACCTTGAGCCAGTTCCTTAATCACTCTAGGCTTCAATTTCCTTATCTGTAAAATGGTATATAATAGTACTTCTATCATAGGTTTATTAGGAAGATTAAGTAATCCATGTAACATGCTTAGAACAGTGCCTGGCATGACAGCAACCTTACAAATGGTTGCTATCATTAACTGAAATTATGCCATCCAGCAATGAAATAAAACCATGTTTTAGAGATCTGACTCACCTGAGAGAGGGTAACTAAACATAGTGTATTCTTCAGTGCCAATCCTTTAGGCAGGGTCATATAATCCCAGGTAACACGAAGGGGCGGCGCAGATCCCTGTGGGTATTTAAGCATAAAAGGGCATTTTACAAAACTGATTTGAATTCTTTTTTTTTTTTTTTGAGATGTAGTTTCGCTCTCGTCATCCAGGCTGGAGTGCAGTGGCATGATCTCGGCTCACTGCAACCTCCACCTCCCAGATCCAGGTGATTCTCCTGCCTCAGCCTCCCGCGTAGCTGGGATTACAGGCGCTTGCCATCATGCCCAACTAATTTTTGCGTATTTAGTAGAGACGGGGTTTCACCATGTTGGCCAGGCTGGTCTTGAACTCCTGACCTCAGGTGATCCACTCGCCTGGGCCTCCCAAAGTGCTGGGATTACAGGCGTGAGCCACCGCACCCAGCCAGTTGAATTCTTATGTATAAACAGAACCAAGCAAATTATTAATGAGAACAGGGATCGGGTTTCCATCCCCCGTTTCTAAAATGGCACCTGGAACATAGTTGATCTTTAAATGTTTCTTCAGGAAGCAAATGATTTCCTACCGCCACCTGTGTTACACTATATGTAGCTGTGAGTTATCTGTGGCCTTTTGGCACGCTAGTGATACTGAATGTGTTGTTTAGGGACTGCATTAATCTGCTTTCTCCCTGCATCCCCTCCCCTCCCCTCACACCAGTCTCCCTATATCAAACCCTGAGTGGAGACTGCTTTGAATCACCCATGAAAACCAGAGCCAGGTCAGCCTGGTATTGAGACCAAGAGAAATAATAACCTTTATCACCAAGCCTAGCAGTTCACATTCCCCTGAATCAACAAAATGGCTAAAAGAATAAATGGTAGATTTGATTTTCCCCTACCTTCTCACTTCCTCCTCCTCCTCAATACAGAGCAGTTGATAGAACTTAAATAAGATCAGGGGTCTGCTTTTCAATCCATTCCATTCTCCCACAAGTCAGCCTCAATAATTACATTTATTTCTTAAAATATGTGTATGTAAAGCACTTTTTTTTTGGATGTGCTGTCTTTAAGGGTAGGTGACAAGACTCATTTTCCAACTTGTATCCATATGGAAAAGTGGTTTGGGTCACCCCAAGCAAATGGAAGTAAGCCAATCCAGTTACCTCTAAACACCTTTTATCACAAAGTTTTTATTGAACAAAAATAATATGACAGTAAAAATGATACATAAAGTGAAGATTTGCAGTCATAGAAAAGATGTGTACAAAGAGACCAACATTCAGGTTATATAGTTCTATAAAACTTTTCCCATAGCAGTTTAACACTGATTAAGCAGACATAAAAGGGAAAAGAAAGTCATTAATGTTCTTTGAAACCTATTTTCTGAGTAAAATACCTCTGCTAACACACACATGCACACACACACAGAATGAGGCAGAGCTATATGAGTGAGTTATTCTTCAGTTCCTCCAGTTCTCTGTTTGTGTTACAGGAGTATTTTCATCCATCAAAAAATTGTAGTATTTTTGCATTTCTAATAAATGGATCTAGAGCATACATTAATCCCAGTTTCCAAAGGAAAAGAAAGAATCAGATCTATAGTCATTTAAATATTTCCAATCAGCATTTACGTAAACAAGTATACTAAAAATAGTAGTTTTGGTTGAGATTTTTGCACATTAACTTCCTTTAGTTTGTAAGAATCATGCATTTTGGATGTGTTCTCTTATCTGACAACACAGTTTTAAATGCTGTCTTTATCTGTTTTGTTTGTTTTACTAATAACACGTAGTTTTGAACCAGTAATTACTTAACAGCTAGGCATGGGGGAGACAGAATTGGACTGAGCACCAATCATTGTTCTACCTTCAGTGAGCTGTGCAGCCATAGGCAACTCCCAGCTTCTGCTGTGCACCTGTCTTGAGCTGGAAACAGGTGGCGGGAAGCATTCTCAAAGGCCCCTTCTAGCACTAACTTTGTATGTTCAGTAAATATCAGTTCCCTGGACCAGCTCCTTTTATTCTGGTACAGAATTATTCTTAGCCTATGGGGTGGGGGTGGGGGGACAGTAGTGTCTATTATTTGTGAATTTTGGAACCAGTGTCATTACTTTACAGTCAAGGAGGCATGTTAGAGTGTTTGGATTTTTATCCCTTGATAAGGGCCCACATCCCCACATACAGAGATGCTCAATTCCAATTGAAAAACCTCAGAATTTCTAAGTGTCAAAGCAATAGTCTAGATTTTTTTCTGAAAATTCAAGAAATGTGTTTTCTCAAATCTCTTTTTTTATCCTTTCTCATAATCCTGCCACTTAATGCCCAGTTTGGATCAGTTATTTAGTCACATTTCAAGTTAGTTTTTATCATCACTTATAGTTAAGGATTGTAATTAATCTTGAATTTAAAGCTTGGTGCTTTTCAGTTTTCTTGTATTAGAACTTTCCTTCTTCATGTACAGGTGTGGTACCTTTGGACTGGTGCCTGCTGATTTTCTGATGGAACAGAAAATATGTCTGTATTATCACTGCTCCAAATTACATTACACAACAGAATTTACTGGAGTGTTCCAAGTTATCATCAGTTCAGTTCCACGATGATGAGGTTCCTGTAGAATTTTTCATCTGTCAGATTTCCTTCATTCTCCCCTAACTTTAGTAATACATAAAGCAGTGTATCCTCTCTCAGTTTCCACAAGCAAGGCCTTTAGTACCTCCACTCTCTATTTGTATTACAGCAAGTTTTTGATCCATCAAAAATTGTGAACACCTACCTATACTGATGAAGATACCTAGTGTTAAAAATGGTTTCTTTGTTGTTTGGGTTCATCACCACTCTGTGAGCTTCTTCTAAAGCATTAGATTTTTTAAATGTTAATTATAGTTCCAGGGGAACCCCAACTTACTTATACTGACACAGTAAATATATCAGATGGTCGGGATTCCCTATGGAAAACTGAGAAAACCAGGGCTAATTTTTTGAAATAAGAATATGCTAACCTAGGAGATATTCTTGGGC
Source organism: Homo sapiens (assembly GCF_000001405.40). Classification (NCBI taxonomy): domain Eukaryota; kingdom Metazoa; phylum Chordata; class Mammalia; order Primates; family Hominidae; genus Homo; species Homo sapiens. The sequence goes on along the minus strand of NC_000012.12, from coordinate 96,267,977 downwards.
CTGGAATAGCATGAACTTGATGTAGCTTTTCCATCTCAGATTTTTGTCTGGGAGGCATCTAAAAGATAAGATACTGTAAACAGCTAAGGAGGCTAGCCTTTCAAGGTCCATTCTTTTGAAAATGTACTTTAGAACATTTTCTTTTATCAATGTTTATTGTCTAAATATGGCTTAGTTTATTATAAAAACATTACTTGGACATTTACTGAATTTCAGTTCAAAAGAGGTTCTAAGGCAATTCTTATACAATTGAAAGTAAAACAAAACGTGATATATGCTTTCATATTGCCCACTGGTGAAAAATAATGAAATTCTACTAGAGAGCTGTTTGATACTAATTTTCATCTTTCAAACATTTCCTCTTAATACTAAAAAATATATAAATCATTCATTTACATTAAATGCGAAGGAAGGCACAACTGGTTATAGTCTATATAAGCACACAGTTTAGCATACTCAGAACTAAAGAGAAAAAAGCTTCACATCCTTATTAGTTATACTGAAAACCATTAAGAAAAGTTCTTCACTGTCAACAGTGTTCAACACTTAAGAGCTAAAAGGATATAAAAACAAAAACATTAAAATTCACTTAATGCCAAACAGATTTTCATATATACTTGAATATATCAAAAACAGTTTTTAAAATGCTAACATAAATCTAGACTATCCATGTTATGAAAAGTGCAAACCAAATTAACAAGAGTTTCACAATGTCCTTCTCACGACACAGGTAAACTAGCCCGTGGGGACAAATTTGTTTCATCAGTTAATGAGTCCTTAATTGTGGCCAGACGTCATCAGGATTTCTGAGAGTTTGAAGAAAGCAGTACTGGAGAAGCAGCTCTGTCCAGACTGGGGATTGGCACTGGCATGTGGCCATTAAGCAGTGTGGGGAACTGTAGGGGACAAAAGATTTTTACAATAATTATTGCAAATCCATTGGGAAGAACTTAGGTTCTTTACATTCCCATACAGTCCATAGCAGTCCATTTCTCTCATCACCCCTGTGATAGAGATTAGTTGCCAATGTATTTTACAGAATAATTGGAAGATGACAATGAGATCAAGATTTACATAGAGCAAACAAAGGATAAGGCCCAGAAAATGTCCCTAATTATTCTATATGCATAGGCTACTAGGAAAAAATATATAATTTATATGTTGCTAAAGCATCTTCTAACACTATTTTTTAAAAGTTCTAAGCTACTCAGGATGCTGATAATGCTATAAATATTAAAATAATGTTTAATATTAAATATTAAAAGAGTGTTTTGAAAACCATAGACTCTTTACATGTGAGTCAGTAATTTCTAATACTATATTTTGAAATTTGCCATCAGTTTTTCAGGGTACTACAAAGATGATTCTTGCAGCATTTATTCTAAAGTAAGAAATGTATTTAAAGATTTAGAATAGATTATTTTGGAGCTAAGAAAGTATTCTAATTAAAATATCACACAGATCACTCATAAGTGACAAAGAATAAGATTTCTGTATTGTTGTTCACTAAGATGATAAATATAGTAGGATGACAGTATATGCTCTGATAATGAGTTTCAGGTCTGAAACAAATATGTTAGTTGCAATCCCAACTGAACAAGGCCTTTTAATATGTGACTACTTGCAACTAGATTTTCGTTGTTGAGGATGATGTGTCAAAAAGATCTCCTGGGCTGTCTTTTCTAGCTTATTTCCTATTTAGTCCAGGAAAGTTAAACTTCAGCGCCAAATATCAAATTACAGAGCCTGACACATGTTAGAAGTACAACAAATACTTATATTTAAGTAAATATGTTTTTGCAATTTTCAAACAATTTCAGTAACTTGTGTCTAGTACCTTAGAGTTTATCAAGGCTTGTCATTTCATTTGATACCTAGGAGCTGTAACGTAAGTTTTGTTGTCCCCATTTTACAGATGAGAAAACAGATTTCAAATAAGTTCTGTTGGCTAAAGGTCACACAGCTAATAAGCAACACAGCCAAGTTTTAAACAAATCTTTCTGTACCAACATTTTACAACTTTTTATTTTGGTAGGAGTTAGGGGGTATCTTTAATTACTGTTTTAATTTCTTTAATGATTATTGGCATATTCAAGGTTTTTGTTTCTTTTCTGGAACTTTAGAATTTTAACTTTTTCTAGAATTGTATTCACTTCAACTGCATTATCAAATCTATGCACATATAGTTTATACTCTTGTTTAAAAGGTCCGTGCTACTAACCACTCTTCCCATTGAGTTAGAGTGAACATGGGAAGATGAACAGATTTTAAATTTTCATTTATTTATTTATTTTATTTAGAGATAGGGTCTGGCTCTGTCACCCAGGCTGGAGCATAGTGATGCAATATTGGCTCACTGCAACCTCCACCTCCCAGCCATCCTCCCACTTCAGCCTCCTAAGTAGCTGGGACTACAGGTGGATGCCACCATGCCTAGCTAATTTTTGTATGTTTGGTAAATACGAGGTTTCACCATGTTGCCCAGGCTGGTCTGGAACTCCTGAGCTCAAGCAACTGGCCTGCCTCAGCCTCCCAAAGTGCTGGGATTGCAGATGTCAGCCACTGTGCCCAGCCTGCATTTTCATTCTTTTTGTTTATTTGCATCTTCTCTCTCTTTGGTGTACCTTATTGGTGTTTTCAAGAGAATCAGTTTTGGTATTCATCTGTTTTGCAAAATAAATTACTGATTTCTGCCCTTATTATTTCTGTATACTCAATGGACATAGTTTCTCTTGATTAGCCTGGCTTTTCTAACATTTTTTTAGTCATCTTTATTAGGCTCTTCTCCCATGACACTCCCCTATTTTAAACTGCAACGTTTCCCAAACTTTTGTCCCCAGCCACCTTTTCTCCAGTACCATGCTTGGACTTGACAACCATTTCCATTTTAGACATCTCCAACCAATGCCTCTTTCCCACAAAACTCGCCCTTCTTCCATTGCTTACTCCAAGTCAGTGAGAATGGTGGCTGGGACCACAAACTTAAAACTTGAGTCAGGGCTCCACCACTTACGAGTGTGTTATCTTGAATAAACTAGCCAATATCCCTGTGCCTTAGTTTCTTATCTCTAAAATAGAATTACTGGGAGTATTAAATGAGAAGCCACCAAAAGTGCTAAGAACAACGTCTTGCACACAATAAGTCATCAATCATCAATAAATGTTAACTATTGTTATGTTTTATCTTTATTTTTTCAGACAGGATCACTCTGTCGCCCAGGTTTGAGTGCAGTGGCATGCTCATGGCTCACTACAGCCTCAACCTCCAGGGCTCAAGCAGTGCTGCCACCTCAGCCTCCCTAGTAGTTGGGACCACAGGCACACGCCAGCACACGTGGCCAATTTTTGTATTTTTTTTGGAGAGACAGGGTCTTGCTATGTTGCCCCTGATGGTCTCGAACTCTTGGGCTCAAGTGATCCACCCATGTCACCCTCCCAAAGTGCTGGGATTACAGGCATGAACCACCATGCCCGGCCTTAACTATTGTTATTTAGTAGCATTTCCAGTATGTTAATCACTTAGTAATCTTTGCTTCTACTTAATTTTCAATACCTACTTTACCCCTCAGACCCAGCTCAAAGTCTGCCTCTCTTGAGCTCACCTCTAAAATGTCTTCTAATTATATCCTGTGTCCACTGTTTTAATCTCAAAGATGATTCTCCCTTCAATATTTGTAGTATCATTTCCTCTAGCCAGGTATGGTCGTTGACACCTGTAATCCTAGCCCTTCCTAGGAAGCTAAAGCAGGAGGACTGCTCGAGCCCAGGAGTTCAAAACCAGCCTGAGCAATATAGTGAGACCTCGTTTCTACAAAAAAATTTCAAAACTTAGCCAGGCTTGGTGGCATATGCCTGTAGTTGTAGTCCCAGCTACTTGAGAGGCTGAGGTGGGAGGATCGCTTGAGCCCAGGAGGCAGAGGTTGCAGTGAGCCGAGATTGTGCCACCGCACTCCAGCCTGGGCAGCACAGCGAGCTCATCTCAAAAAATAAAAATAAAAATTTCCTCTTATCTTCCTGTTCCTTCCACTTTCTCTTCAGTTCTTCCTCCACACTAATATCAGTGATTGTTCTCTAAAACAGAGATCTCATCCTCCTACCTCCAGCTTAAAAAGCGTAAACATTTAACAGATAAAGAGAGAAATTCCTAAGCCTATATTCAAGGCCCACAGCTGCGTTTCCAACCTTATCTCCTATCACCTGGTCCCTTCCTGAACAGACTCTCACGTCCCCGTCATTCGGCTCTATTCATCTAAATGTACTCGATCGAAATCCTGTCCCTTCCTCCCAGCTGAGGCGCCACTGCTTCCTTGGAGCCTGTCCAGTGGCCAGCTGGAAAAAGCGCGTCTGCCCCTTACTTTCTGCAGCAGTTTGTTTACTCATCCACTATTCACATATTCTCTGTCCCTACAGTCCTTGTCGCAGAGCATTGCAAATATTTGCTGGGGTTAGATTTGTTGAACTAAAAATTACAGCACACATTCTTAATTGAAAACTTAATTAGCTCTACCTTGTTTCAAGACATACCTATTCCTACTAGGTATATTCCACATTGGAACAAAATCTGTTTCAAAAGTCATGGAACAGACATCCTTAGACAAGAAGAAAATAATAAACTGTCCAAGAAAAACCGAGTTCACTTTATTTATATAAATCAAGGTTCTTTGTTTACATTTAGCACAATGTCTTCGGTGCCTCTCTCCTTACCTAAACATTTCTCAATTTTAAAGCATACCTCTTCCAGAAAGGCGTCTTCTCTCTCCTTCCTTGGAATTCTTTCATATCTGCTATAACCTGCTATAGTAATCATATTAGGGGCCCTTCTGTACAAAAATGCTTCAGCTGTTCAACTATTACCCCAAGGATTCTGATCAACCTTTCCAATCATGGTAATAGGAAACTTGCCAGCATCATTTAAAATGTGTAAGCCAAATCTATTTTTTTCTTCCTTCATTACATCTATAGCGTACATGAAAGAGGTTTGTTGTTATTTTGAAAGAAAATTATTTTCATCAGTTTAAAAGGGATGTTGGCCAGCGTGGTGGTATGCCTGTAGTCCCAGCTACTCCAGAGGCTGAAGTGGAGGACTACTTGAACCCAGGAGTTCAAGACCAGCCTGGACAACATAATGAGACCCCGTCTCTAAATTTAAAAAAAAAAAAAAGTTCTTAAAAAAATAAGAGGCACTGCTGATAGTAATCTGAATTCTGAATATGTATCAATTGTAACATCTAGTTTTAAAAATCAGAAAGTTATTCCTCTACCATATTTTGTTGTTTACCGTTCTCAAAATTGCTATTTTCAACTTTTGCCATACTCAGTTGCTCTTTTCACAGGAAGACTAATAATATTTTAAAAGGCAAAAAATTGTTTTTCCTTAGTCTCCTGGATCCAGCCACAAAAAGAGAGCCCAAGGCCATACAACCTGTCAGCCATCCGGAATACCAGCTTGTCTTTTTTTTCAAGGGTTGTATTCTGAATGGCTTCAGGAAAGAGAACAGGTCCACTTGGTGAAATTAAAACTCTAAGCAGGTAGCCTTTAAATGCAGTAATTTCTGATGCAGAATTCTAAATATAAACTAGGAACCTCTGGTCTGCAGTGCTTCTCAAATTGGTTCCTAGACTGGGTAGTATCACTAGGAACATGACAAAAATGTTTTTGGGCCAGGCACGGTGGCTTACACCTGTAATCGCAGCAATTTGGGAGACCAAGGCAGGCAGGTCACTTGAGGTCAGGAGTTTGGGACCAGCCTGGCCAACATGGCAAAACTCCATCTCTACTAAAAATACAAAAATTAACTGTGTGTGGTGGTACACGCCTGTAGTCCTAGCTATTTGGGATGCTGAAGCAAGAGAATCACTTGGACCCAGGAGGTGGAAATTGCAGTGAGCAGAGATCACACCACTGCACTCCAGCCTGGGCAACAGAGTGAGACTCTGTCTCAAAAAAAAAAAAAAAAAAAGTTTTTATCAGGCCCTATCCCAGACCTACTGAGTCAGAAACTCTGGGAGTGGGGCCCTGCAATCTTTATTTTAACTCACCCTCTAGGAGATTATTTTGCATGCTAACTTTGAGAACCATTGGTCTACAGTAGTGACTGAGGACTGAAGAAACGAGCGGATGCACGTATCCCAACTCCCAGAGATCCTGATAACGTGTCGAATCACTGTAGACATGAACCATCATTTCCTGTTGGGAGTGTTGGGCTGGAAAAGGTATCTAAGACAAGGAATCCCAAAGAACCCCCAGCCAATAGTGCTCCATTGCTTTCCTAGGAGGTTGCCAAGGCCTGCACCAATCAGGTGGCAGAATTCCCAGTAAGGAGAGAAATGAGAGGCCACTTATTATTCACAAATACCTACTGAACTCTACAGAAGCTCTGTGTTAGATTCTAGGATTAGAGTAGTATAACAATCCCTACTGCCATGGAGTTTACTGTAACCAAACAATTTCTTTCTATTCTATTAATTTTAGAATTCTGCTGCTCTAATCTTAAGACTTTCAGGAAATGAGGTGTTTTTATCTCTCCACCAAAAGATTAGTATTCCTAATTTTAAACTTTCCTAATACAACATTTGCTCATTGCTTTTTGCTATTTCTAGTTTCTCTTTTCCTACCCAAGCTGAAATTGTTAAAAATCAACATGACTATAGCTCAAGTTGTTGTGATGGGAATAAGGGCTGTGAAAGAGATAGAAACCCAATTACTCCAAGGATATGGTCACTTCATGACACCCTACCCTAACTCCACTAGGAAACCAAAGAAGCAAGATGGCAATCAAAACCTCTTTAGCTCCACCCTTACAAAGAGACCCTGAATCCCAGCATGTACAGCTCCTGGCACAGAGGAGGTACTCAGCAGACATTAACCTTGACAAGCAAAATGACCAGCTCAGATGATCATGAAGACTTGCTATTAATACTGGCCTTTCTCAGACTTCTCTTTGTGAATTCATTTAGACAGTCAATTATTACTGAGCCTCACTTGTGTACCAAGCCATGTGCCAGATGCTGGGGACACCACAGTGAACAGGATTCCATTCTGGTCTCGAGGGCCCATAGTTTAGTGAGAAAGATTGCCAGATCAACAGGCAATCATAATACAAAGTGCCACGTGCTAGATGAAATGGTATCCAAAGAGCTGCAACTAACTTGGGGTAAGCCACACTGTGGGGCACAGGATACAGGCAGGGACGATGAGAAAAGCTAGAATTTGGGAAAGAGGGAGTTTGCACTGGGTCCACCTTTTCTTCAGTCCTGTCCCTAGGATTCTTTCCACCTGCACTCAACATATTCAAACAGTAACACCTTAATCAGTGAGTAATGATCTATGGGTCTCAAGGAGGAAATACTGATTTCTCCATGATAGCAAGTGACGGTCCTGCAAGATTCTGGTGTGTGAATGAATAATGAAGGTGCTCGCCTAGTATGGAGAGTTCTATAAGATAAAGCAGCTAAGTCTTCATTATTTTTTAACCAAATGCCCTGGATTCTCCTTTTTCATTACAGAACAAGGAGAACTTAATGATGATTCATAAAATGATGCAAGTAATTTTTCTATCCCAGGATGGGGAAATTGTTCACTATTTTTATTTTCACTTTATGTCAAACAAGTTGCTACATTAACTAGGAGGATTAATATTTTAAAGTCTTTTGTGGACTTTTATAAATAATAATATTTATTTTCATTTTATTTTAAATATAGATGGGGTCTTGCTGTGTTGCCCAGGCTGGTCTCAAACTCCTGGGCTCAAACAATCCTCCCACCCTCAACCTCCCAAAGTGCTGGGATTACAGGTGTGAGCCATCACACTGGCCTAAAGAATAATTCTTAAAGTTTTGCCTTTTCCTTAATAAATTTCCTGTTTTCATAGACAAATGAAAATATGCAAAACACTTTAAGAACTAATTGTTCCACGTATGGGTGTCTGGCATGAGTCTGCAATTTCTGCCTCAATGAAAATGTCTGCCTCTGAAGGGCGTGCAACCCCACTAACATGAACCCCCTCTGGACATTTAATATTTCAACTCAACATATGGCAAAACTCACCGTTACCTCTGCAGGATTTAGAGAAAAAACCATCCCTCAGAAGCTTAATGTTCAAAAGTTCATTTCCAAACGCTCACCTGGAACAGCGTGCTTGGCCCTTGCAGCCTGGCAGGACTCAGCGGAGCAACTGGACTAAGGCTGCTCCAGAAATGTATGCTGGAGAGCAGTGGACTCGGAGTCAGAAGCAATCCATTTGGTGTCTGGGAAGTAAAGCAAACAGACTTCTTCATATAGGTTCACCTGACTTGGGCCATGATCAACAGAGCAGCAGAGAGAGGTTAGGTAGGCTAGGCATGGGCCAGGAAACGACCTTACCATCTCAGGAAAACTGGCAACGTTAATTCTGAGGGGCTGTGAACAGTTTAATTTTAATTTTCTTTTCTTTTGGAGACAGTCTCGCTCTGTCACCCAGGCTGGAGTGCAATGGCGCGATCTTGGTTCACTATAACCTCCACTTCCTGGGTTTAAGCGATTCTCCTGCCTCAGCCTCCCAAGCAGCTGGGATTACAGGCACCCACCACCGACTAATTTTTGTATTTTTAGTAGAGAAGGGGTTTCATTACGTTGGCCAGGCTGGTCTCGAACTCCTGACCTCAAGTGATCTGCCCACCTCAGCCTCCCAAAGTGCTGGGATTACAGGCGTGAGCCACCATACCTGGCTGGCTAGTTTTCTTCAATGCTAATTTTATTAACACTTTTTTCATAAAGGAAAAAGGTATTGACACATTACCTTCCCTAAACATTCTGGTGGAAAATTCAAGTTTGTATCAACTTTCGTCCGAATGGTTTGTTAACTTGTTCCCCTTCCCAGATTAAACAAGGATTAGTATACAAACAAAATAGGATCCCATAAAGGGGCTTTAATTCTTCTTATCTATATTTTCCTGTGTTTCTACAGTGGACATCTATTACTTGGGTTACGAACACACGTTTTTAAATGGTCTCCATATCAACAGCTGTTAAGGCTTTGGGATTTGCTGTTAAAATACCCTGTAGCAGCCTCTTCAGAAGCTCTGAGCCGGGTTTTCCAGATTCCTTCCGGATGTGGAGTTGATGAGAATTCATTGCCCTGGCAATGGTTTGGGTGGGGGCAGGGAGGGCCCTTTCTTGTCAGATTGGGTATAAAGCCAAAACCCTGGGTTTCCCAGGGGAGTTCCAAGGACTGAATTTCTTGCACACACACAGCAGGAGTCCTGGCCTGCAAGCCAGCAGGAGGGCAGAAGAAACACCCGCCCAGCTGCTAAGTCTGCATGGCTTTTATTCTCAGTGGAGACAAACTCCCCGGCCCAGGGTGGTTTTGTACCTTTGGTGACTAGAAGGAGTCCCTCAGTGGTTTTGTGATGTCAATAAGGTGCTTTGTGTAAGAAGAACCACAGCAAAGGCGCCAGCCTTTCAGACTGCACCATGCTGGATGCTAAAGTGTTATTTTTTCCTAGAATTGGCCTCCGTAGCATCATTAATTACCAACAGCATTTGGCTTAAACCTAAATTGAAAGGTCTGCTCTGTTCAGCAGAATGGAGACAAACATCCAAAGTTCCTCAAACTGTGAAGCTGCTGAAATGTAAACACATTTATACCAAATTATTTGAGTCGTTGGTTCCATGGCATTTCCTACATACTGAATGACCTATGAGGTTACTAGAATAAATACATGTTTTGAATAAGCTTCCCATTTGTTCTAGTCCAAGGCAATTTCACAAGCATGCCAGGCCATCTGGCCTAACAGTTAAAACTTCACGGCTCAGCATGAGCTCTGCCAGGGTTCCAATCTCAGAACCACTACTTCCCAGCCAGGTAACCTCAGGCAAGCCACCTAACCTCTCTCTGTCTCAGTTGCCTCATCTGTAAAATGGGGAGAATAAAAATGCCCACGTTACAGGGTTGTTGGGAAGATTAAATAAGCTGATCTACTGCAAGCTCTTATAAGATATGTGCCTGGCATATAGAAATGCTCAACAAGTGCCAGAGGCAGTTATCTGGCTAGGTACTTCATACATGTTTTTGAATGAATAAATGGATTGGTAATTAATTGAAAGTATACATGACATACTTACTAAACGTACTTCATCTATGTGAGGGAGAAATTCTCAACTGTATACAGAGAAGGACTTAATCCTCTGAAACAGACCAACTCAACTGAGTCAGCCTGGACTTGGAGGCTACTGTCAGTTGTGTTAGGCTCAAGGCCACAAGCTCAGGTGTTCTGAAAACTAATATTTGCATGTTACTCTGGAGCAAGGTTCCAACCTCAATATGTCACATTAACATTTAATAACCAGTGTGTTCAAGGCCTCCTAGTTTATCCATCAATGAAGGCTCTCAAAGCTTTAAAGAGACAATCTTCTAAACCACAAAACACAGCTATCCTTCTCTCCTCCATGGCCATCATATGCCCATTCCTTTTTAATCCTCTAAGCAATGTACAAGGTCTAGAATTTCTATTTCTCTGGTCTAAAACGTATACCCATGTCTGGATTTGAGATGTTTGCACATTTGTTTCTTAGGAATACAGGATGTACTCAGACTACTGTAGCCTTCTTGTTTCTCATCTTTAATATGTCTGAAATGTCTTCTATAATATATGCAAATAAACACTGTAAAATGATTTCATTCCCTCCTCTCCCTTCTATCCCTGAAGTTCTCCCTGAAAATCCTGTGGCCTTAAAGAACCATGTGGTTGCTTTTTTAAGGAAAGTTCCTATAACACCTGCTCTGGGTTATCTCCGGGACAGTGTGAGACTTCACAGCCTCTCTCCACACGCTCCTGGAGTCAGGCAGAGTGGGCTGAGCCTGAGGGCCAAGGGCTAAAGAAGCCACAGCAAAAAGTGCTGTTTTCTTTCCTTCCCCAAAGACAGTCTCGTTTTAACAAGCATGGCAGATAAGGAGCTCCTGATCCCACGGCTGCTGGGAAAGGAGATGCCACAGGCAATGCATTTGCAAAGAGTAAGACCCTCATCCCAAGATCCCCTTTTCATTTTCCCCACTCAGTTCATCTTCCACTTCCACTTCATAGAGTCTCCTAAAAAGCCTGCACATCTGAGCTCGCCAGGGTGAGCTGGCATCCAGGCATGCCCACCTGTGCACCCCTGCCCCGGCCCGCTGCCTCCTCCTCTTGCCTTCCTCTGCCCATCAAAATGCCACCTCCTCCAAGGACACTTTCCTGATCTCCCCTCAACCAGATGGGATTTCTTATTTCTGAATCTTTGTAACACTTTGTGACCATTTTTTTCTTAACATTTAACATGTTCTGCCTCCTATTATGGTGATTGGCACATTTTTCTTATTCTTTCTGTAGCCTTTAAGGTATCTGCTCATCTTTATTCCTCCTGTACTTTCATCTCCTAAATACCAATGAACTGAAGCCATCTGCAGCTCTAGCTGGGTCCCCCCTGGCTTATCGCTTGTTGGGCATCTCCACTTGGATGCCCCACCATGCTCCAACTTCATGAAGCTCAGCACCTTTCCACATCAGTGTTTCTTAAGACTCTTCCCCTTCTGTCAACAGGACCACCGTGTAGGCACTGCCTCAATAAATACTGACCGAGAGTGCAAACTATGTTTCAGGTGCCACAGATGAGGATAAAACAAGACATAAACCCTGCATGCACAGCCCCATTTACCACCCGCATCCCAGGCCCCACCATGCAAAATGCCTTCCGATAACTGCAAGCTCCGGACATAGCCTCTGGAGGAGTCCCACAACTCAGTCTCCTGTTTATCCCTCATTTCCATTCCTGCTGCATCCAAGCCCCTATCACCTTACAGATGGCATTCCACAACAGCTGCCCAGGCCAGTCCACCTGCCTCCGGTCTCCCCATCTATTCTGTACCCCATCGCCAAATCAACCACCCTCAAACACTGAGTTCACTCAACATTCAGTCACCATTTCAGAAAGGATGTGATGTCCTCCTTAGCCCCAGATTTGAGGTTCCCCATAATCTGGGTTCACACACTTGCTAACTTCTGAGGACTAAGCTCTCATTTTTTATCTTGCCCAAATTCCTACCTAGGGGTCTAGGGAGTCATGCCCTACAAACCGTAAATTCTCATCAGATGGGTTTTATTTGACCCTATATATGGTGACTTACTTTTCAATCTGACTCTGGAGTAACATTATGGAACGAGGAAAAAATATTTAACCCCAAAATATATTTCCTTGCCATACCTTGAAGTTGCCTGGCAATTTCATGACGTCTCATGCCTCCCTAAAATATATAAAACCAAACTGTACCCCGACCACCTGGGGCACATGTTCTCAGGACCTCCTGTGGACTGTGTCACAGGCCATGGTCACTCATATTTGGCTCAGAATAAATCTCTTCAAATATTTTACAGAGTTTGACTCTTCGTAGACACTTCCCTCCCCAAACCCTCTTACTTGCTTTGATGTGTCCTGAGCTTTCCTCATATGCACGGAGGAACAGGCATTCTAACCCAACAGTCCTTCAACGCTCCCTCAGAACTTCCCTGACCACCCAGCCCAGCCCATAGTTCCCTGGGCTACAGGCCCTCTCCACAAGTGACCTCATCCGTTCCCATGGTTTCACCACCCCTTGCGTGTTGATGACTGCCTAACTTCCTCTCCGGCTCCAAAACACTCTCCGCTCTCCAGATGCAGCTGGACTTTTCCACCCGAATTTCCTGCAGGGTCCTCAAACTCAGCATGGCCCCGACTGGACGTTTAGCCTTTTCCCAGGGAGCTTAGTCTTCCTCCCATGTTCCTCACACTCAATTCTGGCTCTCCCCACTCCTCCCACCCAGTCAGTCACCAACTCCTGCTGACGGCACTCCCAACATCAGATCCATCCCTCTGACCCCTCCCACCATACAGCCTTAGATACTCATGGTCTTTCGCCTGGAATATTCCAATAGCATCCTACTTGGATCCAGCCTTCCCCCTTCCCAATCTCGCCAGCAGGGTGATTCCTAAAACAATTCAGACTGTCACTCATACCCCTTCAATGCTTCCTATTGCTATACCTCCCCTAATCACAAAGCTATTTCACGTATCTATGCCTTGCCTCAAGCTGTTCCTCTGCCGACGATGCCTTCCTCTCCCTGTCTACCCTGCCACAGGCTGATCCTTCAACACCCTGTACCAGTGGTCTCACCCCCTCCAGGAAGCCCTCTGGACATTCTTCCTCCATCTCAGGCAAAGTTAATACCTTCCTCCTTAGGATTCCTTTTGCAACTTAGTATTCCTTTTGTATTGCACCTGAGATACTAGATGAAGGGACTTAAGTTATGAGCTCCTAACTATCAGAGACTATTTTATCCACGTTTGTAGCCCCAGCTCCAAACACAGCAGCTTTCACATGATGGGCACTCAGTTCATGTGTGTTGACCTGAACTAAACGATCTTGCCCCTCAGCTCCTAAAGCGCTTCTCTGTGCTGCATGTTTGACTCTTGCCAAGGGCTATTGTGTGTGTGTGTGCACTTGTAATGCCTTGTTGTCATGGCTAGGTCCTAAGGTCATAAAAACAAGCAACTGTAGTTTTGGTGTCCTTTCTAGGCTCTGTTATTGCTCAATAATTATTTGTTGATTCTAATGAGATTTTTTTCACTTATACCTCTAGCAGCTGTTTATTTACTTATTTATCTTTGAGATAGAATCTCACTCTGTCACCCAGGCTGGGGTGCAGTGGCACAATCTTGGCTCACTGTAACCTCTGCCTCCCGGGTTCAAGCGATTCTCCTGCCTCAGCCTCCCGAGTAGCTGAGATTACAGGCATGCACCACCACACCCAGCTAATTTTCTTATCTTTAGTAGAGATGGGGTTTGGCCATGTTGGCCAGGTTGGTCTTGAACTCCTGACCTCAAGCTATCCGCCCCCTTGGCCTCCCTAAATATTGGGATTACAGGCGTGAGCCACTGCGCCCAGCCTCTAGCAGTTAATTTCCAATCCAAACAAGTCAAAATTCCTTAGCCAGTTCTCAGGGTCCTCCATAATTTCACACCACCCTAAATTATAACCCTATGTTATATATTGCCCCGTATGCTGGACAGCAACCTGTAAACTCATGAGAACAGGAACGGTTTCTATCTTGCTAACCTCTGTATCTCCAGGTATCTAAGCGAATGCTTAGTTTTCAGTGATTATCTCCCAAATGAATGAATACATGATAAACATTTGTTACTGGACTGATTAAAGAAGATGCAGAAGTATTTGCTGATCACTTGATTTGGTGATCTGAGATACCGGTAAGTCACTCAGTCTCTAAGAAAGTAAAGGAGAGAGAAACAAGATGTCTAGCAGGTTGTACCCACAAATATCTGTAATCCTAAGCTCCCACAGATGCCAACAGAATCCATGACAATGCCACCTTGAGGTTAAAAAAATGTCCTCAAATAAAAGGTGACTGAATCTCTGGAAGCTCCTAAAGTTGTCTGAATTCAAGTGAAACCATGGTTTTAAGGTCTTTAAAAGGTGAGTTAATCCCACAGAAGTCTGTAGCACTGATCCTACGGAAAAGGAGACAAAATGGAGACTCCCATGGGGGCCTAGGGTAGCTACAGAAAGGGACAGGGGAGGAAGCAGGGCAGAACCAGGGACAAGGAGGCAGAGTCATGAAGACTGGGGTGGCTGTGGCAGTTTCTTAAAATAAGACAATAATGAAGTTTGCCACATTGATTGACTCTTTTATTTATTTATTTATTTTTTTGGTGAGATGCGAGTTTCGCTCTTGTTGTCCAGGCTGGAGTGCGGTGGCGTGATCTCGGCTCATCACAACCTCCACCTCCCAGGTTCAAGTGATTCTCCTGCCTCAGGCTCCCAAGTAGTGGGATTACAGGCATCTGCCACCAAACCTGGCTAATTTTTGTACTTTTAGTAGAGACGGGGTTTTGCCATGTTGGCCAGGCTGGTCTTGAACTCCTGACCTCAGGTGATCCACCCGCCTTGGCCTCCCAAAGTGCTGCGATTACAGGCGTGAGCCAGCGCACCTGGCCCAATTGATTATTCCTTTCATGAAAGATTTCTCTATGGCATGTGATGCTGTTTGATAGCATTTTACCCAGAGTAGAACTTCTTTCAAAATTGGAGTCAATCCTCTCAAACCCTGCCGCTGCTTTATCAACTAAGTAATGTAATGTAAAGTTATGTAATATTCTCAGTCCTTTGTTGTCATTTCAACAATATTCACAGCGTCTTCAACAGGAGTAGATTCTATCTCAAGAAACCACTTTCTCTGCTCATCTGTGAGAAGCAACTACTCACCCAATCAAGTTTGATCAATAAATTGCAGCAATTTGGTTGCATCTCCAGGCTCCACTTCTAATGCTAGTTCTCTTGCTATTTCTACCACATCTGCAGTTCCCTCCTCCAATGAAGTCTTGAACCCTTCAAAGTGATCCATGAGGGCTGGAATCAGTTTCTTCCAAACTCCTGTTAATGTTGATATTTTGACCTCCTCCCATGAATCATGAATATTCTTAATAGCATCTAGGATGGTGACTCCTTTCCAGAAGGTTTTCAATTGACTTTGCCCAGATCCATCAGAGGAATCACTATCTATGGCAGCTGTAGCTTTATGAAATGTATTTATTAAGTAATAAGACTTGAAAGTCAAAATTACTCCTTGACTTCTGGGTTGTAGAATGGATGTTGTATTTGCAGGCATGAAAAATATTAATCTTCTTGTATATCTCCATGAGAGCTCTTGGGTAACCAGATGCACTGTAATGAGCAGTAATATTTTGAAAGGAATCTTTTTTCTGAGTAGTAGGTCTCACCTGGGCTTAAACTATTCCATAAACTGTGAAAACAGATGTGCTGTCGTCCAGACTTTGTTGTTCCATTTACAGAGCACAGGCAGAGTGTATTTAGTAGCACTGGCTTCAACTTAAAGTCACAAGCTGTACTAACAAGAC
Source organism: Homo sapiens (assembly GCF_000001405.40). Taxonomy (NCBI): domain Eukaryota; kingdom Metazoa; phylum Chordata; class Mammalia; order Primates; family Hominidae; genus Homo; species Homo sapiens. The sequence goes on along the minus strand of NC_000012.12, from coordinate 96,252,057 downwards.
TCAGCCTGTCCTTTGAAGCTCTGAAGCCAGGCATGGACTTCTCTTCTCCAGCTATGAAAGTCCTAGATGGCATCTTCTTCCAGTAGAAGGCCGTTTCACCTACAGTGAAGCTGTTTGACGTAGCCACCTTCATCAATGAGCGTAGCTAGATCTTCTGGACAGCTTACTGCAGCTTCTCCATTAGCACTCGCTGCTTCACCTTGCACTTTTATGTTATGGAGATGGCTTTTTTCTTTAAACCTCATGAACCAACCTCTGCTAGCTTCACACTTTTCTTCTGCAGCTTCTTCGCCTCTCTCAGCATTCAAAGAATTGAAGAGTTAGGGCCTTGCTCTGGGTTAGCCTGAAAGGAATGTTGTGGCTGGTTTGATCTTCTATCCAGACCACTAAAACTTTCTCCATATCAACAATCAGGATGTCCCACTTTCTTATCATTCATGTTTTCACTGACGTAGCACTTTCATTTCCTTCAGGAACTCTTCCTTTACATTTACATACTTAACTGGTATAAGAGCCCCCTAGCTTTAGGCCTGTCTCGGTTTTGGACATGCCTTCACCGTCATCATTCTAGCTTTGGATTTAAAATGAGAGATGCGCAGCTCTTCCTTTCTCTTGAACACTTTATAGGCCACTATAGGGTTATCAATTGGCCTAATTTCAAAATTGTTGTGTTTCAGGGAATAGGGAGACCCAAGGAGAGGGAGACACAGGAGAGCAGTTGGGACACACACAACACTGATCAAGTTTGACACAGGAGAGCAGTTGGGACACACACAACACTGATCAAGTTTGCTGTCTTATACAGGTGTGGTTCATGGTGCCCCAAAACAATGACAATAGTAGTATCAAAGCTCGCTGATCTCAGAGCACTATAACAGACATAATAGTAAGGAAAAAGTTGGAAATGTTTGAGAATTACCAAAATGTGACATTGAAACACGGAGTGAGTGTGTGCTGTTGGAAGAACAGACTGGCGCTGACAAGACTTGCTCAGCGCCAGGTTGCCACAAACCTTCGATTTGTAAAAACCACCAATTAATTGTGAAACGTAATAAAGCAAAGTACAGTAAAATGAGGGATGCCTGTATGAGGTGTGATAAGGTAACCACGTGACACAGGCCATGCCAAGGCTCCCTTACTTCTCCCCTTCTTCCTGCCATGATTCTAGCTGGAAATAACCAACCTTCGGAATTTGTACCTTCAGGGTATCGGGTTATTACAGCACACACAGCTTTCACCTCTTCCAAAGCCCACCACTAAGCAAAGCTGACAGCCCACAGATTATCAAATGTTTATGTGCACACAGCATCACACTGCACACAGCACACCCCCCACACACAGAGAAAAGGAGAGTTTCTGTGACAAAGTGCTCAGGTAAGAGGAAAACCACTGAAGCCTCACTGCTGCCTGTGGAACACCCTGAACCCCACAGTTGTCCTTCACTCCTGAGGCCGAAAGGAATTCCACAGAATGCCTGGCTGTTGAGAGCCACGCTGTTTCTGGCTGTCACCTGGAAGACAAACTACTGAGCTGGTGCTGGTGGGTGAGTTTCTGGGGCACCCCCTGAAGCAGCTCCCAGGGGAGGGAATCTGAGAGTCCAAATCTGACACTGACATACCCTAATCCTAAACCACCCCTGGCTTCAAGATATCCTATCTGATCTCAGGGAATCCGCCTGGGTGAAACCGGCTGCAAGAACTCAACTCTGAATAAGTACCACACCCCTGACTACCACCCGGGCCCCTCTGGTGTCTCCCTCATTGCCCCTTCTCTCCCTCCCTGTTGGCCACCCATGGCCATGCCAGGAGCAGAGCCCACACTCTGGGAATGTGAGGGAAGTTCAAAGTGGGGTCTGAGTCCCGAGGCTCTACCATCTCCCAGTGTAGCTGGTGACCCCCTTAGTTTTGCGTGGTTTAGAGGACTGCCTGGTGCCCCTCCTCCTCCTTTGACCCGAAGGCCCTCTCTGAGCCAGGTCCCTTTACTTCCACTCTCCTGCCCTGGGTCCAGATGCTGCCTGTTGCCTCCCTCCCCTCAGGACCATTTCTGGGCTTCCTGGCACTAAATCATCACAGCCCCACCCTCACAGCTTGGCTGAGGACCAGGCACCCTCACTGCCTAAGGCACAGGTCCTCTTGTAAAGATCCTGGCTTTCCTACGCCTTCCCACCTAGTTTCAGGCCATGCTGGTGGCTTCTGGCTCCTGGTCGTGCCCTCTGCATCCATTTGTTGGGCATCCACCCTTGATCCTTCTCTCACGCCCTCAGCCCCACCGATGGGAGCCACCACTCCATCCACATTATCCACAGGGCTGGCTGAGCTGACTTCCTCTGAGACAGGGCTGGCATCTGCCTCACTCTGTTCTGAGAAGGTGATCCAGGCTCCCAGGGAACACAGACACCTAAATCAGAGTCAGCCCTGGCCTGGCTTCGGACCTTTCTCACCCTGACAGTTGTAAACACACAGGAGGCCAGGGGAGGAGATGCTCAGATCATCTACCCTGGCCCTGCCTCTCAAGATACTCCCCTGAGCTACATCAGGAGCTGCTGTTTCTGAGCCATTTGCTCAGCAGCCCTTGGTCACTGGACAGCCTTGCTTAACTGGAAGATGCCTGATTTAAGAGCACACGTGCTCACTCTGACCTATATCCTGATCCCCTGGCCCTCCCCCTCCGCAGTGGCGCGCGTCACCACCAGCTCACAGGCTTGAGCTGTCATGAAATCCTGGGCAGAATCCAGTCCAGAGAAAGCGTGGAGAGGACAGTGGCCCAGAGCTGCTTTCAGGTGCTCCATGGACGGCCATCGTGATCAGGGACACTGCCTTCTCGCAGCGGGAATGCATTTCATTTGAGAGCATGGATTCTGGAGGCAGACACTGGATCCAAAGCCACCTCTACCACCTATTGGCTGTGGGACCCTGGACGAACTACTTTACCTCTGTGCCTCATTTATCTCAGCTGGGAAACAGGATGATAATAATAGCACAGGCTCAGCATCCCAAATCCAAAAATTCCCAAATCCCAAATCCTCCAGAATCTGAAACTTTCTGAGTCCTGACATGACACTCCAAGGAAATGCTCATTGCAACATTTTGGATTTCAGATTTTCAGATGTGGGATATTCAACTGGCAAGTATCATGCAAATATTCCAAAATCTGAAAACATCTGAACTCTGAAATGCTTCTGGTCACAAGCATTTTGGAAACAGGATGCTCAACCTGTATCCACGTGACAGGGCTGCTGTAAGTGTGGATACAGGCAATGCATGTAAAGCATCTGGAGCAGTGCCTGGCACACGTGGGGAGCCCGTCATATGCTGCCGCGGCTGCTGCTAATGACAACAGGGACAACTACGATGAGATTACAGAGGCAGGGGACGGGTGCAGCTCCACGGTTAACAATGCTACCAGGTGTCCCCAGCTCACAAAGCCTGTCCATGGTCCCATTTTCCACACATGGAACCTGGCCCAGAGAGCAACCGCCCACAGTCCCACTCCTAGGAAGCAGGGTAGCCAGGAACTGAATGCAGGTCTGTGAACCTAAAACGAATACTCTTTTAACCTCTGCCACTAAAATTGCATCCAATTTTCAAGGGGAAGGAGAAATATGGTTTCCCAGCACCTACTACGCCTTTGCACTGCAATTGTCAGCTGGACAAGAAAGAGCATCTGAATATCTGATTTAAAGGAAAAGGCTGCTTTCTCTTTGGGACTAATAACAACGAAGGCTTTTTTGGCTCTGCAAGTTTGCTGTCCTCTCGCCAGTGCTGTGGACTGGGGCTTTCTCAGAGTAGTGCTGCTTTCAGCGAAGCAGCTGTTTGGGGTGGCCCCTTTGTTTCTTATTACCTACGCTATGACCACAGCTCCACACTGACATGCGATGGCGGCATCAGTTGACATCTATTTTCTTGTTAACAGAACACAAGTGGCTCCTTATTAAGCGCCCCCAGAGAAGATTCTGCCATAAAAATTTCATAAAGCCCAAGCGCCTCCCGAAATGTAAACTGGCCCGCTCAACTTTCCCTTGGAAATCGCTGGTGAGATCTGCTTTGTCGGCCAGTGTGCGTGTTCCACCTATGGTCACTTTAGGCCGCTAAAAGCAAGAAACCAATCAAGCATCCCACTAGAGTCGACAAACCAAACCCTGTCTCATGTGCACCCCTTGGTCTGAGGATGGAAAAGCAGCTTCCCTTCACATTTACACAGTGACCTCGGTACGAGTCATAGGACAACGTTTTGAGGGACAGAAGGAAGTCTCTTTAGTTGCTCTTCCTTTTTTGCTAAGCCACTGAAGCTGGCTGTGGCTTAGATGACAGGAATGACTCTTACCTGTGCGGTGAAGAAGGCTGGGGTGAGGGATCCCGAGGGGAGGGCTGGGCTGTTGAGGGCGATGGAGCCGATGTCGGTGCCGGAGAGCACCAGCGGGGGCGCTGAGATTTCCAAGCCTTTGGGTTTTTTGGCCTTTGGGGGAAGAGATGGAGACTTGGTCTTGGAGCCCGATGACAGGTTCAAGGGCTCCAGGGAATCGGAGTCATGGCAGGCGGCCTCCAGGAAGAGGCTTCTGTGTTCAGAAGGGAGGGGTGAGTTGGGGGACAGGGACGGGGACCGAGATGAGAAGGGTGAGGCGGATGAAATACTGGCAGCGTTTGGCAACATTAAAGAGGAGATCTTGGCCGAGACGGACGAGGCCAGGAAGGCGGACGCCGCCGCAGCCTCTGACGTGGAAGGCAGGGACACCACCGGCCTGGTGACGTGCTTGTCGGTTTTATTGGTCACAAACCTGATCACAGTCCTGACTTCTTCCACGGGGGGGCTGTCTTCGGGCGGCTCCTCCAGCTTCTCCGTCTTGATGGCCTTGAAGGCGTCTGGTGGGTTCTGCAGGGAATTAATGGTGAAGGACGAGTACAGGCCTGAGTGGATGTATTCGTTGCGGCTCGTGCTTCTGAGGGCGGCCAGGCCGTGTTTGTGGGCCTCGCGGCCCTCCGGAGACGCCTTGCAGTCGCTGTCCTGCAGCAGAAGGCTCTCCCGGCTGATCTCCACCGCGTGAGGATCCATCTTCAGGATCTCCGGGAAAGAGACAAACTTGTACACAAACTTCTGCCCGATCACCTTCTTGATGATGTTCTGCAAATACAAAAGTAGACGTTGAAAATCTGAGTGCACCCGAGAAACCATGTAAGAGCTCATGATAATGGTAAATGTCGCTGGCAGAAGCACCAAAATGTTCCTGATTTACATTCTTGGCTAAGGAAAAGTGGAAGGAGGAATGAAGTTGGAAGTAGAATTAGATGTGCATTCCAGTTCTGCCATTACTAGATCTTTGTGATCTTTGGCAAATTAAGTGCCACTTTGAGTTTCCTCGTCTGTAAAGTAAGGAAGATGATGATGATGATGATGATTTCTTAGACAGGGTCTCACTCTGTCGCACAGGCTGGAGTGCAGTGGCACGAACATGGCTCACTGCAGCCTCAACCTCCTGGACTCAAGCAATCCTCCTGCCTCCACCTCCTGAGTGGCTGGGACTACAGGTACATGCCACCACACCCTGCTAATTTTTACATTTTTATTTTTTGTGGAGACAGCATCTCACTTGGTTGCTCAGGCTGGTCTCAAACTCCTGGACTCAAGCAATCCCCCAACCTTGGCCGAGTGAGGATTATTCTATGTAATAACATAGTAACAGCTGCCATTTATGAAGCCTTTACTATGTGGATGGGATTATTCATATCTTATCTCATACAATCTGAACAGCAATCCTAAAAGGAAGGTGTTGTGACTCCTATTTTAAAAATTTGGAAAATAAGCTTAGAGCACTTCCCTAACTCACATGACCACCTGCTAGGAAGTGAAGTGGTAGAGGCAGCATGTCCTGAACCATAACACAGTATTGTCTTACCTACCTCTGCGAGTCAGAAGAATTCAATGAAATAATAATGAGAAAGCATTCTGTAAGCTGGAAAGCATTATAAAATGCAAGTTATCATCATCAAACACTACAACGTTTTCTTAACTCAGTCATTTTTTTCCTTTTTAATTTTTATTTTTTTTGCCAAGAAAGCCACTGGAAGGAAAACGAATTGTCTACTTTGGATATCTGTGACATTCATTGACAGTATTTTTAGTTGCTAGCGTCTACTTCTGGCTCTTCAGTTTATGGCTCCAGTCCTCAAACATTAGGCTATAAATGAAAAGCAATAATCATTGCAAAAGTTTTTGCAACCCTTTGGGAGAAGGGACTTTATATTAAAGGCTATGCTGTTCTTGAGGTTTATTAAATGGATACTTTAATTCCCTGCCGAACCCACTGGGTTCTATATTTACCTACCAAATGCTTGCGTGTGCCTTGCCCTGTGGATGCATCTTGGCGTCCAAGGGGCTCAGAGAGACAAAGATGGTCTCTCTCAAGCACAAAAACCCAGCACCATCCTATGGGAAAAGGACTCTGTTTCCTTAGAAACTATTCCACCTAAAACCAGGGTATGAGTGAGGATTAAAAAAAGATCATTTCAAGTAGAAGAGCTTTAGAAGCAGCTCTGATTGAGTGCCTCTCTTCTGTACCAGGGGTTGTACATAAGGCACCTCATTAGATCCCCACATTAGCCCTGATGGAGGTGGAGGATGTCATCCTTCTGACACAAACAAGATCCCAGGGATGGAGAGTCATTTGCCCAAGAACCACCAAGATCGACAGATTCTAAAGCGTAAGCTTTTTCACATCCCCACACAAATTTAGGGGGAGAGAAATCAAAGATCCCCCAATAGACATGAAATTCAACTGAATGTTGATGTGCCTTTTGAAATCATAGTGTGGTTCTAAAAACATGTGTTTGCCTGCCATCCTTTACATTATGACATTCTGATTTGCCTTTTCCCTCCTTAAATGATGGCAGCGAAGGGCACATTTAAGGGTCCCATTCAGCACAGGAGATCTCATACAGAGTCATGGAGAAACCTCACTGAGCACCAGCATACAGGCCGACGCCCAGGGCACCTTAGATTAGAGTCAAGGCCAAACAACAGTTCCAGTGGCCGCGGCCACCTTGCTGCATCCTGGAGCTCCCACCTGCAACTTAACCCGCGGGGTCTCATTTACGCCAGCGACCTCACACTCACGCTGCTACTCGAAGCTGAACAGCCCTTAAAAACCTTTAGAGAAATTTGGGAAACTCAGATGTTTTCCACCTGGACTTTGTTAGCAGCGTCTCTGCCGAGTGCCCTGGGTCAGAACATGCCCAGGAAAATCAGCTCCCAGCAGGAAATAAATTAAATAAGGGTGTCATTGGACCCACCTGACCCAGGGTCAGTTCCCATTAAAAAGAAAGTGTGCTGGCCTGGTGTGTTAATGCTTCCTTCGCTAAAATTTTAAGTTATTTTTAGTTTTAGCTCATAATATTTTTCTCCCTGGGGAAAAACTTTATTTTTTTCCCTCAGCGAGTTTGAACACTCATCTAAACTGAGTGAAGTTTTTAGAGCCTAAATAATTACACAAAAGACAAACTTCTATAAATGTTTTATTTAGAGCCAAAATAAAAACACAGAAGAAAAAGGATCTGAATCATTTATTCTAACAAGTCTTAAATAACTGTTTCTTCTTTCCCAAAAAAAAAAAAAAAAAATTCTAATTTTCTTATAGGTTTGGAACATCATGTCTAAGTTGGGATTACATTCATGAACACATCAAGAAATAACCAAGGGCTGTGATAAAAATGACAGAAAATGTCTCTCCTGCTCAAAAAATGGTTGGGAACTGAAAGGCAGCCTCAGACAGATCATATGGCCTTGCTGTGTTAAAAAGAACATGAGGAACAACCCACCTGTCCACCAACCAGCAAAAGGATAAATGAAATGTGGGGTGTCCTTACAATGGAATATTATCCAGCTGTAGTAAAGAATGAAGCTCTGCACCAAGGCCTAGAATTCATTATTTGAGGAATAATGAATTACTAGACTATAGTAAGAACAATAAGGAATATTGTTTGGAATAGTAAGGAACAAACATAACATAATGGGCCTCAATTTCATTAAACAGAATCATAGATTTTTTTTTTTTTTTTTTTTGAGATGGAGTCTTGCTCTGTCGTCCAGGCTGGAATGTAGTGGCGTGATCTCGGCTCACTGCAACCTCTGCCTCCTAGGTTCAAGCGATTCTTCTGCCCCAGCCTCCCAAGCAGCTGGAATTACAGGCACCCACCATCATGCCCAGCTAATTTTTTTTTTTTTTGAGATGGAGTCTCGCTCTGTTGCCCAGGCTAGAGTGCAGTGGTGTGATCTCGGCTCACTGCAAGCTCCGCCTCCCTGATTCACGCCATTCTCCTGCCTCAGCCTCTGAGTAGCTGGGACTACAGGCGCCCGCCACCATGCCTGGCTAATTTTTTTTAGTAGAGATGGGGTTTCACCGTGTAAGTCAGGATGGTCTCGATCTCCTGACCTCGTGATCTGCCTTGCCTCGGCCTCCCAAAGTGCTGGGATTACAGGCGTGAGCCACCACGCCCTGCCTAATTTTTATAGAGACGGGGTTTCACCATGTTGGCCAGGCTGGTCTTGAACTCCTGACCTCAGGTGATCTGCCCGCCTCAGCCTCCCAAAGTGCTGGGATTATAGGCATGAGCCATAGAATAGAATATTCTATTCTATGATTCACTGCAAAGTGAAAGCAGCCAGATATTACATGATAAAGGTCACATATGATTCCATTTATATGAAATGTCCAGAATCATGATATCTATACAAAAAACCAGAAAGTAGAGCATGGTTACCTAGGGCTGAGAGGGGTGGAAGGAAGGAGGTAATGAAAATGTTCTAAAGTGGGTCACGGTGATGGGTGCAGAACTCTATACTCAGAGCCACTGAACTGTATATGGTAAATGGGTGAATTGTATGGTATGTGAATTTTATCTTAATGAAGCTGGTTTTTAAAGAAAAGAACATATAAGAATCTTAAGTATTTTACGTGTTTAAGTGGAAGACAGTGGGAACTTTCTATAGCTAGAAGCAACTGTCATAACCCTACTCAGAATGTAAAAAGGGAGACACTGGGAAGGGCCCTTCAGTAGCTGCTGCCTCTGCTGGGGGAGCAGAGAGGACACCAAGAGTTTTCTGGGGAAAGGTTACGCAGTGACGGGGATGGAGACAATTTACTAGCTGGCCAAAAGGAGGAAGTGACAGCCATTGGAAAGAACCGAGGCAGGTCATGCTTCTCTAGAGACCAATGGGAAAGACGGATTCGATCTGGCTACCTGGAAACCTGCCAGGGTCGAAGGCTAAAGAGTGGAACTGGGAGGGAAGAGGGCAGGGTCGGGTACAGTAAGTGGGTCAGAGCAGTGCAGCCCAGTGACTCAGCACCGGGGACATCTGCTAGACGAGGGGAGCTGGTAAGGAAAGCCCCCCACAGCGGTGCCCACGGCTGGAGGATTAGGAACAACCTGGGCTCAGAGGACGTGTGTCCCTGCAGCTGCACTGACAGCCCCTTCTTCCTTATCTTCCAGGGCTGCCCCCAGAAGCAGCGCCATGTATGTTTGAAGATCTCTCTGTGGCTTCCAGAGGGAAGTTTCCTTCCAAGAGTTTGCTGAGAAGACTCAGTGTCAGGAATAATACAAGCTAGTATGTGCTGAGCACGTATTATTTGTCAGGCTATCTTCTAAGAACCTGTCAACCATCAACTCACTCAATCCTCTTAGAGAATGGAATGATTATTATCCCCATTTTGGAGATAAGCAAGCTGAGGCTCGGAAAGTATAAATTATACACTGTTGGAAGCTTGTACCTGGAGAGAACAGATGGTACCCAGGCAATCTGACTCCTGAGGTCTTGGCTACTATGAAGGGTGACACAAGATTCAGGCCAACTTAGGCAGCCCGGGACACAAGCACACTTGGGTAAGGGCTCTTATTATGGTAAGTGATGAGGATATTTAGAAAAAGTCGGGTTTCCACCCCCTTCAATCCCAGACTCACAAGTATTTGTTGCTCACAGTTGCCTGGTAACCTGAGCGATGCTGGTCTGTGTCGGGTGGAGCTGAGTGCATCTCCAGCGTGGTTTTAGAGTGTTACACACATCCGCTTCCCTCTTACATGGGTGGGACCAGTCTCTTTGTAATTTCCCATTAAATACGTATTTGCAAAAGGGCTGCCTCTTTGCCCGGCAGGCATTCCATGTGAGGTTACGGGCAGCAAGGATGGGACCAATTTTAGTGAGAGGAAAAAGCAACATCCCCTTCAAACAGAGCCCAGTGGCAGTTCCAGGCAAAAGAGGAGGACCAGATACCAAAATTAATCCCTCACCCCGTCCAAGTTGCCATTTTGAGAATGCAGTAGTAGCCTAAAGGGCAAGTCGTCCCTTTGGGACAGGATTCCGGGCAGACCTGTGCAGAAGAACCCTTCCCAACTCACCAGCCACCTCTGGGGACCAAGGCATCCCATGACAGCAGCCCATGACAGGATCTCGTGACAGGATCCCTCAATTATTTCACTTTAACTGCATAGAAAATGCCAAGAGAGCAGGTCATATTTCCATTTCCATTTCAGTGCTGTCTGTTACCCTGACAGGTTACAGGCATACCTACCTATAAGAAAAGGTATGGCTGTCCACAGTGTGTTTACATATGTACACACACACACACACACACACACACACACACAAACGCTCCACTGTGCCCTTTGAAGAGGAAGGAGTCTGTGTAAATAATCTCAAATAGTAGATAGATGAGAAATATTTCGATAAGTTTTGTAATTTAAAAAAAGCATATGCAGTGCTAGGTAATGAAAAGATGCATATGGAATTAGATTTACCTTCTTGATGATGTTATTAGGATTATATTTAAATGAGTTAATTAAATGTTTGTTGAATGAATTACCAACTATAAGGAGAACTGACCCAGGCATAAAGCCACAGGCATGAAAGACACAATTTTCCACGGCTCATTCTTAGGCTGGTTAAAGCTCCCTGTGGGTGTATCCCATACATATACCTGCTTGTTCTTCTTTGCTGGCATTTTTAAACTGAAAACTCCCAGGCAGATATTAGAGGCCATATGCAAACTCCACATGCTACATACAACCTCACACCTCCCGTGAGAGCTTAATGAGCCATAATTTCACCCATCCATTTACGTGGCAAATATTTGCTGCATGTGTCTGTCCACCCACTCTGGTCTGGCACCCCAATTTTGATCCAAGGTTATGCATCTGGAGTTCACGTGCTTAGTCTTGTTATCTGATCTTCCGTTTTCCTCCCCGCGAGGAGCCAGGCCTGTGGCGAGTTCCTCGTCATTCTGGTCTGGCCCCTGGATCCTCTGCCATTTCAGGGCACCCTGGAAACACAGCGCTCCTGCCCTCTGATTCTGCAACTCTCCTACCTCGTTCTCAAAACTGAGAATGTCAGCAGCTCAGTAAGCAAGCAGGATCGGTTGTGCTGAAGACTTTTCCTAACAAACAGGCCCTTCTTAACCCCTGCACTGGGTAAGGGGGACAGAGCAGGGGACCTTTCCAATAAATACCCACTTGACCCTATCACAAAGACTGCTGCAGGGATTAAAAGGAGAGGCTCCAGAGTCACTGCCTGAGTTCAATGCCTCAGCTTCTCATGTATAAAATGGGGACTGATCCATCTGCCTCATGGGACTGAATGAGACATCCATATACAGCTTCTATCAGAACGCCCGATGCATCCACGCATGACAAGCCCCATAACATATACTAGCTATTAGTATTATCATCATTTTTACACTCCCATTTAAGCAAAAACAGAACAAAACATAAATATCACCCTGTGTCAGCCCTAATGACAATTTAATAGACAAAATTAACCCTCACAGAAGGCTGCGCATATTCTGCTAGCTTTGTCCAAAGTTCTGGGTAACATGATCAGTTGCACAGCAGGCAGAATTACATCTGGTTTACATATCTCAACTGAGCAGGGAAACATGATGTTTTTATTTAGTTAGGTTCAGACAAGAAATAGATACAAGGCTTATATTATATTGTGCCTAACACGGCCAGCACTTGACATCCACTGTGACGAAAACCTTACACAATCCAATTAATTTGGGGGTTGTGGGGAGGTTCTAGGAGGGGGACACACGGAGCCGCAGATGTGAATAACTGCTAGATCCAAGTGCTCCGCTTAGATGCTGGCCGCAGCCTACAGGCGAGACGCCACATGTCAGGCCCCGAAAGGTGGTGCAGACACTAACCAGGCACCCAGCTCATCTCAACTGCTCCCGGCGGCTTCTCAGAGCAGAAACCATGCTGCCCAGACTGGGAGGGAGAAGAGCAGCCTTGCAGCGTCTGCTTGGGCTCAGGCCTCTGCTCAGGGTTCCTGGGAGAGGCCAACGGGAAGCTGCTGGCCCTGCGCACTTGTCAGCAAGACCCGAGGCAGGAACCTGTTCAGGTGCTGAGCAGACACACGAGACAATGCATTTATTTGGGGCACACTCATTTTATCGTGGTAGATACCCTACGTGAAAGGAACCAGTACAGAGAAAGGACAAGGAAAGAAGCCAGCATTTATGAGGGCCAGCTGCATGCTGAGCACACACAGCTGCCTTGCAGGATGGGCACTGTTATCCCATTGCAGAGATGGAGAAGCCAAGGTCCCCCTGGACAGTGAGGTTATATCCAACTGTCCACCACCTGGGGGTAGGTTAAATATTGGGAGAGCCATACAATGGAATACCACGTAGCTACTTCAGGGGACACGACATTGCTAACACTTCCCCATACCTTTAAATATACATTAGGTGGGGAAAAAAAACAGTATGAATAATTCCATTATTTTAAAAATGTTCTATTGCATATATATTTATATGTTTTCTACTGTATATATGCATATATGTGTAAATAAAAGGAGGTAGAAAAATTAATCTTAAAAGAGGTATACTAAAATTTAACAGTGATTTTTCATATTTCTTTTTGCTTATGTGTATTTTCACATTAAAGAATGTATATTTGATATGTATTACTTGTCAAATTAAGACTTTTTAAGGGAAAGAAATAGGAACTAAAAAGCTGACTAGCCCAAGGTCACACAGCTTGTAACTGGTGGAGCCGAAGTTTGAACCCAATTGTATCTAGTGCCAAGACCTAAGCCATTTCTGTTCCACTACCACACCCTCTTCCAGAAAGCAGCTGCATTTGGAAGCAGAGGCTGCTACTAAAGTAAATCCGACAGGGCCAAGGGGTCTCTGCATTCCAGAGTAATAGTGGGGTTAACTGCAGAGTGCCTGGGAAAACCAGCTCTGTGCTGAGAAAGCATGGGCCTTGCTTGAGAACAGTTATTTCTAGCTCTTCGGGCGGAAGAGACCAATCTTCCGTAAGGTCCATTCATTACCTAGAAATAGAACTGCCTCTGCCAATCCACAGGGTAGAGAAGGTGCCTGCTTTGGAGGGACACCCTAACATGAGGCACGGGGGACCCAGCACTCCCAGTGCAGCAGACTGGACATGAGCAGCCAAACTATAAGTGGCATGCCATCCAAGGGACGAGGGTGACAGGAAAACAACAGGAAGCTCGTGTCCACCATATACAGCCCGGTGATGGCACCCACTGCCAAGCTCCCCCGGCTGTCTCCAGGCCCGTGCCCAGCAGCAGCTCACACAAGGGCACAGGCCAGGAGCCTTGACGGGCCAGAAGTCATGTGGACCCAGTGCTGGGGTGAACAGATCTGGGTTTGAATTCCAGCCTCTCTGCTTACTATGACCTTGGGAAAGTTACTGAACATCTACACGGGGCTCAGTTTGCTCACCCCTAAAATGGGAATAAAAATACCCCATAGGCTAATTTTTTCTAAAGACTCAACGCAGTCAGTGCCTCACTCACACAGGTCCTTACAACATGACCCTCACCCAGTGAATCTTGCTTAGCATGCAATAATCTAATCGTACACACTGCTCATTATATCACACTTTTCATTTTATTCTGCCTTCCAGGAAAATTTCTTGGGTGGGCACCTTACTTTACAGTTTACAGAAGGCTCACACAAAATCTCATGTTAGCCTCACAACGCTTTGATACCCACTTCACAGATGTGAGACCCGAGGCTCCCAGCTGAGTTCACAACACCCACAAGTAGCAGAGGAGTATCTCCAGGCCGCGGCTTCCTGGCCAACACATTTTCTTCAACTCCTGCTTTTGGGTTCCCTTCCAGACCACAGTCTGACTCACTCCTTCCTGACATGAAACCCGAAGTGTCCTTTCTCCAAAGTTAGAACAAGTAGTTACTGTATCTCTCCGACAAGCAAACATTCTTTCAGCAAACATTGTTTTTGTTTTTTAGAGATGGGGTCTTGCTGGCATTGCCCAGGCTGGAATGCAGTGGCTATTCACAGGCACGACTGTTACACACGGCAGCCTGGAGCTCCTGGGCTCAAGCGGTCCTCTTGCCTCAGCCTCCCAAGTAGCTGGGACTATAGGTTCAAGCCACCACACCTGGCTTTCAGTGAACACTGAATACACACTCTCCTATGGGTGGCCCCATGCCAGGCTCTGAGGAATGGAGAAGGAGTGAAGCCAGCTTCTGTCCTTGAAGTGCCCCTCAGTGGCTTGGATGCAGTGTGACATCCCCTGCCTCTGCTCTGTCTCTGCCATTGAAGCAGAGGGGACAGTGAGCAGTCAGCTGGCCATAAGAGACTCTGCTACAAATGTCTGGGGGGCAGGCTCACCTCACACCCACCCCCACTAAAGAGCATCTTATGATCCTGGACTCACGGGCTCAAACGATCCTCTCACCTCGGCCTCCCAAAGTAGTGGGATGACAAGCGTGAGCCGCCACACCCAGCTATTTAAGAGCATCTTATGAAAGGGCTCCTCTGACCCATAAACCTGAGCTGCTTCTCACCAAGGCAATCTTCCCCCACCCACCGCTGCAGTGAGTTTAATGTCCCTGCCAAATTCATGTCCACCAAGGACCTTAGAATGTGATCTGATTTGGAAGCAGGGTTCTTACAGATGTAATTGGTTAAAGATGTCGAGACAGAATCATCCTGGATTTGAGGTAGGCACTGAAATCAATGGCTTCTGTCCTCATGAAGACACAGAAAGACACACACAGGGAAGGTGGTCATGGGACGTGGAGGCAGAGACTGGAGTGAGGCAGCTGCAAGTCAAGGAACACCAAGGGTGGCTGGAGCCCACAAGAAGCCAGAAGAGGAAGGGGGGATTTTTCCCTAGGGCCTTCAGAGGGAGCGGGGCCCTGCAGATACCTGGATTACACACTTCTGTCTTCCAAAACCTTCAGAGAATACATTTCTATTGTTTTGAGCCACCAAGTTTGGGGTCATTTGTTACAGCAGCCCTGGGAAACTAATACACCCCTTTCTTAAAATTGTCTCTGTTCAGCGAGGCAGAGGAGGCACAGCCTGGGGCCGCCACTGGGGTGCAACTAGCCCTTCCCACTGCGATGGTACAGGCACCGGGTAAGGTGGAGCCTAGGCTGTCCCTTGTGCAAAGCCGAACTTTGGAGTGTGCACACACACACACGTACACACCCACTCACACCCATTCCAGACTTCTAAGAATGACGTGCTGCCAACAAAGGCTGGAACTCTGTCTCTGAACAGGCCAACTCTGTCGGCTCCCGGGAGAGGTTTTCTTGTGGTTTGGGTTGAGGTTTCTTTGCTTTCTGGCACCGGTAAACTGCAGCGTGAACTATCTCACCAAATTTGGCCAGCCTGAAGTTGAGGCGCTCTTCATCCCTGCTGCCTGAGTACACGTGGCACCCTGAGGGTGCTAGTGAGAAGTGCTGGCTTGCTGGCCTGGCAGGACACCCCAACCCGGGAGGATTCGACTGGACGTTCGCAGCATTTTTCTCCCTGCCTTCTTGGCTGGGCGCTGCTGCTGGCTGGACCTGGAGTCCTGTCTCCCTCCTGGCTCTCCTTAAACACTCAAGGGTACTTTTATTCAAAGGCCTTTTAAGTGTTAATAACATAGAACATAAAGCTGCTCAGGCGGGGTGGTGGCTTACACCTGTAATCCCAGCAGTTTGGGAGGCCAAGGCAGGTGGTTCAACTGAGGTCAGAAGTTCGAGACCAGCCTGGCCAACATGGTGAAACCCCATCTCTACTAAAAATACAAAAATTAGCCGGGTATGGTGGCACACCTATAGTCCCAGCTACTCAGGAGGCTAAGGCAGGAGAATCGCTCGAACCCAGGAGGTAGAGGTTGCAGTGAACTAAAATCTCACCACTGCATCAGCCTGGGTGACAGAGCAAGACTCCATCTAAAAATAATTAATAATAAATAAATAAAAATAAATAAAACTGCTCCCCAGTGCAAGTCTTTCCCTTTCCCCTGCTGGGTGGGGGAGCTGCTAACACTGACCTTGACCTTCCTGTGTTGAGCGGCCACCTCCAGCGCTGGCAGATGGCATGGCCGGGCAGTGTGTGTCATTAGCCACAGGTGGTCTGGGAGTGTCTTCTCATCCTGGCTTTGTCACCAGTTGACTTGGAAACTCCCCTCCCCTCGAAGATCCTCACTTGCTAAAGGAGGGGTAGGTAGGGCAAGACGCTTTCTTGGATCCTCTCTTGAGTGACTTTCCAAGGTGACAGACTCCCTTCTGTGCCATGGAGAAGGATGCTTGTTTCCTACTCATTCCTACTACACTTGATTGGTGCTGCCACGCCCTCGGCTCTGCAGGATGCAGGAAATGGTAAGAAAACCCAGCATGCGGCCCCGTAAGGGAGACGCAATGACAGCAGGAGAAACCAAGTCCCTCTGGGAGGGGCCATGGAACAGACACGGCCATCACCAAGTGAGGCGCCAGCTGGAGGAGGCAGAGAGAGGAGTCTGAAGGGTGGCCAGGAGTGAGCCAGGCAAGAAGGGCAGGGGGAAGGAGGGGGCCTGAGAAGATGCTGGGGTGGGGGGCGGCTGTGGGGGTGCAGGGAAGGCAGTTGGGTTGGGGTGAGATGGTGAAGGGAGTTTGGACTCCTTCCTGGAGGCCGCCGAGAGCTGGGAGGCGCACACGCAGAGGAGTGCCACGCTCCAGTACTTTCCATAGGAAGCGTCTTCTGGAAGCGTGGGGTATTCCGGGGCCACTCAAACTCACATTTTCAGCTGACTCAGATAATCTTGCCAGCAGTTTTTCCACTGTCATTTCAATTAAAAAATACCGGGGGCCTGTCTCTCCTCCCTGGCTGCCCTTGGGGTAATCATCAGCAGTACTGGGCATACAGGACTCAAGTCTGGGCCCAGGGCTCTGGAGCTGTGTCGCCCTCCAGCTTTGGAAGCCCAGGCATGGGCCTTGGGGGTCAACACTCTTAGTCTGAAAGCTCTGCCACCGCCCTGCTGCTGCATCTTGAGTCCGTGACTTACACCTCTTGGAGACTCAGCATCCCCACCTCTACAATGGGCTCAATATCGACCACCAGCACTGGTGCATCACAAATTGGAAAATAAGCTAATAGATGTAAAAATACCTAGCACAGTGCCTGGCTTAAAACAAAATGCTGCACACACGTAAGCATCTCTTTTTTATGTTACAAATTTGGGGTAGGAACTGAGAAGAGCCGTGGAGGAGCACAGGCAGGGGTGGGGGAGAGGCCGTGCAGAGGAGCAGCTGAGGCGTGGGTGGACGGCGGGTGGTGGGTGCTATGCTGTGAATGTTGGAGTTTTTGTGAGTTTGTCTACACAACCACTAAATTTTCCTGCAGCTCAAATCCCAGAAGCAGGAACGCTCATGCTGGCAAACGCAGACTCGGTGTGGGCTTGGGCAACAGCCTGACGTAAGTGGATCTGGCAAGGCCGCAAGAGCTTTGGCAGCCGAGCCCCTGGCGCAGAAGCATCCTCATCAACACAGTGTTGACGGCGCTCCCGGGCCTCTGGCTCATCCCTGTTTCTTAGCAACTGCCCTATTTTGGGGGAACACTGAGTGCCACAGGGAAGCTGGCCTGGAAGCACGTGCAAGACAGGCAGCACCTTCAGTCAACACGCAGCCCCCTGCTCCCAGCAGCCTGGTCCCCTGATACCAGCTGCCATCTCCCGGCACAATGTGACCAGATTGGAAGACCTCCATGAGGCGGTTCAGCCACTCCACAGGTCTCTAAGCAGCTTCCAGGACCCAAGCTTGTGAGAGAGGCCCTGGTCATCCCCTGCGCCCCCAGGCAATAGCCCATTGCCATCTGTTATGCTTCCAACCATCTGAATAGCTGCTATGGTAGGAAAGAAAGACACTTAACAAAACACACCAGGCCCTCAACACTCACACCCAGGGCCGGGCACAGAGGGCCCCCTCGATCGATAAAACACCCCAAAGGGAGTCCAGGTCTTCCCTAACATTCCATGACCAACAGAGGTGTTCTAGAAAGTTCTGGGATATGAATGCCTGCTGGATGTTTGTTCCTTCTCCACTTTGACAACATCATTTTATCTTTGCAAAATTTATTTTGGAGGAATTAAAGAATTCCACCAGGGCCAGGTTTCTTGGGAGAGGCAGTTGATCTCAGATATGTATTATTAATACTAACATTTTCTTGTCGTGATTGCACGCCCAATTTAAAATGAATTATCCAATTAAGTTAAGAAGGTGATGCGTTCTAATTCCAGGAATAGGTTGCCAATGACTTTGTCTTGACTGTTCTCCCCGAAATCCCTTCCAATTAAGTAAAGATTGTTCAGTACATCGTGAGGCTAAGCCAAGAGGTTGCTGTGGAGACGGGAGGATTTTTCATCCTATCACCATTTTCCTCTCTTGATGAGAAGGGAGCCAGCAGAGCTTTCAGCCTCCCCCGGGGTTGAATGTTCAGTGCCAGCAAGGACAAAAGGTCTGCTGGACAGAAGAGGATGAGGGGTTGTGAAAGCTTCCAGGTCTCCTTCTGCAACAACAGAGAGAACCCGTGTCTTCAGCTTCTCGTGAGCAAAAGACAGTTGCCCACATTATGGGGATACCAGAGCCCATCCTTTTTCCCTCTCCACCTCATGCTGAAGGTGTGATAGGGCCAACTCGGCCAGCAGAGAGAAATAGATTCATGGTACCTGGCCAGAAAGATCAAGGCTGTATGGTTGGGTGTAAAATGATCCATGCCAAGAACAGTAAGAGGAGACACAGATTTTTATTTCTAAAATGGAAATCTGCTCATAGCACTCTCTTGCTTTTTTAAGAGACAGAGTTTTGCTCTTTCACTCTGTTGCCGAGGCTGGAGTGCAGTCATATAGTAAGAGCTCACTGCAGCCTCTACTTCCTGGGCTCAAGTGATCCTCCTGCCTCAGCCTCCCCAGTAAGTAGGACTACAGGTGCGCACAACCATGCCCAGCTAATTTTTTGTCATTTTTGCTCATCTGTTATTATTAGTTTTTTGGTTCTTGGGGGCTTTTTTTTGTTTGTTTTTGTAGAAACAAGGCCTCACTATATTGCCCAGGCTGGTCTCAAAACTCCTGGGCTCAAGCAATCTTCTCATCTTGGCCTCCCAAAGTACTGGGATTACAGGTGTGAGCATTCCCCGCCCCCTCCCCCATCTCCTGTTTTTAACTTTTTTTTTAATGTATTTTTATTTATTTTTTTTTTTGAGATGGAGCCTTGCTCAGTTGCCCAGGCTGCAGTGCAGTGATGTGATCTCGGCCCACTGCAATCTCCACCTCCCAGGTTCAAGCAATTCTCCTGCCTCAGCCTCCCGAGTAGCTGGGATTTATAGGCGCACACCACCATGCCCAGCTAATTTTTGTATTTTTAGTAGAGACGGGGTTTTCACCATGTTGGCCGGAATGGTCTCGATCTCCTGACCTCAGGATCCACCCGCCTCGGCCTCCCAAAGTGCTGGGATTGCAGGCGTGAGCCACCGCACCCAGCCAGCTTTTAACTTTTCATTGGCTCTCACCACAGAGTTCCAACCCTTTAGCATGATATACTCCACACTCCATTCCCCACTCACTTTTCCAACCACATCTTGCCCTCACTCCCAAGATACTCTGTGCTTGAAAGGTCAAACTCATCCACACGTCCCTGCCTTTACTCACACTGTTCCCTTCTTGGTATATCCCTTCTAACTTTTTTCAGCCGGGTAAACTCATTCTCATTCCTTAAGATCCAGATCAAGTGTCTTGACCTCCGGAGGCCTTCCCTCTGCCTCTACATCCCTCCCTGCTCTCCCAGAAGACCCCAGCATTGGCCATGCCAGCACTTTACACGGGGTTCTCTACTAAAATTGGTTTCATGTCTGTCTCCCCAACCAGCTGCTGAGCCCCTCAGGAGGAAGGAGGTATGTTTCCAAAGGGATGGCTGGATGGCTGAGGAAAAGGCAGAGGTGAAAGAAGAGGCCGTGTCAACTGGAGGTGGATGTATAATTAAAAACCCTAGGCCAGGTGCTGTGGCTCATGCCTGCAATCCCAGCGCTTTGGGAGGCCGAGGCGAGCAGATCACCTGAGGTCAGGAGTTCGAGACTAGTCTGGTGAAATCCCATCTCTACTAAAAATACAAAACCTAGCTGGGAATGGTGGGACGCACCTGTAATCCCAGCTACTCGGGAGGCTGAGGCAGGAGAATCACTTGAACCTGGGAGGCAGAGGTTGCAGTGAGCTGAGATCGCGCCACTGCACTCCAGTCTGGCCAACAGGAGTGAAACTGTGTCTCCAAAAAAAAGCCTTATTCAAGAAGTGGTGAATGCTGTGAATCCCAGCAGGAATTCCTGCCCCTCAGGCTTGACCCATAAGGTGCCTGGCAGTTGTCAGGGCCAGTGACAGAAATGCTCTGGGCATGGGCCCCGCTCTTCTCTACTCTAAGATGAAGGGTCCATCTGTCTGATGTTAAGGAGTGAAAGACTTGTTAGCTTGTTAATAAATAAAATCTCTGAAAAAGATCCTTACTGTTACATCAGGTTATAAAACTACCTTCTGGAAGACTCAGTTTAAACCTAAGGAAAAAAAAACTTATCCAAAAATTCACACCATCAGAACTACAGTAACAAACCTATCTCCTAGGGCTTAAAACAAGACCAAGGGAAAAAGCTGTTTGACAGAGAGGAAGTGTAAAATGCCCAGGCCTCAGTTAAATGTCCTGTTTAGGCCTCTACGGACTCTGGTTTCTGCCCCTCACGGGCTCAGCCACAGGCACCTCCCATGACCTGTGTGTTTCTCAAATCAACAGGGGCCTTTCATCCATACCCGGGTTGCAAAACATGCCGCTCCCTGGATGGGGCATCACTCCTTTCTTGGAATTATAATTGGGTTTGCCCCGCAGCCTCTACAAAAGCTTAACTGGGGAAAGCAGTTCCCTGGTGGAGCTCGGATGCGGAACCCTGGCCCTCCAGACTTTCCCCACACCTGCGTCACGTGCACTCCGCACAACTGTAGATGCAGGAAGGAGCCTCTGAGCACAGTGATCAGAGCCTCCGATCCCAGCACTGCCAATCCGGGATTGGCGCCCCCAGGGTCGCCTTTTCTTCCCATTTAAGTCATCTATTAAAATCATGTGCACTTCGAGACCAGGGAGCTGCTCAATTCCCAGCAACTCTGAATCCCTCCAAGGCAGGACTCCTCTTGGGTGGACCTGTCTCCACCCTGGGGACTTGGCTCAGCGATGTGTCTTTGATTCTAGTGTCACACCTGTCACGGAGTCTAGTGTTTATACCTGCTGCAGAATCTAGGTGCTGTGCCTGTCATGGGGAGCAGTTTCCTTTTAGGATTTGCTGAATCGAACCATCACTTATAGAGGGAAACCAACACTCTCCTTTTAAGTATAATTTTAAAAATCTAAACAAAAAGCCCAGCAGTGTCTGAAATACAGTCATGCATCACTTAACGATGAGGCTACGTTCTGAGAAATGTGTCGCTGGGGAATTTCGTTGTTGTGCGAGCATCATAGCATGTACTTGCACAAACCTGGAGGGTCTAGCCTATCACACACCAAGGCTATGCTATATGCTCTCAGGCTACAAACCTGTACAGCACGTTACTGTACTGAATACTGTATGTAGGCAACTGCAATATAATAGTAAGTATGTATGTATCTCAACGTATCTAAACGTACAAAAGGTACAGTAAAAATATGGAATTATAGTCTTATGGGACCGCTGTTATATACGTGGCCCACTGTGGACCAGAACATTATGTGGTACATGACTGTATATGGAGGTGTTACAGAGTGAATTTTGTCCTTCCCCAAACTATGCTGATGTCCTAATCCCCAATACCTGTGACTAGGACCTTATTTAGAAAGGGGTCTTTACAGACGTAACCAAGTTAAGATGAGGTCATAATGCATTAAGGTGGGCCCTAATCCAATGACCGGTATCCTCATAAGAAGAGGAAAATCGGCCAGGCACGGTGGCTCACACCTGTAATCCCAGCACTTTGGGAGGATGAGGCAGGCAGATCACAAGGTCAGGAGTTCAAAACCAGCCTGGCCAACATATTGAAACCCCATCTCTACTAAAAACACAAAAATTCGCCAGGTGTGGTGGCACATGCCTGTAGTCCCAGCTACTCAGGAGGCTGAGGCAGGAGACTCCCTTGAATCTGGGAGGCAGAGTTTGCAGTGAGCTGAGACCATGCCATTGCACTCCAGCCTGGGCGACAGAGCAAGACTCTGTCTCAAAAAAAAAAAAAAAAAAAAAAAAAAGGAAAATCTGGACACACAGAATGGGGAGAACGTCATGTGATGATGGGGGCAGCGATCCGAGTGAGGCTGCTGCAAGCCAAGGCACGCCAGGGACTGCTGGCAAGCCCGGGGCTGGGGAGAGGCCAAGAAAGAGTCCACCTGAGTCAGAGGGAGCACAGCTCTGCTGACACCCTGGCTCTGGACATCTGGCCTCCAGAACTGTGAGACAACACATTTCTGTTGTTTTAAGCCACCTACAGTTTGTGGTCATCTGACCTGGCAGCCCTAGGAAACTACGGGACAATAAACAAAAAGCAGTGACTACTTTTATTTTTTAGTTTATCACTCATTAATATCAACTTTCATGACATAAATGGTGTGCACTTGAGTAGTGGACACATCAGTGTTTTATCCATTTGTTCACTCGTCTAGCATTTACTAAGCAACTAATACATGCCAGACCCTGTCCGAGGTACCAGAGCGACAAAAGTGGTGCATCCAGAAGGCCACGATGAAGTCAGCTATATACAGACAGCTACGACATAATACAGTCAGTTTTATAAATACACATAACTGGAATGAGGAGCCTTCACTGAGTAGGTGCCTGACACTGTGCTAAGCACCTTATCCGCGTCATCTTATCTTCTCTTTCCATCCTCACACAGTCCGACAAGGAAGGGTGCTGTTCCCATCACCACTTTCCAATGGGTGAACTGAGACGCTGAGGTTGAGGGACAGCTGGACTCTTAACCTCGAGGGCTCTGGATACAAAGCTCCCACCAGTCACTAAGACAGTCCAGAAGGTGGAGACTGGCTCCAACTGCAGGTGCTCAGAGAAGTGCCAGAGCTTTGATTCAGAGCGGTGAGGGAGAGTCATTTAAATAAGAAAGCATCTTCACAGCTGAATTTTCAGAACAGATTAAATATATGAAAATAAGCAACTGAGGAAAGAAACTGTTGTCATCTGTCTTCAGTCATTAAAAAGCACGACAAAGTGCTCCTGATAGGTCCTAAGTGAAAAGGGCCATAATACTCAGATCCGGCGTTTCCCTATCTCCATGTGCCTGAGCAGCAACGTAGCAACAAAGGTTTTGATCTTCTTTTTTTTTTTTTTTTTTTTTTTTTTTTGACACAGAGTCTCACTCTGTCGCCAGGCTGGAGTGCAGTGGCGCAATCTCGGCTCACTGCAACCTCTGCCTCCCGGGTTCAAGCGATTCTCCTGCCTCAGCCTCTGGAGTAACTGGGACCACAGGTGTGCACCACCACGCCCAGCTAATTTTTGTATTTTTAGTAGAGACGGGGTTTCACCATGTTGGCCAGGCTGGTCTTGATCTCTTGACCTCATGATCCACCCACCTTGGCCTCCCAAAGTGCTGGGATTACAGGCGTGAGCCACCATGCTCGGCCTCTTCTTCTTTTTTTTAATAAATTGTGCTAAATTTTTTAAAAAGAGACAGGGGTCTCACTACGTTGCCCAGGCTGGACTTGAACTCCTGTGCTCAAGTGATCCTCCCAGTTTCTAATTTTCTTCTTTGCACTGTCTGCAATGTTCAAATTAGTGATAGAGAAACTGTCATCTGTATTATTATTCTGACTCATGCTTCATTGTGCCTACCCTGTTTGGGGCCCTGTTCTCAGCCCTGCACACGTGTGAACACAATGAATCCCACCACAGCCCCACAGTGTAGACTCTACTATTATACCCACTTTACAGAAAAGGAAGCTGAGACTCAGAGAGATTAGGCAACACGGCCACAGTCATGGAGCTGGATTCAAACCCAGACGATCTAGGCTGGAGCTCACTCTGTAACTACCTCGTTATTATAATCTGAGAGGGGAGGAAAAGAACACTCTGAGGAGGAGCAATGATCAAAGTGCCTCAGCCCCAACCTGACCGCATGGGCACAGAGATGACCCTCCTCCGGGGCCTTTCTGACCGCATGGGCACAGGGACGACCCTCCTCCGGGGCCTTCCTGACAGCATGGGCACAGGGACGACCCTCCTCCGGGGGGCCTTCTGCAAGTTTGCACACATTTTCCACTTTTTTCTCTGCTAAAAATATAACATATAACATATAAAAATAATGATATTCTCATGCTTGTCTACTCAAGTGGGAAAAATTCCCTATTAGGACAAACCCAGGGATGTGCAGTTGAAGCCAAGAGGGAAGAAATGACAGCTAGCAAAGGACAGAAGAGATGATGGGAAAAAGGACGCAGCTGCCGAGTTCAGCAGCTACCTGATTTCTGCACTGAAAGGCTCTGGATGAATGTTAGTGAGGAAGAGGAGGAGGACACCGAGAAGGAAGAGAACACTAAAAGGCAAACGGTCAGGCCGAGCTGTACGTGACACTGAGAAACGCACGCGGTTCAGGGCAGCTTGAAGTTCAGGGTGGCACACACGGCAGTGGCCCAGGTGGCTTTGCATCCACAAAGACTCTGCTCCAATCTGTCTCTCAAGCAAGAGGCCGAGCCACTTCAGACTGCCATTTCTGTGAGTCGAAAACGGTCACAGACGGGCAATGCACACAGTCAACTTACACCTATCATCACAGAGTGACACTGGCAAAACGGAAGGAAGAAAGAGGTCATCGGAAAATGTCAAATAGAGTGTAGTTTTCGTCATCTCTTTTTGACATGCCTCCTCTTCTTCCTCCTTCTCCATCCCCTCTTTTTTTCCTCTCCCCTCCATTTCCCTCAACCATCTCTTTTCTTCTTATCTTCCTCCCCCTCTCCTTCTTTTCTTTTTAAACTGTATTAAGAGTCTAACTTTCCGTCTTGCTCATCACTTGAGAGCATTTTATAAGCAAGAATTAACCAGCCATGCGTGCACATGTACATGTATGCGTGTGCACATGTCTGTGCATATGGCAGTGGCCACGTGTGCATGTGGATATGTATGTGCAAGTGGGTGTGTGTGCCTGTGTGCATGTGGGCATATGTGTGTGTGCATGTGGACATCTGTGTGTGCATGTGGGCATGGGTGTGCACATGTGGACATCTGTGTGGACATGTGGACATCTGTGTGGGCATGGGTGTGCACATGTGGACATCTCTGTGTGCATGTGGACAGGTGTGTATGTGTATACTTGTGTGTGTGTGTGCATGTGGACAGGTATATCTGTAGAAGGAAAGACATGGAGCAATTTCTTCTGGTGGCCAAAGTCTACATGATACAACAGGATAGGAGGCTGCTCCTGCCCTTACTGCCAGCTCCAGCTTGATGCCTGGGGCTGCTCAAAGGTCATGTGGCCAGCCCCCATGCTCTGCCTGGCAAGAGAGAAAGGGGCAGTGCAGGCAGGCAGGCCACACCAGCCACCTGGACTCCTGACCTTGGGCTCTACCTGATACACATCGTTTGCTGGGATTTTTCAGTACTGAATTTGTTTCTTTCCTTTTTTTTTTCTTTTTAAGAGACAGGATCTCCCTCTATTGCCCAAGCTGGAGTGCAGTGGTGCAATCAGAGCTCACTGCAGTCTCAAACTCCCAGGCTCAAATGATCCTCCCACCTCAGCCTCCCAAGTAGCTGAGACTACAGGCATGCACTTCCACACTCGGCTAATTTTTAATTCTTTGTTGTGACAGGGTCTCACCATGTTGCCCAGGCTGGTCTCAGACTCCTGGACTCAAGTGATCCTCCTGCCTCAGCCTCCCAAAGTGCTGGGATTAGGTGTGAGGCACTATGCCCAGCCTGAGGCTCTTGGTAATAAACAAAACTTCTTAGGTTGTAATACCCTTTGGACAGCCTGACTGCCTACCTGGAACTCAAGACACTCAAAGGCAAAGGAAATGAATGGCCCAGAAGGCAGGGTGTGTGTGTGCCTTTTGGCTGGGAACCTGGGTGGACCAGCTGGGTTCAAATCCGGGCTCTGCTGCTCACTGGCTGTGTGCACCTGGGCAGGTTTCTCATCCAAGCCTCCACGTTCTCATGTGTATAAGGAGGATGATGACAGCAGCACCTGTCTATGGGGTTGTTGTAAAGTTTAAAGGAGACAAGGGGAAGAAGTGCTCAGCACAGCACCTTAGACGTCTGACAGAAAGTGCCAGAACATACTTGTTGACTGAAGGCTATGAAACTGCTCTCTCTAGAGATTTTAAAATCTGCCCAAGGGAGATAAGATATAGTCTAAACAGGAATGGCTTTGCTAATTTTGTGAGCAGTCATTTCCAGCCCAGGACAACCCTTCATGCTAAAGAGACACAACCCTTAAGCCCCCAGGCCCAGGCCAGGGAAGAGATGAGTCAAGTCCCAGACACAGAGGGAGGACTTCTTTTTTTGATACCTTGATTGAAAACAATGAAAATGCTTTTTGAGTCTCAAAGCCCAGCTTTTAGGCACTCTGCCAGCAGGCAACGGGAGTGTTTTCCTTCAGCGGCCCCAGTTCCCACTGCAGAATTTAGAACCTGGGAAAACACGCAAAACAATAAGCCATCTGCGAGGCTTTCAGACAGTGCAATTTGCAAGAAGTGCTTTTATATCTTAGTAGGACTCTGCAGTAAGTCAGGATTAATTAATTGCTACGTTAAAGGAGAGCACCTTTAGCATTTCAATGACACAATCACGTGCAATTACGATCACATAAAGGAACACTTTATAATTAATGATGTCTCTACTTCCTGAAACGTATAATCCTTATGTCTTGAATTCCAAAGGGGTTGGCAGACGGCATACCCTAAATATAGATCAGGAACTAATATTTAAATCAGTTTTTAATTCACCTTTTAATATGAACAATAAAACCAGAACAAAAGCTTACCATTATCATGGCTCTATGCCTTTATGTCTTAGAGGCTAAATATTCAGCAACAACAGATTCAAACTGAAATGGCTAACAATTAAGGCCTGAAATGGTTCTCCTAAACAGCAATAATTTTGCCCTAGCAAGCACATTAAAACTGCTTTTCCAGAAATGCATTAAAACTCACTCCAACTGTCCTGGTTTTGGCAACTACGCTATATTATCACTTATCAAGGCACTCTGCCTCATCTCTATGACTTAAAAATGAACATGTTTTTTCTTCCAATTAGGGAAGTTTCCCATGAAGTTGCAAGCACCACATACCAAGCAGTGTTCTAAGTACTTATATGTAATGGCTCGGTCGGTCATCACCACAATCCTGAGACAGGATTCCTACTCCTATTAGCAGTGTTCTAAGTACTTACACGTAATGGCTCGGTTGGTCATCACAATCCTGAGACAGGATTCCTACTCCTATTAGCAGCGTTCTAAGTACTTACATGTAATGGCTCGGTCGGTCATCACCACAATCCTGAGACAGGATTCCTATTCCTATTATTATTCCTATGCTGATTCCTGTTTTATAAACGAGGATACTGAGGCACTGAATTGTTAAAAAATAATCTGCCAAAGCTACCACCTTCCAGGAAAGGTCCCTTTAATTGAACCACAAACCAGACAGGATAAACAGACTTTCCGGATTTTAACACGCATTGTGTCATTCAAGCAATTCAACATGAGGAAAGCCCCAGAGCCTGCCTGCATCTCATTTGTATTGTGAGCAAAGTTCTTCAGCAAACTCAGACGAAAATGCAGAAGAAACAAAATGTGACCCTCAGTAATATCCAAAGGGCGTCCAGAGGGTGGGGAAAATCCCTACAGCACAGCTTTTCTCCAAAAAGAAGGTATGCACTGCCCCTATTTTATTTTCTAACTTGATTCATAGCACGCTATTATTTTCTTTCATCAGTGAACTACGCAGAGGGGATTCCACCCTCCCCAAGACGGCCCCATGCAAGGTCAAGGGTTTACCTTGTCATAATAGTATCGCAGGGCTCTGCTCAGCTTATCATAGTTCATATTTGTTTTGTTTTTTCGGAGTCCCCACAGCTTGGCCACTTCTTCTGCTTTGAGGAGCTTGAATTCACCATCGTTCGAGGTCCAGCAGATCAAATGCTCATGTTTCTGATCCAGCAGCAACTGCAACAGGAACTGCCACAGCGTGATTGCACTCTCCATACCTGCAGGGAGAGGAGGCCAGGTCAGAGCTGCTGGTCACGATGCCGACCAAACTTGGCGAGGAGAGAGGGGGCTTCAGAATGGGCAACTCAGCTGTCCCCTCCTTCCCCCAGTGAACCTAATAAAAAGTAGCTTTCACTTCCATCTCAAGGGGCCACTCTGAACCAGGAGCTTCCTGGCTGCATTTCTGTAAGGAGCCACAATTCAGAAATACAGGGAGGCCCTGTGATCCTCCTCTATTCACCACATGTCCCCACGAGTGACAGCGATGCATGGGGAATGATGCAGAACAATGATTAATGACATGACCACTTGCAGAATGAGTCCCCATTCAAACCATTCCCCACTTAACACAAGTGTCTATTCCCGCCCATCCCATCAATTTCTTTGTGGGTCCGTGATATAGTTTGGATGTGTGCCCCGCCCAAATCTCATGTTGAATTGTAATCCCCAACGTTGGAGGTGGGGCCTGGTGGGAAGTGACTGGATCCTAAGGGTGGATTTCTCATGAATGGTTTAGCACCATCTCCCTTGGTACCATCCTTGAGTTAGTGACTGAGTTCTCATGAGATCTGGTCATTTAACAGTGTGTGGCACCTTGACCCTCGCTTTCTTGCTCTTGCTCCGGCCATGTGACACGCCTGCTCCCCTTTTGCCTTCTGCCATGATTGCAGGTTTCCTGAGGCCTCCCCAGAAACCCAGCAGATGCCAGCATCATGCTTCCTGTACAGCCTGCAGAACTGTGAGCCCATTAAACCGCTTTTCTTTATAAATTATACAGTCTGGGGTATTTCTCTATAGCAATGTGAGAAAGAACTAATATAGTCGGTCTCTAACTAAAATGCTGGACCCCATACTTTATACAGGTGCCTGGAATATCTCTCCTGTGGTTGTGGTATATGTCTAAGTGTAACTGCCTTTCCTACTGTGATGAGCTTCACGAGGAAAGGACTTTGCTGGATTATTTTGTATTGCCAGCACTCTGATAACCCATACAATGCTCAAAGCTGCCCAGTCCGTGGATGCTTGTGAAACCGAACAATCACTGCCAATTGCAGAGACCTTCCCTTTCCCGGCACTCACCATGCTGCAGGTCAAAGCCCACCATCACAGATGCACAGATGGGAAAAGCAATTTCTCCCATGAAGAGACAAAAACCTATATATACAATGTTATCCTTTTCCTTCAACTCTGGTGTGAACTTTTTAAATGCTATTTCTTCTGGCTAAAATGCTGTTCCTTAGCTTTGGAGCCTGGTGAACTCTTTCTCATCCATTGTGACCCAGCTCAAATAGGGCCTTCTCAAGGAAGTTTTTCCCCACTCCTGGGCAGTTTCTCAATTTCAGGCCTTTGAGGACTTTCATGACAATAGGTATTGATTCTAAGTAGTAATAATAATAATAATCCATTTGTGTTATCAATCCTCATTACATTTAAAAAAAGGTGGTTAGACTGGCCTCAAAAGCTTTGCCACGGATCAACTGTTGTGAGTGGCACAGAGAGCTAGGGATCATCCCCTTGGATAGGAGGGAGACACTGAAGTCCTGGTGGGCGGGGGGCAGGGGACTGAACCTGGAGTGACCGCAACCCAGGGGGCAGCTCTGGGAGACCTGGAAGCCAGAATAATTGCCTTGGGGAGGGTTATTTGTACCAATATTGTCAACCCCACAACTCCTCTCAATTAAAGGAAAGTAGACTAGGAGTGCTCTCCAATTACCCACAGGGCATTTTATTTAGGGCTCTTTAAAGGGGATATTCTTTACAGAAATCAGTATTAACCACAATGGTCTGTAAGACAGTCATTTCACTGCTGGGTCAAAACCACCTCTGCATCTCACAAATCTTGCAAGCCCCCACTTTGCTGGGATGCATGGCAGCTGACGAGTCCCAACTCCTCCTATGAACCACCCTTCTGATGACTTGGATATGAGCCACAACTTTCTTCTCTTCACTGGCACTAAGAACGGCTAACAGTTGTCGCAAATTCTTGAGATTTTCTTGGCCAAACATGTCAGTCAGTCAGCTTTAACATATCTTTGAAACTTTAAGTGCCTGCTCAGATGAATCTGCTCCTGAGGGCAGAAGGCTGCCGGTGGGTTTGGAGGTCTGCAGGGAAGGGACTGTGGGGCCTCTGCTCACATGCCAGGTGGGAAAGTGGTCGGCCACCGCCACCCCCCACTTTTAACTGACATCACGTTCCGAATGGGACAGGAGGGCAGCAGAAACATCTATCCATGTATTTTACTACACTTAGCATTTCCACCTGCCTGGCCTCCTCGGAGCTTCTTGTGCATCACAGAATCACTTTTCATTGCAATCCAACCCCATGTGTCAGAGACCATGTTCTGGGCATGACTTATGAGAACCCATATGGCAGACTTGTTAAATGTTCTCAACTGCCCTCTCCTTAGGTGACTGTGTAGCCCTGCACTGGAGTGGCTGTGGGAGGAGTGCTGACATTGGGGCTTTGCCATGTGATTGCATTTGGCCAGGAGACTGACACGGGAAAGTGACAGCATCCCATTGCCGAGTTGGGGTCTTGGAGGCATCATAAGTTGGCACTTTTCCTCCTGTGCTATGCTGCCAGGAAGCTGCTGCCCCAGAATGAGACACATGGAGGTGACCTGAACTCAACCCAAAGTCCGAAGCCAAGCCCCACCCGCCCATCATCTGAAGCAGCATCCGTGACACTGACTTGTGAGAAAAATAAATGCCACTGTAAGCCAGTGATCTTGGGGCAACTGGTTACACAGCACCACTGCAGCAAAAGCTGACTATTAAAATACATGATGTCTTTGTTTAAAAAAAAAATTCTCCCTTTGCTGGGGTGCTGTTATCTTTATGCTCTAGAGCTTGTGTTCAAAATCATGAGAAAGGCCGGCTGTGGTGGCTCACGCCTGTAATCCCAGCACTTTGGGAGGCTGAGGCAGGTGGATTACCTGAGGTCAGGAGGAGTTCAAGACCAGCCTGGCCAACATGATGAAATCCCATCTCTACTAAAAATACAAAAAACCAGCTGGGCGTGGTGGCCCGCGCTTATAATCACAGCTACTTGGGAGGCTGAGGCAGGAGAATAGCTTGAACCCAGGAGGCAGAGGTTGCAGTAAGCCAAGATCGCGCCACTGCACTCCAGCCTGGACAACAAGAGCGAAACTCCATCTCAAAAAAAAAAAAAAAAAAAAAATCACGAAAAAGTATGCTACTAGGTGTGGAGGGATCGGCTGATCACATTTTTACTCAGAGGCCACACATGGGCTAAGTGGCAGCCATGGGTGCTATGGCCATAACCTCAGGCAAAGGTAGAAGGAGAGAAAGAAAGAAAAAGGACAAAAAGGACAGGTGAAAGAGTAGAAAGGGAACAGGCAGAGGAGCAGTGGTGGGGATGGGGACCTACTGCTTCAGGGCCTCCCAGATTTCTGGAATAAAGGAACTCGCCTAGAGAAGGCAAGAGCTGTTCACTAGGAATCACAGAAATGCCCCCACAGTTCAACCAAGCTGCAGAGCTTGGGTGGCAGCTGCAGGCACAGGGGATCATCAGAGGATTACTCAGAGGGGTTGCTATGCGCAACACTGCTCCGGCGGAGGTGACTAAGGGCTCCAGCCTCTCCTGTCTGAGGCATGCCCAGCCTCGCCCCGTGCTGAGGGCCTCGTTCTCCTCTTCTCGCGCTCTCTTGAGCCACTCCTTCAACCTGGTGGATCCACCAGTTTCGATGACTGGGCAGTCATGTAGCCTTCCCGGTGGAAATCGCAGCCAGACATTACTCAGAGCTAAGTCGAAAAACTACTTTCCTGTGAGCTTATCATTGCATCTACAAAGATCAGTCACTCCTGTCTACGCTCAGAAGTCACTCTGGGGTATCGTGGAGCCCCCAGGCAGCTCTGGGACCCACCATCCTCTCTGGCCAGAGCCATCTGCATGATGAAAATGCGTGGTTGTCTGTGGCAGAGGTTTGGGTAGGGGGACAGGTGGGCAGTGGGCCACCAGCTGCCACAGCGCTCTCCATATTGTTTTCGTTCCACTCGACGTAGTTTAACTATGAGATCAAGTTTCATAATTTACACAACTATTTTCACATACAATCACACTGTACATTCCACTGCGCCTCTGCCAGTTGGAAATTTTGCCCTCTGGGGTGTTGGAAAACACAGACTTTGTACCATCATGCTGGGAGGTACGCCCTTCCAATAACCGCTAACACTACAGATTTTCGTAAACTCATCTATATGAGTATCTCTCTCACCGGAAAAAAAATTTAAACGATTTTTTTTTCTAAATTAATTCCTTGATACCTAGAATCCTTAATGAAGTCCAATGTCTTAACAGGCAGGTACAATAAAGCCCATTTATCTGGATGCCACTTTAAGGAATGTGAGTAATTCAGACAGTACACTGTGGCTTTTATTAAATCAACAATTGAAAAAGTGGTGGTACTTGAGATTTATGTTTGATAGATTATTATGCACATGGAGGCCTGCTCTAAGTTAAAATGTTTCATCTGCCTAACTTTACTTAGCTGATTTCCCACCACTCTGAGCTTCAAAAATGTAGAACACATAAAAGGCATGCTAGAAATCTTTTTTTTAAAATTCCCTTTATCTAATGAGAAAATGCTTATCTTGGCCGGGCGCGGTGGCTCACGCCTGTAATCCCAGCACTTTGCGAGGCCGAGGCGGGCGGATCACAAGGTCAGGAGATCGAGACCATCCCGGCTAACACAGTGAAACCCTGTCTCTACTAAAAATACAAAAAATTAGCCAGGCGTGGTGGCGGGCGCCTGTGGTCCCAGCTACTCGGGAGGCTAAGGCAGGAGAATGGCGTGAACCCAGGAGGTGGAGCTTGCAGTGAGGCAAGATCGCGCCACTACACTCCAGCCTAGGTGACAGAGCGAGACTCTGTCTCAAAAAAAAAAAAAAAAAATGCTTATCTTTCCCCTGCCTAGACCCCCACTTTTTTAAGATTCAGGGGGTATACATGCATGTTTGTTACATGGGTATACTGCATAATGGCGGGGATTGGGCTTCTAGCATACCCACCACCCAAATAGCGAACACTGCACCCAACAGGTAATCTGGCAGCCCTCACTCCCTCCCTCTCTCCCCACTTTTGGAGTCCCCAGTCTATTATTCCCGTCCTTATCAGACCTTATTTTGAATGTACAAAATTTTATCAGGTATTTTAATGCCATTCTTTTTGCAGAATCGAACTCTGTGCTTTCATACTGAGGCCCATCAGTCTGCTTTTAAAGGCATTGCTGCTCTTACAGGAAGAGGTGCCCCCTTCACATCTGATACTTTCTGGATTCCTCTGACCTCACCTCAACCTTGCAGCCTGCAGGGCCTTCCCGTCTCTGGCTGGTCTCTCACCATTTCTACCAGCACTGACCAGGACCATGGTCACAGGGGGCTGAGGTCCACCCACTCCTACTCCAGAGGGCAAAACCACCTGTTACTTGCCCCAACTCCTTTCCCTTTGTAATGCAGAGCTGTGATCTGCCATGGTAGAGTGAAGTTAGATGATTTAGAGCAGCTTGTCAAACGTGAATCATATGCATACCTCCTTTAAAGGAGGAGGAGGAAAAGTGATTTTCGTTCTCAGTGTTGACAAATGATTTTTTTTTTTTTTTTTTTTGAGACGGCGTCTCTCTTTGTCCCTCAGGCTGGAGTGCAGTGGTGCGATCTCGGCTCACTGCAACCTCTGCCTCCCGGGTTCAAGCGATTCTCCTGCCTCAGCCTTCCAAGTAGCTGGGACCACAGGTGCGCACCACCACGCCCAGCTAATTTTTTTGTATTTTTAGTGGAGACAGGGTTTCACCATGTTGGCCAAGATGGTCTCGATCTCCTGACCTCAGGTGATCTGCCCGCCTCGGCCTCCCAAAGTGCTGGGATTACAGGTGTGAGCCACTGTGCCCAGCTGAGGAATTGGTTTGTTAAAAAATAATTTTCAAAAGAGGGTTAAATCATGGCTCTCATACAGATATCAAAATGAACACGTTCGAGATTTTATTTCACTCATAATTCAGTAGGGAACCAGGCAGACGTTATAATGAGTTCAAAAAAGCATCTGAATAATAGAGGCATTTATAGAAGAAGAACATTGAAATAAATGCTTAAATGGAGGCAAAACTAGGGGTGGGAGTCAATGGCACTCTGTAAGACAGAATTTGGCTGTCTATAGACGAGAATTATTTCATGATCAGTTACCTATAGTCAACAACGTTGTAAAATACCTTCCAAAAAATCAGAATCACATCATCCGGAGGGAGTCTTCTCTAGAGTCAAGAATGCAGTTTTTCACTGAAGCATAATTCTTTTCTTTTCGACTAGGTCTCACTCTGTCAGCCAGGCTGGAGTGCAGTGGCACGATCTTGGCTCACTGCAGCCTCAGCCTCCTGGGGTCAAACAATCCTCCCATCTCTAGCTCCCAAGTAGCTTGGGCTACAGGTATGTGCCACCACGCCCTGCTCATTTCTTAATTTTTTGTGGAGACCATCTCTGTATGTTGCTCAGGAGTCTCCAACTCCTGGCCTGAAGCAACTCTCCTGCCTCAGCCTCTCAAAGTGCTGGGATTACAGGCATGAGCCATCGCATCCAGCTGTTTAGCTATTTTCTATAACTCAAAGCAGGTGCTAGTGAAGCACTTTTGTCTATTTGGAAGGTAAGCGCAGATTCTGGCACCTGACTCTCTGGGTTCAACAGCAAAGACTCGTCCTGTCTGGTTGTGGGACTTTGGGGAAGTTACTTAACCTTTCTGTGCCTCAGTATCCTCATAGGTAAAATGGGACTGATATGATAAAAGTATCATATCATACAGGGTTGTTGTAAGAGTTACAGAAGTTACTAATAATGCACTTAAACTACACCTGGGGCAAAGTAAGTGCTATTTAAATGTTAACTACAATTACCTTTTAAGCTACAGGGAATCCTCCTCACAGAGCTTGCTGTGGAGTCACA
Organism: Homo sapiens; assembly: GCF_000001405.40. Taxonomy (NCBI): domain Eukaryota; kingdom Metazoa; phylum Chordata; class Mammalia; order Primates; family Hominidae; genus Homo; species Homo sapiens. Next base: position 96,216,615 of record NC_000012.12, on the reverse strand, counting down.
TGGCCTTCACCAGGCTAGAAGGCATTGTGTAGCTACAGCACCCACCTGGGCTCTTTGTCCATTAGGCAATGAGCCCCACACAGGCACTGAAATCCAGGGAGACTCTTCAGCCACATGGCGACTGTGGTTTATAAGGTGACTTGGAGTATGCTTCTGTTTTGTAGTCTATCATCAAATATGAAAGCACAAAAAATCGTAAATGCTTGCAGAAAACTCAGATGCTAGGGCACTGATTCTCCGACTCCAGCTTAACAAACACTGGTTTAAATGCTGACCCTGAGGCCTCCAAGCTGTGTGACCTCAGCAAAGAGGGTCCCTGGGGCTCTCTCCTTCCCTGGGGTACATTCGGCTCCCATCTATGTGGTTTCTCTGGAGCAGGAAGGAGAGTCAAGTACATGAGAGCTGTTGGGTCAGATAGCGAAGAAAGAAAGATGTTCTAAATGACAAGCCAAGGGACAATGATGACAACACCGCTCATAGCCGCTGCAGATGGGGCCCTACAGGAGGGCATTCACGGGCTGGTCAGGGCAAAAGACACAGAGTAGAGAGGCCGAGAGTAAAACGCTTGACCTCTGGCACAGAGGGGAGGGACATTTTTGCAGACTCTGAGTGATTATTTTCTGCCCTTATTCTGTTTTCAGCTTTTTGCACTTAAAGAATGCAGTTATGAAAACAGTTTTGAGGCTAGGCGTGATAGCTCACGCCTGTAATCCTGGCACTTTGGGAGGCCGAGGTGGGTGGATCGCTTGAGCCCAGGAATTCGAGACCAGCCTGGGCAAGAGTAAGACCCCATCTCTACAAAAAATACAAAAATTAGCTGTGTCTGGTGGTCCGCGCCTGTCCACCCAGCTACTCAAGAGGCTGGGGTGAGAGGATCGCCTAAGCCTGGGAAGTAGAGGCTGCAGTGAGCTGTGATTGCACCACTGCACTCCAGCCTGGGTGACAGAGCGAGACCATCTCTCTTTAAAAAAAAAAAAAAAAAAAAAGGTTTTATGTCCCTCTTTAGTCTTTCCCATGTTTTTATTTAACTTTGATTCATTCTTTAATCCGACGGAGCCTCAAAAAGAAAGATGCTATTGACAGAAATATTGATCATTCTCATTACGCTGTGCCCGCCTCCGCCTACGTGAGAGCTGTCAGGTCACATGACACGATCCCAGCTTCAGGTGTCCCAGCTGCCTCCTGCCTCTGTCACCGAAAAGCTACTGGCCTCTTCTTGGAAGCTGACCTCCTTCCTGTCGGCCACAAGGTGGCGCCCGACGTCTTAATGTGAGCAAGGGCCGCACAGACCCCTTATGCAAAGTATGAGGTTTTTGCCTCCATTCTTAGAAGTCGAAATGCCCACTTATTTGTTCTTCTTTCTACTGATGGCAACCTAGCACTTCCCTTTGCATGTTCCTTGTTTCATTTTTACTGAGGTGGGAGTTGAGGGGGCAGAATTAGCTTTGATTTTCTTAAGCTTCTATGTGGTGGGAAATAAGAAACGAGGCAACTTAAAAAAAAAAAAAAGGCAATGAGAGCCCAAGAAAAGGAGAAAAACTTCTGGGTAAGGAATAAACAAAATAGGTGCTCATGAGGTACCCATGTCTTTTTTCGTTTGTTAAATTTTGCATGGTTAGAGAAATGAAGATGGATTTGAACACTTCTTACTGAAAATTCTGCTGAGTTCAACTCCTCTGCCAGTATCTGCTATGCATTTCCATGTCATGATACTATCATTGTCTAAGACAAAGGGTAGTAGCCATTTCATTATAGAAAATGAACCCTGTACCTCAGTCAAAGAACTGGAAGACAACATTTTATATTATTAGGGATCTGCAATAACTCAGCACAGAGTAAGTGTAAGGTATTAAGTAAATAAGGATAATATTTGAAAAAAAAACTTATACAAGTTCTGAAGTTTTTTATTATTTCTGTGAGTTGGAAGACTATTAAATTTATTTTCAAAGGACATTTAAATTATTTTGATCATTATCACTGTGTATAAAAAAGGCATGAGGCCAACTTCATGTCTCCCAAGCTTTTCATTTATTAACAAGTATTTGCATTCTGTGAATATCTACAAATTGTTCATTTTAAAAAAGGTAAACAAAAGTAGGTATTGCTCACCTATTTACTTACTCTTTACAGTCTGCAATGGTTTTTGCTGTTTTTTTTTTTGTTTGTTTGTTTTGTTTTGTTTTTTGAGACAGAGTCTTGCTCTGTCGCCCAGGCTGGAGCACAGTGGTGTGATCTCGGTTCACTGCAAGCTCCGCCTCCCAGGTTCAAGTGATTCTCGTGCCTCAGCCTCCCGAGTAGCTGGGACTACAGGCGCACACCACTGCCTCCGGCTCATTTTTGTATTTTTAGTAGAGACAGGGTTTCAGCATGTTCGCCAGGGTGGTCTCAAACTCCTGACCTCAGGTGATCCACCCACCTCGGCCTCCCAAAGTGCTGGGATTATAAGCGTGAGCCACCGTGTCTGGCCCAGTCTGCAATGTTTTTTAAATAACTCTTCCATCTTGGGAAAGAGAAAGGTTGCTGGGATTACATGCCTGTACATGTTATATCTAGCACAATGTAATATCTAGCACAATGCAAGGATTACTGGGTTTTTAATGAACGGATTACATGTCTGTAATCCCAGCACTTTGGGAGACCGAGGAGGGAGGACAGTTTGTGCCTAGGAGTTCAAGACCAGCCTGGGCAACACGAGACCCCCATCCCCACAAAAAACACAAAAGTTAGCTGGATGTGGTGACACATACCTGTAGTCCCAGCTACTTGGGGAGCTGAGGCAGGAGGATCACTTAAGCCCAGGAGTTTGAGGCTGCAGTGAGCTGTGATCACATCACTGCACCCCAGCCTGGGCAACAGAGCATGAACCTGTCTCAAAAACAAAACAAAAAAAAAGAGAGATTTTTCAGAGGAAATCACTGACAACCACTGAAATAACAACATATGCAATTTACTGTGTGTAGGAACACCCCTCTTTCCTTCTGGAACTATGCTGTCTCTGGCTAAATTAGAAGTAACTCAATTGGTTTGTCAGTGACTTTTATATGGGTGAGTAGTAAATGATGGCTTCGTTAACACTGGCTGAGAAAATGTCTTACAACCATTCGACTTTTTCCCACAGAATTCACCGCACCCCACCCTAATAACCACCATACAACCCAGCCCTATGTTATCCTACATTTTCAGAGCGGGCCCACAGTAAGACAGAAAAGGGCCTATTTCCATCCAAGGCTGCCTCGTGTGGGTACCTCTTGATCCCTAACAGTCCAAAACTTTTTAAGATTCCTGGGATAGAGTTTGTTCTTTCTGGGCTTAGAGAAGAAGAGGTGGTCAATCTGCAGGGTAAAGAAATAACTGATTGTCCCAGAAGCACACCCTATTTCTCTGTAGCACAAAGCAGCAAGGCAATTTAAATGAGATGGTGTGTGGAAAAAGCATGGCACTGCGCCAAAGGCTTATATATGTTTTAAACCTTCAACAAGGTTTCTATGCCCCCTTCGTATATGCCTTATATGAAGCCTTCCACAACACATAAACAGCTATTTATTTTTAGCCATCATTTCACTTGCATTACCCAGCACTTCCAACACAGCCCCTGACAAACAATAGGTACTCAATTAAAAGGTGTGTAATGAATCACAATTTCTTTGGCTCTCGATTTCTCTAAGATGGGTATTGTAAGATCTGACTTCACAGACTCTTCCAAAATGAGCTAAAGAGCCTAGAAAAAATAATTTTATTTTGCTTCCCCCTCCCCCGCGAGAAAGATGAACTCACTCCCTTCTCCAGTGTGATCTTCTTTGAGTCCTGTATCCCGCCACGTGGCTCACCGGTAGCCACACAGAGTGTGCACTATGCAGTCTTCAACACACACACATCTTCATTTAATCTCTTCTTTGAAAACATCAGACAAAAATTTTATTGGGTGGTTAAAGGAATATAAGCCTCCTAGATCAAAGCAGCCAACTGGTCACCCGGCCTTCCCAAATTGAGGCTGCCGTTCATTAGAGCTGCTTGGTTAACCACATCCACCTCCCCCCTATAACAACATCCCCAGGAAACAGATTTAGAAGTCCTGGGAATTGCAGGGAAAATCTTTTCAGGTAACCTTCTGTATTAAAACAGCAGACCATGTCTTGAAAGATGAGTGGGGCTATAAAAAACAGAGGTTCCTACAACCTGAGGCAGTCCCTAGGCCCCCTCAGAGTCTCACATGGAAGGACAAGCTCTGCTGACAATGCTTTTTCTTTAAACAGATGGGCTGTTCCTTCCCAGACATTTTTGGACTAAAACCTGAACATTCACTTTCTTTGCAATTGTTTTTGTTGCCTGTGTTGTTTGCATTCTCTTAATTCTAGCTTGAAGCACGTCCCGCAGTTCTCATACTTGGTAACATTCAGCTTCCTCTTCTTCTGCAGGTTGCAGGCAGGAAACTGGAAAATGGGCCACAGGAAACCTGGCCTCCTACATCTGTCCCACTTTGTCACTGCAGCTCTGGTTTCATTTTGTCTTGTGTTTTAGCTCTGTTTTAACCTTCAGTACTGCAGCCCAACTCTGCCTTCTGAAACAACACTGAGGTTCTTATCGCCCAAGAAAACTCAGAATTTTTGTTCCTCCCCAAAGTAATTAACATTGTGAATTCAACAGGGAAAAAATACTAAGCAGATTCTCCTAAACAGTAGTCATTTGGATCAGAAAAATGATTCATTAGATGTAATAAAGCTATTAATAAATCCACAATGAAAATTAAAGACTGTTTCATAATACTGGACACAGAAAAGTTTTTATTTTGTATTTCCTGTGATTAAGGTCAATGGAAAAGCACAAGTTATTTTAGGTAAATATGGTTACTAGTGGTCCAAGGCTGCCTGATGAATTTTAACTTGCTAGGCTTTGATAAATAACGTACAAAAATAAGCTACAATCATATTTCATTATAAATATCACATTGTGATATATTTCAAATTGTTTCATAATATCACAACTATTAAGTTGAACTGTAAGAAATTATTCTTTTTAGAGATCAAAACTAGTTAAATACCAGCAATCTCATATATTCAACCTAAAATATATTCACATACATAAAACTGATACACACACACACACACACACACACACACACACACACACAAACACACAATGACATCCCCAGGGCAGTTTCCTCTTCACATATTTGGTCCATGGACCTTTCTGACAATCTAAAATTCTCTAGGAAAAATATACAGCTATACAAAATACACATAATTTCACCAGGATTTATAAAACTCTAAAAATAACTTATAAATTTCAAATTAAGAGCACTGTTCTAAGAAAACGTTAGCTATTAATATATCCTCCACCACCAGCAATGCTGAGATCCCATGGAATTCTGAAGAACAGCGCCCATACCTAAAGAAATCCATTACTTTATTAAATAGGAGCTTTTCTTTTTAGTGCAATTAAATTTGATGACCACTTACTATGTACCAGGAATTGTGCTGAGTGCTTTATACATGCTGTCTAAATTTAATACTCTCAGTTGGCTGTGCCCACGAGGAACTATGACTTCGAAAGGTGAAATAAGACACTCATGGCCACATGGGTAAAATGGGCCAACAGAGCCTCATATCCAGGGGCATCTGGCTCCAAAGTCCAGGTTCTTAATCAACGCGCATATGCCCCCAGTAGAGGCTTCTTTTCTCATATGCACACTTCACTGCTGCTAAGGGAAACGTCTCATTGTAATGCGTGGGAAATACATTCCTACTAGGAATCAAATCAGGACATTTCCTTGTTCATTTCTGGTGTTGCCTCATCTGTGTCTCCAGCTGCTCCAGTTGGGTTGTTTCAAGAAAGAATCTTTGAATCCACCCCATCCACCATTTTGTTAACCAGTGCCCTCCTTTCAAAGATCTGTATCGTGGTTTAAATAGGTTCAAGGTTCACCCAACACTAAATAAGCAAGGGTGGTTCTCGATACAAGTGGGCCGTTGAGAAGCTGCGTGTTCTGGAAGTCGGTGCCCCTGGACCTCCCACTCGGGGTGTGTGTGTGTGTGTGTGTGTGTGTGTGTGTGCGTGCGCCCGCGCGCAGGGCGGTGGAACAGGATGAAAGTCAGAGGAAACAGAAGTGAGCTAGCCTAGCCCAAGAGGGGCCCCAAACATGCATGCACCTCACATCACGAAACGAATCATGAGAAGCACTTCAAGTGTGAATAGGGACAGGCTGGAATCCCAGGGAAACCGTGCATGACAGGATCTGGCAAGGTCCCTAGTACCCAGCAGTGCCTCCAAAACTTTCCTTTAAAAAGAAACACCTCTAGGGAAGCCTGTTTCAGGTTCTAAGAAAGCAGTGTTTAGGATTTCATGGAGGACCACAACATGCCCCGAAAAAAACAGGCTGTTCCGCAGTCAGTGAAACTTACTAGGATCTTACAAACTGTCTTTCAGTTTGAGCTTTAAATTAATGAGCTCTCAAATCCCCAGTGGGCATCTGGCCCCCCGACCCTCATAC